>NW_011332701.1:3817307-4501706 GCF_000001405.40 Homo sapiens | reverse complement strand
GAATTCAGTATAGTCTTCTAAAACATTACATAATGGTAAGACGATGTTATATACAATTTTGTATCTTGCATTTGAAAATGTATATGAAAAAGACATGTTCCTAGAAAAATAAAGCTCATTAGAACTCACACTTTATCTTCCTCTTCTCTCTCTGTTTCTTTGTTTTGTTTTCTTTTGTTTTGTCTTCTTTCACTCAGACATATAGGAGGTCCAGGCAGCATGAACAGCTCCCTGGTCAGAGACACATGGATTTGCTCACTGGTTACTCAAAGCTGATTCAAAGCCGATTAAAGCTGCTGCTTCATCTGGGGTCCCAACCTCCAGTGGGAAAAACATTCTTCTTTTCCTGCTGGTGTCACCCACTGTTCCACGGATCCAAAACAACACCCAATGTTTGGTACAAATTTAGTGAAACAGCTCTTTCCATTCTTAACTCATGCCAAGCATCTCAGCTTGGGGTCAGGAAAATGCCAGGGGACATGAGCTCTTCTCCTAGAGTTAGAGAATTCTCTGCCTTAGTTGCAATAAAGGAAAAGATACACATTCTTCCTACAAATGCCAAAGTAGGCTCAAAACTTGGTTCCTAGAGTAGAGTATTGAAGTCGTGGCAAAGATCTTTCCAGTGATCAAAGCAGTGGCTCGTTATGTTCCCTCAGACTGAAGCTACAGTCTCATCTTCACTTTCTGTTAGCTCCCTCCATCCTCTGCGTAGGCCCACACCTGCTTCTTACAGTTGTGTGGATTATAGCACCTCCTCTCCAGCCTCAGGACCTTTGTGAGTGCTGCTCCTTCTTCCTTGACTGCTCTTCACCAGGGATCCTCAGGGCACAGCCCTTACCTCCTGCAAGTCTTGACTTAAATGTCACTTTCTCAGGGAGGCCCACACTCATCACCATTTCACACCCACCTCCCACATGACCTTATTTTACCTGTTCTCTCTTCTCCTCTTTTTTTTAGAGTACTTATGATCTCATGTGGTACATTTTGGGGTTTTTGGTTCTTCTGTATCCGCCACTGCCATGATCAGTTAGAATGTTGGAAATCAAGGAAACTTGGTTTTTTGGCCTGTGATGAAAACTATGGGGTCTAATAGTATCTGATAAAGTGGCAGACCCTCAATTATTATTTGCTGAGTAAATGAATGAAGGTGTGTAGACAACTAGCTCTAGAAGCTTAAATGAGTGATACCATGTTTTATAATATTGGAAGAGGCCGGGAATGGTGGCTCACGCCTGTAATCTCAGCATTTTGGGAGGCCAAGGTGGATGGATCTCTTGAGGTCAGGAGTTTGAGACCAGCCTGGCCAACATGGTGAAACCTTGTCTCTACTAAAAATGCAAAAATTAGCTGGACGTGGTGGCACACGCCTGTAATCCCAGCTACTCTGGAGGCTGAGGCACAGCATCACTTGAACCCAGGAGGCAGAGGTTGCAGTGAGCTGAGATGGTGCCACTGCACTCCAGCCTGGGCAACAGAGTGAGACTCTGTCTCCAAAAACAGAAAAAAGAAAGGGGGGGAAGAAAAGAAGAAGAAGGAAGAGGAAAGGGAGGAGGAGGATTTATCATTCACTTACACTAGAAACAGTGAAAATAGATAATAGCTATAATTTACTCACATCTTATCTAAAACACAAATTCAGGGTAATTTATGAGCAAGTCATTTTCCAGTGGGCTTTCGATAGTGTGTGAATTTGGAATGAATGCTGGTACTTCCAGCTCCCTTCCACCTGCAGCACCAGGAAGCCATTGTTGTGGGGAGGCCACCAACTTGGCTGGCATGTTGCTTCTGCCTCAGTTAGTGATGATGGTGATTTGGAGAGAAAGGACACTCTGCTAGGCTCCAAATCCAAAGGATCAAGTGGATAAATGAAATGAATATCTAAATAAATATCAATTAGGTCAAAAGTTTGTTTTCATCTAAATGAAATCTGAACACTACTTAGGGCTATGAAACATAGCCAGAGGACATGGCCAGCTCTGGAGTGGGGCCTGGACTTGCTCTCCCCTGCTGGAAGTGCTTTTCCTCCCAGAGCTCAGAGCACCATGTGCGTGTGACCCCTGCCTTTTCACAGGCCATTGCCACAGGGCATCTCCCTGGTCCACCCGCCCCAAGATGAGCCAGCCTCCCACTCAGGAATTGGGTGGGGAAGGGAAAGAAAGACAGAGGAGAGAGAGACAGTCACACACAGGCAGTGGAGCTCCCCTGCACCCACCAGGGAGCTTGAGCAGCTCATCTGCAGAGCAGGGAAACATTTTTACTACCATTGGGAAGACGCTGAGCAGAGAGGTGAGGGGACAGCATTTCTTGATTTCTTGTCTCCCTGTGGCTTGTTCCACTCACAGTTCAGTTTCTCCTGTTCTTGGGGAAAAGGAGGGAAACTGTATTAGTCAGGGTTCTACAGAGAAACAGACCCAATAAGATGTGTGCATGTGTGTGTGTGTTTATATATGTTCACAGAATGTATATATGTGTATATATATGTATATGGATAACTGCATATATATATTATTTATAGAGAGAGAGAAGAGCAGGAGACAGAGATAAAGAGAGATTCATATAAAGAATTATATTCATAATTTATATAATAATTTGTTCCTTTAATCATAAAGTCTGGCAAGTCCAAAATCTGCAGGGCAGGCCAGAAGCCTGGGCACCCCGGAAAGAGTTGCATCTAGACTCTGAAGACGGTCTGGAGGCAGAATTCCCTCTTTCCCAGGGAATTCCAGTCTGTTTTCTCTGAAGGCCTTTACTGACTAGATGAGGCCCCCACACACATGGAAAGCAATCTGCCCTACTGAAAGTCTACTGACTTAGAGGTTTAGCTCATCTAAAAAATACCTTCATAGCAATTTCGAGACTGGTATTTGACCAAATAGCTGAGTAGGTTGGCCTAGCCAATCTGACACATAAAATTAACTATCACAGAAACAAAATAATCAATATAGGTAATAACTGTGCCAGAATGCTGTGATGTTTCAGGATGACCTTGTTTACATTTACATTTATTGTCAAAACTTACCTTCTCTTTTTATATGGGCAATTAAATCTGCTACTGAGGGTATCAAGTACTGATTTAATTTACGATCTTAATAGATAAGATAGGTTCCTATTTTCTCCTCTCCATAAAAGTAATAAGTTTGGAGAAACCAGGTCGGAAATACCTCTCCAGATTTTAAAGCATAACCTCTTGTTTGGAATAATAAGTATGTAAATAAGCACCATAAAATATGAAACCAAACATTTCATCATTCTTTTATATACATTATCCCTTGCATTTTTAAAAAATAAGGAACACCTTATTAGCCATATTTTCAAATGGTGAAACCAACACCCCCAGCTCAGACTCTGCCGTGGTAGGCTCCAGGGTCACTGATACCAGATCCCATGGTATTTTCACTATATCCCACTCTTTCTTTGCATGTGGCTCTTTTTTAGCTGCATTGCGGGTAAACAGGTGTGGCTCTTTTCAAACCAATTCCATGCATATGTGAAGAAAATTGATCCTGAAGTTCCTTTTGCCAAAGATGCTTATGGAGAAGTGTCTGTGTCTGGACAGACAAAAGTGTCCATTTTTGCCTCGAAGCTTGGCAAAATTGAAATTGATGATGGGGAAGCTAGAAATACTTCAGTCTACATTTCGAATCCCAGCTGCGGGGAGGCTGGTTGAGGATTGCCCATCCCTCAGTCTGGGCTGGATTCTCCCTCCAGTCTCTGGGGTTCTCTTTTCTATTCACAAGAGGGTGCTAATGAGATGGTTTAATCTCTATACCCTGTGGTCCACAAATACAAGATGCCAGCGTGGCCAATGGGGCTTCCATAAGAGTGGCAATCAGGGGTCTCAAGCTTACCATGACGTTTTGGGCCCTGGAATCAGATCATAGTTCTACAGTTGTCCTGGCACTAGAACTCATGACAAGGTTGTGACTAGACAGAAGGAGAGAAGGCTGGAGGCTGACAGGAAGCAATGTGAACAAATGCCTTCGCAGGATGCATGGGTTTGGGCAACAGATGGTCAGGGGAGGTGCTGGTGCAGACGGGCTCAGTAGCAAAGCAATAACTGTGGATGGCCATTTTATGGCTGCAGATCACAGCACATTTATAAAAGATGTGTGTTTCATGAAAATGTGCATTTCATCGTGGAAATACTGTGGTTGGAGGAGATTTCTCAAAGCTGATAAATAAGTGTAGGTGACTTAACTTGCAAAAGATGATCATATGTGAGAAAGGATGTCTCAAATTAGGAAATAACTTGTTAAGTAAAAAAGCCTCATGTGTTGATTTGAAGAAAAAGATATTTTGGTGCTCATCAAAATAAAAGTATAATAAGCTGAAGGGCTGCTTTTTTCTGTAAACATAATTTTGTATCACCAGTTTTATTTTCAACGAGGACTTGAAATTCAGAAAAAAAATTAAAGCAGAGAAATGGGAAAAGGGCAAAAAAAAAAGGACAGGAAAATAAAGCCAGAAAAAGGCAAATGAGTACAGAAAAAAATAAAGTATCCACTCAGGTTCTGGACACTTTGTTAGAACTGAGAACACACAGATCCAGAACTTCCTAGCAGTTAGTGTAAGTAGGAAATATCACTGTTCATATAATTCAAAGGGTTTTTAAGACCCAAAGAAGCATAGATATCTAACTCTGAGATCTCACAGTTCTCTGATGGTTCTAATAAGGAGGACATGGTATGAACAAATTATGCCTTACTGTTCGCTGAGGTTATATCAATGCCCGAACATTTCATCCAGCAAAGCAGTCACAACTAAAAACAGGTACATGATGGTTGCAGACAGCTTCTCAGTAGCCCAGAGAGTGAGAGCTCACCAGGGCAGAAGGTCCCTGAACCAGAGGCTGGCAGTGCACATGTGCTTTGGTCAGAGGAGAAGGACAACCATGCCCCACGGGGCTGAGGACCCAGTGGCTGGAACAAAGACATGATCCCAATTTTTTTGATACCTACTTTCTCACTTTGCCTGTGGGCCTCCACGGAGCTCCTGTGCAGCTGGCTGGACCATGGCCTATATACAATGGCTGAGTCTACACACAATCAGAGCCTGAAACTCTGTGGACTGTGTCTGCTTTATTCTCAGTAGGATTAATGACCCTCATTGAATTCCCATCGCCTCAAAGCTTGGCAAAATTGAAATTGATTATGGGGAAGCTAGAAATACTTCAGTCTACATTTCAAATCCCAACATAACCTGAGTAAGGGAATTGCATGCTTTTCTCATCGAAAGCTCAAATAACTTAGTAATGGTTCAAAATTGTCTCCTACTGGCTTCTCAATTTAGCACACTAAATGGTCTTAGAGATCATTGCTCATCTTTGGACTAAGGCAGGCACAGTAATACATGTTCATTCTTTTGGCCTGAGCTATTACAGTAGCCTCCTAATAACTTATCTTCATCATCCTCTTTTCACTCATTCTATACTGGGCACCATGTCTGATCATTTTTTTTTCTGATATTTGGATCAGTTCTATTAAACTGATAACCCTGTGATGTCTTTTTTTCCCTTCAATAGATCTTTAAATTCCAATCCTCACCCTAATCTACTCTTTCCCAATATAGCACCGTTATTCACACTGCTCCCAAAATCTATTCCATCCTCTGACTTCTCACAATTTTTTTTGTCCTAAGACTCCATGATAATAGAGAAAAGAATTTTGGTCTTCACAGAATGTATTGACTTAATGATATTCCAAATTTCTCTTGGGTGTCAAATATATTCCTCACCAAATATGACTGAAAGAAAACTCTATTCACCATGAATTTAAGGATCTCAAAATTATAATATCTTCTCCACTCTCATAATTCCACAGCCCCTGCTGTTACTATAATGACCTATATTGCAAAAGAGTGAATTCAATTAGAGTCCAAGAGGAAAACTGCTGGTATTTTTTTCATCTTTTGCCATCCCATACTTTATAAAGTGCAGTTAGACCCCCTGTTTGCCTCCCAGCATACCAAAGTTATGTAGATTATTTTAAATAAAATCTACTGAAAGCATGCATTTTTAAGTACCCCTTTTGTGTCCCCTAAATTACAGAGGATAAAACCAGCCATAGAGGCAAATTCCTTTAGACCTTCTCCTAGAAACAAACACTATCCATCACATAAAACCTTCAATTGCAAGGACAGTTCTGTAAACCATGATATTTGATCCTGGAAGCTTCCTAGATTGAACACAAAGAAGAGGGTACAGTATTTACATACCTCCAGCTTTAAGCTGTGTGCCTGGTGTTTTTCACTCCAAGGTGGTTGAGCATCTCCCTCTACACTGCCATCTACCCCATTCCTCATCACAAATGTCAACTCTGTCTGAGCTGCCTTCCAAAGTAAGCAGAGAACTCAGGACTGGGAAACCAGATGGGGCTGGCTTGGGAAGTGTGGCCTACCTGTTCCCTCCATGACCAAGCACAACACTGTATGTGGGGAATGAAATGGGACCAGGTCCCAGAGTACTGGGGAAACAGAACCTCATATCCAATGAGGAGTTCGGGCAGGCAGGTCAAAGATGGACCTGAGACCAACTCACTGTGATGGGTGTCAACAGAAAAGAAGACATGGCCTCAGAAGAGATGCTCCCTGAGAAGCTGGGCCACTTTCTCATGTGACTGCAGAGTAATCCATCCCTGCGTGGAGCTGACAAGGCACCAAGCTGCTGGGCATGAGACCCTTCACATATCCTCTCTGATCTTCTCGATTAGCTCTGAAGTCTCTCTGGTTTGAAACCTCATGTCACTTTTTTGGTATGTCTCTGTGGCATTGGACATCTTCTGCCTCATATTAGATGCATTGTGTAGTGTTTACTTATCCCTAATTTGCAGCCACTTATCTGAGCATAGACACTAGACCACTCCATCTTTGCCTCTATAAATATCAGGTGTAGGACCTCGTACTTGACAGGTGCTCATAAGATATCTTTCTCTCCCTTTTTTTTTTTTTTTTACTTGAGTTCAAGTGATGAGGGTCTAGTAATAGGTATTGCTAAGCAGAGCAAATTCAAATAATTGTTTAGAAAAGTATTGATGACTGTATCTGATTAAAAGTATAAAAAATGGGGGAGGAGCTATGCTGAGCCCCCAATTTTAAGTTAGAGACAGGAGAATTCTGATGCCTGCCACAATTGATATCTTATAATGCTGCATTTGCAAGCTTAACATTCAATCGTTTTTCATTTAGAGTCCAAAGCAATCATTGACCATGGTGCCTGGGTGTTGGCTGTGAAGCCTGAATTCTAAAACACAATTGTAAACGTATTTTGCCTTATATTGAGATAAGCACATACAATACTTAAGACATGCAATATTTTAAAGAAATACAAAAAAATTGCTAACTGGCCACATCAGTTCTTAACTTTTTTATTAACCAGAACTGGTTTCCTCTTGCTGTTAGTTCCAGAAGAAAAGATTAAATCAGAATAGTTCTATATGTTTTACCTTGTGTATTAGGTATCAATTGTTGCACAACAAATCATCCCCAAACATACAGGCTTAAAACCACCATTAGTTCACAGTTTCTGTGGGCCAGGAAACTGGATATGGCTTGGATGCATCTTCAGCTCTGAATCTCTCACAAGGTCACCATCCAGCTGTCAGCTCAGACTGTAATCTTGTCTAAAGGTTTAATTGAGCAAGGAGCCACTCAAACTTAACTCTTGTAGAGTTGGCAGGATTCAGCCCCTTTCAGGTTATTGGACAGAGGGCTCAGCTCCTTGCTGGTTATTAGCTGAGGCCACCTCAGTTCTTGACTCTGTGGGTCTCTCCATTAGGAAGCTCACAGCATAGCAGCTGGTTTCCCTCAGACTGAGCAGAGAGCAAGAGAGAGTGCTCAAGGCAAAAGACACTGCCTTTTTGTAACTTAATCTCAGAAGTGACATCTGCTGTGTTCTGTATGTTAGAAGTGAGTCACTAAGTCCAGCTGAAACTCAGGGGAGGGCTTGCCTACCAGGAGGCAGGAATCACCAGGACCCATCAGAGACACCGTCTACCCCAGTCTGTGCTCGGGTCCTTCATGTCTCTCCCTCCTGAAATTTGATAGATTCTGCAAAAGAAAAAGCCTTGATCCACGCTGCTTTCTAGAATGTTGTAGTGAAAAGCAAGTCAGTGTGGTACATTCAGAGTAATTTTATAATTTTATAATTTAAAAATAATTGACATTACTCCCAGCATTACCAAAGTTGCCAAGATCAGCTTTTAAATGCTCACTTAGGTCATTTGTGTTTAATGCATTGAGTGTGTGCTCAATCTTCATCCCAAGACAGAGGGATTCAGATAACTGGCAAATGATATGAAGGAAAACCTTTCTGGAGTAGTCCATCTGGAGGCCACGTCAGGACTAGCCTCACAGGTAGAGTACAGGCATTCTGACTTTGGGAGCATTAAAAAGAGCATCAAACCAAATTATCTGATTCAGCCCTATATAATAGCCTACATAAGCCCCAAAGATCTCTATTTTAAATTAGAAATAAAGTTAATGTTTCACTTGAACATTCTGCAGGAAAGTGGTATGAGATCAAGGTATTATTAACTATTAACAACTGGCTGGGCACAGTGGCTCACGCCTGTAATCCCAGCATTCTGGGAGGCTGAAGCAGGTGAATCACCTGAGGTCAGGAGTTCAAAACCAGCCTGGCCAACATGGCGAAACCCTGGCTGTACTAAAAAATATAAAAATTAGCTGGTCATGGTAGTGTGCACCTGTAATCCCAGCTACTCGGGAGGCTGAGGCAGGATAATCATTTGAACCCAGGAGGCGGAGGTTGCGGTGAATCAAGGTTGTGCTGTTGCACTCCAGCCTGGGAGACGAGTGAAACTCCATCTAAAAAAAAAAAAAAACCGAAAAACTATTAGCAACTTAGCATGAAGCACTCTGTCACCTGATAAGAACTGAGAAAGTGTAGCACAGGACAGATCAGGTTTGTCTTGATGGAAGAAAGGAAAGAGGAAATTACTGATGGTAATCTTGAGCCGAGCACAGAGAAAGGCAAGAAGGGATGGCTCTGGTTTCAAAGAATCCATGTCTGATTCCTCCCAAGCCCATTCTTTGTTATCTATTGTAATGTCAATACTCATATTAGGTAGGGAGTTCCCTTTAATGACCTCTAAGGATTCTTTCAGCTGGAAGAGTTGTATCCATTCATCTGCTAATCTTCTTCATCAAAGGACAGTTGGAAAGGATGCGGCATTACTCCTTACAAGAAGGTGGAAGTCTAATTTTTAAACTATGAGCTTTTACCTTAATGTGAGCCATTTCTTTTTAAGCTAGGCATTTACATGTACTCCAATATAATTCCTTAGTAGAATACATTTATTTTTGGTGCAAAACAAAATTATTTAGTCCAGAGACACCCTTCACTGGCAAAGAAAGACATTCATTGTGCAGTGCAGTAATTCAGAGAAATATTACTTCCAAGTCTTTTTAAAGTTAAAGAAGAATGTTTTAGGGCCCATTTGAAAAGTGCTATTCATATGAACTTGAAGGTCATTACTCACAGATAATATTCAGGAGAACTCCTGTCTAGGCTGAGAGCAGCCACTTCTGTGCTGTTTCAAGTTTTCAGAAACCATGGTACTGTTACTCCTCTATAAGGTAGAAAAACCATATCTAACATATTTGATTTATTCCAAAAACTCAGCAAAATCGATTTCTTTTTCACTCTTTGGAAGAAAGTACAGAATGAGGAAAATCACTTCTTAAAAAATTCATCAAAATAACTATGTTAAGCCCTTATGATTTCCAGGCCCTGAGCCCGGTTCTGGAGTCATAGAGTTTAGAAGAAAAAGATGGAAATATGCAATCCAGTGGGACTTCCTTTATCAAATGAACGCAAGGGCCTGATTTCTTTGGTAGATAATGCGTTCAACTAAACGGATCTCTTTGAGATGAGGATATTAGCTGCGCTGCACTGTCTGTACAATTGTGTCTGTACCTGGAGGAGTTTCCACAGCAGCAGAGCCTGAGATTCTATGCATTTTAGATTTAGAAACCTCATTATACCAGTTCCTACAAGAATAGGTCTCTGAAAGGACGAATCTCACAAATCAAGCTCATAAAAAATGCATAAACAATGCTTACATCATTTATAATGAGAAGATGTTCATTCCCAGCAATAGGGCAGAGCAGATAATTGAGTATCTCCCTAGTGCAGAACATTCAGAAGTACTGGATACTGTAGCAAACAGTTTCAAATGGGGAGCTGAAATTCCAACAAAGTCCCAAGACCACATTTTAAGACGAATCTGCAAACCAGAACTGTAAAGCACATGAGTGGACCTCACTGACATCTTTGTTTTATAGTAGGAGGTGGTGCTCTGGGCTGCATCAGGTAGAAATTAGACCTAGATCCACAGTAAGCCTGTCCTATATGCTGACACTGCCCCTCCCTCCCAGTAAGCCAGAGACTAGAAAAACATTCAACCTCCTGTGGGTTCAGAGAAACAACAGAGAGCCTGTTTGACTGATCGCAGGTTCTAGGTGGTAAAGTCTCCCCTAAGAATTTATAGGCAAAGGCTGATGCCTCCAGTGTATTCACGTGTGAATTCATGCTCTCCTTGTGGCTTGGGAGTGGACAAAGTAAGACACTGATAGGAATTGTTTCCTGGATGGTAATACCACTGTGACATTGTTGTGGGAAGCAAGCTCTGAGACAGAGACTGACATGCAGGAGAGGGATGAGGGAATGCTCTTGGAATCTCCACCTGGAAGTGAGGAGTAGAAAGCAGGACTGGGACTGGGCCGAGGAAGAGGGCAAGACTCAGCCAGCCTTGCAGGGAGTTCTAAAGATTACGTGGCTCTTAAGAATTATCTGGAGTAGGGCGAGAGGCGAGGCCCTTAGTGCTCCAAGTGAATCAGTCTCGGGATGCTCTGGGAGGGGGCCATGACCTTGGGTGGTGGGGCCATGTCGGAAGGGCTGGCACCTGACTGCACTGTCAGATGGGGCAGGCAGTAAGTCCTTACTCCTGAAAGGACTGTCTGTCCAGGGCTTCTGCTGGCAGCACTGTCAGTCTTGGGGCAATAAGCCCTTTACTCCTGAAGGGATATCAGGGTGGCCATCACTGTGTCACCACAGGGTTCTAGCAGAAGCAAACACAAGGCAGCTGTGAAGGGCAGGCCCTCCACCTAGGATTCCAGTTGACCCATCTAGCAGGATAAAGATAGAAAATGATGGCAGTTCTCGTAACTACAGCATAATTAATTTCAGATTTAAAAAACCAGGTGAAGCTAAAATACCAGATTTTAAATAATGGAACTTGAAAGGGAGCTGATTAGAATTCATGAATCCTAAGGTCTTTGAATTATCCTGGTTAACTGGTGGAATTAAAACTGTATAGTTAACTATATGTATTAAAATATGAAAGGGAATCTTCAAAAATAGGGAAATAAAATGTATAGCTCTCCAGCAAGATACTAAAAAGCAAAAACAGAAAAATGAGCATAATACATAGCATATAATAAAAAGAATGGAATACATCTAAATGTATTGGTAAAATAATAAATATAAACGATCAAAAGATGTTTCTTCTAAGGCACAAAATTAACATTATCTGCCACTTTATACGTAGAATCTGGAGGACCTTGAATAGCCTAACTATAATACCCCTACCCACCCTGCTCCAGTGGCAGGTCCACTAGACAACCTTCCTTATCATGGGTGGCAGAGCCCGGAAGCAAGTGTCACTCCACCCTCTTGTTACTACAAAGCCTGACTCCCTCAGCTCCTGCTTGTTCACTCTGTTTCCAAGCGCAGCCCTCATGTGGCCCCACATCATGTGGTTCCATCCTCCCCTGGGCTGTGTGTGCCTGTGACTAATAAGCTGTTGTGAACTCAACTGTCTAGTGTTGGGTGTCATGTGTCCAGTCATTTCCATAACCCCAGTGTGGGAATCTCTCCTCCACAAATGGGATGGAGACGAGATGAATACATGCCAATAAAAAGACATAGATATTCGTATTGAAATATTTTATAACAGAAAAATGTTGAGAGTAAACATGTGTATAGTATAGGGAAATAGACATATTAATATAAAAGGAAGGAAAATATATAGCAGACATTTTCTAATCAGAAGAAAGCCACCATGGTATTATTACCATCCAGAAAAATAAACCATACAGTAAAATGTATCATTAGGAATAAATACATTCAGTACATGAGGGTCAAGTATACAACTCCTCAGAAATAGACAACAGTTTTTGTCTAAACCTAAGAACATAATATCAACTATGCACAGTCAGAACTTCATGAAGAAATTGGTAAGTAAAGTGATCACATATTTGTCAAGTGTGTCAATATTTAACTGCAACAAATAATTAGAAAGTACATATTCTCATTCACTCATGGAACATTTATAAAAATGGGCTATGTGCCATAAATACAAGAAAATTTTCAATAAAGATATGCAGACGTTATCCAATTGTTCTTCAGTCGTAAGGCAATGCAATTAGAAATCAAAATAAAAAATAACAAGATTGTATGTTAATATTTTAAAATCCTCATAAGTCAGTCAAATAACAATTTTTATTTGTAATCATAAGAAAACATTTGTATTAGTAATATATTGTTGCATAACAGGTCGCCCCCCTACTTAGTGATTTCAAAAACAATAATCTTTGATGATCTCTCATTTGTGGGTGGGTCATGTACTTAGGAGCAGCTCAAATATATATTTCTGGTTTGGGAGCTCTCAGGAGGCTTCAGGCAGATGTCTGGGGTAACGGCCATGTAAAGACTTGAACTGGTCGGGGGCTCCGCTCCGCACTGCCGGGCGCCGCCTCGCCATGGACGCGCGCGGGGGCGGCGGGCGGCCAGGGGAGAGCCCCGCCGCCGCCGCGCCCCCCCAACAGCAGCCGCCCCGGGCCGAGGCGTTGCCCCCGGAGGCGGCGGAGGAGGGCGGCCCGCGGGGCCAGCGCCGCAGCCGCGACAGCTAGTGCGGCCGCCCCGGCATCCCGGGCACGGCGAGCACGGCCAAGGGCAGCCGGAACGGCCGAGTGCGGGCGCGGCTAGCCGCAGTGCAGCCCCGCGGGGCCCGAGGGCCCGGCGCGGGGGCCCAAGGTGTAGTTCTTGTGCCCCGGGGCGGCCTCGGGGCCGCGCCGGGGCCGGGGCCGGGGCCGGCGGAGGAGGCCGGCAGCGAGGTGGCGGCCCGGCGGCGGAGCCGCGCCGCAGCCGGGCCAGCTTCATGCAGCGCCACTTCGGCGCGCTCCTGCAGCTGGGCGTCAACAAGTTCTCGCTGCGGATGTTCGGCAGCCAGAAGGCCGTGGAGCGCGAGCAGGAGCGCGTCCAGTCAGCGGGGTCCTGGATCATCCACCCGTACAGCGACTTCAGGTTCTACTGGGACTTCACCATGCTGCTGTTCATGGTGGGAAACCTCATCATCATCCCAGTGGGCATCACCTTCTTCAAGGACGAGACCACTGCCCTGTGGATCGTGTTCAACGTGGTCTCGGACACCTTCTTCCTCATGGACCTGGTGTTGAACTTCCGCACCGGCATTGTGATCGAGGACAACACGGAGATCATCCTGGACCAAGAGAAGATCAAGAAGTACGTGCGCACGTGGTTCATGGTGGACTTCGTGTCCTCCATCCCCGTGGACTACATCTTCCTCATCGTGGAGAAGGGCATCGACTCCGAGGTCTACAAGACGGCGTGCGCCCTGCGGATCGTGCGCTTCACCAAGATCCTCAGCCTCCTGCGGCTGCTGCGCCTCTCGCGCCTGATCCGCTACATCCACCAGTGGGAGGAGATCTTCCACATGACCTATGACCTGGCCAGCGCGGTGATGCGGTTCTGCAACCTCATCAGTATGATGCTGCTGCTCTGCCACTGGGATGGCTGCCTGCAGTTCCTGGTGGCCATGCTGCAGGACTTCCCGTGCAACTGCTGGGTGTCCATCAATGGCATGGTGAACCACTGGTGGAGCGAACTGTATTCCTTCGCACTCTTCAAGGCCATGAGCCACATGCTGTGCATTGGGTATGGCCGGCAGGCGCCCGAGAGCATGACGGACATCTGGCTGACCATGCTCAGCATGATTGTGAGTGCCACCTGCTACGCCATGTTCATCGGCCACGCCACTGCCCTCATCCAGTCGCTGGACTCCTCGCGGCGCCAGTACCAGAAGTACAAGCAGGTGGAGCAGTACATGTCCTTCCACAAGCTGCCGGCCGACTTCCGCCAGAAGATCCACGACTACTACGAGCACCGTTACCAGGGCAAGATGTTCGACGAGGACAGCATCCTGGGCGAGCTCAACGGGCCCCTGCGGGAGGAGATTGTCAACTTCAACTGCCGGAAGCTGGTGACCTCCATGCCGCTGTTCGCCAATGCTGACCCCAACTTCGTCACGGCCATGCTGACCAAGCTCAAGTTCGAGGTCTTCCAGCCGGGTGACTACCTCATCCGCGAAGGCACCATCGGGAAGATGTACTTCATCCAGCACGGCGTGGTCAGCGTGCTCGCTAAGGGCAACAAGGAGATGAAGCTGTTCGATGGCTCCTACTTCGGGGAGATCTGCCTGCTCACCCGGGGCCACCGCATGGCGAGTGTGCGGGCCAACACCTATTGCCGCCTCCTTTCGCTGAGCGTGGACAACTTCAACGAGGTGCTGGAGGAGTACCCCATGATGCGGCGCGCCTTCGAGACGGTGGCCATCGACCGCCTGGACCGCATCGGCAAGAAGAATTCCATCCTCCTGCACAAGGTGCAGCATGACCTTAACTCGGGCGTATTCAACAACCAGTAGAACGCCATCATCCAGGAGATCGTCAAGTACGACGGCGAGATGGTGCAGCAGGCCGAGCTGGGTCGGCGCCTGGGCCTCTTCCCGCCGCCGCCGCCGCCGCAGGTCACCTCGGCCATCGCCACGCTGCAGCAGGCCGTGGTCATGAGCTTCTGCCCGCAGGTGGCGCGGCCGCTCGTGGGGCCGCTGGCGCTCGGCTCGCCGCGCCTCGTGCGCCGCCCGCCCCCGGGGCCCGCACCTGCCGCCGCCTCACCCGGGCCCCCGCCCCCCCGCCAGCCCCCTGGGCGCGCCCGCCAGCCCCCGGGCACCGCGGACCTCGCCCTACGGCAGCTTGCCCGCCGCCCCCCTTGCTGGGACCGCCCTGCCCTCGCGCCGCCTGAGCCGCGCGTTGCGCCCACTGTCCGCCTCGCAGCCCTCGCTGCCCCACGGAACGCCCGTCCCAGCGGCCTCCACACGCCCGGCCAGCAGCTCCACACCGCGCCTGGGACCCACGCCCGCTGCCCGGGCCGCCGCGCCCAGCCCGGATCGCAGGGACTCCGCCTCACCCGGCGCCGCCAGCGGCCTGGACCCCCAGGACTCCGCGCGCTCGCGCCTCTCGTCCAACTTGTGACCCTCGCCAACCGCCCTGCGGGCCCAGGAGGGCCGGAGGCGGGGCCGTCATCCAGACCAAAGCCATGCCATTGCGCTGCCCCGGCCGCCAGCCCGCCCAGAAGCCACAGACAAGACATAGGTAGCCGTAGTTGGACTGACGGGCAGGGCCGGCGGGGCAGCCCCCTCCGCGTCCCCGGCCGTCCCCCCTCATCGCCCTGCGCCCACTCCCATCGCCCCTGCCCCCGGCGGCGGCCTCGCGTGCGAGGGGGCTCCCTTCACCTCAGTGCCTCAGTTCCCCTAGGTGTAAAACAGGGACGGGGCGGCCCAGTGGCTGAGAGGAGCCGGCTGTGGAGCCCCGCCCGCCCCCCGCCCTCTAGGTGGCCCGCCGTCCGATGAGGATCGTTTTTTAAGTGCAATACTTGGCCCACCGGCTTCCCGCTGCCCCCATCGCGCTCATGCAATAACCGACCCGGCCCCGGTCCACGCGCGTCCCGCGGTGACCTTGGGGAGCAGCACCCCAGCTCCCTCCAGCACTGGCACCGAGGGGCGGGCCTGGTTGCGCCGGGCGCGGGGGCGAGGGCCACCGTGATGAATGTACTGACCAGCTGAGGCAGCAGTGCCCCCACCGTGGCCCCTACGCCCAATTAACCCCCACACCCCCATTCCGCGCAATGAACGACAGCATCGGCAAAAAAAAAAAAAAAAAAAAAAAAGACTTGAACTGGAGAACCTACTTCCAAGGCAGCTAACTCACATTTCTGGGAAGTAGGTTCTGAGAAGTCCATTCCTTCCCACACAACCTCCTGCCCCAGGGCTGCTTGAGTGTCCTCTCAGGGTGGTGGCTGACTTCTTCCAGAAATGAAGAGATGTAAGAGCCAGGGAGAGCCAGGCAGAAGTTACAGGTCCACTAGACAACCTACAGTATGGCAAATTACAGTTGCCTGTTTCCTAGAAAAATTTATACCAGCTGAAGTAATTACAGGAGATAGAAAACTTTAATGGTCCTACATGAATTAAATGAATTACATCAACTCTTGAAAATTAACTTTGACAAAGTACCAAAGATGTGTTGCTAATAAATTCTATTCAAGGTACAGATACTTCTAGTCTTATATCATCTGTACTAGAGAATAGAAAAAGAAACAGAAATAAATATATAAAAATATGTGAGAATAAAGCATTATAGTCCAAGCTCGTTTATGGAGAGAGATGCAAATATCCTGAATTTAAAAAAATAAAGTATATACTTTACTCACAGAAAGCAATATACCTAAAATTAAATCTAACATAGATATGCAAAACATTTATGCAGAAGTAAATGTAGCATTGTCTTTCAACACAGAAAATAAACTAAAAATGAATGAGTAGATAGGCAAAGTTTTTGTATCAGAGGCCTAAATATTATGAAGATATTTAATAATTAAATGCAATTCAAATATAAATACCAGCAGGGTATTTCATTGAAAAAAGTTAAATATAAAATTTATATGAAAGTGTATAGGGCCAAGAAAAAAAAATTTTGGAAAAGAAGAACTGTGCAGTAAAGTGTTAACTCAGCAGGCCTGGGCTGCCCAAACCCTGCATATTCCGAAGGGCTTCAGGACAGTCCCTGACAGGCTCCTGGAGATAACCTCTGAGCCTTTGTAATATTCTGTGTGATTTGAGTGACTTTGTAAACCTGAAGCTTTGGGTCACACCACATGCTATCAACATGCTTTATAGTGAACACCTGTTTATGTATGCCTGGGCCTTGGGTCACATTGTGTCACTTTGACCTCTGGGGGTGGCAGGCAGCTGACTGGAGACTGAGTGGTTGAGGTCAGTCATGTGGAGCACAACTGGAAGCCCATGCCTCCTCCTTAGTGCTGGACTCTGCTGTGTGCACCTTTTTCCTTGCTGCTTCTAATCTATATCCTTTCACTGTAATTAACAATAGCTGTGAGTCTAACAGCTGTCTGTGTCCTGTGAGTCTTTCTAGCAAATCGTGCACTGGAACCAAAGTGGGTGGGCACTCACCAACTAAAACTATCAAACCTACTAGGAATCTATGAAAATTAAACAACGTGGCAGTACATAGACATAGCCAATAGGCAAAAGAGAATCAAACCTTAAGTGCAAAGAAATGCATTGCAGATCAGCAAGTAAGAGGTAAATTATGGGATAAAGTGATCCAAACACTGTTTATTCAGGAAAAATGTAGATTTTTATCAGACACCGTTTATAAAAATGTTTCAGATAGATTAAAACCTAATAGTGAGCAGCGAAATTAAGCATGTCTTTGGAAGAATAAGGATCATGTTCTTGTTCTCAGGATGGGGACAGATTTACTAATGTAGACAATCATAAGAAAATAGGTATTATAATAATTTGACAACATTAAAGTTAAACATACCTGTATGCAAAAAGACACCATAAGCCAGCAAGGATTAGGTATCATGTATCTCTAACCATGTGATATAGCTGACAGGGGCTTAGTATATTCAGATTATACATCAATCAAGTTAATTAATCCATTCAAACAAATCCTTATTGAATGTCTATGTGCCAGGCCCTGTTCTAGTCACCAGGGTAACTGTAGGAAACAAAACTAATATCCTCCCCTCATAGGAGAGGCAGACACTAATAAATACGTCATTACATATGTTGATAAACCTCAGATTTCAGAAAGTACCAAGGAGAGAACTAAAGCAGGTGGGAGAATAGAGCTTCGTGAGAGATGGGAGATGCTATTTTAGATTGGCTGTTCATAAAAAGAATAATTTTGAACCCAATGGGTTATGTAAAAATCAGTATAGAATAGAAAAATGACCCAATAGAAAAAGACAATTTTCAGCCGGGTGCGGTGGCTCACACCTGTAATCCCAGCACTTTGGGAGGCTGAGACAGGTGGATCAGTTGAGGTCAGGAGTTCGAGATCAGCCTGGCCAACATGGTGAAACCCCGCCTCTAGTAAAAATACAAAATTTAGCCAGGTGTGGTGGCACACACCTATAGTCCCTGCTACTTGGGAGGCTAATGCACAAGAATCGCTTGAACCTGGGAGGCGGAGGTTGCAGTAAGCTGTGATCTTGCCACTACGCTCCAGCCTGGGCGACAAAGCAAGACTGTCTCAAAATTTAAAAAAAAAAAAAGAAAAAGACAATTCTTGATTGAATGAACTGAATGCCCAATAAACATTTGAAAAGATCTCTGTAATGTATTTAACATAATTTTACATCTCTGTTCATATTAGAGAATTTATGGGGTTTTTAATAAAACACTTGGCCCTGAGTTGATAATTTTTGAAGCTGGGTGATAGGTTAATGGTGGTTGATTATATTATTCTCACTCTCTGTCTCACTCATTACACACACACACACACGAAATCATACATGATGATTTATACAGTTACTTATAGTTTACATAATTTATATATTTAACATAAATATAAGTATAAAAATAATTATTATAAATATAAATTATATGAAAATAATTTATAATGAATTCTAAGGTAATTAAGACACAAATAACAAATTTTAGGACTGAAACAGAGATATGGCCACAGATCATACAGGTATTAAAAAATAACTAGTAAATCTATGAAAATCTTTATACAAAATTATCTTTATACTATGAAAATCTTTATACAAAAATTGCTGAAAAACAGACAACTTCCTCCAAGCATATGATTTATTAAAGTGCATTCAAAAATATAAAGTCTTCACAACCCTATAATTATAAAATTGAATCTGTAATTAAACAATTTGTCATCAAGAAATGCCAAGTCCCAAAGGATTTACTGATGATTTTTACCACCAAACATTTGAGGAAGAAATAAGAAGTCATATTACACAAATCATTCTAGAGAATAGAAGAAGAGAAAATACTTTCCAATGAGGGAAAGATAATCTTGGTCACAACCAAAACCAAAATAAGAGTATCGGAAAAAATAAAATTGCTCTTGAATTCTTAATAAGTTACTCTAAACTCTTGAAAGACAATTTCTCTCTTGAATATGACTTAAAAATAAATCCAAGCCAGGCGCAGTGGCTCATGCCGGTAATCCCAGCACTTTGGGAGGCCAAGGCAGGCGGATCACTTGAGTCCAGGAGTTCGAGACCAGCCTGGCCAACATGGTGAAACCCCATGTCTACTAAAAATACAAAAAAATTAGCCAGGCGTGGTGGCGGGTGCCTGTAATCCCAGCTACTTGGGAGGGTGAGGCAGGAGGACCCCTTCAACCTGGGAGGCAGAGGTTGCAGTGAGCCAAGATTGCACCACTGCACTCCAGCCTTGGCAACAAAGTGAGACTGTGTCTCAAAACATAAAACTACAAAATAAATCCAAATAAAAACATTAGCAAACTGAGTCTAGTGACATATACATAAAGGAAAATACATCATGGTCATGTTGGGGGCCAGGGATACAAGATTAGTTTAACATATGAAAATCAATCAACATAATTCTCCATGAAAAAAACATTTTAAAAAATTGAACTGTCTAGTTATGATTGTTAAAAAAGAAACTATCACTATATTAGAAATAGGAATACACTTTCTAAATGTGAGAAAGGTGTTTTTATATTGAATGAAAAAATGTTGTAAGAGCATTCTCAGAGATTAGAAATTAAAACAACAGGATGTCTGCTCTTACCATTGTTATTCAACATGATACTGGAGGTGCTAGTCTGTGCACTGAGGCAAGAGATAGCCAGAAAAGCGTGTATCATTTTCAAGTGCCAGAATAATGAAAATGCTCAAAAAAGCAAAAAGGATGGGGCATATCAGAGAGATATAGAAGTGACCCTGATATAAAATAAATAACATGGTATTGGCTTACAACCCAAAGTATAAAATCAATATACATGAGGTTACACTGATATAAATAAATGATTAAATGAACAAGTAAATACAAAAGAAAGAAGAAGGACAACTCTTTGTAGAAGAATTCCAGATAATATGAATAGATACTGTCTCTTCCAGGAATTGGACCTTAGTGTCTACCTCCCAGGCCACCTTGTGCCTGGCCTGGACTTAGTGATTCACATGCAAGACTAGAGTATTGAAAGCCGGGAAAGAGTATCTGTGTGGTAGAGAAACCTAGCAAACGCCTCCTTGACCACATGATCAAGGTGAACATCACCAGTAATGAGGCATGTTGATATCACATCCCCTTGATATGAAGTGATGAGAAGGAAGCTTAACCTCTGCAGAATTTTTTCCAAAAGCTCATAATTCCAGCCTAATCAGGAAAAAAATAATCAGACAAACACAAATTAAAGAGCATTCTAAGGACCTGACCAGTAATCTTCAAACTGTCGATACACAGTAACAAGGAGAGGCTAAGAGTTGGCCACGGGCCAGAGGAACCCAAGGAAACGTAATGATTAAGTGCCAGATAGTATCCTGAACTGGATACTGGGAACAGAAAAAGAACGTTGGTGTAAAAACTTAGTGGAATGCAAATACATTACTGTTAATGAAAATTCAGAATTTAATATTGGTTTCTTAGTTTTGGCAAACGTAGCATGGTTGTGTAACATGTTAACTTTAAGGGAAGCTGGATAAGATAACTCTCTTTACTTTTTTTGCAGCTTTTCTGTAGATCTAAAATTATTCCAAAAGTAAAAAGTTTATTACATAAAAGAAAGAAGTCACAAAACTCTTATTTTAAGACTTACATGGCAAATTAAGTGGCCATGATTAAACAAGTCATATTTTTTCTATGTATGTATGTATTTATTTTTAAAATTGGTTAATTTATACATATATATTTTTAAATTTTACTTCAAGTTCTGGGATACACGTGCAGAATGTGCAGGTTTGTTACATAGGTATAGAAGTGTCATGGTGGTTTGCTGTGCCTATCAACCTGTCATCTAGGTTTTAAGCGCCGCATACATTAGGTATTTGTCCTAATGCTCTCCCTCCCCTTGCCCCCCACTTCCCTACAGGCCCCAGTGTGTGATGTTCCCCTCCCTGTGTCCATGTGTTCTCATTGTTTAACTCCCACTTATGAGTGAGAACATGCAGTGTTTGGTTTTCTGTTCCTGTGTTAGTTTGCTGAGAATGATGGCTTCTAGCTTCATCCATGTCCCTGCAAAGGACATGAACTATATTTACTTTTTTTTTTTTTTTTTTTTTTTTTGAGACGGAGTTTCACTCTTGTTGCCCAGGCTGGGCAATGGTGCAATCTTAGCTCACCACAACCTCTGCCTCCTGCTTCAAGTGATTCTCCTCCTTCAGCCTCCCGAGTAGCTGGGATTACAGGTATGTGCCACCACGCCTGGCTAATTTTTAGTAGAGACGAGGTTTCTCCATATTGGTCAGGCTGGTCTTGAACTCCCAGCCTCAGGTGATCCACCTGCCTTGGCCTCCCAAAGTGCTGGGATTACAGGCGTGAGCTACCATGCCTGGCCTATATTTAATTTTAATTGACAAAAAAATTGTATGTTAAAGGTATACAAAATGATGTTTTGATATATGTGTACAATGTAGAATGTTTAAATGGAGCTAATTAATATATGCGCCACCTCACATACTTATTATTGTCTTGTGATGAGAACTTTTAATATTTACTCCCTTAGTGATTTTTAAGTATACAATACATTGTTGTTAAGTACAGTCACCATGTTGTACAATAGAGCTCTTTCAGTCATTCCTCCTGTCTGGCTGAAAATTTGTGTCCTCTGACCATTATCTCCCCATTTCCTCTTCTCCCTAGCCCGTGGAACCACCATTCTGAGCTCTACTCTTAGAAGGTTTTTAGATTTCATATGTATGTGAGATCACGTGATATCTTCCTTCCTCCCTCCCTTCTTCCTTCCTTCCTCTCTTTCTCTCTTTTCTTTTCTTTCTTTCTTTCTCTTTCTTTCATCTCTCTTTCCTTCCTTCCTTCCTTCCTTCCTTTCTCTTTCATCTCTCCTTCCTTCCTTTCTTCCTTCCTTTCTCCCTCTTTCTTTCCTTTCTTTCTTTCTTTCTTTCTTTCTTTCTTTCTTTCTTTCTTTCTTTCTTTCTTTCTGTCTTCCTCCTTCCTTCCTTCCTTCCTTCTTTCAGACAAGGTCTCACTCTGTCATTCAGGCTGGAGTGCAGTAGCGTGATCATAGCTCACTGCAGCCTTGAACTCCTGGGTTCAAGCGATCTTTCTGCCTCAGCACCCTCCAAGTAGCTGGGACCACAGGCTATATCACCATGCCTGACTAATTTTTTAAATTCTTTTTTTTTTTTTGTAGAGACAGGGTCTCCCTATGTTGCCCAAGCTGGTCTCAAACTACTGGGCTCAAATGATCCTTCCTCCTTGGCCTCCCAAAATGTTGGATTGCAGGTGTGAGCCACTGCACCTGGTTCATTATTTGTCTTTCTGTGCTTAGCTTATTTCGTAAAGAAGTCAATATTAAATATTAAAAGTTATTATAAAGATATATTAGCAAGACAGTATGGTAGGGACATAAATATAAACACACATACCAACAGAACGTGACAAAAGAACAAAACCAGCCGCATGCATACTCGATGGAGACAAAGGTAACACTGCAGAATGGTGAAGGAAGAACAGTCATTTTAATGACAGTGTTGGCTTAATTGAGTATTCATGTTCAAAAAAGAAATTTGAGCCTTATTTCACATCTCATAGACACACACTATAACTTCCTTGTGGAGTTTAAATCTAAATGCAATAAGTGAGCAATAAAAATTTTAGAATATATTCTAACAGATTATATTAATGATCTTGGTGTAGGAACAGATTTTTTAAAACACTATATAGGAAACTTTAAACATAAAAAAGATTGATAAGTTAGACTACACTAAAATATTGAATATATCTTCAATGAAATACAATGTTTAAATAATGAAAACATAAATCACAGAGTAGGAGAGAATATTTTAAGTATGGCAGCGAAGGTCCTATGCCTAGATGATATAAAGTGCTTCTAAAAGCCAGTAAGAAAAAGACTCAATTAAAACATTGGGAAAACGTTTGGATAGGCACTTCATAATAAAAGAGTATTCAAATGATCAATGCTCACATTAAAAGTGGTTCAACATCGTTAATCATCAGGAAACTGCAAAGTAAACCAACCAAGAGATAACACTGTATACTCATCAAGAGGCCTACATTTTTTATTTTATTTGCTTACATTTTTACTTTAGATTCAGGGGGTACATATACAGGTTTGTTACAGGGGTATATTGCATGATGCTGAGGTTTGGGCTTCTATTGATCCCGTCATCCATGTAGTGAACATACTGCACGATAGGAAGTTTTTAGCCCTTCTCCCCTCTTTTTCCTCTTTTGGAGTCCCCAGTGTCTATTGTTCCCATCTTTATGCTCACATATACCCACAATATAGCTCCCACTTATAAGAGAACACGTGACTTTTGGTTTTCTGTTGATGCATTAATTCACTTAGGATGGTGGCCTCCGACTGCATCCATGTTGCTGCAAGGGATATTATTTTATTCTTTTCTATGGCTGCATAGTATTCCGTGGTGTATAGGTACCACATTTTCTTTATCCGATCCAGAGTTGACGGGCACCTGGATTCCATGTCGTTGCTATTATGAATAGCACTGCAATGAACATATAAGCTCATGTGTCTTTTCAGTAAAATGGCTTATTTTCCTTTGGGCATACACCCAGTAATAAAATTGCTGGATCAAATGGTACCTCAAATCTTAGTTCTTTGAGAAATCTCCAAACTGCTCTCCATAGTAGCTGGAGTAATTTACATTCCCACCAACAATGTATAAAATTTCCCCTTTCTTTACAACCTCACCAACATCTGTTATTTTTTGACTTTTAATATTGGCCATTCTGACTGATGTGAGATGATATCTCATTGTGGTTTTGATTTGCATTTCTCTAGTGATTAATGATGTTGAACTTTTTTTTTCATCTGTTTGCTGGCCACTTATATGTCTTCTTTTGAGAAGTATCTGTTCACGTCCTTTGCCCACTTTTTAATGGGGTTATTTGTTTTTTGCTTGTTGATTTGTTTAAGTTGCTTATAGATGCTGCTTTGTTGGATGTACAGTTTGCAAATATTTTCTCTCATTCTGTAGGTTGTCTGTTTACTGTGTTGATGTTTTTTTGTTGTTGTGCAAAATCTCTTTAGTTTAATTAAATCCTACTCACCAATTTTTGTTTCTGTAACAGTTGCTTTTGGGGACTTGGCCAAAAATTCTTTGCCAAGGCCATGCTAAAGAAAGGTATTTTCTATGTTTTATTCTAGCATTTTTACAGTTTCAGGTCTTACAATTAAGTCTTTAATCCCCCTGAGTTAATTTTTGTATATGGGCTAAGTGTCTAGTTTCATTCTTCTGCATATTATTAGGCAGTTTTCCCTGCACCATTTGTTGAATATGGAGTCTTTTCCCCATTACTTGTTTCTGTTGACTTTGTCAAAGATCAGTTGGTTGTAAGCGTGTGACCTTATTTCTGGGTTCTCTATACTGTCTCATTGGTCTATGTGTCTCTTTTTGTACCAGTACCATGCTGTTTTGGTTACTGTAGCCTTGTGGAATAGTTTAAAGACTTTACCAAAAAACTCCTAGACCTGGTAAATGACTTCAGTAAAGCTTCAGGATACAAAATCAGCATACACAAATCAGTAGCATTTCTATATACCAATAGTTTTTAAGCTGAGAGCCAAATCAAGAGTGAAATCCCATTCAAAATAGCACCACCCCCCAACAAATTAAAATACTTAGGAATACATCTAACCAAGGAGGTGAAAAATCTCTACAAGGAGAACTACAAAACACTACTCAAAGAAATCATAGATGACACAGACCAATGGAAAAACATTCCATGCTGGTGTGTTGAAAGAATCAATATTGTTAAAATGTCCATACTATAGATTCAGCATTATTTCTATCAAATTACCAATGCAATTTTTCACAGAATTAGAAAAACTGTTCTAATATTCATATGGAACCCAAAAAGAGCCAAAGTCATTCTAAGAAAAATAAAACCAGAGGCATCACATTACTTAACTTCATGATGGCTAAAATTTAAGGATTGACAGAAACACATTATATTACTGGTGTAGGTATAAATTATTACCATTAATTTGGAAAACTATTGACAGTATGTCAGTTTTGAACAAAATCATACCCTATGAGTTAGCAACTCCACTTTTGGGTACACACCCAGAACATGATTATCAAAAGGCATCCAAGTTTTATTTCATAAGCACCTAAGGATGTGGATCAAAATGCAAATCTGCTACACAAAATTAGTAGCCAGAGGGTTCTTGGTGAGTCTGGAAGCAAAGCACAGCATTGCTTTTTATTACTCAGCCGTCATGGCCCAGTTGCCTTTGGCAGGTGAGGCCAGCTGGCCAGTAGCTCAGATGGAGCAGGTATGAGGGGGTAAGAGCAGTGGTCCATCTGTCACTGGAGAAGCCTAGTCACCTGGGCAGAATATCTTGAACCTAGGATAAGTTCATCCATGGTAGACCAACTCTGTGATGGAGTTATGAGATGGGGAAGGAGGGTCTGGCACCATGCAACAGGATTTCCCCCAAAGCTCAGCACTCCAAGGAGCACATCAGCATCAGGAATGTCTGCTGGAAGCCAGCGGCTGTGGAGGAGGGGCAGTAGCCACTGAGCCTAGGTTCAGAGCTTCAATCCCCTTCAGTCCTCTTGACTGGCAAGAGAACAGCAGAGTCTATTAGAGAGGAATTACCATTCCAAGCAAGAATTTAGGCCACATCTTTCAGAATGAGACCATTGAGTTGAGGTCCACTTAGCAGGGAAAGTGGCTTCAGGTTGTGGTTGACTGTTTAATTACACCCTGCTGTTCACTCTCTTCACCATTGTATGCAAAGTACAGCATCTCTGACAAGCAAGGAACACTGGCTTGCCCCACAGTGGCTGGCTGGGGTTGATGAAATGAGCAGCGAAGTAGCAGTGTGCCCAGTCCAAGCAGAGACTACCTCTAGCAGGGGCATGACATTCCCCAAGAGAGGGCATCTCCTTTAGCCTGGACCTTGGAGCAAAAGCAACCCATGGATCAGACCAATAGACAACATGCAGCCCTCATCTAACCCAAGTGGAATATAGCTGTTGGTATAAGCCCCCGAGATTTTGAGGTTGTCCCCACAGGAAAGCAAACTAGCATAACACTGAATTGCTGAGCAAGTGGGTGGTTAATTAATAGCTCTCTTTCCCAACTAGAGCTTCCCTGAAAGTCCGAGGAGGCCTGGAGCATGCAGGGAGAGGACAAGCAGCCTCGGAGAGAAAGAGGGGAGGTACAAGTGACCTGGATGCAACACGGCCTGGCCCAGGAGGAATTGGATACTCTTAAGGGATATTTCACACAAGTCATATGAATCTGGAAGACTACCCCAGATCCATATAGGTATATAGGACAAGGCCAGACTACTCTCTATCCCCAACATGTCTCTCAACTGGAGAGTACTAATAAATACTGCCAATTCTTACTACCCAATTCCTGTTTTAATCAGTTATAAAATACAATTTAGTATATTGCCGTGGATTTTTATATTGGTAATATTTTCCTAAGGTGGCTTGCCAATTATCCCAGCCCCATTTGTTGAATAGGGTGTCCTTTCCCCACTTTATGTTTTTGTTTGCTTTGTTGAAGATCAGTTGGCTGTAAGTATTTGGCTTTATTTCTGGGTTCTCTATTCTGTTCCATTGGTCTATATGCCTGTTTTTATACCAGTACCATGCTGTTTTGGTGACTATGGCCTTAGGGTATATCAGTTGATACCTCCAGATTTGTTCTTTTTGCTTAGTCTTTCTTTGGCTACGTGGGCTCTTTTTTGGTTCCATATGAATTTTAGGATTGTTTTTTCTAGTTCTGTGAAGAACGATGGTATGTTTTGATGGGAATTGCATTGAATTTGTAGATTGCTTTTGGCAATACGGTCATTTTCACAACATTGATTCTACCCATCCACGAGCGTGGGATGTGTTTTCATTTGTTTATGTCATCTGTGATTTCTTTCAGCAGTGTTTTGTAGCTTTTCTTGTAGAGGTCTTTTACCTCCTTGGTTAGGTATATTCCTAAGTTTTTTTTTTTGTTTTGTTTTCAGCTATTGTAAAAGGGGATGAGTTCTTGATTTGATTCTCAGGTTGGTTGCTGTTGGTGTATAGTAGAGCTACCGATTTGTGTACAATAAATTTGTATCCTAAAACTTTGCTCAATTCATTTATCAGTTCTAGGAGCTTTTTGGAGAAGTCTTTGGGGTTTTCTAGGTATATAATCATATCATCAGCAAACAACAACAGTTTGACTTCCTCTTTAGCCATTTGGATGCCCTTTATTTCCTTCTCTTGTCTGATTACTTTGGCTAGGACTTTCAGTACTGTGGTGAATAGAAGTGGTGAAAGTGGGCATCCTTGTCTTGTTCCAGTTCTCAGGAGGAATGCTTTCAGCTCATCCCCCTTCAGTATTATGTTGGCTGTGGGTTTGTTGTAGATGGCTTTTGTTACCTTGTGTCCCTTCTATGCTGATTTTGCTGAGGGCTTTAATCATTAAGGGATGCTTAATGTCAAATGCTTTTTCTGCGTCTATCGAGATAATCATGTAATTTTTGTTTTTAATCCTGTTTATGTGGTGTATTGCATTTATTGACTTGCATAGTGTTAGTGGCTCTTTCTGCATACTTGAGAATATCTAGTTTTATGTCTCGTTTGAATCTGGGTAGGTTACTTAACCATGATGACAGTTCATTATTATATTTTATTTTAAAAATGTATTTTTTAAATTTTAAAATATTTAATTGACAAAGATTGAATATTTTTGGTGTGCAACATGATGATTTGACATATGTATGCATTGTGTAGTGATTACCAAAATCAAATTAATTAACACATCCATCACCACCCATGCTGTATATGAGAACCCCAGAACTGATTCGTCTTGTAACTGAAAGCTTGTATTCTTTGTCCAGCCTCTCACCCAGTTTCCCCTCTCCCCCACCCCTGGCATCACCATTTAACTCTCTGCTTCTATGAGTTTGACACTTTTATTTATTTATTTATTTTTGAGACAGATTTTTGCTCTTGTCGCCCAGGCTAGAGTGCAATGGCACAGTCTGAGCTCACTGTAACCTCTGCCTCCCGGGTTCAAGTGATTCTCCTGCCTCAACCTCCCGAGTAGCTGGGATTACAGGCATGGCATGTGCCACCACACCCAGCTAATTTTGTAATTTTAGTAGGGATGGGGTTTCACCATGTTGGTCAGGCTCCTCTTGAACTCCTGACCTCAGGTGATCCACCTGCCTCGGCCTCCCAAAGTGCTGGGATTACAGGTGTGAGCCACCATGCCCTGCCCAGTTTGACACTTTTAGATTCCACACATAAGTGAGATCATGCAGTATTTGTCTGTCTGTGTCTTTCTATGCTTATTTTATGTAACATGTCCTCCAGGTTCATCTGTGTTGTTGCAAATGGCAGGATTTTCTTTTTATGGCTGAATAATAGTCCACTTTATACTTCAAATTCTTCCTATCTTTCAGAACCAGATCCAATGCCATCTCTTCCGCAAAGCCTTCTTTGATCTTGAAGTTTGGCAGAGGAAGTTCTCCCCACTGTGAGGTTTAATTATATTGATTTCCTCCTGGCCATGGGTCTGTTTGTAATAGGGATTTATGCAGGAGATAGATAAGGTTTCTCATGCAGCTTGTCAGCTGGTATCATAGAGTGTTTTCTGTAGTTATTATTCTATAACTATTTATTTATGTTTTATAAGTCCTATGAAATATCACTTAAAGGAAAATTCTCTCAGCCTTGTTCCCAAATTCTGTGTGATCACAAAGACACTATTGCTTTCTAGGCCTTGCTTTCATGGAACTGAACCTAAATAGTGTACCTTTTTTAGGTATCTCCAGGGTCTTTCTTTAACTATTTTTGCTCAAGTAAAAGTGAATAGCAAAAATGGAGTATTTTAAACCTGAAAAAAAAAAAAAAAACAGAAAGGAAGTGAGGTGGCTTGACTTCCTCCTAAGTTTATAGTAAGTATATTTTCTCATGGGAAGAAAAAAACACACTGATGATTAGAAACACTTTGCTTTTTGTTCAGCCACAACCTAGCTATTTCCCACAAAGTTAATCCACTGTTACCAGAATAGGGAAGCATCTGTACACATAGAGAGAAATGGAACCTAAATATTTCTGGAAACCTCAAGTCACTTACACATTCCACAAGTTGCCTCATATCGAGAAACACAGAATTTGTTCAAACATTTCAATACTTCACCAGATTGAGTTTGCAAACAAAAACATTTTGGAATTGTGGCAAAGGGAGTGGCTGTCATGGCAGAGGTGAGCTCAGACATGTGGATTAGTATTCAGACGATAATTTGGCTCCAGAAATCATCACCACGGGGCACACAACCCTGTAGTCAGAAAGGACCTCATGAATCACCCCATAGATTACCCTAAAATTTAAAGATTTTCTCCAGAATGAACCTAGTAAAGAAGACTATTCTAAGAGGCAGCTTATCTCATTCTGAAAACATCTTTGTTGTTTCTTTCTTTCTTTTCTTTTTTTTTTTTTTTTTTTTTTGAGATGGAGTCTAGCTCTGTCCCCCAGGCTGGAGTGCAGTGGCGCAATCTCGGCTCACTGCAAGCTCTGCCTCCTGGGTTCACGCCATTCTCCTGCCTCAGCATCCCGAGTAGCTGGGACTACAGGCGCCCGCCACCACGACTGGTTAATTTTTTGTAGTTTTAGCAGAGACGGGGTTTCACCGTGTTAGCCAGGATGGTCTTGATCTCCTGACCTTGTGATCCTCCTGCCTTGGCCTCCCAAAGTGCCGGGATTACAGGCATCAGCCACTGCGCCTGGCCTGTTTATCTTTATTTCTTTTTTTTTTTCTTTTATTATTATACTTTAAGTTTTAGGGTACATGTGCACATTGTGCAGGTTATTTACATATGTATACATGTGCCATGCTGGTGCGCTGCACCCACTAACTTGTCATCTAGCATTAGGTATATCTCCCAATGCTATCCCTCCCCCCTCCTCCCACCCCACAACAGTCCCCAGAGTGTGATGTTCCCCTTCCTGTGTCCATGTGATCTCATTGTTCAATTCCCACCTGTAAGTGAGAATATGCGGTGTTTGGTTTTTTGTTCTTGCGATAGTTTACTGAGAATGATGATTTCCAGTTTCATCCATGTCCCTGCAAAGGACATGAACTCATCATTTTTTATGGCTGCATAGTATTCCATGGTGTATATGTGCCACATTTTCTTAATCCAGTCTATCATTGTTGGACATTTGGCTTGGTTCCAAGTCTTTGCTATTGTGAATAATGCCGCAATAAACATACGTGTGCATGTGTCTTTATAGCAGCATGATTTATAGTCCTTTGGGTATATACCCAGTAATGGGATAGCTGGGTCAAATGGTATTTCTAGTTCTAGATCCCTGAGGAATCGCCACACTGACTTCCACAATGGTTGAACTGGTTTACAGTCCCACCAACAGTGTAAAAGTGTTCCTATTTCTCCACATCCTCTCCAGCACCTGTTGTTTCCTGACTTTTTAATGATTGCCATTTTAACTGGTGTGAGATGGTATCTCATTGTGGTTTTGATTTGCATTTCTCTGATGGCCAGTGATGATGAGCATTTTTTCATGTGTTTTTTGGCTGCATAAATGTCTTCTTTTGAGAACTGTCTGTTCATGTCGTTTGCCCACTTTTTGATGGGGTTGTTTGTTTTTTTCTTGTAAATTTGTTTGAGTTCATTGTAGATTCTGGATATTAGCCCTTTGTCAGATGAGTAGCTTGCGAAAATTTTCTCTCATTTTGTAGGTTGCCTGTTCACTCTAATGGTAGTTTGTTTTGCTGTGCAGAAGCTCTTTAGTTTAATTAGATCCCATTTGTCAATTTTGGCTTTTGTTGCCATTGCTTTTGGTGTTTTAGACATGAAGTCCTTGCCCATGCCTATGTCCTGAATGGTAATGCCTAGGTTTTCTTCTAGGGCTTTTATGGTTTTAGGTCTAACATTTAAGTCTTTAATCCATCTTGAATTGATTTTTGTATAAGGTGTAAGGAAGGGATCCAGTTTCAGCTTTCTACATATGGCTAGCCAGTTTTCCCAGCACCATTCATTAAATAGGGAATCCTTTCCCCATTGCTTGTTTTTCTCAGGTTTGTCAAAGATCAGATAGTTTTAGATATGCGGCGTTATTTCTGAGGGCTCTGTTCTGTTCCATTGATCTATATCTCTGTTTTGGTACCAGTACCATGCTGTTTTGGTTACTGTAGCCTTGTAGTATAGTTTGAAGTCAGGTAGCGTGACGCCTCCAGCTTTGTTCTTTTGGCTTAGGATTGACTTGGTGATGCAGGCTCTTTTTTGGTTCCATATGAACTTTAAAGTAGTTTTTTCCAATTCTGTGAAGAAAGTCATTGATAGCCTGATGGGGATGGCATTGAATCTGTAAATTACCTTGGGTAGTATGGCCATTTTCACGATATTGATTCTTCCTACCCATAAGCATGGAATGTTCTTCCATTTGTTTGTATCCTCTTTTATTTCCTTGAGCAGTGGTTTGTAGTTCTCCTTGAAGAGGTCCTTCACATCCCTTGTAAGGTGGATTCCTAGGTATTTTATTCTCTTTGAAGCAATTGTGAATGGGAGTTCACTCATGATTTGGCTCTCTGTTTGTCTGTTGTTGCTGTATAAGAATGCTTGTGATTTTTGTACATTGATTTTGTATCCTGAGACTTTGCTGAAGTTGCTTATCAGCTTAAGGAGATTTTGGGCTGAGACAGTGGGGTTTTCTAGATATACAATCATGTCATCTGCAAACAGGGACAATTTGACTTCCTCTTTTCCTAATTGAATACCCTTTCTTTCTTTCTCCTGCCTAATTGCCCTGGCCAGAACTTCCAACACTATGTTGAATAGGAGTGGTGAGAGAGGGCATCCCTGTCTTGTGCCAGTTTTCAAAGGGAATGCTTCCAGTTTTTGCCCATTCAGTATGATATTGGCTGTGGGTTTGTCATAGATAGCTCTTATTATTTTGAAATATACGTCCCATCAATACCTAATTTATTGAGAGTTTTTAGCATGAAGGGTTGTTGAATTTTGTCAAAGGCCTTTTCTGCATCTATTGAGATAATCATGTGGTTTTTGTCTTTGGCTCTGTTTATATGCTGGATTACATTTATTGATTTGCGTATATTGAACCAGCCTTGCATCCCAGGGATGAAGCCCACTTGATCATGGTGGATAAGCTTTTTGATGTGCTGCTGGATTCGGTCTGCCAGTATTTTATTGAGGATTTTTGCATCAATGTTCATCAAGGATATTGGTCTAAAATTCTCTTTTTTGGTTGTGTCTCTGCCTGGCTTTGGTATCAGAATGATGCTGGCCTCATAAAATGAGTTAGGGAGGATTCCCTCTTTTTCTATTGATTGGAATAGTTTCAGAAGGAATGGTACCAGTTCCTCCTTGTACCTCTGGTAGAATTCGCCTGTGAATCCGTCTGGTCCTGGACTCTTTTTGGTTGGTAAGCTATTGATTATTGCCACAATTTCAGCTCCTGTTATTGTCTATTCAGAGATTCAACTTCTTCCTGGTTTAGTCTTGGGAGAGTGTATGTGTCGAGGAATGTATCCATTTCTTCTAGATTTTCTAGTTTATTTGCGTAGAGGTGTTTGTAGTATTCTCTGATGGTAGTTTGTATTTCTGTGGGATCGGTGGTGAGATCCCCTTTATCATTTTTTATTGCATCTATTTGATTCTTCTCTCTTTTTTTCTTTATTAGTCTTGCTAGCGGTCTATCAATTTTGTTGATCTTTTCAAAAAACTAGCTCCTGGATTCATTAATTCTTTGAAGGGTTTTTTGTGTCTCTATTTCCTTCAGTTCTGCTCTGATTTTAGTTATTTCTTGCCTTCTGCTAGCTTTTGAATGTGTTTGCTCTTGCTTTTCTAGTTCTTTTAATTGCGATGTTAGGGTGTCAATTTTGGATCTTTCCTGCTTTCTCTTGTGGGCATTTAGTGCTATAAATTTCCCTGTACACACTGCTTTGAATGCGTCGCAGAGATTCTGGTATGTTGTGTCTTTGTTCTCGTTGGTTTCAAAGAACATCTTTATTTCTGCCTTCATTTCGTTATGTACCCAGTAGTCATTCAGGAGCAGGTTGTTCAGTTTCCATGTAGTTGAGCGGTTTTGAGTGAGATTCTTAATCCTGAGTTCTAGTTTCATTGCACTGTGGTCTGAGAGACAGTTTGTTATAATTTCTGTTCTTTTACATTTGCTGAGGAGAGCTTTACTTCCAAGTATGTGGTCAATTTTGGAATAGGTGTGGTGTGGTGCTGAAAAAAATGTATATTCTGTTGATTTGGGGTGGAGAGTTCTGTAGATGTCTATTAGGTCTGCTTGGTGCAGAGCTGAGTTGAATTCCTGGGTATCCTTGTTGACTTTCTGTCTCGTTGATCTGTCTAATGTTGACAGTGGGGTGTTAAAGTCTCCCATTATTAATGTGTGGGAGTCTAAGTCTCTTTGTAGGTCACTCAGGACTTGCTTTATGAATCTGGGTGCTCCTGTGTTGGGTGCATATATATTTAGGATAGTTAGCTCTTCTTGTTGAATTGATCCCTTTACCATTATGTAATGGCCTTCTTTGTCTCTTTTGATCTTTGTTGGTTTAAAGTCTGTTTTATCAGAGACTAGGATTGCAACCCCTGCCTTTTTTTGTTTTCCATTTGCTTGGTAGATTTTCCTCCATCCTTTTATTTTGAGCCTATGTGTGTCTCTGCACGTGAGATGGGTTTGCTGAATACAGCACACTGATGGATCTTGACTCTTTATCCAATTTGCCAGTCTGCGTCTTTTAATTGGAGCATTTAGTCCATTTACATTTAAAGTTAATATTGTTATGTGTGAATTTGATCCTGTCATTATGATGTTAGCTGGTTATTTTGCTCGTTAGTTGATGCAGTTTCTTCCTAGTCTCGATGGTCTTTACATTTTGGCATGATTTTGCAGCGGCTGGTACCGGTTGTTCCTTTCCATATTTAGCGCTTCCTTCAGGAGCTCTTTTAGGGCAGGCCTGGTGGTGACAAAATCTCTCAGCATTTGCTTGTCTGTAAAGTATTTTATTTCTCCTTCACTTATGAAGCTTAGTTTGGCTGGATATGAAATTCTGGGTTGAAAATTCTTTTCTTTAAGAATGTTGAATATTGGCCCCCACTCTCTTCTGGCTTGTAGGGTTTCTGCCGAGAGATCCGCTGTTAGTCTGATGGGCTTCCCTTTGAGGGTAACCCGACCTTTCTCTCTGGCTGCCCTTAACATTTTTTCCTTCATTTCAACTTTGGTGAATCTGAGAATTATGTGTCTTGGAGTTGCTCTTCTCGAGGAATATCTTTGTGGCGTTCTCTGTATTTCCTGAATCTGAACGTTGGCCTGCCTTGCTAGATTGGGGAAGTTCTCCTGGATAATATCCTGCAGAGTGTTTTCCAACTTGGTTCCATTCTCCCCATCACTTTCAGGTACACCAATCAGACGTAGATTTGGTCTTTTCACATAGTCCCATATTTCTTGGAGGCTTTGCTCATTTCTTTTTATTCTTTTTTCTCTAAACTTCCCTTCTCACTTCATTTCATTCATTTCATCTTCCATTGCTGATACCCTTTCTTCCAGTTGATCGCGTCGGCTCCTGAGGCTTCTGCATTCTTCACGTAGTTCTCGAGCCTTGGTTTTCAGCTCCATCAGCTCCTTTAAGCACTTCTCTGTATTGGTTATTCTAGTTATACATTCTTCTAAATTTTTTTCAAAGTTTTCAACTTCTTTGCCTTTGGTTTGAATGTCCTCCTGTAGCTCAGAGTAATTTGATCGTCTGAAGCCTTCTTCTCTCAGCTCGTCAAAGTCATTCTCCGTCCAGCTTTGTTCCATTGCTGGTGAGGAACTGTGTTCCTTTGGAGGAGGAGAGGCGCTCTGCTTTTTAGAGTTTCCAGTTTTTCTGTTCTGTTTTTTCCCCATCTTTGTGGTTTTATCTACTTTTGGTCTTTGACAATGGCGATGTACAGATGGGTTTTTGGTGTGGATGTCCTTTCTGTTTGTTAGTTTTCCTTCTAACAAACAGGACCCTCAGCTGCAGGTCTGCTGGAGTACCCTGCAGTGTGAGGTGTCAGTGTGCCCCTGCTGGGGGGTGCCTCCCAGTTAGGCTGCTCGGGGGTCAGGGGTCAGGGACGCACTTGAGGAGGCAGTCTGCCCGTTCTTAGATCTCCAGCTGCGTGCTGGGAGAACGACTGCTCTCTTCAAAGCTGTCAGACAGGGACATTTAAGTCTGCAGAGGTTACTGCTGTCTTTTTGTTTGTCTGTGCCCTGCCCCCAGAGGTGTAGCCTACAGAGGCAGGCAGGCAGGCCTCCTTGAGCTGTGGTGGGCTCCACCCAGTTCGAGCTTCCCAGCTGCTTTGTTTACCTAATCAAGCCTGGGCAATGGCGGGCGCCCCTCCCCCAGCCTCGCTGCCGCCTTGCAGTTTGATCTCAGACTGCTGTGCTAGCAATCAGCGAGACTCCGTGGTCGTAGGACCCTCCGAGCCAGGTGCAGGATATAATCTCCTGGTGCGCCGTTTTTTAAGCCCGTAGGAAAAGCGCAGTATTCGGGTGGGAGTGGCCTGATTTTCCAGGTGCTGTCCGTCACCCCTTTCTTTGACTAGGAAAGGGAACTCCCTGACCCCTTGCGCTTCCCGAGTGAGGCAGTGCCTCGCCCTGCTTCGGCTGGCGCACGGTGCACGCACCCACTGACCTGCGCCCACTGTCTGGCACTCCCTAGTGAGATGAACCTGGTACCTCAGATGGAAATGCAGAAATCACCTGTCTTCTGCGTTGCTCACGCTGGGAGCTGTAGACCGGAGCTGTTCCTATTCGGCCATCTTGGCTCCTCTCTCTATCTTTATTTCTTATAACTTGTTTTAATCATCCTGTTTGGGACTCGTAGCTCTGACATTTGGTGATATTAAGAACACAGGGATTACTTATTCACAGGCTGTGATATCACATAGTGGAAAACCTTTATTATTTATGACTCCTGGGATAAATATTCCAGGTTTCTACACACAAGATGATTTTCATGTTTTCTGCCATCTGTATTATACCCTCTTTGTCAATATCATCCTTAAAATGAGCTGCCCTGCTCCCAGCAAAATGACTCATCTAGCAATGCTTATATGAGATTCCTGAATGCATTACTATGACAGGGTCACATCTCAATTTCATTTTTCTCTTTATAAAAGGAATTTATAATCTTTCCCAGATTATAAATTGTCAATTAACAGAACTAATAAAAATTATTTTAAAAGTATGTATATAAGTAACTGCTACAAGCATTTTCAACAATGATGAACATGAGAAAAGCTATCCTATTCTCTGGAGTTAAATATTTATTTTGAAATATTAAGATATTTCTAATTTTTCAAATCCATTGATAATATATCATTATCTGATGGGAAAATTTTCAATAGATATAAATGTATTTAGAATGTAAAAATGAATTCAGAATGGAATAATAATTCTACTTATAGTAGTATTCACAGAGAAAGTAGAACTATTGCCACCTTTTAATTGGGTGGTAGATTTCAATTGTTCTCACTGTTTTGGCAGCCTTGTCACAGGATTCCTTATGTGAGGTTTTATTTGCCTAAATCTCATTCCTTCCTCACATGAGTCATCACCAAGCCAGGAATCTTTTGTACCTTGCAAGCGACTTTCTGGAATACAGGCTATCACACTTTTTCCTAATAAATTTTATTTCATTTTTCTGTAGCTCCTCATTCTTATCTGTCAATGTCATTTTACAAGTCTTGAAGCTGTCTTCTACAGCAGAGCTGCAAATCTGTTTCCACTTGAGCTTCTGATAAACATACTAAACAATATATGCTGATGACCCAACATTCAGAATCACCTTTCAATTTGACACAGACCTGGTAGTAATACTCTTTAGAGATCTAGTTTAGGATCTCTAAACCCAGGAAATCACTTGGGTTGATCTCTAAACCCAGGCAAATTCTCTTTACCCAGGAAATTCACTAATCTATCAAGATACAGACACAGTGTCAAGTACTCGGCTGAAGTAGAGATACATACCACACTCTGTTCTAAAGGGCAATAACAGTTTTTTTTCCCCATTAGAACGGACTTACTCCTGGTAAACCTGGAGCTGTAAAGCTGATACGTAGGAATCATTCAACAAAGTGTGCGCATTAGTATTATTGTTATCAGTTTGTATTAATCAATACACTATCCTCTAAATGCTCCCAAATTCATTGTTTAAAAACTAGATAAGGGGTTGGGTTAAGATAATAAGTCCTTATTTTCTGGAACGAGGAAACTAGTTAAGGTTAACTTCAGTTTGGTCATCTGGTACCACAGAAAAATCTAACACCACAGAGACACTGGGTCATATGCAGAGATTTATTCTTAATATTTCCTAACTGAAAAACAGCTCATTAGGCACATCTGGAGACCTTGGAGCTGTCCTAGGTACAAGGGTGGGGTGGCAGAGAAAAGCTTAATGTAGACTCTCTACTCTCAAACGACTCATTCTGGTGAATAGACACTAGTTAACTATGCAGGTAAAGTTTTCTTCATTCTTGTATCTCAACATCTGACACAGACCCTGGCTTGGTAACGGGAACTCACATGTGTGTGATGAAGGTAAGGAGCACTCCGAAGAGAGCCTGGTGATGCAGAACTAGCAGGCATGTGGTGCATCCCAATTCCCCTAGTGCTTCAAAGCCCTTACAAAGCAGAACCGTGGCCCCGATGTGAGGCACACAGGCTGGGGACACAATTCCTTTTCAAAGAGAAGCAACTGAATGCTCAGAAGTAGAGTGACTTGTGAAGGGTCACTGGGAAGAACGTGGCAAAGCTGAAATGAACACTCAGATCTGCAGACTATAAGTCATTTGCAGGGCCAGGCATGGTGGCTCATGTCTATTATCCCAGTGCTTTGGGAGGCCAAAGCAGGAGGATCTCTTGTGGCCAGGAGTTTGAGACTGGCCTGGGAAACATAGCAAGACCTGTCTCTACAAAAAATATAATAGAAAATTCACCAGGCATTGTGCTGTGTGCCTATAGTCCTAGCCACTGAGGAAGCTCAGGCTGGAGGATTGCTTGAGCCCAGAAGTTTGAGGCTGAACTGAGCTATGATCATAGCACTGCACTCCAGCCTGGGTGACAGAGTGAAATCCCACCTCTAAAAAGAGGGGAAAAAATAGCTTTTTTTTTTTTTTTTTTCCTGAGATGGAGTTTTGCTCTGTCGCCCAGGCTGGAGTGCAACGGCACGATCTTGGCTCACTGAAACTTTTGCCTCCCGGGTTCAAGGAATTCTCCTGCCTCAGCCTTTCGAGTAGCTGAGATTACAGGCACCCACCAGCACACCAGGTTAATTTTTTTTTTTTGATAGAGACGGGGTTTCACCATGTTGTTCAGGCTGGTCTTGAACTCCTGACCTCAGGTCATCCGCCTGCCTTGGCCTCCCAAAGTGCTGGGATTACAGGAGTGAGCCACTGCACCTGGCTGGAAAAAATAGTCTTAACTATAGTCCCAGCTACTTGGGAGGCAGAGGTGGTAGGATCGCTTGAGCCCGGGAGGTCGAGGATGAAGTGAGCTGAGATCGCACCACTGCACTCCAGCCTGGGAGGCAAAGTGAAAACCTATTTAAAAAAAAAGTGGTGACTTCAAATCACTCTCTTTCAGCATTAGAGTAAGGTAGGAAGTCTGCATATTTTTAGATTCTCATGATTTTTCTCATGGAAGGGGTGATCATTTTTGATCACTGCCATTGCATCATGACAACAAAGCTGCTTCTGTGTGTCCTAGAATACAAAATGCAAATGGAATCCAGCCTGGTAAAAATGTGGAAGGAGAGCAAGAAGCCCTTTGGTGAGCATAGCCAGGCCACCCATTTAGGTTGTGTTGGTGCACATCCTTGCAGGCCCCATGCACATCACAACTTCCACAGACTCACATGTGCTTTACAACAGTTCTCTAGAAGATGGTAGTAGGAGATCTTATTCTAACAAAACAGTGTAATATGACAGCATCCCAAGAGATAGAAGTAACATGTCTTGAGAAAGAAGTGCCTCTTTTCTAATCTTCATGGAGACAGCTCATGGACTGTGATTGCTTTGCATCCAGTCTCTCCAGATGACCTATTGCTCTCAAATATCACTAATGACTGACTACAAGCCAACAAGAGAGAGGGTTGAGTTTCATGTATCTTGTGCAGAGTAGGTGCTGAGTTAATATTTCTCGAATTCAGAGTTGTGCTAGGTCTCCCAAGAATTTCATAATGTAATGCTGAAGAGCATGGGCTTTGGGGTCAGGCAAGCTAAGGTTCAAACTTTGACTACTGCTTAGGATACTAGAATAAGTTCTACATCTTCATTGTCCTCATGGAAAGATTCATGGTCCTCATGGGTAAAATGTGATGAATAAAATCTGCAGGACTGGGAGGAGTAAAGGATATAAATAATATTGCATTCCATGCCTGGTACGTAGTTGGTGCTGTCGACAGTAGCTAGAGAGAGAGAAATGAATGATGGTAAAGAGTGCAGGCTACTCTACCTGTACCCATGTTCATCATAGCACTATCCACAACAGCCAGAATATGGAATCAACCTCCGTGTCCATCGACAGGTGAAGAAAATGTGTTATAAATACACGGTTGAGTACTATTCAGCCTTAAGAAACAAGGAAATCCTGTCATTTGCAACACCATAGATGAACCTGGAGGACATTATGCTAAGCGAAATAAGCTGGGTGCCAAAAGACAGCTACTTTATGATCTCACTTATATACAGAGGCTAAAAATGTCAAACTCACAGAGGCAGAGAGTGGGATGGTGCTTACCAGAGGCTGGGGCAGGGGAAGGACTGAGAAGAGGTTGGCCAGGGATACACAATTTCAGTTAGGAGGAGAAACTTCAAGAAATCTGTTGCACAGCATGGTGACCACAGCTAAACACAGTGTCTTGTATTCTTGAGCACTTCTAAGAGAGTAGTTTTAAGTGTTCTTACCACAAATAACTGGCAAGTAGGTGAGGCAATGCATATGTTACTTAGTTCAGTTTAGCCATTCCATAGTGTACGCATACTGTATATCAAAACACTATGTTCTTCTTAGGACAGGCGATGAGGACAAAAAAAGAAAAAACATTATGTCATATACCATAAATATATACAGTTCGTGTCCGTCAATTAAAAAAAAAATTATGGCTGGGTGCAGTGGCTCACGCCTGTAATCCCAGCACTTCAGGAGGCCGAGATGGGCGAATCACCTGAGGTTGCGAGTTTGAGACCAGCCTGACCAACATGGAGAAACCCCGTCTCTACTAAAAATACAAAATTAGCCGGGCGTGGTGGTGCACAACTATAATCCCAGCTACTTGGGAGGCTGAGGCAGGAGAATCACTTGAACCTGGGAGGCGGAGGTGGGGTGAGCCGAGATCGCACTATTGCACTCCAGCCTGGGCGACAGAGCGAGACTCCTTCTCAATAAATAAATAAATAAATAAGTAAAAATTTACAAACAGAGCACAGACTGTGGAGTCCAGCTGCCTGGAGTCAAGGCCAAGCTTGTCTCTACTTAGCTGTGTGGCATTTACACAGGTCCCTGAAGCTCTCCATGCCGCATTTTCTCTTCTGTAAAAGTCTTTTGGGGAGGTAAATGACAGAACACATGTATGGGGGTCGTTGCTGCTGGCACCTAATATTTCTGATCCTTAGGCACAGCCTGCTCCCCTTCAAATCAGGCCTGGCCTTGGGATTGTGCTTTGGCTTGTGGTATCTGTTTGTTCACTTCTGGCTGGAGCTTCAGGAGACAGCGTGTGATTTGATATTTCTCTTTATCTGCCAGGTAGTGCAAAATGACATACAGCACAGCCTGGCCAGTCCAAAACTGACACATAGTACCATAAAATCTTCTGGGACTTTGTCGGTTTAGGTCCCAGAAAATATTGATGATATTTTATTATTGCAATATGGCCTCCCCCATCTTTTTTTTTTTGTGACAGAGTCTCACTCTGTCACCCAGGCTAGAGTGCAGTGGCGTGATCTTGGCTCACTGCAAGCTCCACCTCCCGGGTTCAAGTGATTCTCCCGCTTTAGACTCCAGAGTAGCTGGGATTACAGGAGCACACTGCCACACCTGGCTAATTTTTTAGTGTTTTTATTAGAGATGGGGTTTCACCATGTTGGCCAGACTGGTCTCGAACTCCTGACCTCAGGCAATCCACCTGCCTCGGCCTCCCAAAGTGCTGGGATTACAGAAGTGAGCCAGCACGCCCGGCCAGCCTCCCCCATCTTAAGGAAAACAGAATCTAAAGTGCCCAAACTCGTGTCTGGCCCATAGTTGGTACTCAGCAAATGTTTATTATTGTTATAATAATAATGATTATTCCTGTCATCATTCCTAATGATGTTCATATTTGAACAGCCCCAGCTCTGCCTAGCTACACCTTGGCCATTGTTGGACTTCATGATTTTAAGATCTCTCTTCTCTAGAAGAAACAGTTTAGTATTTGGCACAAGAGAAACACAGAAAACTACTTCAAACATCTATTGACTGACTGTGGATGCATCTGAAAGTGATTCATCTCTGAGTCTTTATTTCATTATCTGTACAATGGAGATGAATCCTAATGACTGAGAAGTTTGGTCACAAGCAAACTTCTTTTGGCTGCAGTGCCTGGGACAAGGTCAGCACTAGCCACTCCTGTCCGTGCTATCTCCTTTGCAGCACCAATCCCAGCTCCTCCAGCCTTCACATCCTAGTCTCTCACCAGCTATAAGACTTTTCTTTCTCCTAATTGTTGGCTGTTCCACAGGGAGATGGAGAGGAGCTTGCTCACTTGTTAATTTTGCTATTGATAGCTTGAGGAAAAAATTACATCTAGTAGGAGACTCTAATCAGAATATCTGTGGAATTTAGGTAGCTCCATCATTTCTAGTCCACAAATGTAGCTATGAAACATTGGAATCCTTTATGGTTTTAGAACGACCTAATGCATTTGGTGTCTGTGGCTATGTGTAGCTCAACAATGTTGTAGCCTGTACTCACACTTAGCTATACCAGGTGATCATTTTCCCACTGTCTTGGCTTTTCTGGGAAGACCTGCTCAATGCTGCTACGGGCACACGCAGGTGGACAGGTCACGACCTAGGAGTCACTGCTCTCAGCCAAATGTCACATGTAATTGTGTCCCAACATCCTCCTGAAAGGAGCCTTTCAAATAACTGAAAAAAACTAATTAAATACGTATAGCATGAATCATTTCTGGAAGATAACTAAACCCAAGCAGTTACGCCAGTTGGTCTTCATCATAGTTCCTTAATTTAATAGTAATCTTCATAGGAAATTGTGGTATCACGTGAGGTGGATCTGGCAAGCTTTTTCATCCGGTTCCAGATGGGGAACTTAATTGATCTCAAATTTGCTCACTGAGCTTTAAAGTGTGGAAAAAGACCCAGAGCCCTGACTTTCCAGCCAAGTCTCAGGTCCCCACCACTGGGCCACATACCCTTCCCAGGGGCCAGCAGAGGAAATAGAACTCAATTTGTGTTAAAGGTTTACAAACCTGTTAATGCTTTTTGTTCAGTATTTCAAAATTTAGAGAACATGGTGCTGCACATTTTAAGGAATATTACTTTTCTTCCTTCCCTCCTGCATCCTGTTTTCTCTCGGTGCTATTATGGTTCACATTGGTTGGCAATACATTGCAGCAAGAAAGGTATTAAAAGCTTGAGGTGGTAAAACTATAAAGTTACCAGCTTTCCATGCTAATTCGTGTGAAAACATGATGCGCTCCACATCTTTCATGGTGCAATAACATAGGTGAGTCAACATCAGGCACGTGAGTTTGTTCAAGCAAGTCATTTGAAGTCAGAATGGTAACTTGTGGAGGCGGATCTGTGACATGCTGGGAAGAAGTCAGGTTTAGTATACCATATTGCAGTTTATTATCCATGAAGTAGATTACCCAAAAAACTTAGCCATTTTGCAGTATGTATAAAACGTGCCTTTATTCAGCAATTCAGTTTCTAAGAATTCCTTCTAAATAAATAAGGATGTGTACAGATATATAGATGTAAAGATGGTTATTGTAATTTCTTTAGGATAATCAAATCATGGTACATCTGAACTGAATCATCCTGCATTCATTAAAACAGCAGTGCTGGGATTTCATCATTTATATAAATATGGAAAATTCATTTAAGTACTAAGCAGGTTGCAGAGCAGCAAAGATGTCATTATTTTTACTTTTGAGCAAGTGAAGATGGAGAGACAGACCCACAGTCAGAAGCACATATTTCCAGGTATCCGTAATTTTGTAATTTTCATTTTCCTTTTACCTATATTTCATAATTATTCTGTATGTAACGTGGGTTATTTGCATCATCAAAATGCCTTTCAAAATAATGTGTAAAAACAGTATTAATTGCCTTTTTAAAAAATTATTATTATACTTTAAGTTTTAGGGTACATGTGCACAATGTGCAGGTTAGTTACATATGTATACATGTGCCATGCTGGTGTGCTGCACCCATTAACTCGTCATTTAGCATTAGGTATATCTCCTAATGCTATCCCTCCCCCCTCCCCCGACCCCACAACAGTCCCCAGAGTGTGATGTTCCCCTTCCTGTGTCCATGTGTTCTCATTGTTCAATTCCCATCTATGAGTGAGAACATGTGGTGTTTGTTTTTTTGTCCTTGCGATAGTTTACTGAGAATGATGATTTCCAATTTCATCCATGTCCCTACAAAGGACAAGAACTTATCATTTTTTATGGCTGCATAGTATTCCATGGTGTATATGTGCCACATTTTCTTAATCCAGTCTATCATTGTTGGACATTTGGGTTGGTTCCAAGTCTTTGCTATTGTGAATAAAAAATATGGAACGCTTCACGAATTTGCGTGTCATCCTTGCTCAGGGGCCATGCTAATCTTCTCTGTATCGTTCCAATTTTAGTATATGTGCTGCCGAAGCGAGCACTAATTGCCTTTTTTTTCTTGGACTGAGTTTGCTAACATCTGTGACATAAGGTTAAAGATGCACCATTTAGTGTCATTTTGCCCCCAACTCACTCTGTGACAACTTTTGGTGCCATGAATTTCCAGAGGGTGGGATGCACGTCTTGCTAACTGCAGCATCACCCCAACAGAGCAGCTCATGGTTATTGGCCTGAAATGGGAATTTTGATTAGGAACTAAGGAAAGGGCATCTCATTTCCTAGCTGTGAGCTTCTGGACAGTGGGGCTGTGTCTTTTGTCATCTTTGGGCTCCTGTTCTCCTTTCCACTGAAACATGGGCCAGTGGCTACCTGGTAGCAGTCACTCAGAAGTGTGATCCAGATCTCATTGTGGGTGGGGAGATCGAGGCACATAAAGATGAAGTGGCCTGTCCCCAGGCGCATAGCACCTGCCCCTGCTCCACTCACAGATACTGGGCGTTCTGTGCTAACAGGGGCACCTTCTGGGCAAGAGGATGAGGGGAGCACTGAACACCTCTCTCAAGAGAAATTTTTTTTCTTCTGTCACACATGCATACAAACAACAACCGATGAGCTTGTGGTTTGTCTTCAAGGTTCAGGAAGACTCAACTTTTCCAGCAGAAAGGACAATGATGCCTCAACAGAGCCGGATGACTCTCGATGGCCATGCCACTTAACAAAGCGTGGCCACCCACTTGTTCACCTGCAGCCTGAGGAAAGGAACAGCTGCAACACCTGCCAGGGACTTAGGGGATGAAGCCCTGGAGGCTGATCAGATATCCTCCTCTGGAGGTGGAGCCACATGGCTAATACGCCACTGGACACAGATGTGTGCAGTTTTGTGTTTGCTGTGGGCTGTGATGCAAATCGCATTTTGTAGTCCCCATCTTTGGAGATGCTCCAGACAGTCCCTCGGAGAAAGACAGAAATGGATCCCTTTGTTCTTTCTGTTCTTTCCAGGCAACCTGCCTCTGAGGGGAAGAGGGCCCAGACATAGGATGCTGGTAAGCAACTACTGTAATTGTCAGCGTAAGGGGCTGGAACTCAGGTTCCATCCTGCACACTTGCACAAGCCCACCAATGGGATCAAAGATGAAGGGTGGCAGCGATTGGAGAGGTCAGGATAAGAAGATTCAAGATGCCAGAAATCTGCAACATGAGATACAGCCCAGGCTCTGGGCTCGTTCCTCCAGGGCTGCGTCGCTGCGTAGCTGATGTGGCCTGTGAGCTGGGCCTCAAAGGACATTGCATTTAAAGCAGAGGAGAGGAGGAAATTTTTGGGAGATAAGATGGGATTTACAGAGACACCAAAAGAGCAAAAGAAAATAATTCCTGATGGTCTGAGCACATAGAGAGTCACCGTGGAGGAGACTGGACATTGGTACATATCCTACAATGCCTGCCCCATGGCTCTGGCCTCATGCCATGCCATGCAACATGGCACCTGGCATCTCAGTCAACAGATGTCCCAGATCTCAGTCGTTGGCATTTATTACCAAATTATTCTGCCATCTTATATTCAAGTCCTTCCAAAGCCTTTCTTGTTGTGGGAGGGGGAGAATCTTATTTTTTAAATTTTATTTTAGTTATTTTATGTATATAAGTTGTACATCATGATGGATTTTTTAAATACATTTAATTGTGTATGTTTAAGGTAAGCATCATGATGTTTATATATATATATGTGTATATATATATATATAGTAAATTGGTTAATATAGTGAAGCAAATTAATGTACCCATGTTTTGTGTGTGGGGCTGAAGTATCTACAATCAACTCATTTAGCAAAAATCCTGAATACAAGACACTGTTAGTATTGGCGGTCCTCATGTTTTACATTAGATCTCTAGACTTGTCCGCCCTCCTTATCTGCGACTTTGTAACCCTTGACCTACTTCTCTGCAATTCCTTCCTGCCACACTGCCCCTGGTAACCACGGTGTAATTCTCTATTTCTGTATATTTGAATTTGTTTAAAAGATTTTACATATGAGTGAGATTATGCAATATTTTTCCTTCTGCATCTGACATATTTACTTAGCATAATGTCTTGCAATTCCATCCATGTTGTGGCAAATGGCAGGATCTCCTTTTTTGAGGCTGAAGGATATTCCTTTGTACATATATATCACAGTTTCTTTACCCATTTGCCTGCCAATGAACATTTAGGTTGTTTCTTATCTTAGATATTGAGAATAATGCTGGAATGGACATGACAGTGAAGATATCTCCCTGAGTGCTGATTTCCTTTCCTTTGGATGCATACCCAGAGGAGGAATTGCTACATCTTATGGTACTTCTAACTTTAATTTCTTTAGGAAGCTCCACTTGCTGGTGTCAGGTGATAACGCATAATGGTTTTGATTTGCATTTCCCTGAGGATTAGTGACATTGAGCATCTTTTCATTAACCTGTGGGTCATTTTGATGTCTTCTTTGGATAAATAACTATTCAGATAATTTGCCCATTTTTTAATTGGGTTATATGTTTTTTGCTATTGAGCTGTGTGAACATTTTATAAATTTTGGATATTAAACCTTATCAAATATATGTCTTGCAATTATTTTTCCAATCTATAGGTTACTTTTTCATTTTGTTGATTCTTTTCTTTGCTGTGCAGAAGCTTTTCAGTTTGACATATTCCCATTTATTTATTTTTGCTTTTGTAGCCTTTTGGTGTGATATTCAAAAATTATTGCCAAGGGCAATGTCAAGGACCTGTTCTCCTATGTTTTCTCCTTGGAGTTTTATGGTTTCAGATTTTACATTTAGGTCTTGTATCCATTTTGAGTTGATTTTTGTGTATGGTACAAGGGCCCAGTTTTATTCTTTTGCGCATGCAAATCCAGTTTCCCCAGCATCATTTATTGAAGAGATTATCCTTTTCCCATTTTGTCTTCTTGGTGCCTTTGTCAAAAATTAGTTTACTGTATATATATATATATATATATATATATATATATATATATATATATATTTATTTATTTATTTATTTTGGGGCTCTCTCTTTTGTTCCACTGGTCTGTGGTCTGATTTTATGCCAGTATCATAGTGTTTTGATTGTTATAGCTTTGCAATCTAATTTAACTCAGGAAGTGTGATAACTCCAATGTCATTTTCTCTTCTCAAAATTACTTTTATTATTTAGTTTTTTTATGGTTCCATACAAATTTCAGGATTTTTTAAATTTCTGTGAAGAATGCCATCGGGATTTTGATAAGGATGCCATTGAATCTGCATATTCCTTTGGGTAATATGGACATTTTAACAACATCAAGTTTTCAGATCCATGAATATGGGTTATCTTTCCACGTATTTGTGTCTTCTATTAATTTTATCAATGGTTTATAATTTTCAGTGTACATGTCTTTTACTTCCATGGTTAAACTTATTCCTAACTGTATTTTTGATGCTTTCATAAATACAATCGTTTCCTTGATTTCTTTTTCACGTAGGTTGTTATTTGTGCACATAAATGCAACTGATTTTGTATCCTTTAACTTTACCAAGTTTGTTTTTTAGTTCTAACATTTTTTTTTTTTTGGTGGAGTCTTTGGGGTTTACTAAATATGGGATCATGCCATCCATAGAGATAATCTGAGTTTTTTCTTTCTGATTTAAATGCCTTTTATTTCTTTTTCTTGTCTAATTGCTCTTGCTAGTATTTCCAGTACCACGCTGAATAGAAGCAGCAAGAGTGGGCATCCTTGCCTTGTACCAGATCTTAGCGGAAAAGCTTTAATTTTTTTCCCATTGACTATGATGTTAACTGTGGCTTTTTCATAGCCTTTTTTATGATGACAAACTTTCCATTTATACCTAAACTGTTGAGAGTTTAAATCAAGAAACAATGTTGAACTTCGTTGAATGCTTTTTCTGCATCAATTGAGATGATCATGTGATTTTTATCTTTCAGTCTGTTAATGTATCACATTGATTAATTAGTATATGTTAAATGAGGGTCCATGTCAGTGATAAATTTCACTTGATCATGATGTATAATATTGTGATGTGTTGTTGAATTTGGTTTGCTAATATTTTATTGTGTTTTTTTCATCAATATTTTCAGCGATATTGGCCTGTAGTTTTCTTTTCTTACAGTATCTGTCTGGCTTAGGTATCAGGGTGATCCTGCACTCATAGAATGTGTTAGGAAGTATTCCCTCTAGGTCTATTTTTTGGAAGAATTTAGGAAATGTTGGTATTAATTTGTCATTGAATGTTTGAAGGAATTTAGTTGCAAAACCATTTGATTCTGGGCTTTTTGTTGTTGTCGTACTTGTTATGAAATTTTTAATTACTACTCTGATCTTTTTATTTGTTATTGGTCTGTGTAGGCTTTTTATTTCTTCCTGATTCAATTTTGGTAGGTTAAATTTTTCTTGGAGTTTGTCTGTTTCCCTTAGGTTATCCAATTTGTTGGCATAATATTGTTCACAATAGTCCTTTATGATCCTTTTTATTTCTGAGGCATCTGTTGTAATGTCCTTCCTTTTATTTCTGGTTTTATTTATTTGAGGCTTTTCTCTTTTTTTTTTTTTTACGTTTACCTCAGGGTCTGTCGATTTTGTTTGTTTGTTTTTAAACTAACTCTTAGTTTTATTGATTTCTTCTATGGTTTTTTATTCTATTTTGATTTATTTCTGTTCTGATATTTGTTATTCCCTTCCTTCTTGTAACTTTGGGCTTGCTTTGTTCATTTTTTAGCTCCTTGAGGTGTAATGTTAGGCTATTTATTTGGGGCCATCTTCTCTTTTAATGTAGGTATCTATTGATCAGTACTCTTAAGAATCTTAACTTTGGTGGTGCATACATGAACTTAACATGGGTGGTAAATTTATCTAGAACTAAACGCGCCTAAATACATACACAGACACACAGATAAGTATAAGTAACACTGGAGAAATCTGAACAAAATCAGTGAATTGTATCCATGTCAATATTCTGGTGTGATATACTAAAATGGTTATTGCTGGGGGAAGGTGAGTTAAATGTACCTAGGATTTCCCTGTATTATTGTTTGCAACTGCATATAAATCAACAGTTATCTCAATAATAAGTTCAATTAAAAAACCAAAATTTTATGCATATATCAATATGACATGCTTAAAAGAAGACTTGTAAATTTGCCTTTGCAGAAGGAGGGAAAGGTCGTGAGTGATTCCCACTTCTCTTGGAAAGGCCCATAGTTAGCCCATATTCTCTGAGCCCACATGCAGTGTGCTATTCACATCCCAATAATGCCGATTGATAAATGACACACAGTTTTTATACTTTTTACTCGAGACTTTTACAAGGATAAGCTTAGCTGAATTGTACAATAACATTGTAAATTAAGCTATTTGAACTTTATTTTACAAGAAAGCAAAAGTGTTGCAAAATGCCTTGCTAAATGCCCACAGATGGTGAATGATAAGGAGTTAAACATAGCTGTTTGCTCCAAGTCCAGAGCTCCAAGCTGCTTGTACTGTCTCAGCCCCATTCTTTTTTTTTTTTTTTTTTTTTTTTTTTTTTGAGACAGAGTCTTGCTCTGTCACCCAGGCTGGAGTACAGTGGTGCAATCTTGGCTCACTGCAACCTCCATCTCCCGGGTTCGAAAAATTCTCCTGTCTCAGCCTCCTGAGTAGCTGGGATTACAGGCATGTCCACCATGCCTGGCTAATTTTTGTATTTTTAGTAGAGAGAGGGTTTCACCATGTTGGGCAGGCTGGTCTCAAACTCCTGACCTCATGATCTGTCCTCCTTGGCCTCACAAAGTGCTGGGCCACACCCAGCCCAGCCCCATTCTTAACAAGAGATCCTATTGCCCAGATTCAAAGGCTCTGTGGGAAACAAGGATACCATTTACAGTACTGGTGAGAATACAGAACGTTTCTCTTTCTTAAGCCTTGTATAGTCACCACCCCCACATTCATGCCTGCCGCCAGCCTTGGTTGTTGATAATGCCATGAACACTAGGCTCAGGCCATAGAGCTGTGCGGGCTCTAAGCAATGCCCACTCCTGAGATGGGGCTTATCAGCTGCAGAGACCTCCTTGTCCGGGTTTGGAAAATTCCAAGGGTCAGAGTGCAACTGAACTTTTTCTTTTGCAATTTGCACCTGTGGGTCCTAGTGCTACCTCTGGAGTTAGCACTTCTTTCGTATGCCAGTTCTCCCAGGGTCTGCTGGCAGTGTGCTGGAAGTGGCTGGTGCTGCGGGGCAGCTGTGGGCAGAGGACCAGGGGAGCCACTCCTCCTGGTACACTGGGAGATGGAGGTGACAGCCTGAGCTATATGGGTTCCCTTAGCAGCTGACACATTCTCATCTCAACCCAACAAGGATGAAAGATCTACCTTTGGGGAAAGGTGATGGAATCATAGCAATGATGTTCTAGGAATCCAGTTTCTTCATATTTGAGAAAATGACTTACATGTGCAAAAATGTCTATGCTGGAAATAATACAGCTTTATACAATATAGCACTCTGATTTGAAGAACCTTGCCCTGCATTCTCTTGTGTGAACCTGCCCACAGCCATGTGACACGAGCCAGGCAGCACTCTTGCATTTAGAACTTGGCAGAGATAAAAATGAGGCTCCACACCTAATGCTTTCCTTCAGTACTGGATTCAGCCGCTTCACTTATTTTTTTCTGCCAAAACACCACTGTATTTTCAGCCTCCCAGGTACGGGGACGAATTTAAGGCTGCCTGCCCAGTAGACAGTTTAGTGTGGGGTAAATAGCACCATTCTAGCTTCATGGCTTCCCCGAGCCCATCCTGCTCTGCCCCCGGCTGGCCGCCTGTCGTTCCAGCCTCGCCCTGTTTCCCTCCGTCCCCTCTTTAGCACTTGTTCTCTTGGTCCTCATCTTTCTTCCAGGAGGGCATGTCCTGGGTCCCTGTGCCTAGGATCTGTTTCCCTTTCCTGCACTGCCCTTTCTCCTGGCTCTTCTTTTCCGTCGCCCTCCCCCTCCTACCAGCTTGCTCCTTGCCTTAGACACAGACATTGACAGGTCCAGCGAAGAGCGCCTTTGCTGCAGCCCAGTGTGTCCAGATCTTCCCGCACCTGTGCCGCCTGGCGCTGCTGAGGCAGGGACTCCCGTCTCCCCAGGAGCTACCTGGAGGAGGCTCAGAATCCATCCTAAGGAGTTTGATGACATATGTGCCAGATCGTGTAGAGGTGTCCAGGTATGCCCCACCATGTGGACCGTAACACAGACACGCGGGATGGATGGACGCGTCCCCCCTTGGAAGTGTCCAGAGAGTGCCAAGGGCAGGCTCTCCATCCTCGCTGGGAGCATAGCCAGCGCCACACACAGAGGCCAGGTCTCAGCTCAGCCTGGGAGCGCCCGGTTCTTTTTACTACTCTGTCTGCCTCCCTTTCTGAGTGTAACAGTTCCTCTCCTTCCTTCTTCACCTCTTCCAATCTGTCCCAAACACCAACTTCCCCAGGGATTCACGTCCCAAATCCTTAACCACCACATGGGACAAGCATCAACCCCGACACGAATCAAGCAGAATCCGTACCAACCAGGACCCCAGAGGTCCCTTCAGGACCTCAGGGAGTAGGGCTGGGTCGGGGGTGTCTTGAGGAAAGCCAGGGTGACCCGAGGCCCTGGGGGAATCTCAGTCTTGTAAAAAAGCGGCTTGGCCACAGCTGTGGTTACCACTCATCTCTCATGAGCGCTCTCATCATGCCTCCCTACTTTCCTCCTTCCGCGAGTCTGCAGGAAGGGTTTTCTAGGCCCCTTTGCCCATTTCCCATCCACTCGGCCTCAGCACAGCCCGTAGCGGCCACCAGAGGGCGCCCCTCTCCTGCAGCTCCGCATCCCCGCACAGCTGAAGTCCAGCCAAGCCCTGGCCTTGGAAGACCCTTCTGCTTTGTAACCTGACAGAGGCGCGTGGAGGTGGGGGGGCCCTCAGAGCTGCAGAATGGACAAAAACTCAAAAAGGGTGTGAATTTCGCCATGAGGTCCGGGTTCCTGGGGCTTCGCTGTTGTTCTGTTTATTTTACCCGAACCCTCCTATACCATCTGTATGAGAAAATATTCTCAAATATTGAATCATGTAGGACTTTTTTTTTCTTTTAAAGGATTTGATATGTTAATGGGTTAATTTGGGCAGAGATACCTCCATCTCCAATCCCCTTCTGTCAATAACAGCTCTAGTTACCATGAGAACTTTTGGGCTTTTCTTAAACAGCCCATTCTCCTGTTCAATCTTTTTGGTAATCAAAATAGCCTCCAAAGGGCATTCTTTTAAAATCCCATAAGATCCTTCATCACTTTTGTCACCGTAGAAATAATAAACACATAAATAACCCTCCAAAGGCAAAAAATTTATCAAAAATGAGATATCAGAAATATAAAAATTCAGTGGCTCTTGGTCAGCTGGTGCTGGAAGACCCGTGGCTTACAGAAGAGAGAAGGGACCTCTGAAGTTCTGCACAGTTGTTGAAAAGCCAGATGCAAAATCTGTACCTAAGACTGGTGCGTGAGAGACTCACGTTCCTCCATTTCGAATCTGGTTAACTTGCTATGATTGAGAAGCTCGCTCACAAATCCTCACCCTCTCATTCCTATCCTTTCTGGATTGAGTGAAAGATTTTCAGGTTGTGAAGGCTGAAGAAAATGGCTGCTGACTTCACAACCTGTTTCAGCCAAATTGCAAAGCCCCAAAGGGTCAGTAAAATTCTTGCTGGGCTTCATCAGACATTACATTTCATAGGGGCACGGGAGGAGTGTGCTCTTCTGTCTAATGAAATGTGGGCCTTCAGCCTCACTTCCACTGTGATTCTTGAAAAACATTTATTTCCTCACTAACGGTTCAGTGTTCAGCAACCTGGGAGGTTTGCCCTAGTACTATTCTACAAGGTCACAGGTATACTTTGCAAGGTTCTGCCTCTCTTTCTCTCGGAGAGCTTATTCTCTCTTGTGGCCTAAACCTCACCTCTGTCTGCACATGACACTCAAATCAGTTTTTTTCTGCTTTATGCTTGTGTCTCCAGAGCTGTTTCAATGACTGTATTCGGAGTCTCTGCTTGCAGCGTGCTCTGCATGAGAACAGGCACCAAGCCTGCCTATAATTGGAAGATCTGCCTGAATTTCCATAGTGAAGGTCTACACTGCCTCCCAGCCCATTCATTCCCTTCATCATTTCATTCCAGTAGTTTTCTAAAGTGTGGCCACTATGTTGTTGATTATGGCAACCCAGCATCCACACAGGACAACAGGGGGCCCAGGGCCAGTCCTGGTTGCTGCTTATATTTTGGCCCCAGGGATCCATCTGATTTTGTCATTGAAGTGCTGGCACATCCATCCCCACTGATGTTTGTCAAATGATTTCCCAGCTCAGATTGGAATCTCAAAGGTAATTTTCACAAAATTGGAAACAGCTCCTCTGATATGTCCCTGAAAACAGTTTTTGTTGCCCATATGGAGGATGTGACAGGACATCACTAGGAAGATGGACAGACTCAGCCTGCAACATCCCCTTTCCACTGCCAAAGTTGTTAGCAATCCAAACAGACTGTCACCTTGAGGCTCAAAGATCATCTTACCCCCAAACACTCTGACGACCTCTCTCCCTGTGTGCCTTGATGCAGGTACTGAGTCTTGCAGCAGAGCAGTGCCAGGCCCTGTGCTGAGGCCTGCCTGCCAGCAGGATTCGCTCCTTCCAGTAACAGGCACTGATTGAGTCCTCCCTGTATCACAGGCATCGGGGAGGAGTGGCAGGTCCAGCTGTCTATGAGCCAGACACCGTCTCTCTGTCTTCAGCCCAGCTGGATATGGAGAACATTCAACAAATAATTGCACATGTAGTTAATAATTACATTTGTGATAAATACCAGCAAGGAGAAGGATGTGTTGTCATAGAATATGCAACAAGATGGTCTCTGGGACTGGATGGGGGTGGAGAATCAAGAAGTGTATCTTGATGGATGGGCTCAGAGGGGCTTGCAGAAGAGGGACACCAGTGTTCAGGGTCATTTGGTGGCAACGCAGGATTGGCTGGAGCTGCGGTGCTCGTGTTCACCTTGCCAGCTACCATTTCACATCCTGCAGAGGAGGCAGGAGGCAGCCGTGGAGATGGTTTTTCACAAGACAGCAAGGAGATTAAGATGGTGGAGAGGAGGACTAGCTTAATGCTCCCACTTGGACGGACAGAGCAGTGTGTGGAGACTCACATTGTGAACTTCTGCTCCAAGAAGTACCACAGGAATCTACCAAGAAAGTCAAGAGAATCCACAGACCCTTTGAAGGAACTGGATCCCTGCTACAGGCTCCCTGAGATGCCAAAAAACTATGAGTCTGCTTATTTTCTCAGTGGGGAGGCTGGTGGTCTGGGGCAAGTTCTCAGCCCTGGTCACCAGCTGCCTGGAAGTAGACTCAGTGCTGTTGCCGGGGCACAGTGGAAGTAATACTGGCCTCTAGGACTGCCGGCTGCATGGGAGTGGGGTGAGGCCTATGATTGCCGGTTTTCCCCCACTTCCCTGGCAACCTGTGTAATGCAGCAGAGACAGCCATAATCTCCCTGGAAATATAACTCCATTGGCCTGGGGGCCACACCCCCACAGCAGCCACAGCAAGCCCTGCCCCAGGAAAGTCTGAGCTCAGACATGCCTATCCCTGTCCCCACCTGGTAGTCTTTCTCTACCCTCCCTGGTAGCTGAAGAAAAAGGCCATAGTCTCTTGGGAGCTCTGTGGCCCTGCCCAACACCTGAGAAACCTGAATGCTTAACCAGGTGACCCTAGGCCAAGTTTGCATCCTCCCTCATGCACCTCATGCACCTCATGCACTCTTGAAAGCACCACCTCCTGGCTGGAGGCCAACCAACACAAAATCAGCACAAAGCCAGCACACTAAACAAAAATACAACTAAGGACCCTCACAGAGTCCACGTCACTCCCCTGTTGCCTCCACCAGAGCAGGTGTTGGTATCCACAGCTGAAGACCTGAAGACAGATCACATCATAGGACTCTTTGCAGACACTCTCCAGTACCAGCCTGAGCCTGGTAGCTCTGCTGAGTGGCAAAAAATAATCACAGCGGTTTGGCTCTCAGGAATTCCCATCCCTACGGGAAGGAGGAGAAAACCACATAAAGGGAGCACCCTGTGGGAAAAAAGAATCTGAACAGCAGCCCTTGAGTCCCAGATCTTCCCTCTGACATAGTCTACCCAAATGAGAAGGAACCAGGAAAACAATTCGGGTAATATGACAAAACAGGCTTCTCTAACACCCCCAAAAAATCACACCAGTTTAACAGCAATGGATATAAACCAAGATGAAATCACTGAATTGGCAGACAAAGAATCAGAAAGTTGATTATTAAACTATCAAGGAGACACCAGAGAAAGGTGAAGTCCAACTTAAAGAAATCAAAAACATGATATAGGACATAAAGGGAAAAATCTTCAGTGAAATAGATAGCATAAATAAAAAACAATCACAACTTCTGGAAATCAAGGACACACTTATAGAAATGCAAAATCCACTGGAAAGTCTCAGCAATAGAACTGAACAAGCAGAAGAAAGAACTTCAGAGCTCGAAGACGAGGTTTTCGAATTAACCCCATCCACCAAAGACAAAGAATAAAGAATTTTAAAAAATGAACAAAGCTGCCAGGAAGTTTGGGACTATGTTAAGTGTCCAAACCTAAGAATAATTGGTGTACCTGAGGAAGAAGAGAAATCTAAAAGTCTGTAAAATATATTTGAGGGAATAATTGAGAAAAACTTTCATGGCCTTGCTAGAGATCTAGACATCCAAATACAAGAAGCTCAAAGAACACCTGGGCAATTCATCACAAAAATATCATCACCTAGACGCATAGTCATCAGGTTATCAAAAGTCAAGATAAAGGAAAGAATCTCAAGAGCTGTGAGGCAAAAGCATTAGGTAACCTATAAAGGAAAACCTATCAGATTAACAGCAGATTTCTCAGCAAAAACCCTGCAAGCTAGAAGGGATAGGAGTCCTATTTTTAGCCTCCTTGAACAAAACAATTATCAGCCAAGAATTTTGTATCCGGCGAAACTAAGCTTCAGAAATGAAGAAAAGATAAAGTCTTTTTCAGACGAACAAATGCTGAGAGAATCTACCACTACCAAGCTGGCACTACAAGAACTGCTAAAAGGAGCTCTAAATCTTGAAACACATCCTCAAAATACACCAAAATAGAACCCCCTTAAAGCATAAATTTCACAGGACCTGTATATCAATAGCACAATGAAAAAAACAACAAAGTATTCAAGTAACAAATAGCGTGATGAATAGAATACTACCTTACTTCTCAATACTAACGTTGAATGTAAATGGCCTAAATGCTCCACTTAAAAGATACAGAATGGGGCCGGGTGCGGTGGCTCATGCCTGTAATCCCAGCACTTTAGGAGGCCGAGGCGGGCGGATCATGAGGTCAGGAGATCGAGACCATCCTGGCTAACACGGTGAAACCCCATCTCTACTAAAAATACAAAAAAATAGAAAAAAATTAGCCGGGCGTGTTGTTGGGCGCCCTCAGCCTGTGAGAGGCTGAGGCAGGAGAACGGTGTGAACCCAGGAGGCGGAGGTTGCACTGAGCCGAGATCATGCCACTGCACTCCAGCTTGGGCGACAGAGCGAGACTCTGTCTCAAAAAAAAAAAAAAAAAAAAGATACAGAATGGGCCCAGTGCAGTGGCTCATGCCTGTAATCCCAGCACTTTGGGAGGCCAAGACAGGTGTATCACCTGAGGTCAGGAGTTCGAGAACAGCCTGGCCAACATGGTGAAAACCCAAATACAAAAAAATTAGCTGGTCATGTGGGTGCATGCCTGTAATCTCAGCTACTCAGGAGACTGAGGTGGGAGAATTACTGGAACCCAGGATGGAGATTACAGTGAGCTGAGATCATGCCACTGCACCCCAGCCTGGGTGACAGAGTGAGACACCATCTCAAAACAAACAAACAAACAAAAAGGAATGGCAGAATGGATACAAATTTACCAACCAAGTTTCTGCTGTCTTCAGGAGACTCAGCTAACACATAAGCACTCACATAAACTTAAGGTAAAGGGGTGGAAAAAGATATTCCGTGCAAATAGAGACCAAAAGTGAGTAGGAGTAACTATTTTTATATCAGACAAAACAAACATTAAAGCAACAGCAGTTAAAAAAGACAGAAGGCAGTTTGTGGGGAAGAGGGGGCTTAGGGAGCACATAGCACTGGGCAGACCTGGTGGGGGCAGGAGGGCTGGAGAGTGAGGCTTGGAAGTTTCCTAATTCCATGGGCCAGGGTCCTGCCAGTGTTTATCTCTACCTTTCAAAATCTGTACTATCATTGGAGTCAAATGTACATTTGCACACAAAAACTAAACAAAGAAATGAAAACAAAAGTCTGCCCCATGTCAAACCAACATCTGGGATGCCTGCTCAAAGCCAGCTCTTGTTTCTGTTTCTTCTTCTGTTCCTCTGGAGGATCTTCTATCCCTCATTTCTTGATTTAGATACTTTCTATTATTCCTTGCCTCTTCTCTCTTTCCACTCCCTCTCAATTTTTCTTAGTTATGGTCTGATTTTTACTTCTTTTGCCTTTAAAACTTTTTATGAGTTGTGTGAGCATATTTTTCTGGTTGCACCAATTTGACAGTCTCTCTTGTCTCCCTTTTATCTGAGATGAGGAAATATTTTTCCCTGTGCTTCCCTTCTGCTAGTTTCCGGAGCTGTACCTGACTTTCACATTTATGACGTTTTAACTCTTACACTCCTATTCCTTAATCCCAAGTCTCCTGGGCTTGCTCTAGATGTTGACTGAAAACTAAGAAGCAGCCTTCACAATATTAGGAGGATTGTCACTGCAAACAGGAGTGTAGTGCACTTGGCTGCAGATAGAAGGACCTGGGATTCCCAGACTGATACATCTAAGAAGCACATACTAAAATTCAAAGTCAAGTCAAATGAAGTCTCAAACACTTTTGTAGCCTATCTAAAGGTATAAAGCAGGGATTCGCAAATATTTTCTGTACAGAATCAAATAGCAGATATTTAGGCTTTGGGGCCATAGGGTGTCTGTCACAGCCACTACCCTCTGCTGTTGCAGAGTGGAAGCAGCCATAGAAACTGCAGGATAAAATAAGTGTCATGAGTTCCAACAAAACTGATTTACAAAAAGAGGCCACTGCCAAACCCTGGTCCAATGCAGAGGATCAAAAACCCCTGGAGGGCTTGCTGAAGGCAGATTGCTGGGTGCCATCCACAGTTCCTGATTCAGCAGGTCTGGGGTGGCCTAAGGATGTGTATTTCTAACAAGTTTCCAGGAGGTGTCCATGCTGCTAGCCCATGGCATGTGCTTGTTGCTTGGCACTAAAGCATGACTCTCTTCTACATATTTGTGAGTTTCCTAGAATTCCCAACATTTTCCCTTTGTTTTAAACTTGTCCTCTGACTTATCACCAAGATTTTCCACCATCGTGATGCTTTTGCTTTCACAAGTCTGCTTTCTTCTTAAACGTTTCTCCCTAGCAACATTTGCACCTGCACTCCCCTGACCTTGCACTGTGGTAGACCAGTTGCTCTCTAAGTCTGCTGCTCAGTTGTCATCTGAGATAGTCCTTTATTGTCTTGAGGATGGGGCTATGTCTCCTTTTGTCTAGGATTTTTATTGGTTTTACTGCAGAATATCATCAAGGATTTATCTTTTTCACTGAAGATGCATAAAGGGTAAACATTCTGAGGCCTAGGATGACTGAAAATGTGTTTATTTGGCATCGACACTCAGTATAATTTTTTTTTACCAGGTGTAGAATTCTAAGTTGAAAATAATTTCCTCTGTGGACTTTGAAGTTACTGCCTCATTGTATTCCAGTGTTACTAATGAGAAATCTGATGCGAGTTTGACTGTGATTTCTTTACAGATGCCCTGTTTTGTTCCTTCTCTTCTAAAACATCACAATGATGCATTTAGGGGTGGGTGATTTTTTTATATCTCCTGATCAACCGTCGGTGACTTTTTAAGTCGAGATGCATGCAGCACCTCCTCATAGCTCTGGAAAATGTTCTCCTAATAGGCTATTCTTTGATCATTTCATTTTTATCAGTTTCTGTATTTTCTCTTTATGTAACTCTTTGGACTTCCTGGATTTAAATGCTCTTATTAAACTTTTTTTCTCATATCTCTCTTCATGTTTTCTCTTTTTATGTACATGCTGACAGTTGTCCTTCAAGTTTTCTTTCAGACATCGTGTCTTTATTGTAATGATTATATTTCTAATATTTAAGAATATTTTATTTTCTGATTTCCTCTTTTTCATTGACATATGCCCTTGTTTAATGGGTGCAATATTGTCCAGCTTCTCTTTAAGATACAAGTTAGAATATTTTAAAAGTGTACTACATTTGATGAATTTTTGAATTTTTGCCATCTTTCTCCTGAGTCAATTATTCTGTTTATGCATCTTGGCCTATTATGAATAGAATGTTTGTGTCTCCCCCAGATCCACAGGTTTAAGCCATAATGCCCGGTGTGGCTATATTTGGAGGTGGGGGAGGGGGGTCTATAAAGAACTAAAGTTAATAAGATCTTAAGGGTGGGGCTTTGATCCGAAGGGATTTGTGTTCTTATAAGAAGATACACCCCAGTGCTCTCTCACAGCATCTCTCTGTCTCTTTTCATGCAAGCCCCAAGGAAAGACCATGTGAAGACACATGGAGAAGGTGGCTGTCTGCAAGCCAGGAAAAGAGCCCTCACCAGGAACATGTTGAGAGAAGCAGTCACACAAACGTAGTCTTTTGACCTCTGTACAGTTGCATAGGAGTGTGCCTTGGGTTAGGAACATTTTCTTACAAAGAGATAAAGAGCTTTCACAGCCTGCGCTGTCCATTACCCTTTATGGGGAACCTCTTTCTCTGTTCTGGACTGGAGGCGTACTTCTTCGTTCTACTAAAGCATGTGCATCATATGGCACCTGAACGACCCCACTGCTGGGAACAGGGGCCTTTGTCTATAGCATGAGTGTGTGGAACATCTCCCTGTGCTGGCTGTGGGGTGAGACCCACTGGCCATGAGGGATCAACAGTCGAAACTGAAGCTGCTCTTGCTCTGTGTCTTCTCTATGTGCATAAAGCGTTGTTCCATCCAGTGCCTGCATGAGTCGTGCCTGAAAATCATGTGGTGGGTTGACGTCTTGGGATTACTGCTCCTGGAGGCAGGCATTGTTATGCTTTCTGTTCTCCACTGTTTAGTGGGACTCTGCTGCTGGAGGTGGTCACAGGTGTCACTTGCTTGACTTGGACTTCCAGCCTCCAGAAACTTAATCTTGAACTTGCATCCTCCATCACTGTGAGAAAAAATTTCTGTTGTTTGAAGCACTCAATCTATGACATTTTGTGATGTCAACCTGAGCAGACTAAGACATGACCCCTCTTTTGTATGTAATTAGGTTTATTTAATATTGAATGGACTTTGTTGATCCTCAGGTTTATTCCCCTACCCCTGGATGACAGACTGCAGACTGCTGCCCCCATACAAACATGAGGGTAGCTTTATTTGTAAGAGCTGACATCCACATAGGGAGCCCTAACACTCCCTCTGCAGTCCAGTGACAATTATGTTGACTGTCAGTGAATGTCCAAGTCAGTGTGTGTTCAAGGGGCAGCCAGCTGACATTTGCCTGCAATGTGGATGTGGCAGCACATCCTGCCAGTGTGGCAGAGGGGGGACCCTGGCCTCAGCATGGGAATGTTCCCTGGAAGGCTCAGTCCTTTCATCATTCAGGTTATCATGGCGTCATCATTCGTGTAATGTACTGTGAGGCCATGTGGCCCTCACTCATATATACCTGACATGTGACACAAATTCACTGTTTGTTTTATTATAGAATTTTTTTCACTTAATACAAAGTGGAAAACTTATAGAAAGCACAAGCATATTTCTGTGTGTTCTCAGTGTCTTTGGGCCATAGTTTCTGCAGAATATCTTGGAATTGGTTCACTTGGAGCATAATGCCAGAGCAGCATTTTCCTAACAGATATCTCAGGGTTGGTGAGGCACCTCCCCTTGTCAGAGAAAGAGCACTGGACACTGTTAGAGGCAGCAAGACAGATTTCACTCAGACTACTGCAGTAGGGCAGAGAGGCTCCAGTATGAATCAGTTTAATTCCAAATAAGACAAAGGTGACTGGGGATTTTCAAAGGGAGATCTGATAGGGCACACAACGAGATTATGGGAAGTAAAAAAAGGGGGACCAGAAAAGAGACTGGGGGCTATAAGTAGGAAGCTACAGAGTGGAGTTGCAGAGGATTACTGAAAATGGTTTGGCCTTGTGGGTTGGGACAATTTACATCTGGCAGTTCAGGAGCATTGCATTTTCTTGAGCAGAGACTCACACAAGAGCTGTGTCACTTTTAGGCACATGACTAGTGCAGGTAGAAGCCAGGCTGAAGTGTGGCCAAGGATCTCAGCACTGCATGTGGGCAAGTCCTTTGGGTCATTGGGGAGTTCACAGTTCACACCCCAACCCAAATAAAACATTTGGAAACAAAAACATTTGGAAATCACGCAAGGTCTATCTTCCCACTTTCCCACCTGTGGACATATAGGAAGTTTTGCATGAAAGAAACTTTGTTTTCTGTCATGCAACATTTCTCAAACATTCTTGGTATCCTACACGAAATCTATTTATATCCAACATAACTAATGTTCTGAGGAACCCACTTTATGAAACAGGATTTTGTACTGCTATTAGTGGTGAGTCACAATAAGAAGGGAAAGATACCCAAGCTCGCATTGTGAGAGGTCATACAGAGATGGGTCCAAATGGAATCAGGAGTTGAAAGGCATAGAGATGTCCCTAGAAACTGGAGGAGACCACCAAGTTGTTCTAAAGCCAGGAGAAGAATCTAACATTGGCCTGAAAGCTAAAGCCTACCTGTGGGTACAAATTGGACAAAGGATACTTTGCTGGACAGTCAGAAATTCAGCTGTGGAGCACCAGGCTGGCAGTGAGCTCTGCCCTCAGGCACGCCGCATAGGCAGCACCAGGACTGAGGACATCTGAGGCTGAGAACGGATGTAAGAACCATCTTGGGTGTTGTGAGATGAATTGCATCCCCCCCAAATTCAGATGTTGAAGTTCTAACCACCCCTTTGGTGCCTCAAAATTCAGAACGTGACTGGATTTGGAGCTAGAGTGTTTAAAAAGGCAATTAAGGTTAAACGAGGTCATATGCCTGGGTCCTAATTCAATATGACTTCCGTCCTTAAGAGGAGATTAGGATGCAGTCCTGCACAAAGGGAAGAACAGGCAGAGACAAAGGAAGATAGCAGCCATCTACACATCAAAGAGACAGGCCTCAGGAGAAAGCAACTCTGCTGACACCTCGATCTTAGACTTCTAGCTTCTAGAATTGCGAGAAAATAAACTTCTGTCACTTAAACCACTCTGTCTGTGGTATTTTGTTATGGCAGCCCTAATAAACTAATACACTAGGGGCACAGAGCAGGTGGGGAAGCCAGATGCAATCGGTCAAAAGAAAAAAAAACTATTTAGTAGCCAAAGAAGACAGGTGCAAATAAGCAAGCCACGGTTAGAGTCTACAACAGTTAGCTTAACTCTGAGCCTAACCCTAGCTGGCCAAGAGACACAGACCATCATGACAAGGGACTGGGGGACTGGACTTTCCAGGAGGACTGGAACACAGGACAAAGCAGTGGGCAGGACCCAGCTCCCCTATCAGACAGGGAAGAATCAGAGACTTGTAGCCACAGGGAGCTCTTCAAAATTCATGCTGGAGCTGGAACCAATCTCAAGATATGAATTGAGTTGAGAGATGTGAGATATTTAAGATGCTGATCATAAAGTTATCATGTCTGAGCCTGGAGCAGAGAGTACCGGTGACATGAAGCAATCCCAGTTGTTTTAGATGATTTAAATCTATGACAATTAGCCTTATCTCTGTGTTCATCACAACATTTGGACATGACCATGGCGAAGAAATTACTGCCAGTTGTACTTAATGGGCTCAAATTCAAGCTGAAGTTTTAAAACATGAAAATAAGAAGATTTTATTAATATATAAATTGTAATGTTTTCAAGGGAGAGTTAGCATCACAGTCCCTTTGCAAAATGTTGTCTAGGGAAGCTCAATTTAAGTGTTTCTCATTGGGCCAATGGAGACTTAACAGAAAACACATCTTGACAATAGATTTGGTCTGTTGAAATGATGACGTTTGTTGGCCAAGGACTGAGGATTCATGCTGTGCACTGCCAAGTCCTATGCTCTTCTTCAACTCTGCTACTGCCTGCTTTTCATTGTCGTCATTGGTTCTTCTTCCAGAGTACAAAGAAGAAAAGAACATAGGGCAAAAAGTGCTATTTGTGACTTTTTAGCACACATAAAGTAATTATAAGTAGGCATGAAAGCAAGGCATCCCAGAGTTTGGAAAGTTTAATAAACACACTTTAGTTAAAGTGTAGGTAAGTGGGTAAGTATGCAAAGTTAGACTTAAAAAAACAGACCGTGCAAAAACAAGACAAAATTGCATTTTAATTGATGATATTGATCTACCTGAAGAAGTAATGTGTCACTTAGAAGAAAAGAGTCCAGCGTGGATTACAAGAAGACATAATCAGAGATGCAAGTTGAAGGTCATTTAAGAAAACATGTCAGTGAAGTTCCTTCCAGGCCTGTGCTTGGAGGCCATACACATTCACTGAGTGAACTTACATATAAGACCTCTAACTAATTCCCATTGCTGTGAATCTATATGCACCACAAAACTTTCGGATTCTCATTTGACTTCCCTTAAGTCAGAATAAACTTTCAGTTTTGTGGTAGATAATTTTATTATAAAATAAAGAATTATTTTGCTTCATATATTGGTTTCCTGTCTGCTTGTTATTGTGGATTTTCTTCAGTGATGGCCCTCAGCCTCTACTGAGGCACAAACAAAACCAAGTTTTGCTATGGCAAAGGAGGTGGCGACTGTGAAATGCTCTAGTGCAACTCAGGACTGCTGGGGAGGCACCGGTTTGGAGCAGGCATGCAGGCATCCCTCTGCTGGTACCCTCTCACCTGACCTGGGCCTGCAATCCAGAACAACGCTTTTGGGAAGAAAAACTGATGTCTGGAACTGATAGGGAACCTGAAGAACTTATGTGGTTTATTATTGTGTCTGTGCCTTGAACTCTTTTTAGCAAATAAAATCTAATTGAGTTTAATTGAATTGAACATGGATACATTACATAGATAACATTTTCTAAGGCTACAGCTGCCATAGATAGTGATCGCTTTGATGTATCCAGGCAAAGTAAATAAAAAGCCTTTTGGAAAGGACTCACCATTCTAGACGCCACAAAGAACATGTGTAATTCATGGGAGGAGGTCAAAATATCAACATTAACAGGAGATTGGAAGAAGTGTATTCCAACCCTAAGGATGATTTTGAGGGGTTCAAGGCTTCAGTGGGAGAAGTAACTGCAGTTGTGGTGAAAATAGCAAGAAAACTAGAATTAGAAGTGGAGAATTGCTGCATCTCTTGATAAACTTGAATGGATGAGGAGTTTCTTCTTATGAGTTACCAAAGAAAGTGATTAGTTAAGATGGAATCTACTCATGGTGAAGATACCATGAACACCATTGAAATGACTACAAAGGATTTAAAATATTACATAAATTTAGTTAGTAAAGAAGTGGCAGGGTTTGAGAGGATTGACTTCAATTCTGATTGAAGTTCTACAGTGGATAAAATGCTATTAAAGGAAACTTGCTTAAGGAAAGAGCCCAGGGAGGGATAACTTAAGCCAGCATTTGAGTTGAGGAGACAGAATTGGGACAGAGTTGGCTCAGGGGAACCAACGTAGCTAGAGTTCATGGGACAGAGTACGAGGGAAGAGACAACGAGAGAGAGAGAGGAAGAAGAAGAGGCAGAGCAAAAGGAAGAGGAAGAGAAGAGAGGAAGAGAGGAAAGAAGAGAGAGACATTGAACTCCAGATATCTGCAAAGATGTCACTTGAGTCTCCAGGTTAGTATTGATAAGTGCATGTGTATGAAAATATCCAAGACCAAAGTACAGTCTAATGAAGTAGGCATAATAATTTCCAGGGATCACATGGAACTAGGGATATTTTGTTTCTATCAGCCAGAAAGGCAAACTGTTAAAATGCATGACACATTGGGTACAGTAATCGGAAATATATTGGCTCAGTAACAGAAAAAAAAAATAGCCCTTGATTAAAGGTTTGATCTATCCCACGTAAGAAAGATTAAAAGCAAAGCTAGAAAAGATCAGATTTGTTTCTAAATAACTTATCTGCGTCCTAAAACAAAACTAAAAAATTTTTTTAAATACAGTAATGTATTAACACATACTGAAACTCAATACATACAGAGAAACGAAGATAAGAATAAGAAGTCCAAGTGCAGCGGCTCATACCTGTAATCCAAGCACTTGGGGAGGCCAAGGCAGGGGATCACTTGAGGCCACGAATTTGGGACCAGCGTGGGCAACACAGCAGAACCCTGTCTTTACAAAAAAAAAATAATAATTTTTTTCCTTTTTGGTAGAGACAGGGTTTTACTGTGTTTTTTCGGGGAGAAGAAAAACTGATGTCTGGAACTGGCAGGGAACCTGAAGAGTTTATGTGGTTTACCATTGTGTCTGTGCCTTGGACTCTTTTTAGCAAGTAAAATCTAATTGAGTTTAATTGAATGTGTTCCCAAATAAAAGGCAGAGATTTTCAGATTGGGCAGAGAAAGTAAAACCAACATCAAAAAATTAACCTTCAGTCCCAGCTTACTCGGGAGGCTAAGGTGGGAGGATCACTTGAGCCCAGAAGTTCAAGGTTACAGTGAGCTATAATTGCACCACTGCACTGTAGCTTGGGTGACAGAGCAAGACCCCATCTCTAAAAAAAGAAAAAAGAAAAAGAAATCAGCTGGACATGGTGGCTCATGCCTGTAATCCCAACCCTTTGGGAAACCAAGGCATGCGGATCACCTGAGGTCGGGAGTTCAAGACCAGCCTGACCAACATGGAGAAACCCCGTCTGTACTAAAAATACAAAACTAGGTGGGTGTGGTGGCGCATGCCTTTAATCCCAGCTACTTGGGAGGCTGAGGCAGGAGAATCACTTGAACCTGGGAGGCAGGCAGATGTTGCGGTGAGCTGAGATTGCGCCATTGCACTCCAGCCTGGGCAACAAAAGCGAAACTCCATCTCAAAAAAAAAAAAAAAAAAAAAAAAAGAAAGAAAGAAAAAGAAAAACAACAGTGAAATAGTGGAAACAATAAGCCAGAAGATAGTGGAAAAACATCTTTCAAGTACTGAAGGAAAAATCTGGCAACCTAGAATTCTGCACCCAACAAAAATAGAAAAACCAGAAATTGACTTTCTCCATAAAAGCAGATAGGAATGTGCATCTACCTAAATGAATGAAGAACACTGGAAATGGAGATGTGTGTGTTAATATTTGGGTGAATACAATGACATTTTTATATTTTGAAATCACTCTGAAAATAGATGATTAAAGCAAAGTAACCATGTATTTTAATTTTAAAACAAATTCAGAAGTAAAATGTGACAACAATCATGCAATAATGGGAGAGGAAAATGTAAGTATACAGTTGTAAAGCTCTTATACGAGATTTGAAGTGGTAATATTATTTGAAATCAGACTTTCATAAGTCAAGATGCACATTATAAACTAAGAGCAAATAGCCATGAGTGAAAAAATAACTAAGAAGATAAATTAAAAGTATGAAAGGTGCTCAGTTGACCCAAGTGAAGGCAGAAAAATATAAGAAAGGAGAACAAAGAACAGATGGGAAACTATATTAATATCAAGGTATATTTCAGGACAAGGGATGGTGCCAAGAAAAAAGAGGGTCTTTCATAATGATTACAGGAGCAATTCATCAAAACAATATAATAACCCTAAATGTTATGCTCCTAATAACATAACTTCAAAATACATGAAGGAAAAAAATCTGAGAATTACAAGAAGAAACAAATTCACATTTATAGTTGGAGATCTCAACATCCCACTGACAATAATCAGTGAGAAGTAGATAGAAAATCAGTAAAAATATAGCCAACTTAAGCAACATTACCATAATCCTGACCTAATAGACATTTATAGAATACTCCATCATACATATTCCTTTCAAGTGAACATGCACTATTTACCAAAATAGACTATATCATAAACCACAGAAAAATTCTCAATAAAAAAGGACTGAAATCATCCACAATTCTTCTGACAACAATTATATTAAATTAGAAATGAGTAACATGAAAATCTGAAAAATCTTCAAATATTTGCAAATAATAAACATGACAGCAGAAATCAATGAAATAGAATAACAATCAGAAATAAAACTAAAATCCACTTTTTAAAAAGCAGTAATAAAATTAGTTCATTATTATCAGGAATTAAAAAGGGACATCACTACAAATCCTACAACTATTAAAAAGATGATTTTTAAAGTATTATAAACACCTCATTACGGTAAGTGTGGTAACTTAGATAAAGTGGACATATTTCTTGGAATATCCAAATTATCGAAGCTCTGAGTAGCTCTGTATCTATTTTTAAAATTGCATTCATAGTTAAAATATTCGCACAATAAAAATTTCAGACGTACCTGGCTCCACTGATTATTTCTACATTCAAGGAAGAAACAATAACAATTCTCAAAGTTTAGATAAAGAAAAAGGGATCAAATCATTAGTCTGGGTTCCTACCTCAAGAAACTGAAAAAAGGAGAGCAAAATACATTCAAGGTAAGCAAAAGAAAGGAAATAATAAAGATAAAAGCAGGAATTTATAACACTAAAAATATAAAAACAATGGAAGAAAACCAATAAATCAAAAGCAGCTTTTTTGAAAAGAAAATAAAAAATGATAAACATCTAGCAAGTTGACAAAGATATAAAAGAGAGAGACGTGTCACCAGTATGAGGAAGGAAACAGGAGTTATTACTGCAGATCATGTAGCCATTAAAAGAATAAGGGAATATTATGAACAACTTCACACTCATAAATTCAACAACTGAGAAGAAATGGATCAATTTCTCAAAAGTCACAAGCTATGAAACTCAATCAAGAAGAAATAGAAAATCTGATTAGTCTTACAATCATTAAATTAATTGAATACATAATAAAAATCTCCCGCAATGAGATGTTCAGGCCCCGATGGTTTTACTAGAGAATTCCACCAAACATTTAGGAGAGAATTGACACAAATTTTATGCAATCACTTCCAGAAAATAGAAGAGAAGGAAACACTAACTCATTTATGAAGTTAGTATTACCCTAATACAAAATTAAACAAAGAGTACAAAAAACCCCCAAACTATGGACCAATATCTCCCATAAACTTGGATGCAAAAATCCTCAAAAGTATTAGCAAATCAAATCCAAATGCATAGAAAGAATTACACGTTTGACCAAGTGGGATATATTCCAGAGATATATATCTGGTTCAATATCTGAAAATCAATTAATATAATAATTATATCAATAGGCTAAAGAAAAATCATATAATCATATAGATATCCTCAGAAAAATATGACACAATCCAACACTCATTCAAAAGACACGCCTATCACTCGGGAAATTGCAGTTCTGTGCCAGGAACCAGGGACAAAAACCAAATATATTTCATCTTGTGTATCCATAGGTTCTGCATCTGTGGATCCAACCTATCATGAATCAAAAATATTTTAAAAAAATGGAGTTCGTATTGAACATATACAGACTTTTATCATTATTGCAAATAATACTGTATAAGTATAATAATTATTTACATAGTGTTTACATGGTACTAGGCAATATAACTAATAATAGAGATGATTTAAAGTATATGGGAGGAGGCGCATAAGTTATATGCTAATACTATGCCATTTTATATCAGAGACTTGAACACCTGGGGATTCTGATTGTCAGTGGGAGGTTCTGGAACTCTGCCCCATTGATATCGAGGGATAACTGTACATGAAGTTGACGCTTGAACAATGTGAGCATCAGGAGCTCCCCTCCCCGACATATATGTGGATTTTTGTGCAGTCAAAAATCCACATACGACTTTTGACTCCCCAAAGCTTAACTACTAATACCCTGTTGAGTGGAAGACCTACTGATCACACAAACAGGTGAGTGAAAAAATCTTTGTATGTTATATGTATTATGTACTGTATTCTTACAATAAAATAAGCTAGAGAAAAGAAAATGTTATTAGGAAAATCGTAAGGAAGATAAAATATATTTACTATTCATTAAGTGGAAGTGAGTCATCATAAAGGCCTTCATTATCATTGTCTCCATGTTGAGTGAGCTGAGGAGGAAGAGGAAGGGAAGGGTTTGGTCTTGCTGTCTCGGGGTGGCAGAAGAAAATCCACATATAAATAGATTTGCACAGTTCAAACCCATGTTGTTCAAGGGTCAATTGTATGCATATTTTATTAGATACACAATAAGGGATATTATGTAGCTACAATAATCAAGACAATGTTTATTAGCAAATAATAGATACACAGATAGATGGAACAGGATAAAGAACCCAAAAATAAACCCACACAAATAAGCCCAACTGACTAATAAAGGAATTCATTTCAACAGAGATGATAAAGCAATTTAATGGAGGAAGGATCGTCTTTTTAACAAGTGACGCTGGAACAATTTGGCATTCATAAGCCAAAAAACGAACATTGTCCTAAACATCACAGCCTACACAAAAGACTAACTCAAAGTGCATCACACACACAAATGCAAAACATAAATTAGAAAACCTTTTTAAAAAGACAAATGAAAATCTTCCACGATATATGGCTAGGCAAAAACTTCTTAGACTTGGCACAGAAATCATGATCTAGAAAGGGGAAGAAAAAATTGATAATAGGACTTCACCAAAACTTTTGCTCTGTGAAAGCCTATGTGAAAAGAATAAAAACCTGGGAGAAAATATTTATAAACCACGTATCTAAACAATGACTTGTATCTATAATGTATATAGAACACTTAACACTCAACAGTTAAAAATCAATCCAATGAGAAATTAGCAAAATATATTTCACTAAGTAGGACAGACAGATGATGAACATATGAAAAGACGTGCAATATCATTAGCCGTTAGAGAAATGCACATTAAAATCCCAGTGAAATATCACTATACACCTGTCAAAATGGCTAAAACAAACAGGCAAACTAACAGTGATGACACCAAATCCTGGCAAAAATGCCACATAACTGGATAACTCATAGATTTTTGGTGGAAATATAAAATGGGACAATAGTATGTACAGCCTCTCTGGGAAAGGTTCAGCAGAAACACTTCTTACAAAACACTTACAGTATACTTATTATACAACCCAGGAATTACACTCTTGGGCATTTATCCCAGAGAAATGAAAACTTATGTTCACAAAAAACCAGTATGTGAATATTCACAGCAGTTTTGTTTATAATAATTGAAAACTGGAAACAGCTCAAATGTCCCTCAGTGGGCAAATGGTACAACTGTGGTACATGCATATGGAACACTCAGAAATAAAAAGGAACAAACTATTAATATGCTTAACAACTTTGGTGAACTCCAGGAATTTGTGCCCACCAAAAAAAAGAAAAATAAAGCCAATCGTAAGAAGTTACATGTGATATGATTCCATTAATATAGCACTCTCGAAATGACAAAATTATAGAGTTGGAAGACAGATTAATGATTGCCAAGGGCTCAAGATACAGGGAGAGGCTGTGACTATGAAGGTTAGTAAAGAATTGTTGATGGGTCTGTTTGTATCTTGACTGTGGCGGTGGTCACACAAATCTATAAGTAAGGTAAAATTTCATAGAAATAAATATCCACACACAGACAAATGAGTGCATGTAAAGCAGGTGAAATTTGAATAGAGGCAATGGATTGCATCAATGCCAGTGTCCCACTTTTGATACTGTACTCTTGTCATGCAATATGTTACCACTGAGTGAAATTGGGGGAAGAGTTTATGGGATGTGATTATTTCTTAGAACTGCATGTGAATCTATAATTATCGTAAAATAAAGAGTAAAAAATGTATAAATACCTCATATACTGGTGCTTAGTCTACCACTAAAATTTGGAGATGACTCAGAAGTTGTCTCCAGAACCTGAACTGAGCAGCCTAGCTGGGGTCTCAGGTGAAGGAGCCCTGCTCAAGGGGCTGGATTACCCCCATAAACTCAGGCTTAAGGTACAGCAAAGCCAGCCTTGGTGGAGAAGTGTGGGGTTGAAATATTTTGATAATTGATATTTTAATAGAAGCATTTCAGTAGTCATTATGAGGGGGGAAAGAGGAAAATCAGTAAATAAATGTAGAAGGAATGAACAAAATAGAAAAATCACCATAGTGTAAACTAGTAAAATAAGGGATTCAGATAAGGATCATCAAGAGATGCTGAAAAGCAGTAAAGGCAGGGTAATAAGGAACACGATATTCCTGCAGTCTCATAACATCACCCCATGGAGTGCTTGCGGACTGGAAAGGGTAAACATACCTTAGATAACGGAGCACCGTTACACATTTAGCTATGCAATACAATTAACATCACTAACAGAAACTTCCTAATATTATGTGCCTCTTGGTGCAAGGTGGTATGAAATACACAGAAGCCGTATTCTTGCCAAAAATATTTAGTACAAATCTAAACAAGCTTTTAAATCTAGTTTCTCAGTTGTATGAAATATGGAAAATAGAAGATTCAACCATGAATCCAGAATACAAAATATTCCACAAGCTCAGTTCCCTCAATAAATCAATACCACGACAAAAGAAAAAAGGAGAGGGCTTTCTTTATTGAAGAGACGCAATAACAAAATGTAATATGCGAATGTAGACTGTATTCTTGTTTTAATAAAATTATAAAAGTCATTTTTGAAGCACTTGGAGAAATTTGAATATGGACTGTGTACGAGATGATAGTGGGGATTAGTTTAATTTTCTTCGCTTTGATTATGGGGGTGTCATTTTATAGCAGGATATTTCCATTTTAAGGAGATATATAATGGACATTTTTTAGTGGTGAAATGTCATATTGACAGTATCTTCCTTCTGAAAGAAAAAGTATGGAAGAGACAAAAATAGATCAGAAAGAGCTTTTCCCCAGTGTCTCAGAGACGTTTTCTACCTGGACTGGATGTTGTGTACTGGATGCGCTCCGAATGTGACTTCAAAGGGAACGTAGTTGGGTGCTTACTAAGTGCCAGTCTTCTTACACAGCAGGCTTTTAGGGATTATCTCGTTTAGTCCGCACAGCAATCCTCTCAGTTGAAATGCAGTAGATTGTCTATTAAGATTATCTGAAATAAGAATCTTCTCGGGCAGATGAATTGGTTCTGAGAGTCAGGAGAGTGCATCAGGAAGTGAGATCATGGAAAAGTGGCTTTCTTAAGAAGGGAGTGAAGCTTCAAACATGGATTCACTTTTGGACATGTAGCGAATCGAAGATTTGGATTCCTTAACCGAGAATGCTTTTAAGAAATTGAACTTCCTGGCCGGGCGCCGTGGCTCACGCCTGTAATCCCAGCACTTTGGGAGGCCGAGGCGGGCAGATCACGAGGTCAGGAGATCGAGACCATCCTGGCGAACACGGTGAAACCCCGTCTCTACTGAAAAATACAACAAATTAGCCGGGCGTGGTGGCAGGCGCCTGTAGTCCCAGCTACTTGGGAGGCTGAGGCAGGAGAATGGCGTGAACCCGGGAGGCGGAGCTTGCAGTGAGCCGAGATGGCGCCACTGCACTCCGGCCTGGGTGAAAGAGCGGGACTCCGTCTCAAAAAAAAAAAAAAAAAAAAAAAAAAAAAAGAAAGAAAAGAAATTGAACTTTCTTCCCGAGGACCAAATAGATTCATTTTGCCTTAACGAGATGTTAATACTTTGTGACTCAAGTGAGTTTATAAGTATTATATGTATTTCTACACAAAATGCAAATTTGAATAATAAAAATTTAGGAAATTTTTCCTGTATTCACTTTACATCCCTTAACTTCACATTCAGTTTTGAATGAGTAACAATAATGTGTGCAGAGCCTACCAAAGATGCAGAAAGGGAAAGCTCAGAACAAGCAGAAATAAAAGCTGTAACTTCTGAAAAAACTGAATTAATAGGCTGGGCGCGGTGGCTCACGCCTGTAATCCCAGCACTTTGGGAGGCTGAGGCGGGCAGATCACAAGGTCAGGAGATCGAGACCATCCTGGCTAACACGGTGAAACCCCGTTTCTACTAAAAGTACAAAAAATTAGCCAGGCGTGGTGGCGGGCGCCTGTAGTCCCAGCTACTCGGGAGGCTAAGGCTGGAGAATGGCATGAACCCAGGAGGTGGAGCTTGCAGTGAGCCGAGATCGGGCCGTTGCACTCCAGCCTGGGGGACAGAGGGAGACTCTGCCTCAAACAAACAAACAAATAAAAACAACAACAAAAAAAACTGAATTAATAGCAAGTGTATTTCCTGATGCTGTTGTAGACCCAAAGAATACTAACGAACTGCTCCCTAATAGTTAGGCAGAACTTTTAGGCTTACATAGCATCAAGTAGTCTTTTCTAGGTATCTAAACGCTACAACCCCTAAAGACATGAATGGAATGGAGAAGAACCCAGTAGCTGCAGACATTGGACACAGTATACATTCTTCTTTGAATCTGTGTGATATTTTGAACTCTGTGTTGAGCTCTTCACATCTTGAATTAAATGAGGAAATTAATTGTGTTGATATACCTAATGCTAAATGACGAGTTAATGGGTGCAGCACACCAGCATGGCACATGTATACATATGTAACCTGCACATTGTGCACATGTACCCTAAAATTTAAAGTATAATAAAAAAAGAAAGAAAAAAATGAAAGATTTCCAAAGGATTATGTGAAATTTTATTTTATTGTTTAAATTATTTTATTTTATTTTATTGTTTAAATTATTTTATTTTATTTTATTGTTTAAATTATTTTATTTTATTTTATTTTATTTATTTTATTTATTTTATGTTATTTGAGACTGAGTCTCTGTTGCCCAGGCTGGAGTGCAGTAGCACGATCACGCCTCACTGCAACCTCTGCCTTCTGGGTTCAAGCGATTCTCCTTCCTCAGCCTCCCAAGTAGCTGGGACTACAGGCATGCACCACCAAGCCCGGCTAATTTTTATATTTTTAGTAGAGACAGGGTTTCACCATGTTGGGCAGGCTGGTCTCGAACTCCTGACCTCAGGTGATTCGTATGCCTCGGCCTCCCAAAGTGCTGGGATTACAGGTATGAGCCACTGCGCCGGGCCAGATTATGTGAAATTTTAGATAAACACAGAAGAATTTATGAATGACGATGAACAGGAAATGGAGAAAATTCTAATATCATGCGGTACTTTGTCAGCCAGAGTCAGTGACAATTATTAGGCTGATATGTTGACTGCCATGCCAGGGATGATCAAATCTCTTACCATCCACTGTCTGGAGGTGCCAACACCTGCTGAACTGGCTTTCCAGATCAATGAATTACAGTCAGACACTGTGTAATAATGTTTCAGTCAGTGACAAACCGCGTATACGACAGTGATCCCATGGATTATAACAGAGCTGAAAAATTCCTATAGCCTCTTGAAGTTGTAGCCATCGTAACATAGTGCAGTGTTTTCCTCCCATGTTTGCGGTGATGCTGTGAAAATAAACCTATTGCACTACCAGTCTTATAAAACGGTAGCACGTAGAATTATGTACAGTATTAATGCTTGATAATGGCAATAACTATGTTGCTGGTTTATGTATTTACTATACCATAGGTTTTATTGTTATTTTAGAATGTATGTTTCTACTTATAAAAAAGGTTAACTGTAAAACAGCCTCAGGCAGGTTGTCAGGAGTTATTCCAGAAGAAGGCACTGTTATCTTAGGAAGTGACAGCTCCATGCGTGTTACTGCCCCTGAAGACCTTCCAGTGGGACAAGTTGTGGAGGTGGAAGACAGTGACACTGATGCTCCTGACCCTGGGTAGGCCTCGGCTAATGTGTGGGCTCATGTTTTAATTTTTAACAAAAAAGTTTAAAAAGTCGAAAGAGTAAAAATTAAATTAAAAAAGCTTATAGGATAAGAATATAAAGAAAGAATTTTTTTTATAGCTGGACAATCTGTGTTTTAAACTAAGTATTATTACACAGTAGTCAAAAAGTAAAAAACAAAAACAAAAAAATACTAAAACGCTCATAGGGTAAAAAAGTTACAATAAGCCAAGGTTAATTTATTACTGAGGAAAAATATATTTTCTTATAAATTTAGTGTTGCCTAAGTGCACAGTATTTATAAAGTCTACGGTAGTGTACCGTAATGTCCTAGCCTTCACATTCACTCACCACTCACTCACTGACTCACCCAACGCCACCTCCAGTCCTGCAAGCTCCATTAGTGGTACCTGCCCTAAACAGGTGTACCATGTGTGTCTTTTATACTGTATTTTTTACTGCACTCTTTGTATGTTTAGACATGTTTAGATACAAACATACTTACCGTTGTGTTACAGTTGCCTACAGTATTCAGTACAGTTACATGCTGTGCAGGTTTGTAGCCCAGGAGCAGTAGGCTGTACCACAGAGCCCAGGCGTGTAGTAGGTTATGCCATCTAGGTTTGTGTAAGTGTACTTAGTGATGTTCGCACAGTGATGAAATTACCTAACAACGCATTTTTCAGAACATATTCCTATCATTAAGAAACACATGATATTTGGCCATGTTGGAATGGATTTTAGGGTCTCTAACAGTTGAGGATAGTCTAGTTCATGTAGATTTGAACCTGACAAAAGTGACTTATGAGAAATTGCAAGAATTCTTGGCAGGTTTCTTTTTATGAAGAACTCCCTTTGTGCTCATTTTGTCACCTTTACTTTTGTCACCTTTACTTTCTATAACAAAATAAACCATGTTACATGAAATAATTCTATTGAATTTTGATTTTGAGAGAGAACTTTCACCAGTTAACACGTTGCTGATTTTGTTTTCCTCTAAGTTTTTAGATTAATATCAGATTAGGCAAATTATACCATTAGTGATGAAACTTAATGTGAATGATTGTTTCTGAGGGGAAAAACCTCGAAACAGTGAGATTTTTACTCTCTCAGTTAAATAATGCAATGCTGATTGATTGAGTTTTAAAAACAGTTTTTATTTTTTAAAGCAGCAGCCGAATTCTCTTAAGTGGAGGGATCGCATAGGTGTCCTGGAGCTCCACCATGGTGAGTGGAGTCACACTTTACAATTTTATTTATCCAGCTTTATTTGTTGACTTACATTTAATAAGAATGATTTTGTCACAATTCTAAAAGGCGAAATGATTTCTAGAAAAAATAATATAAATATATTTACTAATATACCCGTCCTTTGCCAATCTCTTGTCCTGCACATGTGTTTAGAAGTAACAAAAACAAGCTGTGTCCTATGGCAAGCTTACGGGAGGCCCTCCCCTGGTTGGGCATGTTGGACTTGATCATACTGAACAAAATTCATCTCAGAGAACAAGAAATTACTGCAGACTTTAGCAGCACCCGAAGTGTTACTCTGTCTAATTGGATCATCGGAATAGTCAAGTTTTTAAAAGTGTCACTCACGCCGGGCGCGGTGGCTCACGCCTGTAATCCCAGCACTTTGGGAGGCTGAGGCGGGCGGATCACTAGGTCAGGAGATCGAGACCATCCTGGCTAACACGGTGAAACCCCGTCTCTACTAAAAATACAAAAAAGTAGCTGGGCATGGTGGCGGGCGCCTGTAGTCCCAGCTACTCGGGAGGCTGAGGCAGGAGAATGGTGTGAACGCGGGAGGCGGAGCTTGCAGTGAGCCGAGATCGCACCACACCACTCCAGCCTGAGCGATAGAGTGAGACTCCGCCTCAAAAAAAAAAAAAAAAAAAAAGTGTCACTCACAGAAATAGCTAACAGAAGAAATTGCCTTACAGGAAAAATCACGACTTAAGAAGGAAGTCACTTATCTTTGTAATAGAATGTGTCATCAGACTGAAGAAGCAGCAGCTCTCCAAGTTACTCCTCGCCATTAACCAAAATTTGGAGGTGTACACTTTCAAGGACCACAGTTATTTCTTAGAACATACAGTGCAATTTTAAAACTGTGTTCTTGAAAGGAATCGTTTACAAAAAGTTATAGCACAGGAGTTTTTCATGAAAATGCAAATGTCACTTCTGCTGAATGGAAGGCTAAAGAGAAAAGGCAAAGAAAGAGACTCAAGACATACGAAGTGGGCCCGGTCGTGGTGGCTCATGCCTGTAATCCCAGCACTTTGGGAGGCCGAAGCAGGCGGATCACCTGAGGTCAGGAGTTTGCGATTAGCCTGGCCAACATAGTGAAACCCTGTCTCCACTAAAAATACAAAAATTAGTGGGGCGTGGTGGTGGGCACCTGTAGTCCCAGCTACTTAGGAGGCTGAGGCAGGAGAATCGCCTGAACCTAGGGACAGAGGTTGCAGTGAGCCAAGATTGCGCCACTGCCCTCTAGCCTTGGCAACAGAGCAAGACTCTGTCTTAAAAAAAAAAAAAAAAAGTGGACCATTTCTAGGCATTGGATGGTTGCAGAGGAGATGCCCTCATGCACCTACAGAAGTGGAGGGCATGCCCACCAGGTCAGTCCCCATAAGTAGACGTGCAAAGCTCATCACGCCTCCCTGTTGTCACCAAATGTCTCAGACCTCCATGGGCTGCATGTGGACAAAGCTAGAGAATATTTTATGACAATGCTACAGCAAAAACCTGAAGATTTAAGCAAAATGCCTCTCTGTGATTATGGGGGTTGAAAAGCATAGCCAGGGAGCAGCCACTGTCATCAGACCAGCTGCTGCCATAAAATGCCTCACAGCCACAACTTCTGGATCTCTGAAGTTAAACCAGACTTTAGCTCTGAAGTCGGGCTAAAGTAAAAGACACTTCCTTAACTTAGAACTGTGAAGAATTTAATAGAGAAACAAGGCTGAACACATCTGAATTTTGAAGAGCTATTTATGACTTCATGTCGTATATGACAAATTTTATTATCGTTCTCTTTAAAATCGAGCAATTGATTCTCATCATCCAAAGGGTGAACCTGTTTTTAATAAATGAATTAACTATGAGACTGCTCATTAAAATGTAATATTGCAACTATCTATGGAAGAATAGATTATACAATTTTCAGCCAGCATAAGAAAAACAAAAAGATTTTATTTGAACTATTAAAAAAAGTAATTTTCCTGTCAACTCTGTACTTTTTTATATACATTTTTATAACTTTGCTTTAAAAATTTCTTGTGAAACGATTTGCAAATTACATATAGTATAATAGTAAAATAAAATACTTTGGCCAAAAAAAGGATATTTACTAATATGCAATGTAGCCACACTTTAGAAGCTTATACAGACTTTATAATTGTCCTTGAAGGCCAGAAGTTTGTTTTGTCAGTCACTCTGCTTCCTTGGGTTCCACTGGCTTGGAGGGGCTCTCACCAGCATCTTCCATTGTCCCTGAAAGGGTTGTAGAGGTGTGCATTAGTTTCCTGGGGCTGTCATAACAAAATACTGTATAGTGAGTGTGGCTTGACCAACAGAAATGTATGGTCTCACAGTTCTGGAAGCAGGAAGTCCAAAATCAAGGTGGTGGCAGGGTTGGTTCTTCTGAGGGCTGTGAGGGAAAGATCTGTTCCTGGCCTCTCTCCTTGGCTTGTAGATGGCTGAGCTATAGTTTTGTTATTTTTTCCCTCCAAATCCCATGTTGAAATGTGATCCCCAATGTTGGAGGTGGGGCCTGGAGGGAGGTGTTTGGGTCATGGGGGCGGATCCCTCATGGAATGGCTTGGTGCCCTCCCTGTGGTGATGAGTGAGTTCTTTCTCTGTGAGTTCATGCAGGAGCTGGTTGTTTAAAGGAGCCTGGTGCCTCCTCCCTCTCTCTCTTACTCTTTCACTCACCATGTGACATGCCTGCTCCCCCTTCACCTTCCACCATGAGTAAAAGCTTCCTGAGGGCTCACCAGAGGCAGATGCCAGCACTATGTTTCTTGTACAGTGTGCAGAACAATGAGCCAAAATAAACCTCTTTTATTTGTAAATTACCTAGTCTCAGGTATTCCTTTATAGCAACACAAAACAGACTAGTACAGCTGCCTTCTCCCTCTGTCTCTTCAGATCATCTTCCCTGTATGTATGTACATCTCTGTGTCCAAATTTCCCCTTTTTATAAGGACACCAGGTCATATTGGATTAAGGCCCACCCTAATGACCTTATTAATTTCCCTTTTTATAAGGACACCAGTCATTGGGTTAGGGTCCATCCTAATGACCTCACTTGAAATCCTGCCTCCAGATGAGATCATGCTCTGAGGTATTAGGGATTAGGATTTAACATGAAAGTGAGGGGGATGCAATTCAGCCCATCACAGGGTGGATTCCCCTTCTGGGGCTGTGTTACTCAAACCATCCCAGGAAGGGTAACAGGGCCAGAGGAGCTGAAGAATTGTGAGCCCTTGTTTACCAGGCTTGGGGGGTTCTGTCTTGCACTACTACCCTGAAAACCCTACTGGTTGCCAATTGAATTTATCAGGGAACTCCAGTGCCCAGTGACAAAGGCTGGAAATCTTTTCTCCTAAAGATCTTTAAGGGTGCACCTGCCCTCACAGTCCCTCTGGCTCTGAGCTTGTGGCTCTATCTGTTCCCTATGCCCATATGAATGAGTTCTGCCTCAATCCCTGCTCCCCACTGTGGGGAACCAAGTACCAACCTCAACTTGCTGGGCAGATGCTACGTGACAGTCTAAGTGCTAAGCTCTTTACAGACATGGTCTCATTTTATCTTCCTCATAAGCCAAAGAGGTAAAGAATGACATCACTGTTTTACAGATGAGAAGGCCACATTGTGAAGAAATTAAGTGATTTGCCCGAGGTTTGTGTTGATCATTTCATTAAATGAAGTATCATATCTATCATACTTTTTCATTTATTAGAAACAAAATACCACTCATGGTAAGAACAAAGATGTGGAGGAGCAGTAGAAGAACAGAGAAGTAGGAGTGGAATTTCATGAGTCCCCAAACCGAAGACCAATACCTATGATTAGAAATACAGGGGACTCCATGTTCATAGTGGCGTTATTCACAATAGCCAAAAAGTGAAGTCACCCAGGTGTCCTTGTGTGGATGAATGGATAAGCAAAATGTGGTCCATGTGTATAATGAAACATTACCCAACCTCGGAAAGGAAGGACATCTTCTATACGCCAGAACATGGATGAACCTCGAGGACATTATGCTGAGTGAAATAAGCCAGGCACAAAAGAACAGACACTGTGTGATTCCACTTACATGAGGTGTCTGGAGTGCTCAGTCTCATGGAGACAGAAAATAGAATGGTGGTTGCCAGGGGATAAGGAGTTGGGGATAGCATGTTTGCATTTAATAGGTACAAAATTTCATTTTAAGAAGATGAAAGTTTTATAGATGGTTGGTGGTGATAGTTGCACAAAAAGGTGAATGCATTTAATGCCACTGGACTATATACTTAGAAATGACTAAGATGATGAGTTTTTATGTGTATTCACAACTTAAAAATAATTTTTAAAAAAGAAAGGAAAGGCACTGACCCCAACCCACACACTCAACAGTTTTTGAATCCAGATTTTCTGGCAATGATATAAAATGTCTTTTGATCCAATCACTCAGGAAGGTCAAGAGAAAACCCTGCATTTTTATTGGGAAGAATAGCCTCGAAGCAGGAGCATCGTTTAGAACCTGTCTGTGTGCATCTTCAGTAAACATTCGAGTAATAAATCACTGTTGCACTTGAAGGAAGGTCTCCAGGTTCTGGTGGTAGGTGTGGGGTTGGCAAGAGTGCAGCTTTAAGGTGTGAGCTCCGGGATTTCTCACTGAGGATAAGTTCATCTTTCTACCAGTTCTGCACAGTTGAGTCTAAGCACAGGTGGTGGTGGGGAGGTAAACATGGAGATGACCAAGGAAACACACTCTGACCCATCCCTGATTGCAAAATGAAAGGGTGTTGGATCCAGAATGTGGTTGGTACTTGATAGGTGCACTGTCCCTGACAAAAACGGGGCAGAGGGGTGACCTACACACTCCTATTTCTCATCTCCAGTTTGTTCCTTATCAACTACCACTTTCTCTTCCTGCCTCTCCTGAGTCTTGAAGTTTGTAAAGTCTGGTCTGGCTTACTCCTCATAGGTATCCAGCATTTAGTTTTGAAACATATCAACACTTGTACAAATGGCAGTTAGGGTGACTGTTATGAAAAGGAAATCTAATACACTATTCCTCCACTTGAAATCCTCCATGTCTCCCCATTCCCTGAGGCACATGATTGAAGCCCGAAGAACGCATGCCCCACCTGCTCCCTGCCCATTGGTCCAGCTGCCACGCAGACAAGGTCTGGCACCAGATCCATAGTCAGCAGTGCTGGCCCTGCAGCCTCTGCTAACGGGGCTCACCAGCCTGCAGCCTCGGCTCCTCCATACTCACCTGCCCACCACTACTAGCTCAGCCTACAACCTTAGCCAACTCCTTAGCCTCCAGGAAGACCTCCAGGTGGTTCCTCAACTTAGGTGTCTCTTCTAACCTTAATCCTGGAAGTTGACTTGCTGGTTGCATTATGATTCCTAAGCCCCAGCTGTGGAGGGAGAGTCCCTGGAAGATGGGACAATGTCTTTGCCCCTGAACTTCCATCCCTGGCATAGTGCCAGCTTTTTCATGGCATTCAGTAAGCACTGCATGTGAAATGCATTGTGCCAAGTTATTTTGCCTCGTTTAACTCTTGAAAAGCAGGCTTCTGTGCAGACCAGGCTCAAATCCATGCTTCCAGGTGCCCTGTGCGGTGCCACCACAGTGTAGCACACAGACCTGCACGTGCCTACATGGCATTGATTCCAGGCCTTGGTTTCCTCTTTGGGAAGATAAAGTAACTGTACTAAATGCAGAGAGAAATTAGTTAACTTTATCACTTGCTTTTAGAATGATTCTTGAAATATGAAGAAAAAATATAAATTTCTGGCTTATTTTGGCTTTTCTTTTCCTAGAGTAACTGAATTTTTAAAAATCAAGCAATGCAGGAAGGAATAAAAACAAATTCAGGTTTACATATATGAGACTGGCAGCACAATACAACTAACCTCTGCTAGTTGGTGACTAACAGTTGGAAATCCATCCTGGAAGTTCCCAAGCACATCAGTGTTGCAGAGGACCTTGAAAGCATAGCAAATGGGTGAGCACACATTATTAAACTTTTATTAGGTTGTCAGCCTTGTGTATCTCTTTCAAAAACGTGTAGCTCATAAAAACATTCTTCACTTATCTTCAGCTGATTTGATGCAATTTTCTTCAATGGTGCTTAGTTATATTTAATCCCTGTGCCATACTTATGTCCAAAAAAATGGGAAATAATGCAAAGCAGGCCATATTCTAAAATGAAAAGCATTAAATTAAGGTTCTAGGTTCCCTCAAAAAGAGCAAAGCAGAGTGGACCTCACCTTATATAGCATCTATCTCTAAACTTTGCATTTTATTTTGAAACTCTGCAAAGCAATAAAAAACTCATTAACTTTTATAGCCAGTCAGAAAGGTAGTAATAGCATCTGTAGCAATGGAGATGTAATTAGGCTTTTATTTAAATGTGGCAGGGAGTTTGTTCTCATTATACGAAATAAATGAACAACCACAAATCACCAGTGGATTCATGCTCCCTATGGTGCTGGTGCAAGTGGTCCAGGAACTTGCCCAGTGCTGCTTCCTTATGTGGCAACAGAGCCTGTGAGCCCCAGAGCCAGGGCTGGATGGAAACCAGCTTTCTGAAGGTTGAATAGTCACAGCAATTATATTAACGATTATAATCATGACAGAAAAGATTCTCCGTCCACATTGTTGTGTTAAAACAGAAAAAGAAAAAAAAAGTGTTGCAGATCATCAATGCAATTCTTAACTTGGTCATAGAAAAACACCGAATTTGATCATCCTCTTGTCTCTGCTGTAGCTAAGCTCCTTTCCTGGCCTCCAATTCCTGTTTCCTTCCCAATACAGCAACTTCCTTCTATCTGTATTATCTCCTTGCCCATTTAGATAGCCTCAGAAAAACATGGGGAAGAACCAATTTGAAAGGTCTCAGTGGGTTTCATCAGGTTCCTAACAGATAATAAATGCTGAGCTAAGGACCCTAGGTTCTTCCAAAAAATGATGATATTAAAGCTCTACATCCTCTTTTTGAAAGTATGTAAAACTACTTTAGTGGTTTTGATTCATTTTAATCTTATGTCAGCTACATTATTATGTAAGGGAAATTCAAAGATGAGGATAGAAATTTACTCAGAAAAAGTATAAATTGATTTCTGTTTAAAGATGATTTTCCGGCCGGGCGCGGTGGCTCACGCCTGTAATCCCAGCACTTTGGGAGGCCGAGGCGGGCGGATCACGAGGTCAGGAGATCGAGACCATCCTGGCTAACACGGTGAAACCCCGTCTCTACTAAAAATACAAAAAATTAGCCGGGCGAGGTGGCAGGCGCCTGTAGTCCCAGCTACTTGGGAGGCTGAGGCAGGAGAATGACGTGAACCCCAGGGGGCGGAGACTGCAGTGAGCCGAGATTGCGCCACTGCACTCCAGCCTGGGCGACAGCGAGACTCTGTTTCAAAAAAAAAAAAAAAAAAAAAAGATGATTTTCCTTAATCTCATCTCTCAAAACCCACAAATATATATGTATTACTAGGTATGTGTGTGTATATATATATATATAAAATATATATATATGCACACATGTGCATATATATTTTTTGTTGTTGATTTGTTTGTGTATATGTATATGAATGTATACACATATGTGTATATACACACATATTTATACACTCATGTATATGCACACAAATCAACAATAAAAAATAGAGGGCAAAAAATCCAATTTATATATAACAAGAAAATGGCTATATTCTCAAAACATCTTGACTGGAGCTCGAGAGCCAATAAAAAGTTGATCTCTGCCACCTGAGACCTTGGGCCAGGATACACGTGCTCTTAAAAGGGCAGGTTCCGTGTTCACTTGTATGTTCCGGCCCCAGCTGCTTTCCCTGATGGAAGAGGGCCAGAGGCACACAGCGGGAAAGTGGAGAAGCTGGAAGGGCTTAAGAGTCTAAGTCTGGGGAAGGTGAAGGAGTGTCCCCAGGGCGAAGAAAGAGCAGGTTTGTTGGAGGGCACTCAAGAACACACCCACGTGAAAGCCGTAGATAGGCTTTCCCTATCCCGCATCCCGCCACACTCCCATCCCACCCCTCGGCAGTACTAGCTCAGCCAATGGGGCTACTGACTGTCCCTTCTCCAAGATGAGTCATATTGAGAAGAACGGCCTGGGCCCATGGAGAACAACTGCCATCAAACAATCAATTGGCAGCATCCATCAAATACCTGATGGAGGGAAAAAAGGAAAGACAGAGGCACATCGGGGCAGATATCACGAAAGACAGTTTTCAAGGACACAGAGAGGGATTCTCACCAACAGTGCTTCATTCTGCACAAAGATTCTATGCAGCAGGCAGCATTTTCTGCACCTGAAACGAGAACTGTCACGGAAGAGTCAGGATATTCAAGTAAGAGGCCGTGTGACAGTGGGAGAGGATGTGAACAGAGCTGTCAGAGTCCATTAGGACATGGAAAGGAGGAAGAACACTGCAGAAATAAAAAATCCATATGAAGCGACAACAAAGGAAAAACAAGACAGATGATATCATGAGGTCTTGACAAATAGACCTGGGAAAATCTCATAAACTACGTATTAAAGAGAACCAGGGAACTTAAAAATGCTTTTAGCAAAACAATGGCCAGGAGAGGGCAAGATAGACAAGGACAGCTCGGCTCTCAGCAGGCGCTTCTAACCCTCTCACTGTCCCCGCCGCCAGCCCTGGGGGAAGAACACTGTGTTTTTGTTTTTGTTTTTACTACAGATTCTTAAATATTTTAAATTTTGAACCATAGATATATGTTTCCATTTTAGCATTAATCAATAAAATGGCTGTTGGAAACTCAGTGAAGAACAATACAAGAAATGTGATAAACCCCACAATGGGTATATGACCATCTTTGATCAATTTTACAACTGCTACTGCTCACCCCTCAATGCCCATCAGTCTCTCACAGGAATGCACCAAGAGAAGAGAATCTCCAGCAGGAGGCCCAGAGGTGGAAGAGGCAGGGATGCGAAGAAGCAGAGGAGGCTGGAAGGAACCGGGCGAGAAGTGGGGACAGCGGGAGTGTAAGTGAGAGCCAGTGAGGCCGCTCACGCAGGGCACCCGGCCAGGTGAAAACTTTTAGAATTTGCTTCAAAAGTCAGTGAAGTGCTCTAAGCAGCACAGTGTCAAAATCAGATTTAAAGTTGTCAAAGGGCATTTTTAATGCAAAAAGCAACAGACTGGGCAAAAGTGTTTTTAATATGTGTAACCAAAAAAAGAGAGTTAAAAACTAGTATTTTTTTTCAAAATGTTCCCAGAAATAACATAAATAAAATTAGTTAGAAAACAAAGCAGACAATTAAAAGAAAAAGAGATACAATTAGTCGATAAATCTATGAAAAAATGGTCACTGTATCGTAAGGCCTGAAATTTCATTTCCCACCTTAACGCCTTCGACCCTCACAAGGCCCCAAGGGTCTAATCCTAAGTCCTTATGCTCACACCAGACGTGTACCCCCGCCAGTGGGAAAGGCTCCTTGCCTGGCCAGTTCCCCATTAGCTGGACTAGCTTCACTTAACCTGATCCTCACTCTAATGGGCTTCGCTTCCCTGCCAGCTCATGAAATTATTCAAAAAAGCTAGTCACATCCTCACATGGGGCCTGGAGGCACCTCAGCATCTTGTTAGTTCAAAGCCTGCCTCCTTTTCACTAGAGTCCCTGCAGGCTCTCTGTGTTCCCATGTGCAAGTCCCTTATGGCCCTGTGTAAAATGCAATGTCCTCCTCCCCGAGGCCTTGAGCATATGTAAGCAACAAACCGCTATGAGCTTATCTGTCCAGTCCCGCAGGGTGGATGCAAGTGGTCAGAACAGTCACCTCATTTGTAATCAGAGAAACATTAACTGAAGCAGCAATGATACGGAATATTTTTACCCAATGGATTCATAAAATTATGAACCAGTATTAACTACCTGTGTTGGCAGTGGTTTGCATGGGAATATATATTGATGGTTTTTCAGGGGATATCTATTAAAATATACAAATCCTGTGACCTCTGATTTACCTTCTAGAAACATTTACTTAGATGCACTGTTGGTAACAGAGAAAAAATTGGATAGAGCTTAAATAGCTACTAAAAGACAATGGTTAAATGAGTTTTGATATGACAACTGATAGGCAATTTTGTGGACTGGCTCATTTCCAATCTTCTTCCCTTGTGTCTCCCTGGACTGCAGAGACCAGAAAGCCAGAAACTACATTTGCTAAGCTCCCTGGATTACAGGCATGACTTAGCTCTGCCAATGAGATGTACTTATGTGTGATTTGACTTTGGATCTGTTTTAGGTGAGATAGAAATAGCATAAAGCAGTGTTTTAAAAAATACTTTATTGTTTAGAATGGTGTTAAATTTACAGAAAAATTGCGAAGCTACAGAGATCTTGCATATGCCAGCATAACCTTTTCCCCCTATTATTAACATCTTACATTCTTAAAGTTAATGGATCAATAGTGATATATGATTGTTATTAAGTAAATACCACAGTTTATTCAGATTTCCATTTATTTATTTAGAGACAAAGTTTCGCTCTTGTTGCCCAGGCTGGAGTGCAATGGCACGATCTTGGCTCACTGCAACCTCTGCCTCCCGGGTTCAAGCGATTCTCCTGCCTCAGCCTTCTGAGTAGCTGGGATTACAGGCATGCGCCACCACGCCCGGCTAATTTTGTATTTTTAGTAGAGACGGAGTTTCTCCAGGTTGGTCAGGCTGGTCTCGAACTCCCAACCTCAGATGATCTGCCCGCCTCGACCTCCCAAAGTGCTGGGATTACAGGCGTGAGCCACAGCCCCTGGCCCAGATTTCCTTATTTTTTGTAGAACTTCTTTTTCTGTTCCAGGTGTCTGTTCATAACTCCACACTGCACTTACCTCTCACGGCTCCTTAGGCTCTCTTGGTGGTGACAGATTCTCTGAGTTTTCTTGTTTTTGATGACACTGATAAATTTGAGGAGTAACGGTCATACTTGGTAAGATGTCCCTCGAATGGAATTGATGTGAATTCTTTCTCTGATTAGGCAGGTGCCAGCATGGCCCACCACTGCTGATGTGGACCTTGGTCACCTGGCTCCGGGAGTCTTTGTCAGGCTTCTTCACGTAAAGTTGCTCTTTTTTTCCCACTTTCCACACCGTACTCTTTGGAACGAAGCACCTCGTGCTTAAGGAGTGGGGATTTAAGCCCACTAGGATAGTTTCAGCACTCAAAAAACGTATGCTTTCAGAAAGACAAGCATCACATGTTTTCACTTATTTGTGGGATCTAAAAATCAAAACACATGGAGATAGAGAGTAGAAGGATGGTTACCAGAGGCTGGGAAGGGGAGTGGGGTGGGGGGTGGAGGGGATGTGGTGAAAGTTAATGGGTACAAAAAATAGAATAAATGAATAAAGCCTAGCATCCGATGGCACAACAGGGTGACTATAATCAATAATTCAATTGTATATTTTAAAATAACTAAAATAGTATAATTGGATTGTGTGTAACACAAAGGATAAATGCTTGAGGGGATGGATACCCCATTCCCCATGATGCAATTGTTATTTATTGCATGCCTGTATCAAAACATCTCATACGCCTCATAAATATATATACCTACTATGTACCAACAAAAATAAAAAATAGAAATCCTGCGCTTTACCTATTTACCCCTCCCATCCCCTCTGGCAACAACTATTTTTACTGACTCCATAGTTTTGCATTTCTTTGAACCTCATATAGCTGGAATCATATGCTATGTAGCCTTTTCAAATTGGCTTCTTTCACTTAGTAATATGCATTTAAAATTTAACCATGTCTTTTCATGGCTTGATAGCTCATTTCTTTTTATGGCTGAATAACAGTCACTTGTGTGGATGCTCTCTACTTTGTTTACCTCGGTTGCTTTCAGTTTTGGAGTTTATGAATGAAGCTGCTAAAACACACTTTCATGCAGCTTTTGGTGTGAATATAAGTTTTCAAATCAATTCTTACTAGGAACTTGATTGCTAAATCACATAGTAAGACTATGTTTAGCTTTGCAAGAAACTGCCTAACTATCTTCCAATGACTGCACCATTTTTCATTCACACCAGCAGCAAAAGAGAGTTCCTCCATACTGAATCCTCTCCAGCATGCGGTGGTGCAATTTTTGCAGATTTTATCTACTCTAATGCATGTCTACCTGTATGTGGTTTCAATTTGCAATTCCCAATTGGGAAATGATTTCAAAAATTATTTTAGGTTGCCATTTGTATATTTTCTTTGCTGAGTTTTCTGTTCAGATCTTTTAACTTCATTTTAATTGAGTTGTTTGCTTTCTTATTGTTTAACTGTAAAAGTTCTTTGTAAGCTTCAGATATAAGTTCTTTATCAGACATATGTTTTGCAAATATTTTCTCCAAGTCTGAGGCTTATTTTTTTATTATCTTGCAATGTCTTTGGCAGAGCATAAGCTTTTAATTTTAATACAGTTTAACTTACCTATTTTTCTTTCATCCACCATGTTTTTGATGTTGTGTTGAAAAACTCATTGCCAAACCCAAGGTTACCTACATTTTCTCTATTTTCCTCTAAAAGTTTCAAAGTGTTGCTATTTACATTTAGGTTTATGATTCATTTTGAGTTACTTTTTTTCTTTCTTTCAGCTATATTGAACTATAACTGACAAATAAAAATAATATACATTCAAGATGTACAATGTGATGTGCATATACTATACACGTTCATTGTGTAATGGTTACCACCATCAAATTAATCAACCTATCCATCACCACAGAGTTACCCTTTGTGTGTGTGTGTGTTGTGATAACACTTAAGATACTTTTTCTTAGCAAATTTCTAGTAAATAATATTATTAACTATAATTATCATGTGGTACATTAGATACTCAGCAATTATTTATCTTATAACTGAAAGTGTGTACCCTTAAATCAACATCTCCCCATTTTTCCCACCCCTCAGACACTGGCATGCACTGTTCCACTCCTTGCTTCTATGAGTTGCACTTTTTAGATTCATATATGTCAGATCATACAGTATTTGCCTTTCTGTATCTGGCTTATTCCACATAGCATAATGTCTTCCAGATTCACTTATGTTGTCACAAATGGCAGGATTTTCTTCTTTTATTATGGCTGGATAATATTTCATTGTATATATGTGTGTATATATGCATCATATATATGTATATACATGCATCATATATATGTATATACATACATCATATATATGTGTATATATACATCATATATATGTATATATACACATTGTATATATGTGTGTATATATACATCATATATATATGTATATATACACATCATATATATGTGTATATAGACAATAGTTTCTTGATCCACTCATCTGTCAATGGACACAGGTTATTCCATGTCTTCCCTATTGTAAATAATGCTGCAATAAACATGAGGGTGTAGATAGCACTTCAAGATATTTTATTTCCTTTCACTATCCTTTTCCTTTTCTTTGGATATGTACCTAGGTATAGGATTGTTGGATTATATAGTAGTTCTATTTTTAATAGTTTGCAGAACTAACAATGTTTTCTATATAAATTGACTATATCAATTTATATACCCACTGACAGTGTACAAGGATTCTCTTTTCTCCACATCCGCACCAACACCTGTTAGTTCTTGTCGTTTGGATAATAGCCATCCTTACAGGTGTGAGGTGATGTCTCAGTCTCACTGTGGTTCTGATTTGCATTTCCCTGATGATTCATGATGTTGAGCAGCTTTTCATACACCCGTTGGACAGTTGTATGTCTTCTTTGAAAAAATGTCTGTTCAGGGCATTTGCCCATTTTTCAATACGTTACTATCATCATCATCATTATTATTATTAATTTGCTATTGAGTTGTATGTGTATTCAGTATTTTGAATATTAACCCATTATCAGATATATAGTTTTTAAATATGTGCTCCCATTCTGTAGCTTGGCTTTTTGTTTTGTTGATTGTTTTCTTTGCTGTGCACAAGATTTTTAGTGTGATGTATTCCCATTTATTTATTTTTGCTTTCATGCTATGTGCTTTTGGTGTTATATCCAAAAAATATTGCCAAGGCCAATGTACAGAAACTTTTTCTCTCTTTTTTCTTCTAGGAATTTCACGGTTTCAAGTCTTACATGTAAGTTTTCTTTTTTTTTTTTTGAGATGAAGTTTCCCTCTTGTTGCCCAGGCTGGAGTGCCATGGTGTGATCTCAGCTCACCACAACCTCTGCCTCCTAGGTTCAAGTGATTCTCCTGCCTTAGCCTCCTGAGTAGCTGGGATTACAGGCATTACAGGCATGCACCACCACGCCTGGCTAATTTTTTTTTTTCTTTTAGTAGAGATGGGGTTTCACCATGTTGGTCAGGCTAGTCTCGAACTCCCAACCTCAGGTTATCCACCTGCCTCGGCCTCCCAAGATGCTGGGATTACAGGCATGAGCCACTGCGCCTGGCCCATATAAGTTGTTAATCCTATTTCAAGTTAACTTTTGCATTTGGTATAAAATAATGGTTCAATTTTATTCTTTTGCATGTGGTTATGGAGTTTTCCCATCATTTATTAAAGAGAGTATCCTTTACCCATCGTGTATTCTTAGGACTCTTCTCAAAGGCATTTAATTTGGGGCTCTCTATTCTGTTCTAAGAGCCTGTTTTTATGCTAGTATCATACTGTTTTTATTTACTGTACCTTGGCAATATAGTTTGAAATCAGGAAGTATAATTCTTAACAGCTTTGTTGCTCTTTCTCAAAATTGCTTTGCCTATTCAGAGTCTTTTGTGATTCTGTACAAATTTTAAGATTGTTTCTTCTATTTCTGTGAAAAATGTCATTGGATTTTTGATAGGGATTACATCAAATCTGTATATCACTTTGGGTAGTATGGATCTATTTGCGATGTTAATTCTTTCAATTAGTGAACATGAGCTATCTTTCCAGTTATGTGTGTCTCCTTTAATTTCTTTCATCAGTGTTTTATACATTTCAGCATACATATCTAGATATTTCACATGCATGATTAAATGCATTTCTAACTATTTTATCGTTTTTGATGCTATTGTAAATGGGACTGTTTTCTTAATTTTTTGGATAGTTGGTTGTTGATGTATAGAAAACCCACTGACTTTTGTATGTTGATTTTGTATCCTGAAACTTTACTGAATTTAGTTATTAGTTCTAACAGTTTTTTCATGGAGTCTTTAGAGTTTTCAATATTTAAGATCATGTCATCTTCAAACCGAGATAATTTAATGTCTTTCTTTCCAATTTGGGTTCCTTTTACTTACTTTTCTCTCTTAATTGCTGTGGCTAAGACTTCCAGTACTATGTTGAACAGAAGTGGCAAGAGTGGGCATCTTTTTCTTGTACCTGAGTTTAAAAGAAAAGCTTTCAGCTATCATCACTGAGTATGATGTTAGCTGTGGGATGGTCATATACGGCCTTTCTTGTATTGAGGCACAGTTCTTCCATATGTCATTTGTGAAGTTTGTATCATGAATTTATGTTGAATTTTGTAAAATGCTTTTATTGAATCTATGGAGGTGATCATATGATTGTTATCCTTTATTCTGTTAATGTGGTATATCGCAATTATTGTTTTGCACATTATGAAACATCCTTGCATCCCAGGATAAATCCTACTTGATTATAGTGTATGATCCTTTAAATGTGTTGTTGAATTTGGTTTGCTAACATTTTGTTGAGGAGTTTTGCATCTATGTTCATCAGTGATTTTGTCCTGTAATGTTCTTTTCTTGTAGTGTTCTTAGTTAGCTTTGGTATAAAGATAATGCTGGCCTGATAAAATTAGTTTGGAAGTCCTTCCCACTCTTCAACTTTTTGGAAGATTTTGAGGAGAATTGCCATGAATTCTTCTTCAAATATTTGATAGAATTCACCTTGAAGCCATCTAGTCCTGAGATTTTCTTTTCTTTGAGGTTTTAGATTACAGGTTTAATCTCCTTTCTCATTATTGTTCTGTTCATATTTTCTCTTTCTTCATGATTAACTTTTTGCAGGTTGTACATTTCTAGGAATTTATTCATTTCTTCTAGGTTATTCAATTTGTTGGTGTATAGTTGTTCATAGTGGTCTCTTATGATCCTTTGTATTTCTGTGGTATCAGTGGTAATGCCTCCTCTTTCGTTACGTTTTCTTTATTGTGAGCCATCTTTTTTGTTCTTGGTTACTCTAACTACAGTTTTCTCAACTTTGCTTATCTTTTCAAAAACGCGACTTTAGTTTTGTTGATATTTCCTATTGTGTTTCTAGTCTCTATTTTATTTCTTTTTATTCTAATATATATTTTTTAATTTTCTGACTTTGGACTGAGTTTGTGCTGCTTTTCTGGTTTTTTTTTGGGCTAAGTAGCTTGTATATTTGAGATTATTCTTATTTCTTAATATAGGCATTTATTGCTATAACGTTTGTTCTTAAAACTGTGTTTCCTGCATCCCATACGTTTTGGTATGTTGTGTTTCTATTTTTACTTGTCTCAAGATACTTTAAAATTTCTCTTTTGATTTCTTATTTGAGCCATTGATTTCAGGAGTATGCTGTTTAATTTGTACATATTTGTGAATTTCCCAAAATCTCTTGTGTTATTGATTTCTAATTTCATACAACTGTGGTCAGAAAAGATACTTGATATGATTTCAACACTCTTAAATTTGCTAAGAATTGTCTTATATCCCAGCATATGATCTATCTTAAAGAATGTTCCATGTGCTCTGGAGAAGAGTAAGTATGCTACTGCTGTTAGACAGAAGGTCAAGACCTTCTGTTGGGTCCCTAGGCTAATGGGATTACTTCTGAGATTGCAGTCAAGTGGAGTCAGAGCTGAGTTACAACTGCTGCTGGGCCCACAGTGGGGACCATGTTTAGTGGGCCTCTTCCCAGGTGCTCAAGCTGGCATGGATTATACCTCCATGACTTTGGTCAGTAGGGCTGGTGATGGGACAAGTGTCTGTCTACTCAGGGTCCATAGTTGGTTGTTACCAGGTGTGTATACCGGTGCGGATCCTTCTAGGTCCTTGGGATAGCTCCTCCTGGGTCACTGGGTAAGTCCCTGGGCAGGCATGACTGCACAGGTAAGAGTGACTGGAGAAGAGTTACAGGGCCATTTTGGAGTCTACTGTGGTATCAAGGTAAACAAGCCTGCCTCCCTGGGTGTGAAAGATTGAGCATGCCTCCTGGGGGGTCTTTGAGTGGGAAAAACTGCTCTCAGCTCACAGATGAGAAGGCCTAGAGCCAAGTTACAAAACTATTACAGGACCTTCTGTGGGTCTGAGATTGGTAGACCTTCTCTGAATGCACAGATAGATGTATCTCCTGGCAAGACTGTGCTTGGGCAAGAATGCTCTCAAAACACAATTGAGAGGGTCTATGGCTGAGTTACAGGACTGCTTCAGAGTTCACTGCCCAGGCTGAGGTCAGCGAGCCCATCACCAGAGGGAGCAGTGCCCGTGACTCCACCCCAGTCCTTTGGCAGATGACTGTGGTAGCAGGATCAAGGCCAAACAGGCTTATAGCCGAGCCCACAAGGAGATGAGGCTGATTCCAGACCTATTGCCTGCACCAACAGTCAGCAAGCCTGCCACCTAGATGCAGGCCTCCCCTTTCCTCAACCTCCTAGGTTTTAAGCCAGACCAGGGTTTCACAACCTCCCACCTGGATCCCAAAGGCTCTTTTGTCTAAATAAATCTCTCAATGTATTTAAATATTCTTTGATTCCTGTCATCAGAGTTTAGTAGTTTCCTGCATATAGATTTTGTACATATTATGTTAGCTGTTTACCTAAGAATGTCATTTTTGGTGCCATTGTAAATGTTTTTGTGAGTATAATTTTGAATTTCAAATGTCCATAGTTGGTGTATGGAAAACAAATGACTGTTGAATATTGACCTTTTATCCTGTGATCTTGCTGTAATCACATCAATACCAGGACTTTGTTTTGACCATTTCTTAGGATTTTATACATAAATAATCATGTCATCTGTGTATGCAATAGACTGAATAATAATTACCAAAGCTAACCAAGTCCTAATATTTGGAACCAGTGAATATTATGTTACGTGGCAAAAGGGATATTGCACATGTGGTTAAAAGATGGGGAGATTGTCTGAGATTGTCCAGAGTGCCTGAAATATAATTGCAAGTGTCCTTATAAAAGGGATGCAGAAGTAACTTTGATTATGGGTAGGAGAAGGCAATGTGATGAGAGAAATGGTGATTGGAGTGATGCGGCCACACTTCAGGGGATGCAAGCAGCCACCAGAAGCAGAAAGAAGCAAGGAACAGACTCCACTCTGCAAGTGACCAACCCCAATAACACCTTGATTTTAGTCCTATGTCTTAGTCTGTTTTGGGTTGCTATAACAAAATACCACAAACTGAGTAATTTATAAAGAAAAGAAATTATATTTCTCACAGTTCTGGAGACTTGGAAGTACAATATCAAGGTGACAGTATCTGGTAAGGGCCTTCTGGCTATGTCACCCATGGCAGAAGGCAAAAGGTGAGAGATGGTGAGAGAGCTAAGAGGGAAGCCAAACTCATCATTTCATCAGGAACCCACTCCCACAATAACTAACCCACTGCCACAATAATGGCACTAATTCATTCATAAGGGAAGAACCCTGATGACCTAATCACCTCCTAAAGTTCCCACCTCAGCATTGTTGCATTGGGGAATAAGTTTCCAACACATGAACTTTGGGGTACACATTCAAGTCATGACACCCTATATGACTAATTTTGGACTTTTAGCCTCCAGAAATGTAATAGAATAAGGATGTATCATTTTAAACCATGGACTTTGTCATAATTTGCTACATCAGCAATAAGAAACTAACACAATCAATAAAGACAGATTTATTTCTTCCCTCTGTACCTACACAATTTTTACTTCCTTTCTTGTCTTATTGTATTAGCTATGACTTATAGTATAATGTTAAATGGGAGTGGGGGGAAAAGATCTCCCTGCCTTGTCCCTGAACTTAGGGGGAAAGCTTCCAGTTTCTTACCACGAAGTAGTATGATGTTAGCTGTAGGTTTTTTGCAGATGTTCCTTGTCAAGTTGAAGCTGTTATCCTCTATTCCTATTTGCTGAAAGTTTATATCAAGGATGGGTACTGGACTTTGTCTAGTGCTTTTTCTGCATCAATAGATATTGTATTAGTTCATTCACACACTGCTATAAAGAACTACCTTAGACTGGGTAATTTATGAAGAAAAGAGATTTCGTTGACTCACAGTTCTGCAGACCTAACAGAAAGCATGGCTGGGAGGCCTCAGGAAACTTAAAAACATGGCAGAAGGAGAAGGGGAAGCAGGCACGTCTTACCAGGGTGACCCCATGATCCCATCACCATCAGGCCCCTCCTCCAATTCGACATGAGATTTGGGCAGGGACACAAATCCAAACCCTATTATTCTGCCCCTGGCCCCTCCCAAATCTCATGTCCTTTTCACATTTCAAAATACAATTATCCCTTCTCAACAGTCCCCCAGTATTAACTCATTTCAACATTAACTCAAAAGTCCGAAGTCCAAAGTCTCATCTGAGACAAGGTAAGTCCTTTCCACCTATGAGCCTGTAAAAATAAAATAAAATAATTAGTTACTTCCAAGATACAATGAGGGTACAGGCATTGGGTAAATGCTCCCATTCCAAATGGGAGATATTGGCCAAAACAAAGGGGCTACAGGCCTTATGCAAGTCCAAAACCCAGCAGGGCAGTCATTAAATCTTGAAACTCCAAAATAATCTCCTTGGACTCCATGTCTCACATCCAGGGTACACTGACATAAGGGGTGGGTTCTCCAAGCCTTGGGCAGTTCCACCCCTGGGGAGGAGCTGTGCAGGGTACAGCCTCTGTGGCTGCTTTCATGGGCTGGTGTTGAGGGCCTTTGGTTTTTATAGGTGCACAGTGCAAGCTGTTGGTAGAGCTATCATTCTGGGATCTGGAGGATGGTGGCCCTATTCTCACAACTCCACTAGGCAGTGCCTCAGTGGGGACTTTGTGTAAGGGCTCCAACCCCACATTTCCCTTCTGCACTGCCCCAGTGGAGATTCTCCATGAGGGCTCCACCCCTGCAGCAGAATTCTGCCTGCACACCAGGTGTTTCCATACGTCCTCTGAAATCGAGGCAGATGTTCTCAGACCTCAATTCTTGTCTTTGGCACACATGCAGGCTCAACACCATATGGAAGCTGCCAAGGCTTGGGGTTTGCACCTTCTGAAGCCACTGCCTGAGTTGCGCCTTGGCCCCTTTTAGGCATGGCTGGTGCTGGAGTGGCTGGGATGCAGGGTTCCATGTCCCAAGGCTGCACAGAGAAGCTAGGCCCTGGGCCTGGCCCACTAAATCATTTTTCCCTTCTAGGCCTCCAGGCCTGTGATGGGAGGGGGTGCTGTAAAGGTCTCTGAAATGCCTTGGAGACTCCATTCTTGGCTATTAACATTTGGCTCCTCTTTACATATGCAAATTTCTGCAGCAGGCTTGAATTTCTCCCCAGAAAATGGGTTTTTCTTTTCTATCACATGGTCAGTCTGCAAATTTTACAAACTTTTGTGCTGTTTCCCTTTTAAATGTAAGTTCCAGTTTCAAATAATCTCTTTGTTCATGCATATGACTGTACATGTTTAGAAACAGCCAGGTCACATCTTGAATGCTTTGCTGCTTAGAAATTTCTTCCACCAGATACCCTAAATCATCTCTCTCAAGTTCAAAGTTCCACAGGTCTCTAGGGAAGGGGCAAAATACCACCAGTCTCTTTGCTAAAGCATAGCAACAGTGACCTTTACTCCAATTCCCAACAAGTTCTTCATCTCCATGTGAGACCACCTCCACCTGGACTTCGTTGTTCATATCATTATCAGCATTTTGGTCAAAACCATTCAACAAGTCTCTAGGAAGTTCCAAACCTTCCCACGTCTTCCTTTCTTCTTCTGAGCCCTTCAAACTGTTCCAACCTCTGCTCTTTACCCAGTTCCAAAGCCGCTTCCACATTTTCAGGTATCTTTATAGCAATGCCCCACTCCCGTACCAATTTTCTGTATTAGTCTGTTCTCACACTGCTATAAAGAACTACCTGAGACTGGGTAATTTATGAAGAAAAGAAGTTTAATTGACTCACAGTTCTGCAGGCTTAACAGGAAGCATGGTAGGGAGGCCTCAGGAAACTTATAATCATAGCAGAAGGCAAAGGGGAAGAAAGCACATCTTACTGTGGTGACGGGAGAGAGAGAGCAAAGGGGAAAGTGCCACATACCCGTAGACCATCAGATCTCATGAGAACTCACTCTGACAACAAAAAAAGCATGGGGGAAATCTTCCCCCATGATCCAATCACCTCCCACCAGGCCCCTCCTCAAATTTGACATGTGATTTGAGTAGGGACACAAATCCAAACCATATCAGATATGGTCATATAAATTTTATTTTTTTACCTGTTGATGTGGTAGATAGCATTGTTTTCCAGTGTTGAACCAGCTTTGCATATCTGAAATAAATTGGTTGTGGAATACAATTCTTTTATACCTTGTTGGATTCAAGTTACAAATATTTTTTGAGGATTTGTGTATTTGTTCCTGAGAGATATTAGTCTATAGTTTTTCTTACTCTTACTAATAATGATTTATCTGATTTTAGTATCAGAGAAGTGCTGGCCTCATAGAATGCATTAGAAAGTGTTCCCTCTGCTTCTATTTTCCAGAAGAGATTGTAGAGAATTATTGTATTTTCTGTCTTAAATGTGTGATACAATGCACCAGTGAAACTATCTGATCCTTCTGCTGACATTCTTGGAAGGTTATTAACTCCTGATTTATTTTTTATACATATTGACCTGTAATGATTATCTATTTCGTCTTTGATGAGTTTGGTAGTTTGCATTTTGCAAGTAATTGGCCCATTTCATATAAGTTATCAAATTCGGGGTCACGGAGTTATTCATCATATTATTTTACTATCTTTTCACATCGAAGGGATTCCTGCTGATGACATATCTTAAATTTCTGATATTAATAATTTTGGTCTTCTCTGTATTTTTCTCAGTCTGACTAGAAGTTTATCAATTATATTGATCTCTTTAAAGAACTAGCTTCTGATTTTATTTTCTCTTATTTTCCATTTTTTATGTTCATCGACTTCTGCTCTAATTTTGCTTATTTGTTTGCTTTAGGCTTAAATTTTTTTTTCTATTCATAATTCCCAAATGTGGAAGCTTAGATTATTGATTTTAAATCTTCTTCCTTTGTAATATATGCATTTAATGCTATAAATTTTTCTCTAAGTATTATTTTCATTGCATTCTACATATTTTGATAATTTGAATTCTCATTTTCAGTTAGGTCAAAATATTTTGTAAAAATTTTTCTTGAGGCTCCTTCTTGACCCATGTGTTATTTGAGGTTAATTTATAAGCATTTTAGGATTTTTGTGGTATATTTCTGTTGTTAATTTCTATTTTAATTCTATTGTCATCTGAGTTTATATTTTATATTTAATTTTTATTTAAACAAATACGTTAAATATGTTAAGGTGTGTTTTATGGCCAAACATGTGGCCTTTGTGAGTGTTTCAATGTGAGCTTGAGAAGAATGTATATTCTGCTGTCGTTCAATGAATTATTCTATAAATGTTAATTAGATTCAGTTGATTGATGTTTCAGTTCAGTTCAACTTACATCTTGTTGGAGAATTAGCCTCATCAATCTTTGTGTAAGTCTCTGCTTTATCCCTGCTATTTTTTTTTCTTTGGAAGCCTGCTTTGTCTTAAGTTAATAGCTGCCCTGAGAGCATCCTGAAAGTTGGAATGGGTATGTGGGGCAAGACTCTGATGAAGCTGGGATCGTTAAGACCCTACATTCTGATGAATCTTCTTTGCCAGTAGAAACAACTCTCCAGCCCAGTAGGAATGGCTGCTCTGAACCTATTTGGGGCAATTAACACTGTATAGCCTGAGGTGACTGCAATGGGCCCCCTGAGGTAGTTGCCATGCAAAACACAGCTGATTTTTTTCAGGTCCCACCCCATAACTACACTCACATCACAACAGGACTCTAAAGGCGAGGTAGAAAGTGTGACCCATGAAGAGGCGTGACACACTCCAAGGGAATTAGTTGTGTTTTCTTATTTATACAGACAAAAATCCAGGCTATATGTGCAGAAATGAATAGTAAGTGTGTGGGCTAATGAGAGAAAGTTAGATCAGGGTAAGTTTATTGATATGGGCCCACTAAGCAGAGACTCTGCATTTAATATTGTAGCTTGGGGAGTCAGAAAGGACTCTAACAGTTTGGTTGGTGGACCCAAAAAGGGATCAAAAGGTGGCCCACAGCAAGGGAGTTAAAATATAAATGCCAGGTGTGCCTTGGTTTAATGCCGAAGAAGGGATTAAAGGCTTAAAGACATTGGGATGTTAGAGTGGATTTTCCATTTAAGACCTACTTATATGCCCTGGGAGGCTTCAAAAAACATACCTTTCACCAAAATGGTGAGAAATAAATTTTTGAGGAGAGCCTCAGCATCCTTGATGTGTTTGTTCTCTATAGGCAAGATTTTTAGTGGAAACTAGAGTCACTGAATTGGGAAAACTAAATGTAATGGGAGTAACTGGATCCCAGGTTGGCAGGAGCCAAGTACCAGCATTCAGCCACCAAAATCCAGGTGGGCCTAGCTGACACAGTGGACAGCAATGTCACAGCAGCCACTAGAATAGTCTCACTCGTGGAGACCTATGGCATTGGCTAGTTGATCATGGTGCTCCTAGAAGTGAAATAGAGAGGAAGCCAACTAAATTCTTACTTGATCTGTATAAGCAGAAAAAGTTGTAGGTCAAGTGAATAAAAGTCTAACTCTAATACTGAAAAACAGAGAATCATGATCCCTCAATCAATTATCAGAGGCAAAGTAAGGCCTTTATTCTTCCTGTAAGGGATAAAAGCCAAGTCCCCTTGAGGAAGAAACCCATGACACTGCCAAAAATTTATAATGTTAATCTCTTTCTCAGCCTTCCCCAGAGGAGCTTATGGCCTTTTAACAAGATGACTAAGCATTAGGGAAAAGTAAATAATCAGACATTTTGGTGACTGCTGGACACTGGCTCTGAATTGACACTAATTCCTGGTGGCACTGAACACCACTGTGACTCAACAGTCAGAGTAGGGGTTATGCAGATCAGGTGATCAGTGGAGTTTTAGCTCATCTTATAGTAGATTCAGGTAATCTCTGAACCCATCCTGTGGTTATTTCCCAGTTCCAGAGTGCATAATTGGAATGGACATATTCAGCAACTATCAGAATCCCCACATTGGTTCTCTGACCTGTGGAGTGAGGGCCATTATCATAGGAACTGCCTGTACCTAAACAATGTAAACCAAAAGCCATACTGCATTCTTGGAGAGATTACAGAGATTAGTGCTACTCTCAAGGACTTTGAAAGATGCAGGCGTGGCAGTTGCTACCATATCCACATTCAATTGTGCTATTTGGACTGTGCAGAAGACAGATGGACCTTAGAGAATGACAGTGGATTCATGAGCTTAATCAAGTATTAACTTTAATTGTAGCTGCTTTAGCAGATGTGGTTTCATTACTTAAGCAAATTAACACATCCCCTGGTACCTGGTATCTGAGATCTGGCAAATGCCTTTTTTTTTCTGTATCTGTTTCGAAAGGCCATTAGAAGCAGTTTGCTTTCAACCTGCAAGGCCAACAATACAAATTGAGTGTCCTATCCCAAGGGTATATCAGCTCTCCAGCCCTGTGTCATAAATTCAGTTCATACAGAACTTGAGGCCTTTTCCTTCCACCAGATACCACGCTGGTCCATTATCTTAATGACATTATACTGATTTAACCTAGTGAGTGTGAAGTAGCAACCACTCTGAACTTATTGGTAAGACATTTGCATGTCAGAGGGTAGGAAATAAATCCAACTAAAATGCAAGGGCATTCTACCTCAGTGAAGTTTCTAGGGGCCTAGTGCTGTGGGGTGTGTCAAAATATCCCTTGTAAGGTGAAAGAGAGTTGCAACATCCCGTCCCTCCTATAACCAAGAAAGAGGCTCAAGGCCTAGAGGCCTCTTAGTATTTTGGAGGCAACGTATTCCTCATTCAGGTCCAACCCATTTACAAAGTGAACTAAAAAGCTGCGAGTTTTGAGTGGAGCCTAGAAAAGAGAAGGTTCTGCAAAAGGCCTACATTACTGTGCAGCTGCTGTGCCCCTTGAGCCACATGAGCCATCAGATCCAATGGTACTTGAAGTGTCAGTGGCAGGGAGAAGTGCTGTGTGGAGCCTTTGGCAGGCCCTTTTAAGTGAATCGCAGTGCAGACATAGGACTCTGGAGAAAGGATCTGCCATCCCCTGTGAATAACTACTGTCTTTCTGAGGAACAGCTTTTGGCCTATTCCTGGGCCCTTTTAGAGCCTGAACACCTAATCCTGGTCCATCAAATTACCATGCAAGCTGAGTTGGCCATTATGAGCTGGGTATTTTCTTACCCACCAACTCAAGAGGTAGATGTGCACAGTAACAATCTATCATCAAATGGAAGTAGTATATGTAAGATTGAGCTTGAGCAGGCCCTAATGGCACAGTTAAGTTACATGAAGAAATGACACAAATGTCCATGCCTTCCGTAGAAGCCTGAACCTATGGCCTCATGGAGAGTTCCCTATGATCAATTGTAGAGGAAAAGAATCTCAAGCCTGGTTTACAGATAGTTCTGCAGCATATGCAGACACTACCGAAAAGTGGACAGCTGCAGCACTGCGACCCTCTCTGGATCATTCCTGAAGAACACTGATAAAGAAAAAATCCTCTCCATGGGCAAAACTTCAAGCAGCACACCTGGTTGTTCACTTTATTTACAATGAGAAATGGCCAGCAATGAGATTCTATACTGATTTATGAGCTGTGGCAAATGGTTTGGCTTAATGGTCATGTCCTTAGAAGGAACAATATAGGAGTATTGGTGAAAACGAAGTATGGAGAAGAGGTATGAGAGTAGACCTCTTTGAATGGGAGAAAAACATGAAGATATCTGTGTCCCATGTGAATGCTTACCAAGATTTTAGTAATAAAATGGATAGAATGACTCATTCTGTGGATACAGTCAGTTTCTTTCCCCATCCACATTTGTCATAGTCCAATGGGCTCTTTGCCATTGTGGCAAAGATGGGGATTATGCATGGGCTTAGCAACACGGACTTCCACTCACCAAGGTTGACCTGACTATGGCCACTGTTGAATGCTCAATCAGTCAGCAGAAGAAACAGCACTTATTACTTGATACAGGATCATTCTTCGAGATGATCAGTCAGTAACCTGGGGCGGGTTGATTACATTCTATTGCTTCCATTATGGGAAAAGCAGGGTTTTGTTTCTACTAGACAAGGCACTTACCCTGAATATGTATTTTCCTTCCTTGCATGCAATGCTTCTACTAAGACTACAATCTGTGGACTTACAGAATGCATTAGTCACTGTTATGTTATTCCACACAGCATTGTTGCTGATCAAGGAACTCACTTCACAACAAACAAAGTGCAGCAACGGGCTCATGCTCATGGAATTCATTGGCCTTTCTATGTTCCCCACCATGCTACAAAAGCAGGCTTGGTAAGATAGTGGAATGGCTCTTTGAAGACTCAGTCACAGAGTCAGCTAGATGGCAATACCTTGCATGGCTGGGACAAAGTTCTCCAAAAGGCTGAATATGCTTTAAATCAGTGTCTAATATATGGTTCTGTTTCTCCCATGGCCAAATGCATAGGACCAAGAATCAAGGGGTAGATATGGGAGTGACACAACTCACCATTACCCCTGGTGACCACTAGCGGAATGTTTGCTTCCTGTTCCCATGACTTTATACTCTGCTGGGCTAGGGGTCTTAGTTCCAAAGGGAGGAATACTTCCACCAGGAAACAAAATGATTCCATTGAACCTGAAGTTAAGAGTGCCACCCAGTCATCTGGGGCTCCTCATGCCTCTAAATTAACTGCCAAAGAAAGTTATCATGCTGGCTGGAATGATTGATACTGGTCTGGCTGGATTATCAAGGAGAAATTAGACTGCTACTCCACAATGGAGGTAAGGAAAAGTATATCTAGAATTCAGAAGATCCCTTAGGGAATCTCTTAGTATTACCATGCCCTGTGATTAAAATCAGAAGAAAACTACAACCCAATCTAATGTTTCAGATGACTCTCCAGGAATGAATGTTTGAGTCATCCCCCCCAAAAAAGAGCTACAACCAGTTGAGGTGCTTGCTGAAGGCAAAGTAATACAGAATGGGTAGTGGAGGAAGGTAGCTATAAACACCAGCTACGACCACATGACCAGTTATAGAAACAAGGACTGTAAGGACTGTAATTGTCATGAGTATTTCTTTTCTTCTTCTTTCTTTCTTTTTTTTTTTTTTTTTTTTGAGACAGAGTCCCGCTCTGTAGCTCAGGCTGGAGTGCAGTGGCACGATCTAGGCTCACTGCAACATCTGCCTCCCAGGTTCAAGCAGTTCTCCTGCCTCAGCCTCCTGAGTAGCTGGGATTACAGGTGTGCACTGCCATGCCCGGCTAATTTTTGTACTTTTAGTAGAGAGGGAGTTCCACCATGTTGGCCAGGCTGGTCTTGAACTCCTGACGTCAGGTGATCCACCCGCCTGGGTCTTCCAAAGTGCTGGGATTACAGGCATAAACCACCATGCCTGACTGAGTATTTCTTTCTTAATTTGTTATTTATATGTCTGTGTGTGTCTCTGTGTGTAAGTGTATATATATCTTTTGTTCTCTCTCTTATTCCCTTATTATGTAACATAACAAGTATTGACTTTTTTTTTTTTTTTTTGAGATGGAGTCTTGCTCTGTCACCCAGGCTGGAGTGCAGTGGTGTGATCTCCGTTCACTGCAAGCTCCGCCTCCTGGGTTCATGGCATTCTCCTGCCTCGGCCTCCCGAGTAGCTGGGACTACAGGCACCCACCACCACGCCCGGCTAATTTTTTGTATTTTTAGTAGAGACGGGGTTTCACCATGTTAGCCAGGATGGTCTCGATCTCCTGACCTCGTGATCTGCCTGCCTCAGCCTCCCAAGGTGCTGGGATTACAAGCATGAACCACCACGCCTGGCTGACTTTCTTTCATAGTAGTTAAATATTGTCATTTTACAACATGATATTTAAGTTTTGGGATATAAACGAAAAATATAAACATCATCCAATTATTTTGCTTATTTTTCTGGGGAAATATTTCATGTGTTTTTGGTTGTACACAGGATGTTTGCACCATGTTAGGCAGAAGAATGACCTTGTTATTATCTCTTCAAGATGTGCATGGTTGTCAAGTTGACAAGGGATGCTTATGATGATTAATTTTGTATCAACTTAACTGGGCCATAGGGTGCCCAGATATTTGGTTAAACATTATTCTGGGTGTTTCTATGAGGGTGTTTGGAGATGACACTTAACATTTCAATTGGTAAAGTGTATTGCCCTCCATAATGTAGTTGGGCCTCATCGAATCATTTGAATTCCTGAACAGAACAAAAGGCAAACCATACCTTGAGTAATGGAAAATTTTCCAAAAGAGTGCTTTTGGGCTTCATCTGTACCATCCGTTCTCCTGGATCTTACTTCAGATTTGAACTTTGAACTTGCCAGTTTCCAAAATTGTGCAAGCCAAATCCTTATTACATATAACATATGTAATATATTGTATATTATATACACACACACACATATATGTGTGTGTATTTTATGTGTATTTCTCTCTCTATATATATATATATATATAGCAAACAACAACAAACATCGAAAGGCATACAAAGGAGGAAAGTATGGGCTATTCACACACAGAAAAGAAAAAACAGAAACCATCAAATATATATATATATATATATATATATATATATATATATACAGAAAGAGAGAGAGAGAGAGAAAGAGAGAGAAAGACAGAGAGACAGAGAGAGCGACAGAGAGACAGAGAGATGTGTGTAATACTCTCAGGAGAACTGTGACTAATACAAGTGGCCTAATGCTAAGTCCAAAGAAGCAACTCTCCTGGGCTTTTAGTGGTGCAGGCTGTCTTTGGGTGTCATTTCTAGACATTAAATCCAGCTGTCTCACTCCTGTCATGGATTAAGCAATTTAATGCCTTGTGCAAAGTCCTTCTCTGCTTAAATTAGTTAGTCAGGAGCCTTTTATCTGTGAATACATTTTCACTGACACACAGAGGGATTATCATGAAGTCATTACAAATATTGTGATTGGTTCATGTCCTTCAACACATAGTAAGTGGCAAAAAATGGGCTGCAAAAACATTACATATACAATGATAAGAATAAAGGGAAAAATAAAATTAAAATTACATATTATAAGAATGTGTTTGTGTATGTGTGTGTATATATCTCTCTATATATATCTATATATATCTCCAATCCTCCCTCTGACCTATGTACTATTTTTATACACTACAATTTTACATATGCTTTAGACACAAAATCTGTTATTATTTTTGCTTTAAATAGTAAGACTTTAGAGAAATCAAAAATGAGAAAGCCAGTAAATTTTATGTTACCTTTGTTCATTTCTACTGCTCTTCATTTTAAAAGATTAGGAGTGTGGTTACATGATAGGACTAGTTAAGTAGGGAGCTCCAAGAATTGGTTCCTCCACTGAAGCCACCATTAATCTTAGAAAAACTGGCAGAATCCACTTTTACTAAAACTCTGCAATCTAATTCAACACTTACAATAATCAGAGAATATCTATTGAAAAAAGAGAAAGCTGAATTTTAGTAAGAAAAAACTGTGGCTTTTTTTCTGACCCACAGACAATTCTTGATTCCCTAGATCACCAGTGGCCCTGGGAATCACAACATGAATTTATGATGTGGCTTGCTGGTGCCACTGCCTGGGTGGTAGGTGGCAGAATATAGACCTTGTTCTGAAAATAAATTGTATTTGTAGGTTTTGACTTATGTGGCAGTTCCCTGAGAGACCAGCACAGAGGCTGACCATTGTTTCATCTCTTTCTGCTGGAGGAGGCTTTTAGGTATCATCTCATGAAAGTGTTTGGAGTGCTACCCATAGCCACCTAAGACAAGTGATGGAGGACGGAGCAGATACCAGATGGTCCTAAAGGTCTGGGAATGAGGTGGCTACTGAGGTAGACTCTTGAGGAAGTAAAGGCACTGCACATAATGAGTAATCTGGAGTGTAAAGTCTACACCCAAAGATAAATACATTCTCATAAAAAGAACTGACAGTGCCCTAGACTTGCAACTCTGGGTATCTTTGGGCATGGAACTTCATGAAAGCTAAGGCTGAGTTATAGGTGGCCTGTCTAAACAATAAAGTATTGTACCAGCTCAGGGCCAATATGAAAAGACCAAAATCTTTTTTTTGTTGTTTTTTGTTTTGGCTCCAGGCATTTAAGGAAATCTCTATCAGGTCACAGGTCAAATGAGGAAATAATGAAACAGATTGCAAGACTATGTACAATAAAGAATGCGGTCTTCATAAAAATACTTTGCAAAAATAAAAAAACAGAATGCAGTTCTTTACTATCACCATCAACAAACCGTGGGGAGGGGGAAGGATCTGATTATCATAGTTACAATATTATAATATTCACAGCGTCAAGTTTTCAACATCAACAACAAACATCAAAGGCATACAAAAGAGGAAAGTATGGCCTATTCACACACAACAAAGAAAAAACAGACAGAAACCGTCAATGATAAAGCCCTAACATCGGATTCATTAAACAAAGAAATTAAATTAACTATCTAAAATATGCTCAAAGAGCTAAAGTAAATCGTGAACAAAGGAAACTGTGAACAGGAGAATTACATATGAAAAAATAGAGAATAGCAACAAAGCAATAGATATTATAAAAAATGAATGAAGTAGACATTCTGAGCCTGAAAAGCATGATAACTGAAACAAATAATTAACCTAGAGAGGTTCACTAGTAGATTTGAGCAGGCATGAGAGAATCAGTGAATTTGAAGCTAGGACAATTGAAATTATCCAGTCTGGAGAGCAGAAAGAAAAAATAATAAAGAAAAATTTATAGAACCTAAGGGATAAGAAATTGTGGGGGGCAAAATGCAGTGGGATGACATATTTAAAGAGCTTAAAATAAAATAAAACTGTCAACCAAGAATTCTATGTCCAGCAAGCTATCATTCTCAATGAAATGAGAAATTAATACTTTCCCACATAAACAAAAGCTGAGGAAGTGTATCACTAGGAGGCCTGACCTCTAAGAAATGCTGAATAGAATCCTTCAGGCTGAAATAAAAGGAAACTAGACAGGAATTTGAACACATATGAAGAAATAAGAGCTCTGGTAAAGGTAACTATACAGGTAAATACATAAGCCAGTATTATTAAATTTTTGATGTATAACTCCTCTTTTTATATCCTATTTTATTTTAAAAACAAATGCATAAATAGTACTTTTAACTTTGTGTTAATAATCATGCAATGTATAAAAATGTTATTTGTGACAACATAAAGGGGGATACTGAACTGTACAAGAACAGAGTTTTTATATGCTCTTGAAGCTAATTTGATATCAATTCACACTAGATTATTTTAAATTTCAGATTTAAATGTAATCCCCATGGTAACCACTAAGAAAATATCTAAAAATATACATAAAAGGAAATGAGGTGGGAATTAAAATGACAAACTAGAAAAAAATCAATCTAACACAAAAGAAAGCAGTATTGGAGGTTATCAGTGAGCAAAGAGATAAAAGACATGCAAGAACTAAATTAAAAAATCACCAGTAGTCACTTTAAAGGCAAACGATTGAACTCACTAGTTAAAAGACAGAGACTGGCAGAATAGATTTTGTTTAAATGGTCCAACTATATGCTGTCTAAAAGAGACTCATTTTAAAGCCAAAGACACAAATATTATAGGTTGAAAATGAAAGGATATAAGAAGATAGTCCATGCAAATAGAGCTAGAGTGGCTACACTAATATTTGATAAAATAGACTTTGATTCAAAAATTGTTGCAAGAGACAAAAAAGGTATTAAATATTGATTTAAAAGATCAATTCACCAAGGAGATATAACAATTGTAAATACATATGTACCAAACAATAGAGCCCCAAAAGATATGAAACAAATATTGACAGAATTAAGGGAAGAAATAGATAGTTCTACTACAAAAATGGTTGGAGACTTTGTACTAGTTTTCTAGGGCTGCTATGACAAGCTGTCTTGAATTGAGTGGCTTAAAACAAAATAAATTTATTATCTCTCAGTTCTAAAGATGAGAAGTCTGAAATCAAATTGTTGGCAGGTCCATGCTCCCTCTGAAGTTCCTAGGGAAGAATTATTTCTTGCCTCCTCCAATTCTTGATGGTTGAAAGCCATCCTTAACATTCCCTGCTTTGTAGCACCATGACTCCAATCTGCCTCCATGTTTACATGGCCTTCTTTCCTGTTTATGTCTTCAGATTTCTCTCATCTTATAAGAACAAAAGTTTTTGGATTTAGGGATTTAGGATTTAGATTTTAATACAATAAAAACTCATCTTAGTTTAATTATATCGAGTTATGGCTTCAACATATTTTTGGCGGGACACAATTCAACCAACAACTGTGGTAATAGACATGTAAAATAGGGTGAATGCATGATACTGACAAGGTGTGCACACAGCAACAAGGATATCTTAAAAACACTTATCTGAGGGAAAAAGGAAGAAGCAAAATTGCATTTACGTAATTTAAAATGTATGCATACAAAACAGGTCTACACATTTTATGATGTCATCTACAAGGAAAGAATGCATGCCAACTATTACATTAAATTAAATTAAAATGAAACCTGTGCTCAGGGGTAGAATGAAGCAGGAGATGGGGACTGATAAGGTTTGGATCTGTGTCTCTGCCCAAACCTCATGTCGAACTGTAATTCCCAATGTTGGAGGTGAGGCCTGCGGGAACGTGATTGGATCATGGGGGTGGTTGCTCATGAATGGTTTAGCACTCTCCCCTTGGTGCTGTCCCTATGACAGTGAGTGAGTACTTGCAAGATCTGGTTGTTGAAAAGTGTATGGCACCTCCCCCTTCACTCTCTCTCTCTTCTTCCTGCTCTGGTCATGTGATGTGCCTGCTCCCCCTTCACCTCCTGCCATGATTTTAAGTTGTCTTAGGCTCCCCTGGAAGCTGAGCAGATGCTCAGCTATGTACTCAGCATCATGCCTTCTGCACAGCCTGCAGAACGGTGAGCCAATTAAACCACTTTTCTTTATAAATTACCCAGCCTCAGGTATTTCTTCATAGCAATGGGAGAACAGAATAATACAGGAACAAAACATAAAATGAAAGAGAGGCTGTTCTCAAGTTAATAAGGAGCCTTGATCTGAGTGGTATGCTTGATGTCCTGTGCACCTGAGGTCCAAAAAAGAATTGATAATAAAATAAACACATAGAAATAATTGTCAACACTTATTTAGCACTTACCATGTGTCAGGTACTGTGCTAGCTCTTACAGACATACAAAGTAGGTGCTAGAAATACCTCCAGTTTACAAATGAGGAAACTGAGGCTCAAAATGGGAAGGCAAGTCATCCTAGGCAAGGCCACACAGCTGGTGGAGCCAGGAATTGAATTTAAAAATCTGGCTCCAGAGCCCTGTTCTCAGCCATGCATGAGAAAGTTGTCACGTATGCTATATGTCTGTATGTTTATATACAGTCCTGCATTATTTAATGATGAGGAGACATTCTGATAAATGCAACGTTAGGCAATTTTGTCATTGTGTGAATGTCATAGAGTGTACTTACACAAACCTAGATGATGTATATGCATATTATTATATGTATATTATATATATTTATAATATTATATACTTATATATTTATAATATTATATACTTATTTTATATATATTTTTTACATGGAAAACCAAATGTCCCAGCATCATTACTAAATATCAGTCATTTCCCCTACTTGATCTGCAATGCCAATAACAAGTGCCATAAGTTAGGTTTCTATATATGCTCCATTATAATATTATGGGACCACCATCATATATGTGGTCCATTGTTGGTTGAAATGTTGTTATGTGGTACATGACTATATATTCTACCTGTCTATCTATCTTATCAATGTCTAACTAACACAGTAAAAGTATTCTTAACAACTTTATTTCTTGTTTGAGCTCTTAAATGGCATTTTGAAATGTTGTAATATCAATCAATATAAACTTATAGAAATATTAATCATTGAGATTAAACCAAACCAAATCTCTAGGCCAAATCCCTATCAATCTCTTTAAGAAGAATATCGGATGGTAGTTTGTTCTGCATTTGTGATTATCTTAAAATAGTATGTAATGTAATATAGGAGAGAAAAATCATGAGTATTGAGTTTTCCTTTTGTTTGGAAAATGGCTAAATTGTATCTTATTGAAACTTGATACTATAGATTGATTCCCTTTTCAAATTCCCTTGGATATGGATTTTGTTTGATCTTGATTCCACATTCTCAATACTGAAAGTTTTCTTTGATGCCAGACATCTGGGGGTCACTTAACAAATGAAACAGCAGGGACTCATTTAAGTACCCAAATCTACCTTAGGTCCTAGAGATTGCAGCTGCCCCAGATCTGTACAAATCTGAAGTCACAGAATAAGGACTACAAGATTATCAACAAAAGAATTAAAGTAGGTATGGATTTTACTCACTGCCATTTGACTTCCTTAGAGAGAGATGGCTTGTAGAAGATGTGGCATTTTCTATCTCTCCCCAGAGACACAGTGGGGACTCTGTTTAGTCCTCGAAGGGCACTGTTTATAATATGAAAATGTGCTTCTGGGAAGATTTCCTATGGCTACCACTTTCTCAGATGACCTGGTGCCATATTAATAAAATGTTAAACCCACAAACTCCTGATGAGTCAATAAATAATGTAGGCTGAAATCACTAAATATTATGCCTCTGGGGGCTGTTCCATCGAAATGTACTGATTCAACACTTTTCTTCCGAGAAAGTTCTGCCTCATTCAGCATTCCTGCTGTGGAGTTTGCCAATCTGAATACCAAGGCCCTGGAAGGCTGCTGTCACCTTTCTCAGCACACAAATGATGGGGATGTAAGGCTGGTGCTCATGGAATTGCAATTGCCTCTTGTCTTTAAAGGCAGTTAATTTCTACCCAGTTTCTGAGACTGTGGAAGGAAAGCAGACAAGGTCTCTGCTTGACTAGTAGATTTTGCTCTTCCCCACCCTCACCATAAAGTTCAAAGGCACAAACTGAAAAGATTTTGAAAGCTGGCTCAAAGCCTTTTTCTTCTGTTAACAAAAAGTTAGAGTATTTTGCTTGGGAGGATCAGTTTCATAATTGTATCAGGGCTCCTATTCTAGAATTTCTAGAGCCAATTCTTCAGTAATGGGCATCTCAAGCAAGCACATGCAAGTTGTATGTTTATTAACAATTTTTTTTAAACTGGCAACGCTTCTCATGTTCCCTTACAGAGGGAGGAAGACATATCTGGAGAGACTGTGGAAAGAGCAGAAGAAAACATAAACTGATTACACCCACAGAACAATTGCTGATGGAACATGAAGGATGCTTTAGGGAAAGCACCCTGATGTTTCACATTCAAATTGCCTCATCATGTGTTTTTAAGGTGCTGCCTGTCTCCAGGCACAGAGGTGCCTGGAACTAAAACCTCAGTGTTTGTCCTCTCTGTATTATCCTTGGCTCCAGAGCAAGGAGAGAGTTCCAGGACAGGTGTGTACAGTGTTTGCAGGTGAATCTGCATGTTGGTCTGTGCACTCGTTTCTCCTTTCCACCCCAGCAGTCAGTGGTGATTTATAAGCATCCTTCTGCATGCCCTTGTGATGTGAGGGAAAGAGCAGAAACATTTGGTTTAGAAAATAAATGGAGTCTAAGTAAGACCTTGAGCCTTTAGTGGGTTAGTTGTCAGCTTTTGGACAGATCCCTTTACCTTCTTACCCTTAGCTTTCTCCCCTATGAAACGGGGCCATGATCTTGTAAAAGGATGAAAATGACATGAGTAATTGCAAATAATTATAAACATCAGGGAAAATTCAATCTACATCTACTACGCCTTCCATTCCTTTTCAACTATGTTATACATTTCTTTTAACTTTAGCTATTCATGGTGCAAGGGATCTTCCAGATCTCTAGAAAGCTAATTCAAAGACTGACATTAGAAAACTTTACAGAAAAAAAAAGATTAAAGAGTTGCAGGCATGGGTGCAAAGAGCAACATAGCTGCTAAAGGAAGCTTGAAATCTTTGTCTAGTCCTGGGGACCCAGCTGGAGTTGTCAGGAATCAGCAGAGCAGGTGTTCAGCTGAGGTTTGGAAGAATTCTTAGCCCATTGAAATACTTTATGGGCCGGGCATGATGGCTCACACCTGTAATCCCAGCACTTTGGGAGGCCAAGGTGGGTGGATCACGAGGTCAGGATGTTGAGACCATCCTGGCTAACACGATGAAACCCTGTCGCTACTAAAAAATACAAAAAAATTAGCTGGGCATGGTGGCAGGCACCTGCAGTCCCAGCTACTTGGAAGGCTGAGGCAGGAGAATGGCGTGAACCTGGGAGGCAGAGCTTGCCATGAGCCGAGATCGTGCCACTGCACTCCAGCCTGGGTGACAGAGCGAGAGTCCGTCTCAAAAAAACAAAACAAAACAAAAAAACTTTATAAAGTCCTGATGCGGTGGCTTATGCCTGTAATCCCAGCATTTTGGGAGGCCGAGGTGGGCAGATCACTTGAAGTCAGGAGTTCAAGACCAGCCTGGCCAACATGGCAAGACCCTGTCTCTACTAAAAATACAAAAGTTAGCCGGGCGTGGTGGTGGGCACCTGTAATCCCAGCTACTTGGGAAGCTGAGGCAGGAGAATCGGGTGAGCCTGGGAGGTGAAGGTGGCAGTGAGCTGAGATCACACCACTGCCCTCCAGCCTGAGCAATAAAGTGAAACTCTGTCTCGAAAAAAAAAAAAAAAAAACTTCATAAAAATGCTAAAATATTTATCCAGAATGCTCATTTATTTCTAGGATGAGGTTTATGCATTTCATCATGCAAAAAGTTCTGTTCAGGTCAGGACTAGAACAAATATTAATATATATTTACAAATGTTTGCAATGTACAAAAGGCTCTGTTAGTGATCTGCTGTAAAGAAAAAGAAAGGCTGCATCAGCCTTTGAAGTTTTGTTTGCCTTTGAAGCTGGAGGAAGTCATATTGCCTGAGTGCTGCTCTTCACATTAAGAAGGTAGGGCCACTTGAGGGACACCATCTGACAGGCTGCAATCTAGGAGAGACCTACAGGGTTCCAAAGGCTCAGTGTGCTAATTTCTGAAACAGGATAGAACCTCCCATCACCTCAGAGCGATGGGACGGCAGGCAGGCCTTGGCGAGCCTCACTTCATCTCCACCCTCTTCATGAAGCCCCTGACTTTTAGTTCTCTGCCTAACAGTCCAGAAGGGACTGGCCATTTCCAGCTAAAGGTCAGGCTGTCTTAGGCATAGTTGAAGTAACAGAATCATCCTTATTGCTGGTTGCTTTTTTCACTTTTATTTCTTTATTTCCTCTTCTCTTGAGGCTTTCAGAGGCACATTTTGGTGAGAGAAAATAAGTCTAAACATTTATGAATTAGAAATATTGGCTTCTGGCATCCTTGTGCCAGTTGTGTGGGAATCTATTTCTTAATAAGATCATAATTAAGAGCACGGTTGCAGATTGTGACTGTGTTTACAGGGGCCACTGAACTTGGCCTGTAAATAACAAACAAAGTCATAAAAACTATCCAGAGAATAAAAGGTGCATCCTACAGTGAAGCCCTAAGAGACGGTAGTCCCCAGGCTGGCTGGAGAGCAGCACAGTAGCCACTCTGCTGCAGCGGGAAGGGATTGAGGAGATGTCACGGAGTCTGAGTGGCAGAGCCAGGGCCAGATCCAGCCCATGAGGTCACAGGCTGAGGAGTTTCTGAGTTTCAGAGCCACAGGCACAGCCCAACCCCAGGACTGAAAGATGCCAGTTACTCATCCAGTCCCCAAGGAGTTCCTGCCGCTGACCTTTGAGAGAGAAGACCCCAGGGAACAAGCCTTTCACCAGAAGGGGGAAACTGGAGCTTGAGTAGCTGACATTAAATACTCATGTTGTCTTTGGTTATAGATTTAATCTCCCTGACTCTGTTTATTTTTCGTTTTTGTCTTTCATCATGAGTATGTGGTCCTAAAGCAGTGAATCTCAAACTATGTTTCTAAAGCATCTGAACCTGCTGGGAAATGAAAAGTTACCCACTATTTAATATAAATATACATGCATATACACATACACATACAAATGCATATACAAATACATATGCAAATACATGCACAAGTGCATATACATGAGCATGTATCCACGCATATCATATACATGTACACATACACATACATACATATACACATATAGACATATGCATATACATAGACAAAAGTATAGCTGTTTTGGCTGAAGCTCCGGTCTCACTCACTCAACTCACACTCACCCTCTCCCTCGTCTGGCCTTCATAGTGACACCTAAGCACCCTCACAAAAAGCCTAGGCTCTGCCCAACTCCACTTTAAAACCACTGAGCTTTGATTCAGTCAAAAGCTTGTCCTCACCAACCAGCTTGCCAGTGAATCTGAAAATGTGGACCTTTGCGTGAGTCAGTGCTTTCTGACATCAAAATCTCTTGAAGGAAAGAGGATCGTTCCCCTATTTTAAAGATTGAATTTGGCAAAAAATTTAAAAAAAAGAAGTAAGAATTTCAAGACAGATGGAAAAAATCTTTAGGGCTAAACAAAATCTCATAAAATGAATGAGGAGGAACTAAGCATAAACTATGTGATATTAATGGGTTAGAGATGTGCAGAAGTTTAGGGAAGATATTATACATGAGCAGAGCATTTAGAGATTGATGGGTTTCTGGATAAGTGGAGGGAAGCAGTGTAGGAGGAAAAAGCCATGGGTAAAATAAAAGTTCCTGATGATCACAGATGTCACAGGACTGGAGGAGTTTGTGCTATAAAAGGGAGAGGGATCGTAGTTGAGATAATGAGAAGATGAGAGAGACTCGTAGGAGCCTCATTATGGAATCTACGGAGGGCTGATAAGGGCAGGGCTGATCCTGTCACTCAGATAGGATGTAGAATGCTATCTCTGAGTGGGACAAGAACTCTGCCAGGCTGGTTCAGGACCGGGCGAGTGAGGGTGAGGTCTTGCTCAGCATTTTCAATGAGTGGGCCAATCAGTGGCTCTATGAAAATGGCAGAGATTCCTTCCTTGGTCCCTGTTGGATAGTCACCTCGTAAAATTGATCCTAATTTCTGACAACTACTCATGAAATATGCCTGCATTTTCCCATGCCAAACATTTGCAAACCATCTATTTGAAAAGTTTAAATGGATATTGTTAACTGAAAAAAAAAATCCACAATTTTTAAATTTAGAAACGGAAAGGAGACTTTTTTCTTATAAAGGGTTACATCCTGCAAGGTGGCCAACCTGCAGGCTGGGAAGCATGCCTCTGGCTGAAGCCCGGAGACAGGCACTTTGAAGGAGAAGGGGTTGAGTTGTAGAAGCTTCATTCTGAATAGGTTGACTAAACACACATATTCAACAAGTTACAGGAGGAGCTGTGAATATTCATGAAGGTGGTCCTGACACATGCCTAGTGAACAAACATGCATGTAACATACAACCCATATTCACCTTGGGGTGGAGAGTTACCATTTAAATTTGTTACAGTTTAGCCCTATATGTCAACAGGTTTTATCAGGAGACAAAGGCACTTAAGTGTGCAACCTCTGTAAACCAGCCAGAACCAGTCCATGATTGGTGGGCTCTTATCAGGAGAAAGTTACTGAAATCAGTCTCTTGTCTGATCGAAGCTGTAACTATGGCTGGTGGAACAGGAGTTTAGTGAGTGAGTGTCTGTCTGTGAGCTGGATGGATTGTGATTGTTTTAATATTGCTTATGTTGAGGCTGGGGCTTGTTTAGCTGCTAGAGAAAAAGAAAAAGCTGTGAGAACATAGTTTATCCTTTCAGTGTAGGGGTGTGTGACTTACCTCTTGCTTGGCATGGTAGGTCCTGTTTATAATTTGGTATCTTATGGCCACAAAGAGTCTGTTCTGTCATTCTTACAGTCTCTATTTTAACATTAATGCTGGCTGTTGTGACTAAACCATAAAAGGGAAGGGGCATAACAAGGCATGTCTGATGTCCCATCCTGTCATGGCCAGGAACTCAGTTTTCAGGTTTCTCTGGGCTCTCCTTGGCCACAATGGGGTCTGTTCAATAGGTGGGAGAGTCTGGATTTTATATTTGTTTATTTAGACAGAGTTTCGCTCTGTCACCTAGGCTGGAGTGCAGTGGCATGATCTCGGCTCACTGCAACCTTCGCCTCCCCAGTTCAAGCGATCCTCGTGCCTCAGCCTCCCAAGTTGCTGGGACTACAGGTGTGAGCCACAACACCTAGCTTTTTTTTTTTTTTTTTTTTTTTTTTTTTTTTTTTTTTTAGTACTTTTTAGTATTTTTAGTAGAAATGAGATTTCCCCATGTTGGTTAGGCTGGTCTCAAACTCCTGACCTCAGGTGATCCACCTGCCTCGGCCTCCCAAAGTGTTGGGATTACAGGTGCGAGCCACTGTGCCCAGCTTGGATTTTATTTTTAGTTTACAACATGCATGCCCACACTTGCACATATATGCACACATGTGTGCACACACATATTTATAAGAAGAAAATATGGACAGCTGCTACAGTCTTCATTTCTGGCCACAGTATCGTAGCTAATATTTAACTCAACTAGTTGGGGATCCTTTTTCTTGTCGGGTGACCCAAACCTTAATTCCCAAAGGGTGTGAGTCCTTAGCAGTCCTGCCTTTGTGAGGTTGCTATTATTGTCCATTTCTATTTCCAAAGGCTGACAAAATAAATTACCACAAACTGAGTGGTGGCTCAAAAAACAAATTGATTTTGTCACAGTTCTAGAGGCTGGAAGTCCAAAATCAAGATGTCAGCAGAATGCATTCCTTCTGGAGGTTCTGAAAGAAAAGCCTCCCTAGGCCCCTCTCCTAGCTCTGATGCTGCTGGCACGTCCTGGTAATTTTTTGGCTTGTTGCTTCATCATTCCAGTATCTGCCTCCATTGTCACATGGCACTCTTTCTGTGTGTGTCTGTGTCTCTTCTCTGTTTCCTTTTTTTTTTTTTTTTTAAGACGGAGTCTCACTGTCTCCCAGGGTGGAGTGCAGTGGTGCGATCTTGGCTCACTTCAAGCTCTGCCTCCTGGGTCCACACCATTCTTCTGCCTCAGCCTCCCGAGTAGCTGGGACTACAGGTGCCCGCCACCATGCCTGGCTAATTTTTTGTATTTTTAATAGAGACGGGGTTTCACCGTGTTAGCCAGGATGGTCTCGATCTCCTGACCTCGTGATCCGCCCGCCTTGGTATCCCAAAGTGCTGGGATTACAGGCGTGAGCCACCGCGCCCGGCCTTCTCTGTTTCTTATAAGGACGATAGTCACATGGACTAGAGCCCACCCTTATCCAGCTCATCTACCCTTGATATCATTTGCAAAGACTGTACTCCCAAATAACATCACGTTCACAGGTATTGGGGGTTAGGACTTTAGCATAGCTTTTTCGGGGGACACAATCTAGCCCACAAAATTGTCCACTAACATTTTCTATTATGTGTGGCAGAGCCAAGAAGCACTCAAGAGCATCCCCTGGGTTTTTAGGGGGACATGGTTCTTCCTACCTCCCTTGTGAGCAGAAACCCAATTTCTGCTTAGGGATCAGCCAGGACAGTTACTCTATTCTTTGTAGTGGAATAAGAAGCCTCAAATGACAGAATAAAGCCTCAGTATCCCATTCAACAGATACAGCCTTATTTTCTCCAGCAGAAGCACTTCTGTCTTAGGAACTAGAATCTCCAAACCAGCAAAGCACAAGATTCTGGAGGGAGAAGCAAAAATCCTGCAGAAGAAATATGAGAAGAGCCATTTCCAATTATGCCTCTTTGATTTCCAGACTCCTGTATTCTGTTGATTGATTGCTGCTTCAAAGCATATACTAATTCCAGAATGCTGTCACTTTATTGGCGCTGTAACTGAGTATTCTCAGGCCATTGTGCCATTATATCAGGACAAGGCAGAAATTGGTGGAGGTCAGTGTTACAATCTGCTTGCCCTATCATGTGGCTGAGTGGTTCCCCCGGGAAGTTAATGCTGCTGAACCCTTGAGTGGCTTCTATCACCACTTCCTTAGCCACTTTATACCCAGACCCATTGAGCAAACACCCCGGAGCCTTCCAGCACACCCACTGAATGTGTCATCACATCCCCCTGATTCCTGAAAGTCTCCTGTGTAGCAGATGACCTTCAGGGAACATTCACGTGGGACACAGGTATGCCCCACCCTGTGTCCCTTCTGAGAAGTCCATTTACACATCTCTTCTTCAGTCTGTCACTAGTTATCCAATGCCATTCTTTCCCAGTCTCTGACCATCTACTCAGAGAACCACACATGAATTTGTGTAGATCTGTACTTCTGGCCATCTGTTACGCAGATAAAATGAAAAACTAAATTTTACTGCTACAAGTTTTGTCCACTGGGAAGCTATCCTTTTCCCTTTGTTCTTCAGCACTATCCTTGAGTGAGACAGTAGCATTGGCAGCGATCCACTTATGGCTGGTGCCAGCATAACAGAACCATCTGCAAACCAGCTGCCGTAGGCAACTCCCAATGAGGTCCTAAGTGTAAATTATGGGAAGAAAAGATGGAGAAGAAGGAAAAGATGGAATCGGAGTCCTTAGCAGTCACCTGCTCATGAAACCTGTTTCTGGACTTGCCGAATCTTATTCTCCTCCCACCTTATGGCCTAGTGTGTCGGTGCATAGCCAATTCATGATGAACAGTGGTCATGAAGTTCTCATTTTGTCTTGACAAAGCTCAGTAGCATAGCAAGATAAGAGTTGATTCTTAAAATAATAATTATATGCAGAGTAGAACATGGCTTTTCTCCAAAGCCCTATATATTTGCATTGCGATTCTCATTTGGGCTTGCCAGAAGCTCCTGAAAACAGATATTCAATTATGCTTTTATTTATTTATTTATTTATTTATTTATTTATTTATTTATTTTGAGACGGAGTCTCGCTCTGTCACCCAAGCTGGAATGCAGTGGTGAGATCTCAGCTCACTGCAACCTCTGCCTCTTGTGTTCAAGCAATTCTCCTGCCTCAGCCTCCCGAGTAGCTGGGACTACAGGTGCCCGCCATCAGGCCTGATTAATTTGTGTATTTTTACTAGAGATGGGGTTTCACTATATTGGCCAGGCTGGTCTCGAACTCCTGACCTTGTGATCCGCCTGCCTCGGCCTCCCAAAGTGCTGGGATTACAGTTGTAAGCCACCACACCTGGCCTTCAATTATGCTTTTATGTGTGTCCATATGGCCCCAGTCACTTACCTTGGAGCTTTGTTGGTTACTCAATAAATGGGTTGGGACAGCACTCTCAAATGTGGTATTTGTTGCCTCCAAAGACATTTTCTCAACACCGTGCCCATTTTTTAGGGGTAGGTAATAGATGAAATAACAACTTCTGTTTCACTTTGGAAGAAATGCCCAAACATGCTTCAGACCACAGGGCCATGAGAAACCTCCCCAAGGCATGGGCCTCGAGATTTCATGGGGTTTATTGTTCACTCTTTGCCACACATGTGTCTCATTAAGACATTTAGGGTTCTTGCTGTGCTTGCTCACCAGATTCAACCAAGATGGTGTCCTGGGTATGGTGGAAGAAGATGTTCTCTGGGATGCAGACATTTCCCTGAACAAGTCCATCACAGAGAGCAGGAGAGTCTGGCCTCTTCAGATGTGAGCCATCATTAAGTTCAAATTCACTCCACCATCCATGCAAACTGTGAGAGCTGCTCCATGGTGCCCAAATCAGCACATTCAGCTAGAATCTCTGTAAGTGCTCTCACATGGATGGGGTCAGCCTTATTCAGTGTTGAATTCTGTGCTCTGTGGTGTAATGTTCTTAGGATTCATGCACTACATTTACCCATGTTTCTGGTACTTTGAATTGGTGAGTATTGCCCTTTTTATCATTTTTCTTCCCTCTCTCTTTTTTTTCTCTCTCTCCTATAAACCATGTCCTTCTGGATTGGACTTTGCTTTTCTCCCTGTGGAACATACTTGACATTTGTGACCCTAATTATGGGTCTCATGCACTAATGGGTGATGGGAGTGAGCCCTGAGAGTTTTAGATATCACCTTACCAGGGAGCTCAAGCATGTGAAGTTATTAAAAGGTCTTCAAATAAGGGAAGATTCTACAGGCAGGGAGAGGAGGCTGCTTCCTTCAGCAAGGATGGCTTAGAGAGACTTGGGGTGTAAATTTCCCAGCTTTTCTTGAATCCACACAGATAACCCAATTCCAAGTCTTGGAGAGCCCCCTGCTACAATCAAAGCCCAACTTTTACACAAATGTATTGGCGAGTCTGAGGATTGAACTTACACTGTAATTTTGTACCTACTCCATTAAATTCTGCATCTATTTTATACAGCTCTATCTGCCTTGCTGCTTGTAAGTAAAACAAAGATGTTTTGTTTTGGTTTTAGTGTCACTGGAGAAGCTGTCTGATTCTCTGAACATGACGCAAGCCTTGCTGTCACCACCACCGTGAAGGTCAGATACAGCACCCAAGGTACTTGCTGCAATAGGCCTTTCTTCCCCTGCAACTGAGGTGATAATTGAATCATAATACCACTGCACGCCTTGGGTTATAGGAATCCCGTTTCCCACTCAGCATTGCATTCAAGACAAAGGACATACCAAGTCAACCCTAACATCTCACATCAGATGTTCATAAACGGCTCACATTTTCTGTACTTTATGCATATTTTTTTACTCATAAAAGAGTCAAGGGGAAACAGCTTTGAAGAAGGAGCCCAAATGATATTAGCGTTCATACTTATTTTTAGACTTCAAAAAGATAGGTATCTAAACCCTACTTACTGGATAAATGTAAGGGTGTATTTTAGCCATTGTAGATTTCCTAACAGTAATTATTAACTATACAACCATACAAACTCATTATTAAGTACTTAGTGTGCTTTTGACATCAGCTCCATCTCGATTTCTTTGAATTGCATGAGCTGTTTTGTAGGACAGTACACATCTGTCCTGGAAGTGTCCCAGAGAGCCAGCAAACCCCTCACCTGCTGGACTGTGGCTGTGTTGGGAACCTGTCTACGTTTAAAACTCCAATGCTTTGACTGAGTGGTATTGGCTGGATAAAATCTGTGGTCTTTGTGAGCTCTACAAGGGCAAAGCTGGTTAACTTGTTCATTTCAAAGGAGTAATCTTAATATTGTTAATGTGGCTTGTGGCATCAAGGTTATTAGAATTTAAGGACTTAATAGATTTCTCCATCTACTACATCAATGGTAATTGTAGAAATTAGCTAAAATGCACTACTGCTTAAATGCAATGGAAAAATATTTCTTTCTTCCTTTCAAGACTTTAAGAGGTCTGAAATGTTTCTGTCCAGGCCCTTGCGCCTCTGCCACCGCTGTGAGAAGTACATATCCTGGCCAGCCTGCTGACTCAGGAGGTTGAGAATCAGGTGCAGCAGACCAGAGCACTGCTTCAGTGTCAGGGTAGAGCTGCTCCATGACCCAGAGATTCATACGAGTAAGTTATTTTCCTCAAGACCAGTGAGTTTGTTACACAACAGAATTGTGGCCATACCCAACCAATACAGCATGAATCTTTTCCATTACGTTACTATACAATTACACAATTGATCGTTCTATATGCATTGTTTTGTTAAACTGCATGTCTTAGGGATCCTCCAAGGTTAGTACCTATAAGCCAAACTTATTCTTTTTAATGGCTGCAGAGTATTCTGCAGTATGGTTATAGCAAAACTTATTTATTCATTCCCCTGTCGATGAATATCTAACTTCCCAATCTCTCCTTAAATCAACAATGCTGAAATGAACATTTTTATGTATATATGCCTTTTCACACTTGGGCATCATATTTAAGATAGATTCCTGCTGTAAAGTTTATGAATCAAAATATGTACATATTTAAATTTTGAGAATTACTGCCACTTTTTCTGAAAGGCTACACATTTGCACTCCCACCAATGATGAATGAGAACATTGATTACCCTGCCTCTTCTAAATTAATCCCAGCCTAATAGATGAGGAAAAAGTCTCATGGTTGTAACATACTATTTCTTGATTTTTGAGTAAGTTTAACACATTTTCATATGCTTACTATGTTTGACTCTTCCGAGAGAGTATGTTCATGGTCTAAATTTTTCTATTAAAATGTTTTTCTTTCTTATCAATTTTAGGATCTCTTTATATATTCTTGATATTCATCCGTATTGATTAAATATGTTACAAATATTATCTACCAATCTACCACTTGCCCATTGACTTTACAGTATTTTGCTTTTTCACTAAAGAAGATTTTAGGTTTTTATGAAGACAAACGTTTCATTAGATTTATGTAGGACTTTTGATTTTTGCACATTGCCTAGAAATACTTGTACTTCACTTCAATATAATGAAACCACTCCGTATATTTTCTTTTACTAAATTTACAATCTTAACTTTTATCTGGCATTTATACCATTGCACTATTATGAAAACACTCTATAATGTTTTCTCCTAATAAGTTTACAGTACCATTTTATATCTGAACATTTTTTATAATGTAAGAAAAAATTTTTCCTATAGATATCTAATTATCTCCAAATTATTTATTGAATGAGCTATTCATTTACTATTGACTTTAAACACCATTATCTTTGTCATAAGCTACTATCTCATTAACAGAAGAGTATATTAATTTTTAAAGAGTTTTAAAAATTTTATAGCAAAAACACATAAAATTTACATCTTAATTGTTTTTAATGTACCGTTTAGTAGTATTAAGTACATTCACATTGTTGTGCAATCGTGACCACCATCTATCTCTAGAAATTCTTTAATTTGCAAAACTGAACATGTACCCATTAAAAAATAACTCATCATTTCACCCTCAAAAGGGTGAAAATCCTGGAAAGCCTGGAAACTGCCAGTGTACTTTCTGTCTCCATGAATTTGACTACTCTATGTATCTCATATAAGTAAAATCATGCAGCATTCTTTTTATGACCAGCTCTTTCACTTAGCCTAGTGGCTTCAAGATTCATCCATGTTGTAGCACGTGACAGGATTTCCTTCCTTTTTTAAGGATGAGTAATATTAAGGGTATATTTCTAAAACCTCGAGCCTGTTTATCTGTTTTATTTTTCTACTTTGGTACAATACTACAATGTTTTAAATACAACAGATCAATAGTGATAAGAAAAAGCTGGTATAGTTGGATATTTGTCCCCTCCAGATCTCACGCTGAATTTGATCTCCAGCGTTGGAGGTGGAGGCTAGTGGAAGGTGCTTGGGTCACGAGGGCAGATCCCTCGTAAATGGCTTGGTGATATCTGCTTGGCAGTGAGTGAGATCTTTTTCTAATAGTTCATGAGAGAGTTGGTTGATTAAAAGAGCCTGAGCTCCCCTTCCCTCTCTCACCCTCTCTCTCGCCCTCTCTCTCACCCTCTCTCTCGCTCTCTCTCTCACCCTCTCTCACCCTCTCTCTCACCCTCTCTCACCCTCTCTCTCACCCTCTCTCACCCTCTCTCTCACCCTCTCTCACCCTCTCTCTCACCCTCTCTCACTCTCTCTCTCACCCTCTCTCTCACCCTCCCTCTCGCTCTCTCTCTCGCCCTCTCTCTCGCTCTCTCTCTCACCCTCTCTCTCGCTCTCTCTCTCGCTCTCTCGCCCTCTCTCTCACCCTCTCTCACCCTCTCTCTCGCCCTCTCTCTCGCTCTCTCTCTCACCCTCTCTCTCGCTCTCTCTCTCGCTCTCTCGCCCTCTCTCTCACCCTCTCTCACCCTCTCTCTCGCTCTCTCTCTCACCCTCTCTCGCTCTCTCTCTCACCACAACATAAACCTGCTCCCCTTCACCTTCCACTGGTGGTGGAAGCAGCCTGAAGCCCTCACCAGAAGCAAATGCTGACACCATGCTTCTTGTACAGCCTACAGAACCATGAGCCAAAGAAACTGCTTTTCTTTATAAATTACCCAGCCCTAGGTATTCTTTTATGGGAACACAAAATGGAATGAAATACAAGTAAATTTGCCATCTTATCGTTCTCTTTGTAAAAATGAATTAGACATTCTCCACTGCTGTGGTCTGAATATGTCCCCCAAAATTCATATGTTGTAAACGTAATGCCCAATACAACAGTGTTGGGACATGGGGCATTTTGAGAGATGTTTAGGTTTCTTCAAATTGATATCATTATAAAAGGGCTTGAAGGAGAAAGTCTGGCCCCATTTCACCCTTCCTTCCTGATATGGTTTGGCTGTGTCCCCACCTGAATCTCATCTCGAATTCCCATATATTGTGAAAGGGAACCGGTGGAGGTAATTGACTCATGGAGGCAGATCTTTTCCGTGCTGTTCTCGTGATAGTGAATAAGTCTCACGAGATCTGATGGTTTTAAAAATGGGAGTCTCCCTGCAAAAGCTCTCTTCTCTTGTCTGCTGCCACGTGAGACATGCATTTCACTTTCTGCTGTAATTGTGAGGCCTCCCCAGCCATGTGAAACTGTAAGTCGAATAACCCCCTTTCTTTTGTAAATTGCCCAGTCTCGGATATGCCTTTGTCAGCAGCATGAAAACGGACTAATAATACACTTTTCTTCTGCTATGTGAGGACACAGCATTTGTCCCTTCTGGAAGATGCAGCATCCAAGGCACCACCTTGGAAGCAGAGAATAGCCGTTACCCGATAGTTAAGCCAGCCAGCACCTCAGTTGGACTTAGGCTGTAGAACGGTCAGAGATAAATTTCTGTTCTGTATTAATTACCTAGTCTCAGATATTCAGTTATAGCAGCACAAAACTGACTAAAACATCTGCCATATGAATTTTAAAAACCTTTTATCAAGTTCATAAAACTTTCAGTTAAATTGAAAATTTTCTTTTTTTGGGGGGGTTTATTATTATTTTTATTTTTTATTATACTTTACGTTTTAGGGTACATGTGCACAATGTGCAGGTTAGTTACACATGCATACATGTGCCATGTTGGTGTGCTGCACCCAGTAACTCGTCATTTAACATTAGGTATACCTCCAAATGCTATCCCTCCCCCTACCCCTACCCCACAACAGGCCCCGGTGTGTGATGTTCCCCTTCCTGTGTCCATGTGTTCTCATTGTTCAATTCCCACCTGTGAGTGAGAACATGTGGTGTTTGGTTTTTTGTCCTTGTAATAGTTTGCTGAGAATGATAGTTTCCAGCTTCATCCATGTCCCTACAAAGGACATGAAATCATCATTTTTTATGGCTGCGTAGTATTCCCTGGTGTATATGTGCCACATTTTCTTAATCCAGTCTATCATTGTTGGACATTTGGATTGGTTCCAAGTCTTTGCTATTGTGAATAGTGCTGCAATAAACATATGTGTGCATGTGTCTTTATAGCAGCATGATTTATAATCCTTTGGGTATATACCCAGTAATGGGATGGCTGGGTCAAATGGTATTTCTAGTTCTAGATCTCTGAGGAATCGCCACACTGACTTCCACAATGGTTGAACTGGTTTACAGTCCCACCAACAGTGTAAAAGTGTTCCTATTTCTCCACAGCCTCTCCAGCACCTGTTGTTTCCTGACTTTTTAATGATCGCCATTCTAACTGGTGTGAGATGGTACCTCATTGTGGTTTTGATTTGCATTTCTCTGATGGCCAGTGATGGTGAGCATTTTTTCATGTGTCTTTTGGCTGCATAAATGTCTTCTTTTGAGAAGTGTCTGTTCATATCCTTTGCCCACTTTTTGATGGGGTGGTTTGTTTGTTTTTTTTTGTAAATTTGTTGGAGTTCATTGTAGATTCTGGATATTAGCCCTTTGTCAGATGAGGAGATTGCAAAAATTTTCTCCCATTCTGTAGGTTGCGTATTCGCTCTGACGGTACTTTCTTTTGCTGTGCAGAAGCTCTTTAGTTTAATTAGATCCCATTTGTCAATTTTGGCTTTTGTTGCCATTGCTTTTGGTGTTTTAGACATGAAGTCCTTGCCCATGCCTATGTCCTGAATGGTATTGCCTAGGTTTTCTTCTAGGGTTTTTATGGTTTTAGGTCTGACATTTAAGTCTTTAATCCATCTTGAATTAATTTTTGTATAAGGGGTAAGGAAGGGATCCAGTTTTTCATGAGATGTATAGATTAACCTGGAGATAATTTACATTTTCCATGACTGTATCTTTCAGTGTAGGTATAGGGTATGTCTCCTCTTATTTTTTTTTTTTTAACATTCTTCAACAAAGTTTACAATTTTATTCACATCAGACTTGTATACTCTTTGTCAGGTTTATGGTAGAATTTGCTGGCAACTCTTCAAAATTTAATCAACCCTTTTCTTTGTGCAAGCAGTTAGATTCCCTTCCCAGCTTCCCTTGCAATTAGTTGGGGTCATATGACTGAGGTTGTAGTTAGTGGAATTTGAGCAGAAGTGATGGATGTTACTTCCAAGCCAGGACCTTAAAACCATCCCACACTTTCTCTAAGCTCTCTTTCCTTCCTGCCTTGGATGACAACTCCCAGGGTGATCTTGGGAGAAACCTGTGGAAGGTGACAGAACCCCTGTGTCCCTGAATGATGCAGTGGAGCAGAGTCCCAACCTCCCCCTCTGGACTGCTGCCCTGGGCTTTTGGATGAGTGAAACATGAACTGCTCTTGGATGGAGTTGTTACACGTTTGAGTCTGTTACTACAGCTGATTCTACCCTAATCAGTATCAAACCAGTGACCTTAAGAAGGTGTGATGCCACAGATGAGCCCTGAAATACATGAATGCCACTTCCAGGCCACCCCATAACAACCTTACATACACACTCTTCCATGCTTTCCTCCTCTCTGGCTAACCAGGATTGCAACTCCATGATAGCCTTGGAAGCAGGGTATAAAAGATGGCAGAGTCGCTGCTCACCTGTGCACCTAGAGCCTCCACACCTGCCTGGAACCACCTGGAACGTCACGTTGCTAAGGGAGTTGTTAGATATTGGGGTCTCTGTAATGCTAGAAGAGGTTCCATTTAGATAATAAAAGTTCTTCTTTGGGGTTTTGTGTGCATTTAAACAATTGGTAATGGCATTTGTTTCTTTCTATCATGTTTTCTAATTGGTTATTGTTAGTAAGTATTTTTAAATGTTTATTTTATATCAGACCACCTTACTAGTTAATATAGTTTATCAGTTAATTCTGTGAAATTTTGGGGTAGATTATCAGATAAAACTTTTTAAAATGGCAGTTTTGTCTTTTCTTCATGCTGTCTGTACAATGTTTCTGTATTTACTGCTAAGATTTCTTATTCACTGTTTGCATAAAAGTGGTGCTAGTAGGTGTCCTTTTCTTGTGTATAATTTTAACATGAATATTTATGATATTTTGCCATTAGCTATTATGTTTGCTCCAGTTTTCTAGATCTCTCTTATACAAAATTAAGAAAGTTTTCTTTTATTTCTAACTTCACTGTTTTGCTTTGTTTACATTTTTATCAGAAATGTAATCAGGATGTTGGTTTTAGCAAATGCTTTCTTGATATTGATTGAGATGATCTTGTTTTCCTCTTTTAATCTGAAGACATACAGAATTGAATTAATAGATTTTGAAACTATTGAATCATGTTTGCATATCTAAGTCTTGATTTTACAAGACACACACATTTTTAAAAATCATTATTCTGTGAAATTTGCTAAGATTTTTTGGGGTTTAATTTCTGCAGCTCTCTGTGTTAGTGAGATTGGCTGATCTCATTTAGTTTTGTGTCAGCTTTGTCTAGTTGTGGTGTTAGTTTTATACTAGCCTCACAGAATAAGGTAGCAGCCTTCCCATATTGTTTGATGCTACAGCAAAGTCTGTATCACACAGGGATAATCTAATCTATGAGCTAAAGTTTCATAAAATTTATTAACTCAAGAAAATCCCTGAACTTGGTTTCATTATTATGGATAGATTTTTTTCTTTTTATTATCTTTTAAATTTGGTTTAGATGCTTTTGACTGTTTGAATTTTGTTTCTTATTAAGTTAAAAATGATAATTTATAGTGTTCTCAAAAACTGTCCATTTAATCTAGACATTGAAATATATTAATTTAATATCTTATATTTTAAATATATTTATATATTTATACCAGCTTGCTTTTAAAATTATATTTGTATTTATATTATATTACAAAATATTTTTAAATGCTCTTTTCATTGCAAAGAACTGTCTTTTTATTTTAGTGATGAAATCTGTGAATTTTAGCTGCTAAATCATTTTGTTTAAATCTTATTATATTGCTTCTACTTTCTTTAGGTTGTTTTTTCTTTGATTTGATTACATTTTTCAATTATGGAAAATTTTCAGCTGTTAGCTCCAAATACCTCCTCTCCATTCTTTCTCTCCTAGAACTCTTACAGATTGTGCATTCTATCATTAATTCCTCCTAAATGATCATTCCCAGTCGCCATTTTTTATATATCTGCTGTAATCTGAGTGATTTCTCAGTGCTAATGTCTACCTCACTGATTCTCTCTGTTGCTATTTCTATGTAATCTGTTGAAAACTGCATCTATTGATAAATTATTTTCTTTTTTGCTATCCTTTCATTCTTTATTTTTAGTTTATTTGTTTTATGGAAGGAAATATGGCTTGTATCATTTTTGCTTTTAGGAATGTGCATAGCTTTTCTTTGCAGCCAGACACATAATCTATTTTTGTGCCTATCTGGGTAGGGAGGATTTCAAAAACACCTGGAGGCAAGAATAGGGAACATTAACTGCCTTAAAACCAGGATCAGTCCTGGCTCCCCAGGGGCTCAGCTCATTGGCTCCAGACAAGAGTTCTGATCTGAACATCTGAGTTAAGAAAAAAGACCTCATGTGTCTTCCTGTGCCATCCTGCTGGAGCAAGAGCCAGGAGACCTACAGGAGCGCTGCTTCCTCCTCCCTTTTATGCGCTTGTCTCAAGTCTGTTTTGGAGGCCATTGCAAAGGTGCTGCCTGCAGGAGCCAGCCCTCTGGGCGTGTGGAGGGAAGGGCACACTGACTAAGCTGCCCACAGGAGGGAAGCGGGACCAAGGACGTGGGAGGAAGCTCACATGGTAACTATGGGGCATAAGGCATTTTGAGAAAAGCAAGACTTTGAGGAGGAATTTTTAGGACTAAAGAATAGCATGAGTGTCTGGAAATCCTAGGGTAAAGAGCAACTCATAAGGAGAAAGAGAAAGGTGGGAGAGCTCAGAGGCAAAAGTCTATTCTTACCTGTGCCCTGGACTGGCCCTTCCCTACCCCATTTCCTAGACACCGAGATAGAATTTCATGCTGCTCACAGTGTCCGGACTGCAACACACCATTTCTGTGTTTCCTGTAGTTAGGTGGAGTTGATAATTTAAGTAACAGACAAAACTAAGAGACCCCTTGGCCAGTCTCAGGCAGCAAGCACAGTGTGTGCCCTTTATTATTTTATTTTATTTATTTATATTTTTTGAGACAGAGTCTCACTGTGTCGCCCAGGCTGGAGTGCGATGGCGGGATCTTGGCTCACTGCAAGCTCTGCCTCCCGGGTTCACGCCATTCTCCTGCCTCAGCCTCTTGAGTAGCTAGGACTACAGGCGCCTGCCACCATGCCGGGCTAATTTTTTTTTTTTTTTTTTTTTTTTTTTTTAGTAGAGACAGAGTTTCACCGTGTTAGCCAGGATGGTCTCGATCTCCTGATCCCCCCTCCTCAGCCTCCAAAAGTGCTGGGATTACAGGCGTGAGCCACCACGCCTGGCCGTGTGTGCCCTTGATACTAGTAATAGGCACATGTGAATTTTGTCCACACTTATGCAGAAATGGAGAAAGAAGCACTGCAGTAAACACCTAAGAAACAGCAATCAGAAAGGTTGTGGGCAAAGCTCGATATTCAGATGTGTCCTGGACTCCCCTCCAGTATCATTTTAATTACAAATCATCCATATGGAAACCTGGAGACTGTTTTAACTTTCCTTTTCAGTTTTTAGTTATATCTTACATCTTATATCACTTTCTAAAATTGAATAACCTGGAGATTAATTTATTTGCTTGTCACTTTTCCATTAGAAGCTTGAATTCATTTCTGTTTTCATTACCAGTACACAGTGGCTTGTCCCAAATTATCTTCACCCAAATCCTACCTGGATGAACTTACAGCATTTTAATAAAAATGGTTATTTGCTCTGGGAGAAAATTGTAATGGGCAAAATAAATCTCCTTATCTTTGAAGTAGTTTGAATGTGAGATCACAGTATGTCCTTTCTGTTAATACTTGGCTGCAGGATAATCCATGATTCCTTCTTTAAAAAAGTTCAGTACTAAAGTTGTTATGCAACATTTTATTAGAAGATAAAGTGCTCCCATTCTTCATATATACTCCATAAACTGCTGAGATGTCAAAGTGCTCCATAAATAATACAAGCTTCTTGCCCATCATTAACAAAAGACGCTGCTAAGTGGACAGAAAATTCAGTAATTCCCTTTTATGGAGATCACAGTACATACACTTAGTCCAATTTGCTGACCCTGCCATCAAAAATTACTGTCTGCAGAAACCCTGGCCTGGATTTTTTCACACTGAAAAATGGAGAGCTGGGGATTTTAATGGAAGACGCTGAACACTGGTTAAAATTCTGCCTTCACTTGAGAACTGGTCCACTGAGAAAAAATTATAACTATTGCTTCCCTTCCATTGAGAACACACTCTTCTATCAAAGGCATTCTGAGCCAGGAATCTGAGCTCTTTCAAGAAATCAGCTTATAGTAAGGCCAAATGAACTGCTAAGTCAGATCCCAGTGTGATGATATGCATGTTCCCATTTATGATATGTCATCAATCATGGCTCATGCCTCTTGATTGCACTATGATAAATATGCCACTCAAGCAGGTTCATCGTACATCAGAGCCAGGGAAGGCAGCTTGGGAAATGCACAGGGTAATGGGCAACTTGGAAAGTGTGCAAATCCAGACAAGGCAGGTGCCTGCAGGACAAATCAGCCAAAGCCAACCAGATGTCTGGGCACCTGGTGTGGACATGCTTTCCCTCAGCCCAGATTTAGTTTCAGTGCATCACGTCTCTGTGTTCCAAGCAGCAGTTAACCTCAAGGCCGCACTAACATCTCTGGTGAGTTTACGGCCTCTGGTTCCTATCTACTCTCTGATTTAGGATATTCTTCAGCAGCAGATTGATCCTACATTCTGGCAAGTGCAGTTACGTGGATCGTAATGTGCAAGTTCCCATGACCCCTCAGTCTTTCTTTCCAGCTGATGCACAAGTTAGACTCTAGTCCTCTCCAGATGTTTCATCTCACAATATGAAATCCACCTTTCACTGGTATCTCTCACACAAATCAGAGCCAGATTGCCAAACTTCTTCACCTGACCTAATCGGCCAAAAACCAGAAAGCAGTATTTGCTGTTTTCCAATGATGTGGCCCACCGTGATTAACTTCCATAACACACAAACATGTTCCTCAAAAAGAAAGGCTAATGCTACATTCTAGAGAAAATGTATTACCCCTTGATATGGTTTGACTCTGTGTCCTCACCCAAATCTCATCTCAAATTGTAATCCCCACGTGTCGAGGGAGGGAGGTGATTGGATCACTTCCAATGCTGTTCTTGTGATAGTGAGTGAGTTCTCATGAGATCTGATTTTAAAAATGGCAGTTTCCCCTGTGCTCTCTCTCTCTTGCTGCCTTGTGAAGAAGGTGCTTACTTCCCCTTTGCCTTCTGCATAATTGTAAGTTTCCTGAGGCCTCCCCAGCCATGTGGAACGGTGAGTCAATTAAACCCCTTTCGTTTATAAATTACCCAGTCTCAGGTAATATGTTTACAGCAGTGTGAGAAAGGACAAATGCACCCCTCTCACCCTTTCTTTCCTGTTAAATTGTTTCAAAACTAGCTTTGGGGCATGTTAAAAATGTAGATGCGCCAGGCGGATAACTCATACCTGTAATCCCAGCACTTTGGGAGGGTGAATCACGAGGTCAGGAGATCGAGACCATCCTGGCTAACACAGTGAAACCCCGTCTGTATTAAAAATACAAAAAGTTAGCCGGGTATGGTAGCATGCACCTGTACAGTCCCAGCTACTCGGGGGGCTGAGGTGGGAGAATCACTTGAACCTAGAGGCAAGGTTTCAGTGAGCTGAGATCGCACCACTGTACTCCAGCCTGGGCAATGGAGCAAGATTCCATCTCAAAAAAAAAAAAACAAAAAACAAAAAACAAACAAACAAACAAACAAAAAAAACCTGCCTGGGCCTCAAGTGCAGACCTATTAAATTAAAATTTCTGGGAATGGGGCTTACAGACTCTTGTTTTTTTATAAGCAGCCAGATAGTTCTGTGCATTGAAGTTTGAGAAGTTATTTGGGGTAGGTTTTCTCTGAGATGCCTTTCTGCCCTGATATTTTGTGGTTCTAGAAGCATTCAAAGAAAACTGTCAATGCACACCCCAAAGGCACACCCATGGGTCTCCTGCAGCACTGGCCACCATTCTCAGACCATTGCAGGACTGTGCAGAGGGAGTGATGGACAGGGGAAAATGGGACAGGGAAGAGCTAAGGGTTGGAAATCACAGGTCTGCTTTAAACTTCAGTGCCTTTACTTCTGGCTCTGCTGTCTTAGAGCAATTACATGACCTCACTAATTTCAGGTTTTCTAATTTCCAAGACCTGCAGTGTTAGATCAGTTACATGACCTCACTATTTCAGGTTTTCTACTTTCAAAATAGGAGTAAAAACAGATACTTCCCAGATGGCAGGAGGGTCAAATGAAGCAATAATGGGGCTGTATATAGCAGTGTTTAACTAAAATTTGAATTATTTAACTCTGTAAATGTTAGTTTTCTTCCCAATTTCCCGTTTGTAAATGATCCCTGGTTCGTGGGTTATTTTGAAGATCACCTTAGATGTATATGAGAGAGACTCTCTATGGATGACGTCGTGAAGAGCAGAGACCCTGAATCCCTTTACCTGTCGGGGAAGAGGGACAGACAAGGCCACCAGTTCAATCTGAGAAAAGGGCAGTGTGGTCCACTGAATAGTGGCCCCCCAGGACCTCCACCATCTGGTCCCTGGAACCTGTGATATGGTGACTTGGAAGGCAAAAGGGATTCTGCAGATGTGATTAAGAACTTTGAGTTGGGGAGATTATCTTGGGCCATCCAGGCGGGCCCTAAATGTAATCATAAATTTTCCTATAAGAGAAAGGCACAGGGGACTTGATGACAGTAGGGAAAGGCAGTGTGATGACACAGTCGGGGGGAAGGTGATGTGATGCAAGGAAGGGGCCAGGAGCCACGGGACGCAGGCGGCTCTGGAAGCTGAAAAGGCAAGGAAGCGATTCTCCCTAGAGCCTCAGTTAGAACCAGCCCTGCCCTGCAGACACCTCGGTTTTGTTCCCATAAGACTCAGTTTAGACTTCTGACCACCAGAACTATACATTCCCACTGTTTGAAGCCACCGAGTTCGTGGTAACTTTTACAGTAGCCACAGGAGAGGAATGCACGTATATGTAAAAGCAACACTATTGCTAAGAAAGTAAGGAGCACGTTTTCATAATTTACAGATGACAAGTATCTGAAATTTCAAGGGTAGTTTGAACTCACATATTTCCCCCACCAGCACTTTCAGGGCACTCACTCAGTGCCTGGCCTTGTGCAGCTCCGTATCACTCTGACAACCTAAAGTTTAGGCTGCTGCAGCCACTTTGCCCCACCTGAAGCATCTCAGGGGTGGGGGCTTGGGATGCTAAATTCTTCTCCATGCTGCAGGCCCAGGGTGCACTCAAGCTGGCACCGTGTTCCCCAGAGCTGGTCTCAGTATCTCCAGAGTGGGCGTCCTGGAATCCTCTCAGCCTGGGAGGTTCTCAGGGTGGCTCGAGCAGCCCTGTCCTCCCAGAGCCTGCTCAGGTCAGGAGACCCATGGAGGGAAGGGTAGGGACTTTCCTCCCAATCCCTAGAAGTCACTCCACCCACTATCCCAACCTTGCTTCCTTTTGGCCCCATTTGTCCTCTTGTCCTCACTTTGTCTGCCAGAATCATACTTCCGACCTATCGTAAAGGGTGGTTTTGCAGTAAAAATGAAGCTGATGCAACCAGTTCAATGCACAGAGGCCCCTGAGCTAAGAATAGGATGAGTGTGTAATTTCTCATCCACACCAGGACACTGCTGGGCTTGGCAAGCTCCCACTAAAGACAGCACAGTCACGAACCACAGGACTCAGGCCAGGGCAGGGAAAGTAAGAGGAGGCAGGCCCCTCTGTCAACCTCCATCTTCCCTTATCCGCAACTGGTGCTGCAAGCCTGCAGCTGCAGTAGGCTTCCAGGAGAGCCCTTCAGAAGACCTAAGGGCTGAGCAGAGTCCTCCGGGTGGAGAAGCAGGACACAGGCCTTTTATTTCCCTTTTCTTCCAGAACACCACCTGGATTAGAGAGAGCCACCTTTCCCAGGTGGGGCATTTGCCTCCTTTGACTGGCCCAGACTCATGATTATTCAAGGCTCTTGCCTGTAACTAGATCTTCCTAAGGAATCAGTGACTCTCTAGAACCCATCAGCAGAGGATCTTCTGCCATGTACACTGTTATCATGTCTCTTTTAGCCATCCATGAAGTTTCTATTTTCCAAGAGAGATGCCCAAAGCCTCCAAGCCACTTGCAGGGCAGTCAGGAATCACACACTTTGGATCCTATTACAGAGCAAGCCTTCCTTAATGCAGAACACCCCTTTCCCCTGCCCAGCTTTTCGGGTTCTTTTGTGATGACCTTCCCACTCTACCTCCTCTCAGGTGGGCAGATAACACTGGATACGCAGTGACAATTTTGAATTTCAAATAAACAACTTAAGTTTTTTAGTTTCTTTCTTTTTAAAAAATACCTATTGCCCTACCTTTTCCCAAGCCCCTCCACCAAATCTGAAGAACACAGTTTCCAGAACCCTATCACAATTTTATCATATCAAAAATACACACTTAAAGGCTTTTTAAATTTATTGACGTGTGAAGTAGTTAAAGTGGCAATTATATAATTACACAATAATTTGGTGGAGATGATATTTCAAATTATAAGATGCATAAAGGAAAGGTAATAAAAGGGTCTTAGGCTAAAGGCCTTCAAATTTGTGATATACAAAGAGCACAGACCACAACCATGAAGTCCAGGAGGGCCGGGTCTTGCACTTGTAGAAAGTGCACAATCAGGCTGGGCGTGGTGGCTCACACCTTTGGGAGACTGAGGTGGGCAGATCACCTGAGGTCAGGAGTTTGAGACCAGCCTGGCCAACATGGTGAAACCCCATCTGTACTAAAAGTACAAAAAATTTGCTGGGCGTGGTGGTGGGCACCTGAAATCCCAGCTACTCAGGAGGCTGAGGCAGGAGAATCATTTGAACCTGGGAGGCAGAGGTTGCAGTGAGCCGAGATCACGCCACTATGCTCCAGCCTGGGTGACAGAGTGAGACTCTGTCTCAAAAAGAAAGAAAGAAAGGAAGTGCACGTTCAGATGATGTCTCCTCCCGGCCTCACACTCTCAGGAAGGAAAAACAGAACAGCTGCGTAGATCCCACGGTCTCTTCCTGAAGCTTCCCTAACTCTAGCACCAGTTCCAGATGGGACAGCCCGTAGGCTGCTCAGGCAGTGTGTCAAAGGCTCACCTGATGTGCCAAGGCTTTCTGGCTTGGAAGCCCCTTTCCGTGCCATTTTGTTAAAAATCTGTAAACAGAAATTTAAAGTAAATTTTACCTATTTATTATTTTGTTTTATGCTAATATGCATGTGAAGTTAACAATTTTGGGGCCGTTCTATGAACATACCAGTGGTAAATACCCATTATCATGTCTCTTTCTGTTTTCTGAAAAATGTTCTTTCAGTGCAGATAAATAGTCATTGAAAATCAGTAGAATGTGTGTCTTTTGGTCAAACAGCAGGAGAGCTGGGAAGGGAAGTTGAAAGGCCTGGGTAATTTTCATTTGTCAGTAGTGAAATCATCAGATTAATGAATGAAGAATGCATGATTTCCACCTTCATGAAGTCACTGCTAGTCTTAACCAGACACCATAAAAAAATGCAAGGATGTCCTGAGCTGGAAAGTTAAAATCCTGAGTGTTCCAGAATCATAGACTTTAAATCCTAAGGTTTAATCCTGACATTATGCCATCAGGAGCCTGGTGGCCAGGTAAGGTGGAAAATGTAAACTCTTTTACCAATTTCAAAAGAGCTCTGGAAATTAGCCTATGAATCCTATAAGTGAAAACGTCCTCCAGCCAAAGACCTCAGGATCAGGCCTATAGTTGAACGAGTTGGATTTACTATTTGTTGGAGGGAGAGAGACTACACGCAGGGCACACCAGCGGGAACTGTGGGGTGTCTCAGGCCGAGGGGGTTTGCCAGGACTCATTACAGAACTGGGGCATGTCGGGTGATCTGGGGAGAGCGTTCAAGGAAGTGGGGCTTTGCTCCAGATTTGGTTGGTGTTTGGAAGAAGGGGATGCTATGCGATGCGTGGGTTAATCTTACCTGGAAGAAGGCAGACCAGAGCCAGGCAGCAGGCTTTTAACTATAAAGCAGCAGCACTCACTAGCATGAGCTGGGAGAGGGGGATATTAAGTCACTTTTATGGTTTGAACCATGTTCTTGCCTTGTCTGTGTTCAGACCTAATGACATAATGGTCTTGTTCTTTTTTTTTTTTTTTTTTTGAGACAGAGTCTCGCTCTGTCACCCAAGCTGGAGTGCAGTAGCATGATCTCGGCTCACTGCAAGCTCCACCTCCCAGGTTCACGCCATTCTCCTGCCTCAGCCTCCCAAGTAGCTGGGACTACAGGCACCTGCCACCGCGCCCGACTAATTTTTTTGTAATTTTAGTAGAGACGGGGTTTCACCATGTTAGCTAGGATGGTCTCGATCGCCTGACCTTGTGATCCACCCGCCTCGGCCTCCCAAAGTGCTGGGATTACAGGTGTGAACCACCGCGCCTGGCCAGTCTTGTTCTTGTCTTATTCCGTCACACTCACCAAGTGGCTTCCCTGACCGTTCCTGTTCAGTGAACTGTTTATGTTCATCAGGAGAGACCAAGGCCCAGCTGTGGGCACCGGGCCAGCTCCTGCATATTAGGGGCCACCTTTGTCTTCTTAGAGCAATAATAACTGATGAACACCAGGACTAAGTTAGCACTGTGTGTTCTTGTTTACTGTGGGATTTTACTGAATAATATTTCATTACATTTCTTTCTCCAGAAATGCTGGGAAGGAATAATTTGGTGGAGACAATAGTTCAAATTATAGGATGCATAAAGGAAAGGTAATAAAAGGGTCTTGGGCTAAAGGCATTCAGGTCTCGCCGTATTCAAGTGTGCAATGATGTGTTGTAGCCACTGAGCCAAATCCTGGGAGACCACAAGAGGCTGATTGTGTCTGTCCCCATCAGTATCCAGGAAACTCACTTTCCCCAAACACACCTACAGCGAGGTAGTTCCCTAAGTTAGGCAGCCTCTATCCACAAGCCGCACCTGCATCTCTCCAGTACCTGAACACTTCCTTCATTCCACAAGCATTTCCAGACAGCCCACCTTCCCCTCACACTGCATCCTTCTCCTCAGGGACACAGAAACCCCCTCTCACTGCTGGTCCCAATTAGATGGGCAGGCCCCTCCCTGCTGCTCAAAGCACAACCAGAAACCAGGCTCAGAGGCAACCAGAACTCCGAAAGGTGTTCAGAGGAAGGCGGGCTGGTTTTGGGACCCCAGGGGGAGAAGGAAGGCACAGCAACAGGGTGCTTTATGGCCCCAAGACCAACAGAAGGTGACCCCAGCCTAGCACCCATGGCAGCCAGCTAGGCTTGCTCCCGCTCTGATGGAACAGGGCCCTCTGGCAATACCAGGCCAGCCTGACGCCACCTGACGGAGGAGGGACCTGAAGCCCTGTCCGCATAAGTGGCCCCAGGGTGGCTCCCCTCCTTGTGTACTGACAGCCCCTCCTCCCCACCCAGAAATATCTGGTTGGTGGGCACCTGCAGGGGATCCAAGCCTCTTCTTCAGACAGCCTGAGCCTTGGGCCCCACTGGGAGACACTCAGGGCAGAGCCTGGGGAAACTCCGTCTGCCCCTCAGCCTGCATCAGGAGGGATCCTGAGAGCCACAAGGACCCCCGAGAAACCAAGCAGGAGAGAACAACACAGCAGCGACTCTGGAAATTAGATGCCAGTAGAACCACAGCCTGCAAGATGGGCCAGGACCCATGTGCCAAACCTAAACAGGTCACTGCCTTCTAAAGCAAAAGAGTCACAGGGGACCCAGGTCACCTAACATGACAGGCAGAACGTCCACCAAACAACTGAAAACTCACCATCCTTCCAAGAGTGCAGAGATCACCACCAGCATGAGCACCACGATCAGCTGCTGCCAAGACCCAACTATCAGATGTTGGAATTATCTGACAAGGGCTCTAAAGTATCTGCCATTAAAAATGCTTCAGCAATGACAGGTTCTCTCGAAATAAATCAAACAATGGAAAATCTCAGCCCTTTCCTCACTGCCCCAGGGCTGGCAATCACTTGACATGGTTGCCTGTTACACCTGATAGCCCTCTTTGACTTCTTTTTTTTTTTTTTTTATACTTTAAGTTTTAGGGTACATGTGACAATGTGCAGGTTAGTTACATATGTATACACGTGACATGCTGGTGCGCTGCACCCACTAACTCGTCATCTAGCATTAGGTATATCTCCCAATGCTATCCCTCCCCCCCTCCCCCCACCCCACAACAGTCCCCAGAGTGTGATGTTCCCCTTCCTGTGTCCATGTGTTCTCATTGTTCAATTCCCACCTATGAGTGAGAATACGCAGTGTTTGGTTTTTTGTTCTTGTGATAGTTTACTGAGAATGATGATTTCCAGTTTCATCCATGTCTCTACAAAGGACGTGAACTCATCATTTTTTATGGCTGCATAGTATTCCATGGTGTATATGTGCCACATTTTCTTAATCCAGTCTATCATTGTTGGACATTTGGCTTGGTTCCAAGTCTTTGCTATTGTGAATAGTGCCACAATAAACATATGTGTGCGTGTGTCTTTATAGCAGCATGATTTATAGTCCTTTGGGTATATAACCAGTAATGGGATTGCTGGGTCAAATGGTATTTCTAGTTCTAGATCTCTGAGGAATCACCACACTGACTTCCACAATGGCTGAACTGGTTTACAGTCCCACCAACAGTGTAAAAGTGTTCCTATTTCTCCACATCCTCTCCAGCACCTGTTGTTTCCTGACTTTTTAATGATTGCCATTCTAACTGGTGTGAGATGGTATCTCATTGTGGTTTTGATTTGCATTTCTCTGATGGCCAGTGATGGTGAGCATTTTTTCATGTGTTTTTTGGCTGCATAAATGTCTTCTTTTGAGACTGTCTGTTCATGTCCTTTGCCCACTTTTTGATGGGGTTGTTTTTTTCTTGTAAATTTGTTGGAGTTCATTGTAGATTCTGGATATTAGCCCTTTGTCAGATGAGTAGGTTGCGAAAATTTTCTCCCATATTGTGGGTTGCCTGTTCACTCTGATGGTAGTTTCTTTTGCTGTGCAGAAGCTCTTTAGTTTAATTAGATCCCATTTGTCTATTTTGGCTTTTGTTGCCATTGCTTTTGGTGTTTTAGACATGAAGTCCTTGCCCGTGCCTATGTCCTGAATGGTAATGCCTAGGTTTTCTTCTAGGGTTTTTATGGTTTTAGGTCTAACGTTTAAGTCTTTAATGCATCTTGAATTGATTTTTGTATAAGGTGTAAGGAAGGGATCTAGTTTCAGCTTTCTACATATGGCTAGCCAGTTTTCCCAGCACCATTTATTAAATAGGGAATCCTTTCCCCATTGCTTGTTTTTCTCAGGTTTGTCAAAGATCAGATAGTTGTAGATATGCGGCGTTATTTCTGAGGGCTCTGTTCTGTTCCATTGATCTATATCTCTGTTTTGGTACCAGTACCATGCTGTTTTGGTTACTGTAGCCTTGTAGTATAGTTTGAAGTCAGGTAGCGTGATGCCTCCAGCTTTGTTCTTTTGGCTTAGGATTGACTTGGCGATGCAGGCTCTTTTTTGGTTCCATATGAACTTTAAAGTAGTTTTTTCCAATTCTCTGAAGAAAGTCATTGGTAGCTTGATGGGGATGGCATTGAATCTATAAATTACCTTGGGCAGTGTGGCCATTTTCACGATACTGATTCTTCCTACCCAGGAGCATGGAATGTTCTTCCATTTGTTTGTATCCTCTTTCATTTCATTGAGCAGTGGTTTGTAGTTCTCCTTGAAGAGGTCCTTCACGTCCCTTGTAAGGTGGATTCCTAGGTATTTTATTCTGTTTGAAGCAATTGTGAATGGGAGTTCACTCATGATTTGGCTCTCTGTTTGTCTGTTATTGGTGTATAAGAATGCTTGTGATTTTTGTACATTGATTTTGTATCCTGAGACTTTGTTGAAGTTGCTTATCAGCTTAAGGAGATTTTTGGCTGAGACAATGGGGTTATCTAGATATACAATCATGTCGTCTGCAAACAGGGACAATTTGACTTCCTCTTTTCCTAATTGAATACCCTTTATTTCCTTCTCCTGCCTAACTGCCCTGGCCAGAACTTCCAACACTATGTTGAATAGGAGTGGTGAGAGAGGGCATCCCTGTCTTGTGCCAGTTTTCAAAGGGAATGCTTCCAGTTTTTGCCCATTCAGTATGATATTGGCTGTGGGTTTGTCATAGATAGCTCTTATTATTTTGAGATATGTCCCATCAATACCTAATTTATTGAGAGATTTTAGCATGAAGGGTTGTTGAATTTTGTCAAAGGCCTTTTCTGCATCTATTGAGATAATCTTGTGGTTTTTGTCTTTGGTTCTGTTTATATGCTGGATTACATTTATTGATTTGTGTATATTGAACCAGCCTTGCATCCCAGGGATGAAGCCCACTTGATCATGGTGGATAAGCTTTTTGATGTGCTGCTGGATTCCGTTTGCCAGTATTTTATTGAGGATTTTTGCATCGATGTTCATCAGGGATATTGGTCTAAAATTCTCTTTTTTGGTTGTGTCTCTGCCCGGCTTTGGTATCAGGATGATGCTGGCCTCATAAAATGAGTTAGGGAGGATTCCCTCTTTTTCTATTGATTGGAATAGTTTCAGAAGGAATGGTATCAGTTCATCCTTGTACCTCTGGTAGAATTCGGCTGTGAATCCATCTGGTCCTGGACTCTTTTTGGTTGGTAAGCTATTGATTATTGCCACAATTTCAGCTCCTGTTATTGGTCTATTCAGAGATTCAACTTCTTCCTGGTTTAGTCTTGGGAGAGTGTATGTGTCGAGGAATTTATCCATTTCTTCTAGATTTTCTAGTTTAATTGCGTAGAGGTGCTTGTAGTATTCTCTGATGGTAGTTTGTATTTCTGTGGGATCGGTGGTGATATCCCCTTTATCATTTTTTATTGCGTCTATTTGATTCTCTCTTTTTTTCTTTATTAGTCTTGCTAGCGGTCTATCAATTTTGTTGATTCTTTCAAAAAACCAGCTCCTGGATTCATTAATGTTTTGAAGGGTTTTTTGTGTCTCTATTTCCTTCAGTTCTGCTCTGATTTTAGTTATTTCTTGCCTTCTGCTAGCTTTTGAATGTGTTTGCTCTTGCTTATCTAGTTCTTTTAATTGTGATGTTAGGGTGTCAATTTTGGATCTTTCCTGCTTTCTCTTGTGGGCATTTAGTGCTATAAATTTCCCTGTACACACTGCTTTGAATGCATCCCAGAGATTCTGGTATGTTGTGTCTTTGTTCTCGTTGGTTTCAAAGAACATCTTTATTTCTGCCTTCATTTCGTTATGTACCCAGTAGTCATTCAGGAGCAGGTTGTTCAGTTTCCATGTAGTTGAGCGGTTTTGAGTGAGATTCTTAATCCTGAGTTCTAGTTTGATTGCACTGTGGTCTGAGAGACAGTTTGTTATAATTTCTGTTCTTTTACATTTGCTGAAGAGAGCTTTACTTCCAAATATGTGGTCAATTTTGGAATAGGTGTGGTGTGGTGCTGAAAAAAATGTATATTCTGTTGATTTGGGGTGGAGAGTTTTGTAGATGTCTATTAGGTCTGCTTGGTGGAGAGCTGAGTTCAATTCCTGGGTATCCTTGTTGACTTTCTGTCTCGTTGATCTGTCTAATGTTGACAGTGGGGTGTTAAAGTCTCCCATTATTAATGTGTGGGAGTCTAAGTCTCTTTGTACGTCACTCAGGACTTGCTTTATGAATCTGGGTGCTCCTGTATTGGGTGCATATATATTTAGGATAGTTAGCTCTTCTTGTTGAATTGATCCCTTTACCATTGTGTAATGGCCTTCTTTGTCTCTTTTGATCTTTGTTGGTTTAAAGTCTGTTTTATCAGAGACTAGGATTGCAACCCCTGCCTTTTTTTGTTTTCCACTTGCTTGGTAGATCTTCCTCCATCCTTTTATTTTGAGCCTATGTGTGTCTCTGCATGTGAGGTGGGTTTCCTGAATACAACACACTGATGGATCTTGACTCTTTATCCAATTTGCCAGTCTGTGTCTTTTAATTGGAGCATTTAGTCCATTTACATTTAAAGTTAATATTGTTATGTGTGAATTTGATCCTCTCATTATGATGTTAGCTGGTTATTTTGCTCGTTAGTTGATGCAGTTTCTTCCTAGTCTGGATGGTCTTTACATTTTGGCATGATTTTGCAGCGGCTGGTACCAGTTGTTCCTTTCCATGTTTAGTGCTTCCTTCAGGAGCTCTTTTAGGGCAGGCCTGGTGGTGACAAAATCTCTCAGCATTTGCTTGTCTGTAAAGTATTTTATTTCTCCTTCACTTATGAAGCTTAGTTTGGCTGGATATGAAATTCTGGGTTGAAAATTCTTTTCTTTGAGAATGTTGAATATTGGCCCCCACTCTCTTCTGGCTTGCAGTTTCTGCCGAGAGATCCGCTGTTAGTCTGATGGGCTTCGCTTTGTGGGTAACCCGACCTTTCTCTCTGGCTGCCCTTAACATTTTTTCCTTCATTTCAACTTTGGTGAATCTGACAATTATGTGTCTTGGAGGTGCTCTTCTCGAGGAGTATCTTTGTGGTGTTCTCTGTATTTCCTGAATCTGAACGTTGGCCTGCCTTGCTAGATTGGGGAAGTTCTCCTGGATAATATCCTGCAGAGTGTTTTCCAACTTGGTTCCATTCTCCCCGTCACTTTCAGGTACACCAATCAGACGTAGATTTGGTCTTTTCACATAGTCCCATATTTCTTGGAGGCTTTGTTCATTTCTTTTTATTCTTTTTTCTCTAAACTTCCCTTCTCGCTTCATTTCATTCATTTCATCTTCCATCGCTGATACCCTTTCTTCCAGTTGATTGCATCGGCTCCTGAGGCTTCTGCATTCTTCACGTAATTCTCGAGTCTTGGCTTTCAGCTCCATCTGCTCCTTTAAGCACTTGTCTGTATTGGTTATTCTAGTTATACATTCGTCTAAATTTTTTTCAAAGTTTTTAACTTCTTTGCCTTCGGTTTGAATTTCCTCCTGTAGCTCGTAGTTTGATCGTCTGAAGCTTTCTTCTCTCAACTCGTCAAAGTCATTCTCTGTCCAGCTTTGTTCCATTGCTGGTGAGGAACTGCGATCCTTTGGAGGAGGAGAGGTGCTCTGCTTTTTAGAGTTTCCCGTTTTTCTGCTCTGTTTTTTCCCCATCTTTGTGGTTTTATCTACTTTTGGTCTTTGATGATGGTGATGTACAGATGGGTTTTGGTGTGGATGTCCTTTCTGTTTGTTAGCTTTCCTTCTAACAGACAGGACCCTCAGCTGCAGGTCTGTTGGAGTTTGCTAGAGGTCCACTCCAGACCCTGTTTGCCTGGGTATCAGCAGCGGTGTCTGCAGAACAGTGGTTTTCGTGAACCGCGAATGCTGCTGTCTGATCGTTCCTCTGGAAGTTTTGTCTCAGAGGAGTACCCGGCCGTGTGAGGTGTCAGTCTGCCCCTGCTGGGGGGTGCCTCCCAGTTAGGCTGCTCGGGGGTCAGGGGTCAGGGACCCACTTGAGGAGGCAGTCTGCCCGTTCTCAGATCTCCAGCTGTGTGCTGGGAGAACCACTGCTGTCCTCAAAGCTGTCAGACAGGGACATTTAAGTCTGCAGAGGTTACTGCTGTCTTTTTGTTTGTCTGTGCCCTGCCCCCAGAGGTGTAGCCTACAGAGGCAGGCAGGCAGGCCTCCTTGAGCTGTGGTGGGCTCCACCCAATTGGAGCTTCCTGGCTGCTTTGTTTACCTAAGCGAGCCTGGGCAATGGCGGGCGCCCCTCCCCTAGCCTCGCTGCCGCCTTGCAGTTTGATCTCAGACTGCTGTGCTAGCAATCAGCGAGACTCTGTGGGCGTAGGACCCTCCAAGCCAGGTGCAGGATATAATCTCCTGGTGCGCCGTTTTTTAAGCCCGTCGGAAAAGCGCAGTATTCGGGTGGGAGTGACCCGATTTTCCAGGTGCTGTCTGTCACCCCTTTCTTTGACTAGGAAAGGGAACTCCTTGACCCCTTGTGCTTCCTGAGTGAGGCAATGCCTCGCCCTGCTTCGGCTCGCGCACGGCGCACTGCACCCACTGTCCTGCGCCCACTGTCTGGCACTCCCTAGTGAGATGAACCCGGTACCTCAGATGGAAATGCAGAAATCACCTGTCTTCTGCGTCGCTCACGCTGGGAGCTGTAGACCGGAGCTGTTCCTATTCGGCCATCTTGGTTCCAGACAAAAAGTCTTTGACTTCTTTTAGGGGCGGGTGCCTTTGCCTGTGTAACCACTGTTCATAGGAAAGTGTCCCCATTCACATGACTCCAGTGGTTTCTGCCACCCGTCTGCACCGATTGAGTGACTGAGGGGCTCTGCAGCGCTAGCAAACATTCACCTGGGGAGATAGAGAAGATGCTTTAGATCATACTCTCCTGGAAAATGCCTTGAAACTCTCTTTCAACATTTCTTCCTCCTAGTCCTTCTGTCCCAGGCTTTGAGCAGGTTATTCCCTCATCAGCCACGTCCTGTCGGCTGCCATTTTCCATCTCATATCTGACCTATAAATCACATCCTACATCTCACCTTAAGACTGGAGGGAGATCCAGCTCCCACTGCCACACCTGGTCAGCCTCCCAGCATATGGGACTCAACAAAGTTTAGGGCAGAAGTGGAAAGAATATGCTGTAGCTCCCAATTCTTTTTCCAGAATCTAAAAACAACTGAATTATACCACTCTCTGGCCCAGAGCCTTCAGTCGCCCCTACTGCTCTTAGGGAAAGCACTAGGGAATCCCGAAGACCCCCATCTCCCATCCCAGACAGTGCCTTCTCCCACCCTCACTCCTCCTGCCCACCGCCACCCTGCCCACCCTGGCCCTCTCTGGTGTTCCTCTCATGCATACCTCTCAAGGTGCACCAGGCGGCTGCCTCTGGGTACTTGCCCAGCCCTGTCCCCTCTGCTCCCCTCTCGCAGGCCATCCCACCACACTCGTCCCACCTGGCTTGTGTCAATGTTCCATTACTGTTCACCGGCTGCCCACGCACCTCCAGCTCCACATCGTGAGTATTTCTCCCCCTTCTCATCTCATGTCCTAAAAGCATTCAACAAATATGTACTCAGTAAACGGTCTCTGCTGCTTTCCATGTGTAATGACCCCTCCCTAATGACCTCACCAGATGCCTCCTGGACCCACTGCCAAAGCCCCTGTATTTATTTATTTATTTTTATTTATTTATTTATTTTTTGAGACATGGTCTCGCTCTGTTGCCCAGGCTGGAGTGCAATGGCACAATCTTGGCTCACAGCAACCTCCGCCTCTTGGGTTCAAGTGATTCTCCTGCCTCAGCCTCCCAAGTAGCTGGGATTACAGGGATGCACCACAATGCCTGGCTAATTTTTGTATTTTTAGTAGAGATGGGGTTTTTCTGTGTTGTCCAGGCTGGTCTCGGACTCCTGACCTCAGGTGATCTGCCCGCCTCAGCCTCCCAAAGTGATGGGATTACAGGCGTGAGCCACTGTGCCCGGCCTAGCCCCTGTGTTTCTGAGCTGTGCTTTTTGGTATTTGGGTCCTGGTAAATATCACTTAGGAAGAGACAACTGACAATGTCTTTCTAAACTTTCCTTTTTCTCACCAGAGAATGTGTTGCTAGACGTCATTGTCATGGTGGCAGGAGGAATTTGTTAAACTTCAAAGGAATGCCTGTTTGTCATAAAGCCTTTAAAACAAGAAGATGGCATCTCCTATGTGGGAGGAGTGAGGTTTGATCCTGCGGAAAATAAACTTAGCTGACATTTTCGAGTGCGTCCTGTGTTCTGGGCTGTCCTTGCGACAGTGTCTTGGCAGGTAGTACTATAGTCACTCCTTTAACGTGGGGACACCCGAGTTTGGATAACGTGAGCAGTGTGCTGGAGGTCAGTCGGCAGGGGGCAGAGTTGGATTTGAAGGTGAGGTCGTGTTTGTGGGGCCACTGTTTTTAATCACGGTACTAGAGGCACCACAGAGAGTGTAGAGAAAACAGAACCGCAAGGCCTGAGTGCCTTAAAGAGAGGTTTTCAGAATCAGGACCCAGCATGCTTATTCTTGCTGCAGTGCCTTAACACGCTAAACAGCGCTTAACCGCGCTAAAACATCCCATGGGAAACTGTGACTGCAAGGCCCGGGGGATGTTCCTTCTCAGCCCATGCCCTGCCCATGCCCCAAGTAAAAGCAGTTTTAGGGACCACTAGTGTCCCAGGAATCATGGTATTAAAGAGTTGTTGGGTGTGGTGGCTCATGCCTATAATCCCAGCTGCTTTGGAGGCTGAGGCAGGAGAGTCGCTGGAACCCAGGAGGCAGAGGCTGCAGTGAGCCGAGATCGCGCCATTGCACTCCAGCCTGGACAACAAGAGCCAAACTCCAATTCAAAAAAAAAAAAAGTTAACCTTTCAAAGCAAGATGGTTTTAGCCATAAATTTTCATAGCAACAGAGGACAGCACATACCAGTGACGGAACCGATACTTTGAATCAAGCCAGCCAGAGGGGTCTACACCCCCTTCCACTGCAGACACCAAAACACAGGGTGCCATTCTCCATTCCCTGCCATTTACAAAGAAGAATGGACAAAGTAAGTTTGAGGTTAACGAAAGCAGCCTCAGGATGTTGAGTTCCTAGTCTCAGTTCAAACAGCTATTTGTGTGAGGCTGGGCAAGTCGCTGGGGTGGGCCTCAATCCCCTCATCTGATTTTACCTGAGGCGCCACCAACTCTAGGAAGTCTCCCATGATTGTCTAAGGCTGGGATCCCTCCCTGTGTGGCCCTTACTCTCTTTTTACCTAATTCCCTTCCTAAGAACGAGCTCCTTCCAGCTAAGATAAGCTTTCTCATGACTGCACCCCCTGTGTCTGGCAGAGGGGACAGCACCTGACAGATGCCTGCCTTGGAGGCTGGGGCTGCCACAACAAAGAACCACAGCCTGGGGGCTTAAACACAGACGTGCATTTCCTCACAGTGCTGGAGGCTGGAAGTCCAAGATCAAGGTGGGCAAGGCTGGCTTCTCCTGCAGCCTCTCTCTTCGGCTTGTAGATGGCTGTCTTCCCTGTGCCTCAGACGATCACCCCTCTGACTGTGTCTGTATCCTAACCTCATCTTCTTATAAGGACACCAGTCAGAATGGATTAAGGTTCACCCTCATGGCCTGATTTTAACTCAATTACCTCTTTAAAGGCCCTCTCCAAATAAGATCACAGTCTGAGGTACGGTGGTTGGGCTTCAACATATAAATTTGAAGAATCTTAATTCAGACCACAACGGGGTCTCACATGTCTCAGGTGAATGGACTGAATCTCAGCCTGCAGTTCAATGGGATCACATCCATGTGAATCTGAATTGCAGCTGTGGGTTGACCTCAGCCAGTTGGCTTTGGCTCTCCTCTGCCCAGTTATTTCCAGGAGTCTGGAAGAATCTCAGGAGAGCTCAGGGAACCTGGAACAAACACCTACTGCTGGCCCCCACTGCTGCCACTCCTGCTCCCTCCTGATGGCAGGGTCCCTGTCTCCCCCAGTCACAGACACGCGGATGAGCCCCCATCTGCCTGGCTGACCCACTGCCTCCTGAGCCCAAGTCTCTTTGGCTGAGGCCCCAGTACACACCAACACCATTTTCAAAATGACTCCTTCACAATTTCTCTTTAAGGCCAGACACCAAAGTCCCCCAGACCTGTCTCTGGAACAAATACTCTTATCTTTTGTACTTGAACTAACCTTTAAAAAAAAAAAAGCTTGGAACCTGATGCCATAGACGAGCTCTGAGCTTCTGTATATTTGGAAATTCTGAATCTAATTGAATAGCATGAACTTGTCTTTTCCACAAAGGATTTGAGGCACTGTGTTTTTAAGTGACTAAGCCCACGTCCCTCTCCAGACACCACCTGGGGCTTGGCAATGAGGATGCTGGCGGGGGTTTAATATGGTCACACGGGAGCCAGAGAACCAACAAGGTTGACCAGGGCACAGGGGGCATGCTGAAGTATGGCTGGGACTGCAGCAAATTCTAATTCCAAGTGGATGGTAATTTCTTGAGCATTATGATGTTTGAAAAGTACAACAGAAGTCTATATTGTAATGTAGTGCCTTCTTATCCACAGGGATATGTTCCAAGACCCACAGTAGATGCTTGAAACCTTGGGTAGTAGTGAACCCTACATATGTTTTTTCTCTGATATATACATACCTATGATAAAATTTAATGTATAAATTAGGCACAGTAAGAAACTAACAGCACTTACTAGCAATAAAATAGGACAATCATAACCATATGCTGTAATGAAAGTTATGTGAATGTGGTCTCTGTCACAAAACATCTTATTGTCTTCGCCTATTTTCTGACTGTGGTTGACCACAGATAACTGAAGCCACAGAAAGAAACACCACAGGACATGTGTGGTGGCTCACGCCTGTAATCCCAGCACTTTGGGAGGCTGAGCTGGGCAGATCATCTGAGGTCAGGAGTTCGAGACCAGCCTGGCCAACATGGTGAAACCCCAGCTCTACTAAAAATATAAAAATTAGCTGGGCGTGGTAGCAGGCGCCTGTAGTCCCAGCTACTTGGGAGGCTGAGGCAGGAGAATGGCGTGAACTTGGGAGGCAGAGCTTGCAGTGAGCCGAGATCGCGCCACTGCACTCCAGCCTGGGTGACGGAGCAAGACTCTGTCTAAAAAAAAAGAAAAGAAAGTAACGCCACAGATGGGGGTGACTGTATGGTAATTACCAAAATGTGTAGGAGAAAAACATACTCACTTTAACCCTGACATATTGATTTCACCAAGACTATCTTTATCTTAAATGACAGCTTAAAATAATGTGTTTGAAAAACAATTACACTATTCATATTAATACAAAGATACTAAATGGCGAATTCTTGGCCGTTTTCATTTACCACAGAAAGAAAAGGGGGCAAATATAGTTGGAAAAAGATTAAACTCTGTAGCTTCATAAGGTCCTTCAATGTAAAGATGAATAGCTTCAACATGAAGTGAAAAGCATCTGCCACAATCTTCTAAAATTACTGGGAATATAATTTACCAGCAGCCTTGGTGCTGAGACATAACACACTCTCTCTCCATTGTTACCCATTGCCCTGAATATGTGGTCAGTGACTATCAACGCGTTGCGAGTGGAGGAAGGCAGGATCAGAGATATCGCTGCCCAAAAAAGCAACAATAGCAAACAGCAGCAGCAACACAGAATGATGGAGCCTCCTGCCACACTCTTCAAAGCGCTGCAGCCAGGAGGACACAGAGAAGAAGGTGGTGTGGGCCTGCAAAGGACAGACTCTGAATCAGTGCGACCCACCCCGCGTGTCCCTCCAACCCAAATAGCGGATCCCTCTCCCCACCCTACGCTGCCAGTCTCGAGTGAGGCTCATTGAGAAGGGAAGTTGTAAGTTGGAGGGAAAAAGTTTTAAGAGAGCCCATGAGTGCAGAAGTCCCGCCTCCCACCAAGGATCTCAGCAGATGCAGGAAAGTCACAGGCAGGAGGTCTTCAGGTGTCTTCCCTATGGGCAGGAAGGAAAGGGGATGTGACTATAACCAAATTCCTGCTCCCACCAGCCCTCCAACTACCAGCCCTAACAGCCAAATCCATGGACATTTTATCTGTCCTGACTGGAGGTTGAAGGGTGTAAGGAGAGAGGTTGGGAAATTTCACCGGGAGTACGCGGCTAACTGAGAAAGCTGAATAAGAGTTCACTCACCCCAAAGACCCAGAATTTCATGAATTAGAGCAATAAATAATGATATAGATCTCCTTCCAGGGTAATGCCTAAGATGTATTGGAGCACCAACAGACCAACATCAACAGCAACAAAGTAAAGACAAAAACGCCCAGGCTGTCCATCCTAGGGGCTGGCCTTCCTCTCAGAACCCCAGGCCAGGAAAGCAGGAAGAAGGGGGAGCACAGAGTCTGAAAGGGGCTGAGACCTGCTTTTTCAGAGGAATTTAAAGATCCACATGGAGCTGCCCAAATTAAGCAAAAGTAAGAGTGAAATAAATGGCAAGGCATTCCTGCAAATGCACTGCAGGGGAACAGTGAACACAGGGTGGACCATGGTCTGTAAAGAAAGACAAAGATTTCATTCTGCAGCAAAATATGTAACTGAATCCATGCAAGAAAGTTCTCCAAAATGTTGTGTAAGAAGTTAGTAAGAAATCGATTTCAATAAAAAAGAGCTAAAAGATAGAAAAGCAAAATGAAAGGTAAATTGCAGAGTTTTGGAAACAAATTGAAGAGCAAAAACTCATTTCAGAACGGGAAGAAAAAAAAAAAAACCTACCCGAACTGTAAATAGCAGGAAACAGAATAGACAATGCCAAAAATAACAAAGCTACCATCATAGAGGAAGAATTTCAGATCTCCAAAGGGAATAAGAGGAATAAAACACATCATTGCATATTCAAGCCAAAATGAGGAAAAAGAAGGAAAATTCATTTTGCATAAATAAATATACCATGTATGTGATGGTAGGAAATTAATTTCAGAAAGTAAATGTTATAACTCATGAATTTGTAAAAATAACAAAGATAATTGCACTATGAAAATTAGGTAAAAGGGAAGATTACCACAAAATGAATGAATTGCCCATCCTATTAAACATCTTTCAATTTTCTCTCAATAGTAGTCAACAGATACTCTTCTGAATTGATAAATATTAAAGCATATCACAGAGTGTTGTATAAGGAACCTGCAGAAAACCTAAAAACAAAAAGATAACTAATAATATATTGGGGTTTGAAGTGAGAAGTGGAGAATTAATAGAAACTGTCAGGTTGATAAATCATGAACTATAGGTTGAATTATGTAAAATTATATAGGTAACCACTTAAACACATAAAAGCAATAAATCTTTCATTTTAACAAAAGGATTGCACATAATCAGAAGGAGGGGGGAAATAAAAAAATCCAAAAGGGAATGCAAAAGAAATATTAATTACAGATATTGAAAAAAATATTAAACCAAATATATCAGCAATATGTATTAAAAATATAAGTGCAGATCCAAGATAAATAAACCTAAAACAAAGTGCCTCAAAAAGGTTAAACATAAAATTGAGTATAAAATAATAAGAAATACATATTGGTCTGTGTCTCCAGTTTCTGACACAGAGCTCCTAATACCCTTGTAATTTCCTGAGTGATGGGGGTACTGGGAGCATCTTTTGTTCTAATATTGGTTGGGAGCATCTTTGACTGGGTTCCTGGTACAGAACTTCCAATCCCTTGGAATTTCCTGGGTGATAGGAGCATCTTTTGTTCTAATGAACGACTCTTGGTGGAATCCTAGATGAGGGCTGGTCACCAGAAAGACCAAGCCATGGTTAGAAGCTTGGAACTTTCAGCCCCACACCCCATCCTCTAGGGAGGAAAGAGGAGTTGGAGATTGAATCAATAATCAATCATGCCTACATGATGAAGCCTCCTTAAAAATTCCTAAGTACAGGTGCGGGAGCTTCAGGGTTGGGGAACACGTGGTGGTGCTCCTGGAGAGGCCATGGCAGCTCCATACCCACCCCCACCATATCTTTTCCTGTATTTCTCTCCCATTTGGCTGTATTCTTTATAATAAGTGGATAAACATAGTAGTGTTGCCCTGGGTTCTCTGCGCTGTTCCACCAAATGACTGGACCTAAGAAGGGGGGCGTGGGAACCTCCGATTTATAGCCAAGTTGGACAGAAGCTGTGGGTGACCTGCAGACCCACCACTTACAACTGGCATCTGGAGCAGGGCAGTCCTGGGAATTGAGCCCCTCCCCTGTGGGGCTGGCTCTAACTCCAGTTAGTGTCAGAGTTGAGCTGAACGGTAGGACACCCAGCTGGTGCTGGCGAATGGGTGGGATTTTTCCCCACACATGTGGAGACGGGAGGTGTTGTGTGAGTGTAAGAATGAACGAGAGAGGCATCTCAGCATAAGAAATCAGTGGGGCTGATTTTAAAAGCAGACAAATGTGAATTCAAGGTTAAGTATTGAAAATAGAATGAAAATCCGGTAAATCGTTAAACATCCTGTGGTAAATGGAAGGATGATTGAAAGAGGAATGCTGCTGACAGGGAGCGTGGCCCCAGCCAGGCCAGTGAGCAAAGCCAGGGGTGGAACTCCCACACACCCGCCCAGGTCGTTCTCAGAGAGGGACCCATTCACAGGCACTGATCATACAAACCCCTCAGAAACACCTCAGCACATTATAAATATTAGAAATAGAACAAAAGGCATTTTGCTTAAAGCATAAGGTAATGTAACTAGAAATTAATTTTTAAGTTAAAAAATGTGGAAATTTTAAAACACTCAACAAAGCTCAGTTCGGGCTGGTCTGAGTGCAGTGGGGTGTACAAGGAATTGATTACAAGCAGTTACAGGTTTCTTTGCTCCTTTTCCATTTCCACTGCTGCTTCACTTCACTAGCCTTTATTTAAAAAGTCAGCTTGAAGAAGGTACAACAATTCAACTTATAGAATATCCAGAAAATACAAATGAAAACATTGCATATTAAGACGTATGGACTGCTGTTAAAGCTTTGATCAGAATAAAATGCAGAGCCAAAAATACTTATCTGATTAAATAAGAATAATTGGAAACACATGAATTAGGCATCTATTGAATAACTTAGTACAACAACAACAAAATAAAAGTAGAAGAGAACTGGCTGGGCGCGGTGGCTCACGCTGGTAGTCCCAGCACTTTGGGAGGCTGAGGCGGGTAGATCAACTGAGGTCAGGAGTTTGAGACCAGCCTGGCCAACATGGTGCAACCTCTACTAAAAATACAAAAAAAAAAAAAAAAAAAAAAATTAACCGGGAGTGGTAGTGGGTGCCTGTAATCCCAGCTACTCAGGAGGCTAAGGCAGGAGAATTGCTTGAACTCGGGAGGTGGAGGTTGCAGTGAGCCAAGATGACGCCATTGCACTCCAGCCTGGGCGACAGTGCGAGACTTCCTCTCAAAAAAAAAAAAAAAAAAAAAGTAAAAGGATCATGGCTGAATCCTGAGGATATCTTATTTCATGTAATGTGAAATAAGTCAGTCACAAAAGGACAAATACTATATGAATCCACTTGTATCAGGTACCTAGCCAAATTTATAAAGACCAAAAGGAGGCCAGGTGTGGTGGCTCACGCCTGTAATTCCAGCACTTTGGGAGGAGGAGGCAGGCAGATCACTTGAGGCCAGGAGTTCGAGACCAGCCTGGCCAACATGGTGAAACCCCATCTCTACTAAAAATATAAAAAATTAGCTGGGATTGGTGGTGTGCTCTGGTAATCCCAGCAACTCTGGAGGCCGAGGCATGAGAATCGCTTGAACCCAGGAGGCAGAGGTTGCAGTGAGCAGAGATTGCACCACTGCACTCTAGCCTGGGTGATAAAATGAGACTCTGTCTCAAAAAAAGAAAAAAAAAAAAAAAAGGACCAAAACAAGAGTGGTTGATGTTTGATAGAGACAGGGTTTCAATTTGGGAAGATGAAAAGAGTTCTGGGAATATGTGGTTGTGAAGACTGTACAACAATGTGACTGTATTTAATGACACTGAATGGTACACTTAAAACTGGTTAAAATGATAAATTTTATGTTATGTATATTTTACGAAAATTTAAAAATATACAATAATTTTTAAAAAGTAAAATAGAATGAAAATATTAAAGATAAAAGCAGAAAACTAAAAATTAGAAAACATACCTGCAGAATTTGTTGATGGGAATTATTTATCAAAGGTGAACACACAGAACTCTAACACAGCAGCAGAGGAAATGGTAGGAAGGCCATTGGCAGAAAAAAAGGAAATTTAGAAAGCAGTGCAAAATGTTACACGTGACGGTGGAGAGAAGACAAGAAAGAGTGTGGAACTGCAGCGCTGCAGAAAGGTGGCATTCCCGAAGCGGGCTGTGTGCAAACACAGGGGGCGTCTCGTCACAAAGAGTTTGAGAAAGATAGAATCTGTGGGCCGCATCCCCAGGGGCCATAACTTTGAGACCCCTTCCCCAACTCAGGACAAGCTATGGCATTAGAAGGTCAAACGCATATGAAGTAAACAGTAATTACAAAAGGAGCTATCCATGGTGAGGTCAGAAACACTGATAGACGGAAGGTCTAGGGAGGTTGGGAAGGGTTTGTACCACATAAAAAATGAAGGAATGAGAAAAAGTTAAATTATGTAAGAGTTCCTTCCTGAGGCGTGCACCTCCAGGGGGCTCTGCTTAAAGCTTCTGTCAGTCTTTTCTCCAACTCACTGGGGTCCCCGGGAGTGCAATGACCAGCTACATCTAACCCACCATGCTGCCCCGACTAGTTTGTCCCACAGGCTCCCAGGGCCCAGAGGAAGGGCTGAACCATGTGTTGGGCCCAGCACTGGCTGGAGAAGCACCTGCAACAACTGTGGCTTCTGCTGTGCTGGCCCACTGCTGTCACCTGGGAGGGCTGGGTCAACGCAGGGAACCCCAAGACCCTGCAGACAGGTCCTCGGACTGCAAAGTCTAAGGGTCCAATGTCTTAAAAATATAAACCGGTAAAACTCATGGCAAGCTAAATCAATAGGCACGGGAGAAAGGAGAAATGCACACAATTACAAACGGAAAAAGGAGAAAAAGCCACAAATACAGAGGAAAGAAAACACCTGAAGTGCATATATTACAAAACTACGCAACTATGTTGAAAAGTGGATGGAATTAATTTTATTTTTAAAAATGTCATTAAAATGGACTCTAGAAGGGCTCGAGGACCTAACTTGCCTGATGAGCAAAATCCAGAAATATACCACGGCAGGCCCAGACAGCCCCAGCTAGTTCTTCTACACTTAAGCAGAAAATAATTCAAAACCAATAGATGATTGTAGAATATAGAGGTTTTTGTTTTATAATATTTCTTCCTTTAAGTCAGCATAAAGTTAAATCTGGACAAAAAACACATAAAAGCAAGATGTAGAATGATGAATCTTAATTATAAATATTGATAACCAAAGTCATGATACTAATAAGTAAAGAACATCTCAGGAATACACTAATGATTTGGTCTTAAGTATTCTATTAATATAATTAAACATACTACTAGAGCAAAGGAAAAGACCTTCTGATAATCCCTCTGGACACTGAGAAGGCTTTGACAAAAATCTAACATCTACATTTTCCCCAGAGAGTCTTAATAGTTTGAGAACACACAGATACTTTTTTATTATGGCAAGGAAAATACATGTCTTCATACAAGTTAAACGCTGAGACATTAAAACGTCCCACTGATGTCACGAACAAGATAAGCATGCCACCTGAATCACTGTGACTCAACACTGATCTCAAATCAACTAGATACAAGAAAGAAATAAGAGACACATTGGAAAGGAGAAGTCAAAAGTATACCTTAGAAACAAGTAGGAATCACAATTTGTGGTTGATTATAACATTCATACATAAAAACCAACTACTTTCTTATACAATGGGATAAAATAGAAAATAAAGTGGAATAAATCATTCTATTGAAAATGATAGCCAAATGATAAAACATCTAGAAATAAACTATAAATTCAAAGCACCTTAGTGAACAAAATCATAAAACACTACTAAGTTACATAAAATTAGACTTAAACACAAGATTTCATGCTTTTGAATAGGAAGACTCAATCTGTAAATTCATTGTGACTCTAATTGAAAAAAGATTCATATGAGAGAGAGATTCAGAGTTGATGGGAGTGTTGACTTGAAAATACTGATATTAGTATGAATAATGCTTTAGAAATGAAAGGCATTCATAGAGATAAATAGAACAGAAACAGAACCAAACACTTAAAGAAATTTAGTTTACAAATAAGGCTGCATTTTGAACAACTGGGGAAAACACTATGACTGTATTTTAGAAATGCATTATTACATATTTATTGATACTGCTGACCACCATTTCGAGGAAAAAGTATGGATTTTTCCCTCATGTCCTGCAACAAATGAATTCCAGGGAGTCTGAAGATGTGAAGGTAAACCAATAAAACCATAAAGTTTCAGAAGAAAATGCGAGTAAGTCTATTTATAATCTCAGAATGAGGAAGGCTTTTAAAAACTGGAAACAAATCCCACGATCGACAAAGAAAAATACTCACAAATTGACAACATAAAAATTTAAACTCTATGCCAATAAATAAGGAAATCAATAAATAACATCGAAAGACAAATGATAAAAATATTTTAAAGACATAAGACAAAAATGTCCCAAAGTGCATGAGCAAATTAAGAAAAAGCCAAATAACCCAATTAGGAACTGGGTAAAATATATAAATGTATCAAAATTAAAACTACAAAAAAATTTTAAAAGATGTCCCATTTTATACACAAAATAAACCAAAATCAGAATAATATTCGTAAATATCATGTTTCACCAATTATATTGGGAAAAACATTAAGTTTGAAAATACCCAGTGCTATTATAGAAAGCTGAGAAATTGGGCCTTTTATTGTACTCTTGATGGAGTTACATCCTTCGATCAGTTTCTAGAAGATAATCTGGCAATAGCTATCAAAATTTTAAATACATGTAGCCTTAAACCCAGCAATTCCATTTCTAAGTTGGAATTTATACCGTTTTAGTCACAAAACTATGTCAAGATGTATGTACAAGTATGCCAATTATAGATTTGTATATAAAAATAAAAACTGGAAGTATCCATATGTTCACCAATAAAAGGCTATTCAAATAAATGATAGTCCGCTGAGATAATGGAATGCTAAGCAGCTACTAGGAGGAATGAGGTAGATCTTTATATGTTATTATGGGACGACCTCTAAGACAAAACACCACATGAAGAATGCAAGGTGCAGCGCCCTTCACAGAGCGTTAGTGCTGGAAAGGGAAGGTCTCTCTCCATAACCCCCGTCCCTCCTTCTTTGGCCTCTTATCTTCTTTTCTTCCTTTCTAGAAATGCCCTTAGAAGCTCATTAGTGGTCCCCTCTGAGAGAGAAAACAGGCAGTATGGGAGACTGTTGTTTTTAACCACTCATACTTTTCTAACTATGTGCACATCTATTCCTTATTATTACTTTATTAAAGGACAGAGTAGTTATTTGAGAGTCCAAAATATGCACAACTTGTTTGCATTTTGTGTTCCTGTATAAAATACAAAACCAAAAAGGTTTCTTTTTAAAGCAAAAATGTGGGAGGGATCAATTTTGGGATAATGATAAGAAATGAAGCATTCCTTTTATATATCAAAACACTTCTACTTGTTTCTAAAGACACTGTAACAGAAAAAAAAAAAAAAAACGAAAATCTTGTGCATGGCTCATCCATAGCATGTGGAAGGAATGCCTGCTGAGGAATGATCCTGCTCCAAGCCGCCTGAGGCTGGAATGTCCTGATCCACCAACTTTCTCGTAAGTGAGGTCTCTTGTCACACACAAGGTACCTCACACTTACACACACACACACACCGCACACACGCAAGCTTCCATCTTCCTCCAGTGCAAACAAAGTCATGTGCATTACCCAGAAATGAGTGAGCCAGATGGCTGGAAAAGCACATACAATTTATTTAACTCTGAAAATCAAATCTTCCCTCATGATGTTCCCACCTCAGGGATTAGAAGCAAATTAAAAATCTCTAGGGGCTCAGAAGCCTTCTATAATTTTGAGCTCTGAGCAGTTGTTGGATGACACAATGGAACAGGAGAGGTCTTTCTTGGTGAATTACCCTCTGATCTCATTAAAGAATAAGAATGAGACCATCCTGGCTAACATGATGAAACCCTATCTCTACTAAAAATACAAAAAATTAGCCAGGCATGGTGGCGGGCGCCTGTATTCCCAGTTACTCGGGGGGAGGCTGAGGCAGGAGAATGGCATGAACCCGGGAGGTGGAGCTTGCAGTGAGCTGAGATCATGCCACTGCACTCCAGCCTGGGCGATAATCTAAGGGAAGAGCTGTATCATCACTTAGGTTTAAAAATTAAAGTTTCTCTTGTTTTAAGTTGCCCATCTCCAGTGAATCCACCCAAGGACTTTGAGCCAGCTTTTGGGGCTGCAGCTGGGGTGGACTGGCTTGGAGCAGGCAGACTCCCAAAGGCCAGAACTCAGAATTGCTGGCTTGTCAGTCACTGAGGGTCGGCCAGCTCCTCCCTGCTGCCTGCCACTGGCCAGGTATCCAGAGAAGGGATGGGCCACACCATCCCCTCCCTGGCGCCTGCCATACTGGGGACCAGAAGAGTTCCCAGCCTCTACTTCCTGGCCCTGACACAGGCAGAAAGGGCCTAGGAATATGTTCACTTTATGTTGTGCATTTGTATGGATGCACACATTTCTAAGACTAATTAACTCCAGTGCATGTGAATCAGCTAACACATTATTTTTTTAAAGCCCACGTAAGTGGCTTCACTTAGCTGTAGCTATTCTTTTGGGCTGTTAATTCTAGTAGAACTCTTATTTGTCCTGTGGGTTCTGCAGAATAGAACAGATTTGCTCAACTCCTCAGTGTCTGAGAGCAGCACCTAGGAGTTATCTGGGATCCACCAAAGACACTCCGCGGGGCCTGGCCCTTGTTCAGAATAAACAGAAACCTGCGTCCCTTTGATCTCCTTGACAGGGTAGGTTTGCAGAAGTCAGGCAGGCTGGTAAAAACATCCTTAGTAAGACCAACAGTCTGTCTTTCTTTTTTTTTTAATGTAGAAACAGCATCAAGCTGTTTCTCTCTACCGTCTTTGATAGAAATAAAAATAAAAATAAAAAGTTGAACTGCAGAAAAGCTAAGAGGTTTTTAGTTTTTGTTTTTTGTTTTCCTTCCACCAGTCAATTATTGGAAAGGATTTAGTGAGTCTGGTTTATTTTAGCTTCAATCTGGGTTTGTACACAAGCAAAAAGCAAATGTTGAATTTTCAGGTAGACCTTCATGCAGACATGCAAAACCAACTGTCTCGGTGGTGAGGAGCCATGGGGAGCTCTCCGAAGGGCTTTCCAGGCAGTGGGCTAATGGGCAAAATGACTACTCAGTGGCCCTGCTGACCGATGGTACGGATGTGCCAAGGATATCTATCAGCCCATCTGAGAATATGAAACAAAGTGCTGAGATTCTACTACCTAAAGTAACAAAGAAACCGTAAGCAACACGACTGACAGCCAGAAGGGAACACTGGAGTTGTGGCGTGTAATGCTGTCCTGGATTAGCACCCCCAAATCTCGCCAAGCCAAAGGCCTTGCCCATCTGTGAGTTTTCCACATGTACAGAACCAGGCGTGGTTACGCAAAGTCTTTGGACACGGCCTCCACGAAGTTGGGAGCCGACATCAGGATGCCGATGGTGCAGATGATGGTGAAGACCGAGAAGGCCATGAGGCACAGGCGGTCCACCACACAGGCGGCGAACTTCCACTCGCTGCAGACCGCCTCGCTTTCGTCCTGGCAGCGGAAGCGGTTGGCAATGTAGCGGACCTCCTCCAGGATCTTGGCCAAGTCCGGGTCCCCCTCGGGGGGTTGCCCGCCGTGCAGGAGGTGCTCATCGTGCGTGGGGGAGCAGGCCATGCGGCCACACACTACCCCAGAGTCGGGGGTCGGGACACAGTGCACGCCGTCCAGGCCGCGGAAGCCGATGTACAGCAGGTTCCCGTTGCTGGCGGGCGGCGGCGCCACGGCGCTCATCTCCACACTGGCCAGGCTGCAGCGCCGCTGCTTGTGCTGGCAGGCCGGGCGCACCTTGTCCTCCCCGGGCCTCTTCATTCGCAGGAACCACGCGCACCAGTTCAGAAGGATGACTCTGGTCTGGGGAGACAACAGAACGTTAAGAGCAGCCCTGAGGCGGACACGGGCTGATCCCAACAGCAGTAAGATCCTACAATACAAGCCCTGCTTCATTGGTCCTGGGGGTAGCAGCCTCCACTGCCTCCCGGATGATTTTAGCAGGCAAGCAGTGCTTGCGTATGACAAGCAGTCGAGTTCAACGTGAGGCAAGACTAAAACTGATGCACCCTGGGAACAAGCTAAATTGTTCTCCGGGGCAGGCACACTGCAATCTCAGGGAAGACAGCTTCGTGGAAGGGGAAGGCTATCTGAGCTGTGTAAAGAGGGAAAGTCAATTTCCCTCTCTGATCCTTCCTCATCTGTAACTCGGGGACCTTCAGATCTAACTCTGGCTCCCACACTACCTGTTAGGTGCCCTGGAAGGCCACTGCAAATTCGCAAAGAGTGCCTGGGGGAGGTTGTACATTTTCAAATGCAATCCCAGGATATCCATGAGACACCAGGTAAACTTGAAGCTTGAAGCAGTTCAGGCTTCCAACATCAGATTACCACATCTCTTGTGATGACATGACCACTTTGCAAAGCTGTTTTTCAAAGTACCCTGATAAAAAGCAAACACCAAGGAACTTCATGTGAAACAGAAACTAGGTTAGTGGTCTCCAATCTGATCCCAAGATTTGAGAGGCGGTGCCGTGCCCCATAGGTGCTACATTGTTAAGGCATAAATACTTATTAAAGTGTTTTGATCTATTTAAAAAGAGAGCCTTGGGTATTATTTCTTTTGGCCAGGGGCTCTGTGAAAAATTTCCTGAGATACTAACGTGCTGTGAACCAAGGCAGTTTCGGAACCTCTAACCTAACTCAGTAGGCTTCAATGAAGACCGAATAAGATGATGTCTGGGAGAGTACTTTGAAAAGTTGAAGGCAGAAGTTGGCAAACTTTCTGTAAAGGGCCAGGCAACTACTCACTTCTGCTGATGTAGCACACATTGAAGGCGTCAAATGGATGGGCATGTTTTCTAAAATAACTTATTTACAAAAACACTTGGTGGACTGGATTTGGCCACCTAGGCCATAATTTGCTAACTTCTGGTCTAAAGTGTGTCCTAGAGTGCATGAAAGAAGCTGGAGAAAAATCACCATGGAGTTTATCCTGGTTTTGCCTCTCATGGAAAGAAGAGAGACAACTGAAGCCTCAATCCAGGTAAAGAAGCATTCTTGCAAGCCCATCCATGTAAAGTGTATGAAAAGTGGGCCTTTTCCCTGAAATTATCCAGATCCTGATTTCATTTACATTTTGTTTTATGATTTTGGGGAAATTCCATCAGTAACCTAACAGGTTTATTTCCTATCTTTAGGAAATAAATATACAGATAGTAAATTGTGCAGTTCGTATCTGCAGAGCTTTCATTCTTGGTCATCTTTTTATAACATCTTATCAAAGATAACTGCAACAAACAGGTCTGGGGACAAGAACAGGGAAGCACAAGACCAGTTTCATTGCAGCTATAAAAATAACCCTTTGTTTCCCATTGTACTTTACAAGCAGGCGGCACTCTGCGTGTCCTGGAAAGGTTGGGTCTGCTGACCTTGGAGGGTTTTTTATGATCAGTAAGGAGCAGGGACATATGGCCCCAGGTGAAACCTTGGGTGAGTTGGGCCGTCCATACAAGGCTCATGAGACAAGTCATCTCACTTGGGCCTTTCAGGGTCCGGTGAAATGAGTATAATCCCCTCACTTTACAGACCAACAAACTGAGGTTCAAAGAGGCTAATAAACTGGCCCAACGATGTACAATGAGTAAGTAAGTGGTTATGTCACTTCACATGTTTAGCCTTTCCCAGTCTCATCTGTCAAAGGGTCTGTAAGATTCTCTTCAAAACTCGCACAACCCCACCCCTCTGGGAAGGCACCAGAAAGCCTGAGCCAGCTCTCCTGGGAGGCTGCAGGGCAGTGAGTGTGCCTGCATCCAGTGGCAGCAGTGCACACAGGGAGCGAGCAGCACCAGGCACTTCTCCCTCCATGGCAGGGTCTACACGTCCCCCAGTGCACATCTCAAGCTCATACGATACACTCTGCCAAGTCCATTTTGAATTCCATGGCCTGAATCATTAACTTTCAAAGCCAAAGCATTTAAAAGATAAAATTATCCTCTTGGCACTCCTCAAACTGTGCTCTTGACCTCTTCTGTTAGGCTACAGTTTTGTTTCTGGCTGTGCAAATGTCACATAATGCCACTGCACCCGGCAGTATCTTCTTCATAGCAACAGATCATAATAAAAGTCCCTCGGAGGCTGTTTGTGTTTCACATACACATGGAATGAAAGAAAAATGCAGTGTGCTATATAAAGCGAGAGAAATGCATAAGCTTCATCTTTCATTTGCAGCCAATTGGTTTTAATAAGCTTTTATGCTGAGAGGTGAATAATTAGCATATGTTCTTAATTAAGATTGTTCTAGAGCAGTAGAGTGCTCCAGGTCGTTAAAAATGGTTTTGTGTCTCAATGTCTTAATTCTCTTATCTTCTCATCAGTCAAAATACTTACAAGAAATGAGAATGTTTAGATTTTTGTATTTGCATAAATAAATACTAGAAGGAAAAATAAGGAATTCATTAAAACGGTTATCAGTATTGACGGTAGATGCAGGGTAAAGGGGAAGGAATGGGAGCAGGATTTCCTTATGTATAATTTTAATTTTATTTTGACTTTAGAAACAGGTAAATGTATTACCTGCTTCAAACTGATGGATGGACAGACAGAAAGAGCAGCAAACCAACAAGCCTCCAGCTCTCAGGCCTCTCACCTCTGGCCTTGCATTTTCTTAAGTGTGGGTCAGCGTTATAAGGAAATCAGACAAAAATACAGGTGAATGTGTGCAAATGTACCCCAGTGTTTTAAGGGGGGGCCTTCACAAAACAAGCCTCAGGGAATGTAGTGATGTGGTCTGTGTGTGAGACATCACCATGTAGGCTGAGCTCACATTACTGCTTGTGTAATGAGCTACAAGTCAGTCTTTTTTTTTTTTTTTTTTTTTTTTTTTAGGAGATGGAGTTTTGCTCTGTCACCCAGGCTGGAGGGCAATGACACCACCATAGCTCACTGGAGCCTGGAGCTCCTGGGCTCACATGATCCTCCCACCTCAGCCTCCCAGGTAGCTGGGACTACAGCCACACACCACTGTGGTGGGCTCACAGGTAAGTCTTTACTAAATAGTGTATAAGGGGAATGGGCCATGTGGGTGAAACTCTGAGAAGAAACAGTAATTTTGTAAAGCATTTCTTAAGAAGCAGTCTTTGCTAAGTGAGCATTCAGGTAACAACTCCACAATGACTGTTTCAGGAGGCCCAGCAATCCCCTATTCCTGGAGGGTGCCTGACAGCATCTCACCCCCTACAGCTGCATTTAGCTTGTTGGTGATTCCTAGATTCCCTTCTGAACTGGGACACAAGTGCTCTCCAAAGACAGACAACTTTTGGAATGTGAGGGCCTTTTTAGCTCCCCAAATCCTTAGGCCAGGCTCTCTAGACAGGAGGACGGGGAAGCTTTACAAAGCTCACATGAAGAGGGGAAGAAGCTCAGGCCCTCCCTAGGCCCTCATCAAGGTTTCCTGACTGCCAGGCAAGGGTGGATGCAGAGCTCTGGACACCGTGCAGGAGAGGATCCCTGGGTGGGTGAGCATCCGCAGATGTGGCCGGGCACGGTGCCAGCAGCTGGGGCAGGAGTGGTATGGCCCAGGCTAAGCTGACAGGCTGTGGGATGCCATCCTTTCTGTTTTCATCCGTTTCCTTTTATCCCTTCCCCCTTCTGCACTGGTGACAATTAGTCTTTGTTTCATAGACTTCTGGTTGGATGATATCCCTAGATGTACTGAACGTACATATTTGTACACAGCTCATTCTGTTTCTTACTCTTTGCTCCTCATTCTGTTGTGAAGCCTCAACCATGTTGCTACGCATCTGTCTCATCTGTTGCCTCCAACTGCAGCACAGTGCTTCACGGCATGCATCAAAAAACAAACTAGCTTCTCAAAACACCGTGCTGATTGATAGAACACACAGGGCAGCCAGTTTGAGAGCCTTACTCTACTCTGCAGTTAGATTAGACAGCAGTGCCACGGGGCATCCGGGAACACGTGCACCATGACTGCACACTACACAAAGACACGTCAATAGGTGACGAAATACAGAAACAAAGCTATTTCTGGCTGGGAACAATGGCTCACACCTGTAATCCCAGCACTTTGGGAGGCTGAGGTGGGCAGATCACGAGGTCAGGAGTTCGACATCAGCCTGGCCAACATAGTGAAACCCCATCTCTACTAAAAATACAAAAAAAAATTGGCCAGGTGTGGTGGCAGGCGCCTGTAGTCCCAGCTACTTGGGAGGCTGAGGCAGGAGAATTGCTTGAATCCAGGAGGTGGAGGTTGCAGTGAGCCAAGATTACACCACTGCACTCCAGCCTGGGTGACATAGTGAGACTCCGTCTCAAAAAAACAAACAAAAAACCCAAAGCTATTTCTTTAGGAATGCCCGTTTTTTGTGTGATTTTAAAAATAAACCCTAGGAGGAGCCTCCTTTACAGCGGGGCTCCGACTCCATCGGGGGTGGGAGGAACGTACCCACTTGGGCATCTTGCCCCCGTCGGGGTCGTGGTGGTGGTACTGCAGCACGATCACCGTCACCACCACCGAGAGGCCCACGATGATCATGGTGCTGGCGAAGTACTGGGCTGTGGAGAGAACAGATGCAGGGTGAGACCCGGGGATCCTGTGGCACTGCACGTCACAGGACAGGCACACCCTGATCAGGTTCTCTGACCGTCAGGGCCTCAGGGTGCAGTGATGCCCATGTGTCTAGGCCTGCAGCCCACATTCTGGGTGGGCAAAACCAGCCAGTGTGGTCTGACTTCCCGCCCACGGAGTGACCTTCCCTCACTTCATTGCACTTCCATGCACTCTGGCCGACTTGTCAGTCAATAAGAGCTAGCATCGCCTGGCAGGATGGTGATAAGCTTGTTCCTGTGGGTAAATACTGGATGTGAGGGCATGGGAACCATCCAGTGTTCATGATGCAGGCCTCTACTGTGCTCCAGGGGCACAATGAGGGCAAACCTGCACACCACCTGGCTGCCAGCTGTCCAGCCTGAGGAAGGGGTCAGTGGCAGGGACTTTTCAGGACGAGAACTTCAGTCTCAGCTTTGGTTCTAATGGGTCATGGGTGTCCTTCCACCTGGGCCCAGGTGAGGGGCAGCATGGAGCATCTGAGTGCTTCCATCCTGGTCCACTAGCTACTGGCTGTGAGTTTGGAGTGGATGCTCAGCCTCTTCGGGCCTCAGCTCTCCAATGGGGGTGGTACAAAGGATGACGTTTGTGTCCCCACGAAGTTCATGGGTTAAAACCCTAGTCCTAACTGGGATGGTATCTGGAGGTGGGGCTTTGGGAGGTATGAGATTGTGATTTATAATAAGAAATATGTATTTGGTCTTCCTCCCATTTCCTGGCACACAGCTCCTAAAACCTTTGAATCTCTGAAGTCATCAGTGTCTTTTTATATGCTAATGAAATGATTTATGGCTGAGGTTCCTGGATACCCTCAGGATGGGGTTTGGTTGCCAGGGGAACCAGCCAAGTAATTAGAGAGTTGGAACCTTCAAGCTCTGTCCCCTCTCCCAACCCTTGACCCCTGGGGAGGAAAGAGGTACTGACGGTTGAGTGGATCGCCAGTGGCCAATGATGTAATCAATCATGCCTATGTAGTGAAGCCTCCATAAAAACCCAAAAGGATGGAGTTCTGTGGAGACCTTCCCAGTGCTGAACACGGGGAGGTGTTTGGAGGGCAGAGAGGGCATGGCAGTTCCATGCCCCTTCCCAAATACCTTGCCCTATGCATTTCTTTCATCTGACTATTCATCTGTGCTTTATAATTAATGAATAAATATCAGTAAAATGTTTCCCTGAGTTTACTAGAGTGAGTCACTCTAGTAAATGGCTGAACTCAAAGATGTGCTTTTGGGAACTCCCCGATTTATAGACACTTGGTCAGAAGCATGGGAAGCCGGAACTTCTAACTGGCATCTCAAGTAGAAATGGTCTTGTGAGCCTTAATCTGTGAGTGCTGTGCTAACTCCAGGTGGTGTCAGGACTGAAGTGAACTCACTGTAGGACGCCCAGCTGGTTTCCAAGAATTGGTCGATGTGGGAGAAACGCCCCGCTTTGGTGTCAGAAGTGTTGTGTAAGTAGAGAAATGGTGAGTGATTTTCTCAGGGGCCTTCAACAGGTCCTGAGGGTGCAGCCCTCATGAATGGGATTAGAGTCCTTCATAAAAAGAGGCTAAAGAGCTAATTCACTCTCTTTTTGCCACGTGAGGCCACAGTGAGAAGAGGGCCAGCTGTAAACCAGGGATTGGCCCCTCACCAGAGCCCTGCTGCCACCCTTATCGAGGACGTGCAGCCTTGCAGAACTCTGAGAAATAAATGTCTGTTGCTTAGGCCCCCAGTCTACAGCAATTTGTTACGGTAGCCTCCATTAAAATAGGAACTTCTTCCTTGCAGGATTTGTGCAATGATGAGCAATTACACAGGCCAAGATGTCTAGGAGAAAGGAGGGGGCATTCTTTAGTGGGCAGCTCTAATTATTAAACCTTTGGTGTGGCTGTCCACTCAAGGGGCTGAACTCTAAGCGGAAAGCATCAGGGTGCAGGGCGCTAAGCATTCAGCTAGCCCTCACAGGCCCTCACGCCAGGAAGGAACTCACTGCCTTCCTACAAAGACCAAGAGGTACCTGGGAGGAGCTCTGCCAGAGCTGGAAGTTTGAGACCTAAAGTTAGCATCAGGGCCCCTGAGAAAAGGAAGGAGACTGGAGCAAACCGTGACCCTTATGAGCTGAATTATGCTTCCCCCTAGAATTCATATGTTGAAGCCCCAACCCCTAGTACCCTAGAATGTGACTGTACTTGGAGATAGGGTCTTTAAGGAGGTAATTAAGTACAATTAGGTCATCAGGGTAAGCCCTAATCCAATCTGACTGGTGTTCTTTTAATGAAGAAGAGAAAATTTGGACACACAGAGAGACACCAGGGATGCAGGTGCACAGAGGAACTACCAGGGGAGGACAAAGCATTGTGAAAGTGGTTGTCTGCAAGCCAGGGGGAGAGGTCTCAGGTTAAACCATCCCTAATGGCCCCTTGGTCTTGGACTTTCAGCAGTGCAACTGTGAGAAAATAAATTTCTGTTAGTTATTTAAGCCCCTAAGTCCATAGTATTTTGTCACGGCAGCCTGAGCAGACCAACCACCTCTGGAGAGATGGGGGTCAAAGGATTGCCCAGACTGAATTTCCATCAACAGAGGGCAGCAAAGCTGATGTCCCTGGGGCCATCAACATCCCATCCTTCGAGATGTGGGCTATGCACCAACCAAGCCTTTCCCAGTGGGTCATCAGTCCAGAGAGAGAAGGCCTGACAACTGCCCCCGGAAGGGAGGCTGCAAATCTCTACTGAAAGCAGTGTGCTGGAAGGTAGAAAGAATGGAGTCAGAATCAGGTGGAAAGGTGGTTCTTCCCTGTCTGGATGGTACCAAGAGAAAAATGATACCCACAAAGGCTTTTCATACCAACAGTTTCTCTGGCCAAAATACTGCACATACAGGGAGTTCCACAAAGAAGGGCCTTTGCTGCTTGGTTCCTAAAGCCTGGGGGTATCCAGGTAGGGCTCTCCCTCTAGCCCACCCCCAGGTAGACACAGCATAGGTCCTCAAACAGCAGGGGCCAGCAGGTGTAATGACAGTCTGTATACCTCCTTCCAACCTTCCCTGCCCAGTGGGAGTGGAGACTTGTTTTTGTTGTCCCTCCCTGGGTAGAGGATCATGCCTTATACCTGTGCAAAATATATTTTTCTCATTCATATTTCCCTAGAAACTTTTATACAGAGACATTGAGTTATCTCAGGACACAGTAACTGTGTGCTTCTCCCATTTTAACAAAGGCTTTGTGGGAAAACAACATCTTAAGCTAAAATGATGCATCTCTAACGATGAAATATCTGGCTTCAAAGCAAGCATGAGGAGGAGAATTATGAGGGGAAGGGGGGCATTTCTGTGAGATAAAAGTCAAACCTCAAAGCTGAATATCCCCTTCCCCTTACTTGGGCCCGGGTGACTCTGAATAGTTACAGCAAATCATCACCTTCCAGAGAAAATGGGGGCAGTGCAGCCGTATTTCTTCTAGTTTCATCTGCTGGGAAATCCTGGGCACACTCTAACCCTAACCCCATATCTCTAAGAGAGGAGCCCAACTCTTGCCTTACCTATCAATGGTACCGAATCGGATGTTGCGGGCATGATCTCAGCCACGAGCAGCATGAAGACGGTAAGAGAGAGTAAGACTGTTATCCCTAAAACATAAACACACAGCGGTTCCTCAGACAAAAACAGACAAGAAGGCCTCAATTCTGTCTAACGAGGGCTCCTAACCTGACACTCAAAAGAAAGGGAGGCGCTGGGGGGAATGTCGTGGAATGCATGTTTTCCCTATGTATGGGCGTGTGCATTTTCCAGGGGACATTCCATGCCACTTACCAGAGTCCCAAAGGAGTCTCTTATGGAGACAAGTTTAGGACCCAGAATTTTAAAAGCATCAACACAAACTGAAAAATTTAACTTGGCACAATTATCTCTCATATTCTCTGTAAAATATTATTGAGAAGTAGTTTCACGTAGCAGGAAAAAGAAAATATGCAGTCAGGAGACCTGATTTCAGGTCTTACGTTTGCTACTCAGCTAGCTATGTGACCTTAGATACAACATTCAACCTTTCTGAACCTCATACTCAGAAGATATGGGTTTGGGAATGATTTCTACCATATGCTACATCTGATGTTTAGCAACTCTTTAAGACATTGGGAAACTCATTCCACCATTCAAAATCTTGGTTTCCTTAGCTTCGTATGGGAGTGATCGTAAGAATTACACTGGGTACTGTAACATACAAATGCAAGCTGATACTAAGCTAAATTGTTCCCTCGATGACCAGTCGCCATTGAGGAACAGGTGGGGTGGCAGGAGGGAAGAAAGCACAGGCCTCTCAAGGCAGAATGGAGCTGGCCCCCTCCCTGTGCATCCCCCATCCTCTGAGGGTCCTCCAGTATTCTCAGGATTACACAGCCGTCCAGCACGGAGCCCGAATCAGGGACCTCTGGTGTCCTGGAGCCACCGTGGGCTCGGAGGTCCATGGGATGAGCCAGGGAATCCCCAGGAACCCTGATGGAGTCCTGCGCTGTCTGCTGTGAGCCCTCCAGAGCTGATCTCAGCAGAAGGTCTCCAGTCTCAGACTCCCGCCAGACACTGGGGCGCTTACCCAGGGAAATCTTCTCCCCGGAATCTGCAGGAAGCAGGAACACCAGCAGGGCGAGGGCGGAGATGAGCACACAGGGGATCAGCAGGTTGAGGCCATAGTAGAGCGTCCTGCGGCGCATGGTCACTGTGAAGGTGACATCGGGGTAGGGCTCTTTGCAGCACTCATAGAACCTTTCACTCCTCTTGCCGGGGATTCCTCCATAGGGAGGAGGAGAGAAGGAGCCATTGTTAGAATACAATAAATTACCCTGTTTATTTCAATGTGTATACCACACACAAGCACAGTCCTAAAGTTTGCAAAGTGCTAAAAAAAAAAAAAAGGGGGGGGTTGTAATTAGCTTGAATAAAACCTTGTTGATTTACTATAGAGTTAAGAGTATTTTAGTGATAGTTGGCCAAATTGGTACATATTCTTTTGGTGGATTGGAAACACATGATTATAATAATTATAAATAATACATTACCAATTTTACACTGTTATAAATGTAATCACTGTTTTCCTATTTTAAAATAATCAAATATAGGTTCCCATCAACTGAAATTTGCTGTTCAACTTGCTTTTAGAAATGGAGTGGATCTGCATAACGTAGAGAGATCTATCCTCACACTGGTTTGTTTAAATGCATCCTCACTGCAGTTGCCAGTTCCTCTTGGAAAGCATGGCATATCCTAACTGTTTTCTGTTTCTCCTCCTGTAGCTCTCAGTAAATTATGGAGACTACTGCAAAATTCAATAAATGCTCGCACCGGAAAGGACAGTGGAAAATCCCAAACTTTTAAAGCTTGCCCAGGAATAGGAAAGCTTTCTTCCAGGCGGTTAGTCTCATGGCTTACCCACTAGGTCCCATTCTCCATTGGGGATATAGCCACTGATATCTGCCTCCTGCATCTGCAGATCCAAGGACCAGCCTCCGTAAGACCAGGACCCAAACTTCAGTTTGCAGTGCTGCACATCAAAGGGAAACCAGCGTACATCGATGTAGCAGGAACTCTTGAATATGCCTGTGTGGGTGATGGAAACAGAAGACTGAAACGGAAGCTGACTGAGATGTGCTGAAAATACACAGCAGTTCCTTCAGCCGGTTCCGCCCTCCGCACTGCAGCTAACACAGTCCAGAGCAAACGGAATCTGTCTTTTTATTTATTCGCAAAATCTGTAAAACAGAATCTCAGCTAAGCTTCACTGTCTTTTAAAATCCAAACGTAACACTGACATGCTCTCTCAAAGACTGTTTTGTGGGCTTTTTGTGCAAAAAGTTAGCTCTATAATCTGCATTTACCATGAGCATCTTCAGACTCTAAATAATAAAAGTAAAGAATGCAAAATATCTCAGAGAAGTTGATAACCCTGATGATGAAGTTAGAAATAGAATCTAAAAGGTGTGTGTGTGTGTGTGTGTGTGTCTGTTTGGTGCGGGGTGAGGTAGGCATTTTCTTTAGGTTAAAAATGGGAAGAACAACACATGATTATCGAGAAATACAATCTAGAATTCTGGTTAAAGCTAGAATTTTAACTAATTTAAATTCTAGATGAAGAACAGAACAAGCTGGGCACAGTGTCTCATGCCCGTAATCCCAGTGACTCTAAGACATTGACGTGGGAGGGTCACTTGAGACTAGGAGTTTGAGACCGGACTGGGCAACATAGTGAGACATCTCTAATAAAAAAAATTAGCTGGGTGAGGTGATGCATGCCTGTAGTCCCAGCTACTCAGAAGGCTAAGGCAGGAGCATTGCTTGAGCCCAGGAGTTTGAGGCTAAAGTGAAGTGAGCTATGATCGAGCCCCTGCACTCCAGCCTGGGGAACACACCTAGAATCTGTCTGTAAGAAAAAAAGTTAAAACAAACAAACAAACAAACAAACAAAAACAAGAACAGATAGATAGGTTTAAGCTGAAGAGATGGTGCTTGAAGGAAGAGTTTCCGCTGAAAAGAGCTATTCCAGGCTAGGACAGGTTGGAAGTGGATTTCCCAGAGGGCCAAGGGGAGGAAACCAGATAGAGGCCACTCCAGTTATTTACACTCATGTGCTCTTCCCTGCCCAGAGGAAGGCTGCATGGCACAAGAAGACAGGCACAGACTCGGTGTCCAGGTGTTCCTGGGGCAGGGCTGGCACTCTGCAAACTTCTGTTACTGAGTTACAGAAAGAGTGCACGCAGGAAGGGCCTCCACAGCCTTGCACACAAGGACCCCACCCCACAACCGAGTTGGGAAAAGATACACATTTTGTCCCCTGAAGTTCCTTTAAGTATGCTTTGCGTCCTTACATGAAATGTTTATAGGAATCTGGAATCATCACAGACAATCCCCCTCCATTAATAGTTGGATCCCCCCAAAACCCACCTTGTCTGCCAGTTAGTTGGAAAGCTTTGTAACTTCATGAGCCCATTTCTACGAAATAATGGCCCGAGACAGACAGAGAATTTCTAGAGACAGAAAGCAGATCAGTGGTTGCTGGGAGTAGGAATGGGAATTAACTGCAAACAAGCAAAAGGGATCTTTGTGGGGTGATGGGAATGTTCTAAAACTAGACTGTGGTAATGGTTGCATAAGTCTGTAAATATACTAAAAGTTGTTGAATCATGTACTTAAAATGCATGATATGTAAATTCTCTCTCAATAAAGCTGTTAAAAAATAAACACATGAAATGGGGGGGAAAGTCATGTTATGGTCAAGTCTCTATTTCAAAGCTTGAACTCAAAACATTCTTTCCTATCCATGCCCCTCTAACTACAGACAGGGCAGCATCCTGGGACTCGTTCTACACTCCCAGGGAGCAGGCAGGGGTTTCCCAATCCAGGCGGCCCTGGGCCTTTCCTGCCAGCGTAAGGAAGCCCCTCATGGTCACAAGACAACGTGTCCTGTCCTGACCGGAATCCAGGGCCACTGCAGTGGGGACACAGGCCTGGAGCCCCAGAGGGGCTGCTGCACTCAGGCAGCTCGAGGCTTGCAGTGCTGGTCCTGCAGCTGAAAATAGCCTCAGCCTTCCAAACAACCTGCAGCAGCATATTCTACACTGGTGACTACCGGAGGCTGTTTTCTAAAATAGCCCTCATAACAGAAGCTGCAACACGCAGGCCTGGCGAGAAAGACCTCGGGAGTGATGGAAGGCTCCCCCCACTACCCCTGTTTGCAAGGGTCCTGCTGGTAGGAGGAAATGCCAGGGCTAGCAGGAAAGCGGATGCTTCGAGAAGCCTGAACAGCTGGACTTCTTCAATCTCTTCCAATATTATTGGGAGGTGTCTACCATTGACAGGTTCACTCGCTCCTTTGTTCATTCAGGGATAAATGCTAAGGTGAGCAAAGGCTGACTGTGCCCCCAGATGCTTGTCACCTGCTGACAGGGAAGGCACACAGACAGCAACCGAGAAGGCACAGCCAGTATGTGTGGTATGTGAGTGGTGTGAATAGTGTATCTGGTTTGAGAGTGCATGCCTGCATGTGTGTAAGTGGTGTGTGTGAGGGTTGTGAGTCGTGTGTGAGTGGTGTGTATGGTGTGTGAGAGTGGTGTGTAAGTGGTGTGTGTGAGGGGTGTGTGTGTGTCTGGTGTGTGTGTGTTGGTGGTTTGAGTGGTTTGTGTGAGTGGTATGTGTGGAGTGGTGAGTGGTGTGTGGGTGGTATATTTGTGTGAGTGGTGTGTGAGTGTTGAGTCGTGTGGGTGGTATGTGAGTGGTTGTGTGAGTGGTGTGTGAGTGTTGAGTCGTGTGGGTGGTATGTGAGTGGTTGTGTGAGTGGTGTGTGTGTTGAGTCATGTGGGTGGTATGTGAGTGGTTGTGTGAGTGGTGTGTGTGATTGTGAGTGGTGTGTGTGTTGTGTGAACAGTGTGTGTGGGTGGTGTGTATGAGTGGTGTGAGTAGTGTGAGTGGTGTGAGTGGTGTGTGTGAGTACTGAGTGGTGTGTGTGTGTGTGAGGTGTGTGTGAGTGGTGTGTGTGAGGGGTGAGTGGTGTGTGGTATGTGTGAGTGGCTGTGTGTGAGTGGTTGCGAGTGGTGTGTGTGTGAGTCGTATGTGTGAGTGGTAGTTAGGTGTGGAGGTAATTGCAGGTTGCCTCTGAGCAGAAAGTTAAACAGCTGCAGTGTGGGAGATCACCCTGGAATAAACACATTAAAAATCTTCTAAAAGATCAAAAACCCCAGCTGTTCCTATCAATATGCTAGTGCGCACTCTGCATGCACCTGTAGGCCATAAACCCATTTCCCTTGCCCTGTGAATCGACTGAAAAGATGGACTGGTGGGAAAGAACCAATCCAGGGAGCACTTAGCCTTGGAGGTGAGACACTGTTGGGAAGAAGTCAGCCGCTAGAGAGCTCTCCCTTGAAACCACCAGACCTTGCCTGTAACCTGCGTGTGCTCTTTAGCGCACGCACTCAGGATCCTGGAACTGTCATATCTCACCCCCGGCAGCTGGAGCGCTGCACCTGCCAAGACACTGAGTCCCGCAGGGAGGAGGATGGCAAGCTGGAACTGAGAAGCAGAGCCTGGAGAGGTGGCTTGCCAGGCTGGAAGGTGAGGTGGCCACTGCCCGGCAAAGGAGACTCGCTGTATTTGTACATTGGCTTTAAGGCACACATGGCAGAAAATAAGGACATAGTGGCAAAGACGGCTTGATTGAGACAAAAGAGGAGGATGGACTTCTGGGGGTAGAAAGCACACAGAAGCACAGAAGAGAAGAGAGAGGAAGAGGTGGGAGTGAGCAAAGGCGAAGCAAAGAGCTGGTCCACCACACGGGGGCACCGGCCAGACTGACTGACACCCAAACTCGCTTCAGTTTTCTAACTGGAAGAGGACAAAGGAGGTGCAGCTTACCTGGAGGCAGGTACTGGCAATGCCCAGAAGAATTCACCAACACGTTAGTGTGGAATGTGGCGTCAAAGCGCTCATCAGCACTAGAAACAGGAAAAGGACTGCATGAGCCAGTGCCACCAGGCTGTGGATTTCCCGAAGCCCTGGGGTCTGTCTTTGATGGAGCAGCAAAGACCTTGAGAGGGGCCCCTGTCTGTCCTCACAACCCCACACCCTGCCTGAGAGCACCACTGGGGCTGGCCTGGGAGGTCTTCCCCGGGCACAGCTTGGAAGGGCCAGTGTCTACCCCCATTTCAATTTTCACACCGAACTGGTGATTTTTCTCACAATGTATATAAAACCAAGCTCTTAACCAAATGAAACCTGTAAACAACTCTGGAGGACATCGGCAGATGTGACATTTTCATGGCGTCTAGAAGAACAGAGGGTGGGTGAGGCACGCTGCCACCCTGTGAGCCTCATGGGGCAGGGTTTTCACTCGCTGTGTCCAAAGCTCTAGTTCCAGCCTCTTGAAGCGGACACACACTTGGTTTGTGCTTCACATATATATCTTTTTTTTTTTTTTTTTTTGAGACAGAGTCTTGCTGTGTTGCCCAGGCTAGAGTGCAGTGGCATGATCTCGGCTCACTGCAAGCTCCACCTCCTGGGTTCATGTCATCCTCCTGCCTCAGCTTCCCGAGTAGCTGGGACTACAGGTGCACACCACCACACCTGGTTAATTTTTTTGTATTTTTAGTAGAGACGGGGGTTTCACTATGTTAGCCGGGATGGTCTCGATCTCCTGACCTTGTGATCCACCCGCCTCAGCCTCCCAAAGTGCTGGGATTATAGGCGTGAGCCACCGTGCCCGGCCCACATATATATCTTGAATGACTGAACTGCAGGTGCAGGAGGGAGCTGGACACCACAACCCCAGAGGGCTTCCAGCTCCACAGTTAGCGATGAAAAGAAGGAGAGTGAGGGAAGACAACAGAAGTAAGTGCGAGTTTTAGACGGATGCACCTCTGCCCCTCTCCGTCCCCTGTTCCAGCCTCCTGCAGCCAGGAGTTAACAACTGGGATAAAGGACACACACCCACACACACACACAGCCCCAACAGCAATTACACCAACAGCCTGTACTAGCCTTGTCTTTTATTTTCTGGATTCTGATGTGTTGACATCTGGGGCTTTGCTGACTCTGGAGGCCCCTTGGAGAGAGAGTAAACAACTCTGGCCTTTCAAACACAAATCAATCAATCCAGAACCCATACCCCCACCCAAACACATCCTTTATCAGGCTGTCACACTGGGGTTGACACCAGTCCTGCTCTCATCACTGCAGGACCAGGTAAAAGTCAACCAGGAAGAGTCCCTATGCCCCAGGGCCTACTGCAATTATTCTAAGGAGCTAATCCTAAACCTAAGCCTGCGTGCCCTGCTCCTCCCTTCCTTCCTGCAGAAGCCACAATGAAGGACGGCCCTTGCTCAGGTTTCCCGCACTCTCTCGGCCTCCCGCGTGGCCCTGGTGCCTCCCTGTGTCCCTGCATGTGCTACGCTTCCCTTTTTTTTTGAAATGGAGTCTAGCTCTGTTGCCCAGGCTGGAGTGCAGGGGCACGACCTCGGCTCACTGCAACCTCTGCCTCCTGGATTCAAGCAATTCTCCTGCCTCAGCCTCCTGAGTAGCTGGGATTACAGGTGCGTGCCACCACTCCCGGCTAATTGTTATATTTTTAGTAGAGATGGGGTTTCACCATGTTGGTTAGGCTGGTCTTGAACTCCTGGCCTCGTGATCCACCCCCCACTTAGCCTCTCAAAGTGCTAGGATTACAGGCTGAGCCACCACGCCTAGCCTGTCCTTCTGCTTCTAAGAACAGTGAGTAAAACTGCTTTCCTTCAGGACAGTCACTTCTGTGTCTAAGTGTCTCACCATGCCTGATTAAAACCAACCCTGGGTACCCTTAAAACACAGCCCTACTGGTAAAGAAAAATAAACCACCTCAAAAAAACACAGGCAGCCAATCAAAGTACCAGCACCCCAGAGTAAAGCTCCCCTCATTTTGGCCACTATGGCCCCTGCAGGAGCTGCCCATGACTACAGAGCCTCAGGCAGCCTCTCCCATGTCTGAGATTTCTCAAGGGGAAACTTAGAATCACAGATACCGGAGGACAGTCTTCAGCATGCGACACACAGTGGAGGATACACACCAAAAAAGATCCAAAAAGAATGAGTCAATGAAAAGAAGGAAAAATCACTTCTTAAAAAAGTAATGTCCTCACAACATTCAAGAGGACATAGCAATTAGAAAAAAGAGAGAAAAATGGAAATTAAAGGTATGATTTATGAAATAACTTTTTATGAGTAGGTGGGAGGTTTGGCTGATAGAAATCACAGAGATCAAACATAACACAGAAAGAAGACAGCGTAGAGGACAAGGCTGGGGGAACTCGCCTCACTCACAGAAGCTCCATCAGGGAGAGTGGGAGGGAAAAAATTAAGAAATAACACGAAGACACTTCTCACAGCAGAAAAACCACCCAAGCATGAAGGCAAAAAAAAAGGGGTTTTCAAGAACATTAAAGCCTTGAAGAGCTTGTTCCCAACATATATTTCCTTGGTCAGCTTTGGAACAATGAGAGTGAAACCTGAGAAAGAATACACTTTTAGATTAAACCTGGAGATCGATAAAAGAGATTTAGAGGATGACTTGAGCAGGAGGCCTAGAAAAAGGTGGGTCCAAATCCCAGCAAGACGTTAAAGTACTGAGGACAGAACCAAATGGGTTCAGAGCAAGAAAGAGGAGATATAATGAGCTGAAAAACATCATGGACTTGATTAAGGACACAGTTTTAAACATTCTTATAATAAGAAAAGGCAACCAGAAACTCTAGGAAAAAAGTAGTAATTGTATGAGAAAGCCGTGATTTGAATATGAAACAAGCAAAAACGTGATGAAGTTTAAGGGAAGGAAGAAAGGGGGATAAGGGGGAAAAAGGGGGAGACTGAGAGAAAGGAGAGAGGGAGAGAAGGCGAGAGCCAAGTTGTCATGAAAGGACACATCCCCCCCCCTTACTTCCAAAAACACATAGGGAAAGAGAGAGGAGGAGGTAGGATCAAGATGTAAATATTCTTTGCTTGACCGTAGTCTGTATCTGACTGTTAATGAGTCACATTATAAATGGTGATTGGGCACAAAATAGCTGAAAATGTGGACCTGCACAAGCTCACTCTGGATAGTATCATGATCTTCAAGCTAGGTTCTCTGGAGCCCTGAGACCCTATGGAGGCGCCTCAAGGTTTCTGGAAATATTTACCTCCAATATTTTAGTTCCTTTGAATTTGAAAATGGTAATAAAAGTCACACACTCAAATGACTATTAACAAAATTTTAACTCTTAGAGACTACCGTTGTGTTAATTTATGTGTCCTGTTTAACTCCTTTTTGCATGGAAGTTAAACTAAAGCCTCTCTGGCCATGAATTTGCACGCATTTGAATCTCTTATAAAGGAGTCACCAAATGAGATTTCAGCTTTGCATTGCTTTTAAAAAATTAAAGTCTGTCCCTCCAATTACATGGCATCTAACCCGCACCAGACGTGGGATGCGTTCCCCCATCAATCACCCTCAGTAGCAGCAACATAGAAAGCATGGTCTATAGTCTGGGCACAGTGGCCCACACCTATAATATTAGCACTTTGGGAGGCCCAGAGGGGAGGATCATTTGAAGCCAGAAGTTTGAGACCAGACTGGGCAACAAAGCAAGACCCCATCTCTACAAAAACAAAACACTGACAAAATTAATCAGTGCAGTGACATAAGCTTATGTTTCCAGCTACTCAGGAGGCTGAGGCAGGAGGATTAGTTGAGCCCAGGAGTTTGAGGCTGCAGTGAGCTATGTTTGCACCACTGTCCTCCAGCCTAGGAGACAGAGCGAGACCCTGTCTCTAATAAAATAAAATAAAAACATAAATATTTTTGAAATAAAAATAAATTAAAAATTAAGAATAGTGTGGTTTGATGCATGTTATGGGGAACAAAGTTTTGCTTATTTTAAGCTTGGGTTTCTTCCTGTCTGATTTTCATATTTATAATCAAGACTGAGCATCTGTTAGATCAGTGATTCAACTCTGAAAAAAAAAAAGTTCCTACAAGCCTTTCTTTCAAGCATTTGGATCAATTTAATTGAAGAGACTCTTGAGATCACAAGGCAAACAGGTAAAAACAAGATAAAAAAACTGTTGCTATTAGCAACAGCTTACCTGTGACTCAGTGATTTGTGACTCAGTGATTTCTGAATGTTTTTCATCCAAACAGAATATTGAGCTACATGAAATTGTAACACATAAATGTTATCAAAATCCAAATCTTAATACCCATGATGGTAGTTTTACGCTTCTTTCCCATAGGCAAATTGATTTTATAAGTACATAGTATAAAAGTAAACTCTTGTAATGGATTTGTGCTAATACTACTTTATCTGTTTTGAGCATTAGGGGTGGAGATAAGATGAGTTTGAAGAAAGGCCCTGTTGCTGAAAACTGAGTTTGAAAACAGTGATCTGAGGTGGGAAATGAAGAACCTCGGAAATGTGAGTGGCCAGAACCCCTATGAGGACCTCAGTGACCACAGCACCGGCGCAGCTTCCCCGGGGATGCCCGACAGATGCCAGCCAACAGTGACCCCCTCACCAGTGCTGGGCAGCCCTGTGCTGGCAAACACCCATAACCGTGGAAACAGGGGTAGGGCTGCAGGGATTCATTCTCCTCCTCACTCCTCTTCTGTGTGTAAACTGTTCTGTATTAAATAGTCTGAAAATGGCCAAATATATTCTTTATTTTGACTACTGGAAGACACAGTACATCCACAGTTTGTGAAGATGCCGGCCTGTGGCCTCTCCGTCCTTGCAGGAGCTGCCTTTATCTGGCTGCCTTTGTCCTCCCCCAGCCAGCAATGACTGGGGCTCACTCTTGGAGTGAGGAGAGCTCTGAGCCCTACCCTCACCACGGAGGGGGTGACTGGGGCAAATGTAACTCAAACATGTAGGACGCAAGCTACGTGTCCTTAGCGGGGGTAGGAGGAGGAGAGGTGTCTGCATAGGCTTTAAAGGATAGCCAGAGCTCCCAAAGACGGAAACGGATGTGGACAGGCCCCTGGCGGAGGGCATGGTGGGATCACACACTTGGAGATAAGCCAGAACGAAGGAGGCTCCAGGAAGGTCTGGCTTGCCTGGATCATGGTGTTTGCTTACACCATGTTGCCCTAAGCAGTGAGGCTGAAAGAGGGCTTGAGAGCAAACCACTGCTTGGCCCCCCAGGCAGGATTCAGAAGCCCAATCCTTATGGGATTACAAGCTGTGCTTTCAGACGTCAATGGCAGTATAGGCAGGGGGAGCCCATGGGGCACAGGTGGACCCTGTGGGTGGGTCTGAGATCACACCTTTCCTTCCTCCACATCCCCTAGGATCCTCACACAATGGTGCCTGGTCTCATTCCTGCAGAGCTGCTGGCCCTGGAACAAGAGCCCTCTGATCCTAGGCTCAGCCTTGCCTCCTGCCTCAGTCAGCTCTGTAGCATTGACCTCTACGGCTGAGCACGGGAGGCCTCAACACTGAGCCAGAAAAGAAGAGAGTGATTGTGCCTCCACAGAGAAAGCATCATCTGACCCAGAAGCCCGGCTCTTATAACCTTGAGAGAAAAAGCCAGGGGTCCAGCCATCAAAGAAGTCCAGCAAGACCAACTCCCAATAGGGCACGTGTTCACCAGAATGAGCCTCTGCATTCAGGTAAAGATGAATAATAATAAAATAACAATAAGAAGAAGAAATCCAGGCACTCTGTCCTGCTGCAAAGAAAATGCTTCGCATGGGTTCAGGATGACCCTAAATAGTAAGGTCTCATGTGAAATCAATCCCATTCCCTCTGAGCTCTCAGCAACCTTGAAAGACTGAGAGAGAGAAGGGCAAGAGAGATGAAGATGAAATCTATCCAAAAAGGAAGGGAGGAGGAAGGATGATGCTCATCTATCTGATCTAAGGTGTCATTTACTTTAAATCTCTGAAGAAAGGGGAAAAAAAGCTGCCAATTCCCCAATTCCATGTGAAGACACCACTGACGGAAGCAATGCCCAGATTGCAGAGGGAAAGCAAGGCTGTTGAGAATGGGTAAATTTTCTGAACAGAAGACAGAGGGAGAGACACACCCTGTCATAAATCTTTTTAGTTATATATTTTATTCTAAAATGTTGAGGGTCTGCAATCAGCAATGTGGCTTGTCATAGTCCATGACCAAAAAAGTCTTGAGTAGAATCAAACTTTTATGGTCATTTCTACCTGCCAGAGATTCCAGGAAGCAGAATTCTGAGGTACCAGGAGGAGGCTTCCAGAAAAATGCATTCAAGAATATTTCCTTTTTTTAAAAAAAGAAAATATTTACTTATTTATATTATTTGTTTATTTATTTATTTTGAGACAGGGTCATGCTTTGTCACCCAGGCTGGAGTGCAGTGGTGCGATCGTGGCTCACTGGAGCCTCAAACTCTTGGGCTCAAGCCATCCGCCTTCCTCAGCCTCCTGGCAGCTAGGACTGCAGGCACGTGCTATCTGTTCATATTTTGATTTTTATTTTAGATTCAGGACATACATGTGCATGTTTGTCACATGGGTATATCGCATGCGATGCAGAAGTTTAGGGTATAATTGATTCCATCACCCAGGCAGTGAGCAGAGTATCCAGTAGTTTTTCAATCCTGGCCCCCTTCTCCTTTCCCCCTACAGTAGTCTCCAGTGTCTGTTGTTGCCATCTTTATGTCCATGAGTACCCAGTGTTTAGCTCCCACTCAGAAATCTTTTCTTTAGCCACTAGTTGGCATATTAAATTGAATGTAACATGGGATATTATAACAACTGGATATGGCATAGGATGGATTACAGCAAAGCTATAAGTAACATGGGAGAAGATTAACACAGCAGATATCCAGTTTCTGGACTCCCTATTTTTGTTCCTTGTGTTACATGTCTATCCCTGACCCAGCAAAACATCATCTTAATCCTTACAGCATTATGAAAGTGTTGCATTTGGCACAGAAAGTCCCCCAACTTGGTTCTTTTTCTTTAAAATTGTCTTGTTTTACTATTCTTGCTCATTACTGATCCTTTGCTCATCATTGTAAATTTTAAATTTACTTGTACAGTCTCATGAAGTCCCTGTTAAGACTTTAGTTGGAATCACATTAAATTTAGTTGGAATCACATTAATCACACTCAATTTATTTTGGAAAAATTTGGCATCTGGTATTGAGTTTTCCCAGGCATAAACGTGATACAACTCAACATTTATGTTGTTCTTTCTTAAATTTATTTTTTGGTACTCAACACCTGCAGATATTGAAAATAAAATTTGTGAAATTACATTTTCTAACTGTCTGTTGTAAGAATATAGAAACACATTTGATACTTCGATAGATCTTGTTTTGTATCAGATATATTTTTTCTAGACAGTCTCTAGGGATTTTCTATGTAAAAAACAGATATGGCCTATAAAGATGATAACAGGTTTATTCCTTATTCATAAACATTTTATTATTTTACTTGTATTACTACTGAAATTCATATAGTCACTAAGATATTTTTAAAAAGTGATGACACTGATATTCTTATTTTATTCTACGTTTAGAAACTTCTAATGTTTCAGCATTAAGTGAGACCCCTATGTCAGGTTAGGTGAAACTTCTTCCAATTACAAATGGGTTTTAAATAACATCAACTGATTTTTCTCCAGCTACCAGAATGATCATTTATTTTTTTCTGCCTCAATCTTTTAATAGAATGAATTATATTAATGGACTTTTTTGAAAGTTAAACAAACTGTGCATTCCTAATAGAAGCCTAAACTTGTTAGGATTTATTTTTAACTTATTGCTAGACTTTGTTATGCTGATATTTTAGTTAAGACTTATACATAGGAGTTGCTTCCAAGATGGCCGAATAAGAACAGCTCTGGTCTGCAGCTCCAAACGAGATCAACGCAGAAGATGGGTGATTTCTCCAACTGAGGTACCTGGTTCATCTCATTGGGACTGGTTGGACAGTGGGTGCAACCCACGGAGGGCAAGCCAAAGCAGGGTGGGGCGTCGCCTCACCCAGGAAGTGCAAGGGGTTGGGGGATTTCCCTTTCCTAGCCAAGGGAAGCTGTGACAGACTGTACCTGGAAAAACAGTACACTCCCGCCCAAATACTGCACTTTTCAACGGTCTTAGCGATCAGCAGACCAGGAGATTCCCTCCTGTGCCTGGCCCAGTGGGACCCACACCCACGGAGCCTTGCTCACTGCTAGCACAGCAGTCTGTGATCGATCTGTGAGGCTACAGCCTGGTGGTGGGGAGGGGTGTCCGCCACTGCTGAGGCTTGAGTAGGTAAACAAAGCGGCCAGGAAGCTCGAACTGAGTGGAGCCCACCACAGCTCAGCAAGGCCTACTGCCTCTATAGACTCCACTTCTGTGGGCAGGGCATAGCTGAACAAAAGGCAGCAGACAACTTCTGCAGACTTAAACATCTCTGTCTGACACCTCTGAAGAGAGCACTGGTTCTCCCAGCACGGCGTTCAAGCTCTGAGAATGGATAGACTGCCTCCTCAAGTGGGTCCCTGACCCCCGTGTAGCCTGACTGGGAGACATCTCCCAGTAGGGGCCAACAGACACCTCATACAGGTGGGTGCTCCTCTGGGACAAAGCTTCAAGAAGAAGGATCAGGCAGCAATGTTTGCTGTTCTGCAGCCTCTGCTGGTGATACTCAGGCAAACAGGGTCTGGAGTGGACCTCCAGCAAACTCCAACAGACCTGCAGCTGAGGGGCCTTACTGTTAAAAGGAAAACTAACAAACAGAAAGGAATAGCATCAACATCAACAAAAGGGACATCCACACCAAAACCCCATCTGTAGGTCACCAACATCAAAGACCAAAGGTAGATAAAACCACAAAGATGAGGAGAAGAGCAGAAAAACTGAAAATTCCAAAAACCAGAGCACCCCTTCTTCTCCAAAGGATCGCAGCTCCTTGCCAGCAATGGAACAAAACTGGATGGAGAATGACTTTGACGAGTTGACAGAAGTAGGTTTCAGAAGGTCGGCAATAAGAAACTTCTCCAAGCTAAAGGAGCATGTTCGAACCCATTGCAAGGAAGCTAAGAACCTTGAAAAAAGGTTAGATGAATGGCTAACTAGAATGAATAGTATAGAGAAGACCTGAAATGACCTGATGGAGCTGAAAACCACAGCATGAGAACTTCATGACACATGCACAAGCTTCAATAGCCGATTCGATCAAGTGGAAGAAAGGATATCAGTGTTTGAAGATCAAATTAATGAAATGAAGTGAGAAGACAAGATTAGAGAAAAAACAGTAAAACGAAACAAACAAAGCCTCCAAGAAATATGGGACTATGTGACAAGACCAAATCTATGTTTGATTGGTGTACCTGAAAGTGATGAGCAGAATGGAACCAAGCTGGAAAACACCCTTCAGGATATTATCCAGGAGAACTTCCCCAACCTAGCAAGGCAGGCCAACATTCAAATTCAGGAAATACAGAGAACACCACAAAGCTACTCTTCAAAAAGAGCAACCCCAAGACACATAATTTTCAGATTCACCAAGGTTGAAATGAAGGGAAAAAATGTTAACAGCAGCCAGAGGGAAAAGTCGGGTTACCCACAAAGGGAAGCCCATCAGACTAACAGTGGATCTCTCGGCAGAAACCCTACAAGCCAGAAGAGAGTGGGGGCCAATATTCAACATTCTTAAAGAATTTTCAACCCAGAATTTCATATCCAGCCAAACCAAGCTTCATAAGTGAAGGAGAAATAAAATCCTTTACAGACAAGCAAATGCTGAGAGATTTTGTCACCACCAGGCCTGCCTTACAAGAGCTCCTGAAGGAAGCACTTAACATGGAAAGGAACAACTGGTACCAGCCTCTGCAAAAACACGCCAAATGGTAAAGACCATCGATGCTATGAAGAAACCACATCAATTAACAGGCAAAATAATCAGCTAGCATCATAATGACAGGATCAAGTTCACACATAACAATATTAACCTTAAATGCAAATGGGCTAAATGCCCCAATTAAAAGACACAGACTAGAATATTGGATAAAGAGTCAAGACCCATCAGTGTGCTGTATTCAGGAGACCCATCTCACATGCAGAGACACACATAGGCTCAAAATGAAGGGATGGAGGAAGAGCTACCAAGCAAATGGAATGCAAAAAAAAAGCAGGGGTTGCAATCCTAGTCTCTGATAAAACAGACTTTCAACCAACAAAGATAAAAAGAGACAAAGAAGGCCATTATATAATGGTAAAGGGATTAATTCAACAAGAAGAGCTAACTATCCTAAATATATATGCACCTAATACAGGAGCACCAAGATTCATAAAGCAAGTCCTTAGAGACCTACAAAGAGACTTAGACTCCCACAAAATAATAATGGGAGACTTTAACAGCCCACTGTCAATATTAGATCAACGAGACAGAAGGTTAACAAGAATACCCAGGATTTGAACTTAGCTCTGCCCCAAGTGAACCTAATAGGTATCTACAGAACTCTCCACCCCAAATCAACAGGATATGCATTCTTCTCAGCACCACATTGCACTTATTCTAAAATTGACCAAATAATTGGAAGTAAAACACTCCTCGGCAAATGTAAAAGAACAGAAATCACAAGAAACTGTCTCTCAGACCACAGTGCAATCAAATTAGAACTCAAGATTAAGAAACTCACTCAAAACTGCACAACTACATGGAAACTGAACAACGGGCTCCTGAATGACTACTGGGTAAATAACGAAATGAAGGCAGAAATAAAGATATTCTTTGAAACCAATGAGAACAAAGACACACAACGTACCAGAATCTCTGGGACACATTCAAAGTAGTGTGTAGAGGGAAATTTATAGCACTAAATGCCCACAAGAGAAAGCAAGAAAGATCTAAAATTGACATCCTAACATCGCAATGAAAAGAACTAGAGAAGCAAAAGCAAATAAATTCAAAAGCTAGCTGAAGGAAAGAAATAATTAAGATCAGAGCAGAACTGAAGGAGATAGAGACACAAAAAAACCTTCAAAAAATCAATGAATCCAGGAACGGGTTTTTTGAAAAGATCAACAAAATAGACAGACCGCTAGCAAGACTAATAAAGAAGAAAACAGAGAAAAATCAAATAGACGCAATAAAAAATGATAAAGGGGATATCACCACCGATCTCACAGAAATACAAAATACTGTCAGAGAATACTATAAACACCTCTATACAAATAAACTAGAAAATCTAGAAGAAATGGATAAATTCCTGGACTCATGCACCCTCCCAAGACTAAACTAGGAAGAAGTTGAATCTCTGAATAGACTAACAACAGGTTCTGAAATTGAGGCAATAATTAATAGCCTACCAACCCAAAAAAGTCCAGGACCAGACAAATTCACAGCCGAATTCTGCCAGAGGTACAGAGGAGCCGGTACCATTTCTTCGGAAACTATTCCAATCAATAGAAAAAGAGGGAATCCTCCCTAACTCATTTTATTAGGCCAGCATCATCCTGATACCAAAGCCGGGCAGAGACACAACCAAAAAAGAGAATTTTAGACCAATATCCCTGATGAGCATTGATGCAAAAATCCTCAATAAAATACTGGCAAACAGAATCCAACAGCACATCAAAAAGCTTATCCATCATGATCAAGTTGGCTTCATCCCTGGGATGCAAGGCTGGTTCAATATATGCAAATCAATACATGTAATCCATCACATAAACAGAACCAATGACAAAAACCACATGATTATCTCAACAGATGCAGAAAAGGCCTTCGACAAAATTCAACAGCCCTTCATGCTAAAAACTCTCAATAAACTAGGTATTGATGGAACGTATCTCAAAATAATAAGAGCTATTTATGGCAAACCCCCAGCCAATATCATATTGAATAGTCCAAAACTGGAATCATTCCCTTTGAAAACTGGCACAAGACAAGGATGCCCTCTTCACCACTCCTATTCAACATAGTGTTGGAAGTTCTGGCCAAGGCAATCAGGCAAGAGAAAGAAATAAAGGGTATTCAAATAGGAAAAGAGGAAGTCAAATTGTCCCTGTTTGCAGACGACATGATTGTATATTTAGAAAACCCCACTGTCTCAGCCAAAAATCTCAAGCTGATTAAGCAACTTCAGCAAAGTCTCAGGATACAAAATCAATGTGCAAAAATCACAAGCATTCCTATACACCAATAACAGACAAACAGAGAACCAAATCATGAATGAACTCCCATTCACAATTGCTACAAAGAGAATAAAATACCTAGGAATCCAATTTACAAGGGATGTGAAGGACCTCTTCAAGGAGAACTACAAACCACTGCTCAAGGAAATCAGAGAGGACACAAACAAATGGAAGAGCATTCCATGCTCATGGATAGGAAGAATCAATATCGTGAAAATGGCCATACTGCTCAAGGTAATTTACAGATTCAATGCCATCCCCATCAAGCTACCAATGACTTTCTTCACAGAATTGGAAAAAACTACTTTAAAGTTCATATGGAAACAAAAAAGAGCCCGCATAGCCAAGACAATCCTAAGCAAAAACAACAAAGCTGGAGGCATCACATTACCTGACTTCAAACTACACTACAAGGCTACAGTAACCAAAACAGCATGGTACTGGTACCAAAACAGAGATATAGACCAATGGAAGAGAACAGAGGCCTCAGAAATAACACCACACATCTACAACCATCTGATCTTTGACAAACCTGACAAAAACAAGAAATGGGGAAAGGATTTCCTGTTTAATAAATAGTACTGGGAAAACTGGCTAGACATATGTATAAAGCTGAAACTGGATCCCTTCCTTACACCTTATACAAAAATTAACTCAAGATGGATTAAAGACTTAAACCTAAGACATAAAACCATAAAAACCCTAGAAGAAAACCTAGGCAATACCATTCAGGACATAGGCATGGGCAAAGACTTCATGACTAAAACACCAAAAGCAATGGCAACAAAAGCCAAAATATACAAATAGGATTTAATTAAACTAAAGAGCTTCTGCACAGCAAAAGAAACCATCATCAGAGTGAACAGGCAACCTAGAGAATGGGAGAAAATTTTTGCAATCTACCCATCTGACAAAGGGCTAATATCCAGAATCTACAAATAACTTAAACAAATTTACAAGAAAAAAACAACCCCATCAAAAAGTGGGCAAAGGATATGAAGAGACACTTCTCAAAAGAAGACATTTATGCAGACAACAGACACATGAAAAAATGCTCATCATCACTGGCCATCAGAGAAATGCAAATCCAAACCACAATGAGATACCATCTCTCTCACACCAGTTAGAATGGCAATCATTAAAAAGTCAGGAAACAACAGATGCTAGAGAGGATGTGGAGAAATAGGAATGCTTTTACACTGCTGGTGGGAGTGTAAACTAGTTCAACCATTGTGGAAGACAGTGGAAGATTTCTCAAGGATCTAGAACTAGAAATACCATTTGACCCAGCAATCCCATTACTGGGTATATACCCAAAGGATTATACATCATGCTACTATAAAGACATATGCACACGTATATTTATTGCGGCACTATTAACAATAGCAAAGACTTGGAACCAACCCAAATGTCCATCAATGACAGATTGGATTAAGAAAATGTGGCACACATACACCATGAGTACTATGCAGCCATAAAAAAGGATGAGTTCATGTCCTTTGCAGGCACATGGATGAAGCTGGAAACCATCATTCTCAGCAAACTATCACAAGGACAGAAAACCAAACACCACATGTTCTCATTCATAGACGGGAACTGAACAATGAGAACACATGGACACAGGGCAGGGAACATCACACACCGGGGCCTCTCGGGGGGTGGGGGGCTGGGGGTGGGATAGCATTAGGAGAAATATCTAATGTAAATGACCAGTTAATGGATGCAGCAAGCCAACATGGCACATGTATACCTAATGTAACAAACCTGCACATTGTGCACAGGTACCCTATAACTTAAAGTATAATAATAAAAAAGGCTTATACATTTATGTTCATAATGATATTTTATGCTGGGTGGAACTTGCCTGTAAACCTACCTTTTTGAATTTCTTTTTTAAAAATATACTGATCAAAAGAATGAAAAGATGACCTCCAGATTGGGAGAAAATATTTGCAAAAGACACATCTAATAATGAACTGTAATCCAAAATATACAAAGAACTCTTAAAACTCAGCAATAAGAAAACAAACAATCCAATTAAAATAATGGGCCAAAGACCTTAACAGACACCTGAGCAAAGACAATATAGAGATGGCAAAGAAGCACATAGAAATATGTTCCACATTGTCATATTTAATACAAATTAAAAAAAAAAAAAACTGAGACACCACTACGCATCTATTAGAATGACCAAAATCCAGAACACTGACAACACCAAATGCTGGCAAGGATGCAGAGCAACAGGAACTCTCATACACTGCTGGTGGGCATGAGAAATGGTGCAGTCACTTTGGAAGGCAGTTTGGCAGTTTCCTACAAAACGAAGCATACTCTTTCCATGTGATCCAACAATTGCCTTCCCTTGTATTTATCCAAAGGAGCAGAAAACGTGTGTTCACACAGAAACCTACATACATATGTTGATAGCAGCTTTATTCATAATTGCTAAAACTTGGAAGCAACCTTCAGTAGGTGAAATGGATAAACTAACTGTGCTATATCCAAACAATGGATTATTATTCAGTGCTAAAAAGAAATGGGCTATCAAGCCATGAAAAAAACATGGAGGAACCTTAAATGCATATTACCAAATGAAATAAGTCAATCTGAAAAGATTACAGACTGTAAGATTCCAATTATATGATATTCTAGGAAAAGTAAAGCAATGGAGACAGCAAAACAGATCAGGCCGGGCGCAGTGGCTCACGCCTGTAATCCCAGCACTTTGGGAGGCTAAGGCAGGTGGATCACCCGAGGTCAGGAGTTTGAGACCAGCTTGGCCAACATGACGAAACCCTGTCTCTACTAAAAATACAAAAATTAGCCAGGCGTGGTGGCGTGCACCTGTAGTCCCAGCCACTCAGGAGGCTGAGGTGGGAGAATCGCTTGAACCCGGGACGTGGAGGTTGCAGTGAGCCGAGATCGCACCACTGCACTCCAGCCTGGGCGACAGAGCGATACACCATCTCAAACAAAACAAAACAAAACAAAACAAAACAAAACAAAACAAAACATAACAGGTCAATGGCTGCCATGGATTGCAGAGAGAGGGCGGGATGAATAGGTGGAGCACCGAGGATTTTTAGGGCAGTGAAGCTATTCTGAATGATACTATAATGGTCGATACAGGTCATTATACATCTGTGCAAACCCACAGAACCCATACGCCACCAAGAGAGAACCCTGATGTAAACTATGGACTCTGGGTGGTAATGATGTGTCTGCATCAGTTCATCTATTTCAATTGTACGGCCCTGGTGGGGGATGTTGATGATGGGGGAGGCTGTGCTTGGGTGGGGGTTGGGAGGGGACATGGGAACTTGTACCTTCCACACAGTTATGCTATGAACCTCAAACTGCTTTAAAAAACAAAGTCTGTTTTTTTGCTAGTCTATTCCCTTTTTGGTCTATTTTTCTAGAAAATATTAAATCTATCTAAGTTTCCAAAATTTTGGCATAAAATTGTGTCACAATATTCTATTTTTAAGTATTTTTCTGTAGTTGAAAACCCCTTTTATATCCAGTAAATGTTTGTTTGTGCCTTCTTTGTTTTCTTGGTAATTATTTCCTGAGGTATGTTGATTTTATTAGTTCTTTTTTAAAACCAATTTGTCCTTCGTTGATCTCTATTTTAGTTTTCTTATTTAATACATTTCTAGGTTTATCTTTATTCCTCCTTCTTTTTTTCATTGGAGTTAATGTTATATTTTATAACTTCTTGAGTTTGGTAATTATCTCACACATTTTCCCAAAAAAGATATTAAAAGCCTTTAGGGTTTCCTAAAAAAGATGTCTATGCTGCTATCAACATATGTGTGTAGGTTTCTGTGTGAACACAGGTTTTCAGCTCCTTTGGGTAAATACTGAGGAGGACAATTGTTGGATCATATGGTAAAGATGCTTAGACAAGTATCTTTTCTAACATAAGCATTTAAAGGCTATGTATGTCTGCCTGCATTCCTATACATATGTGAGTGCATGTGTGCACACACACGTACACACACAAACTCACACCACACATGCTAAATGTTTTTATTCACATTTAGATATCCAGTTTTCCATATATTTATTTTCTAGTGGAATGAGGATGCATTTTTTCTATATCTGTATCTATATCTATATATTGGGTAAGACTTGTTAACTGTGTTGTTCAAAACTCCTACATACTTACATTTTTTTTCCCCTTGTTACACTATCAATTACTAAAAGAGGTACATTAAAATCTTCTACTGTAATTGTGGACTTATCCAGTAAACTTTAAATTCTACCAATTTTTCTTCAAAGCAATTTTATTAGATATATACATGTAAGATTTGTTATATATCCTTAGTTTTAAAAAATCACTATCACCTGACCTTATTTAACCTTAATTATACTTGTTTTTCTTACTGTGTTTGTGTGGGGGGGGTGGTGTTGTAAACATAGCCACTCACATTTTATTTTTGTTCCTGTTTTTGTTTTTCCTTTTTTGCGTTCATCCTTTACGTATATATGGTTTAGTTTCATCTAAACAGTCTATCGTTCGATTTAAATGCATAGAGATATACTGGGGAGATCTGTGTTTTAACCAGCTGGCCATCCCATTTACTTTTATCTTGTCTACTGTAATATTTGTTTTCATTTCTACCATCTAATGTTATGCTTTTGACTTCTTCCTCCTTGGATTGCATTTAGGTTTCTCCTGTTTTCTTTTTTTTTTTTTTTTTTTTTTTTTTTTGAGACGGAGTCTCGCTCTGTCGCCCAGGCTGGAGTGCAGTGGCGGGATCTCGGCTCACTGCAAGCTCCGCCTCCCGGGTTCACGCCATTCTCCTGCCTCAGCCTCCCAAGTAGCTGGGACTACAGGCGCCAGCCACCACGCCCGGCTAATTTTTTTGTGTTTTTTAGTAGAGACGGGGTTTCACCGTGTTAGCCGGGATGGTCTCGATCTCCTGACCTCGTGATCCGCCCGCCTCGGCCTCCCACAGTGCCGGGATTACAGGCGTGAGCCACCGCGCCGGCCTTCTCCTGTTTTCTTCATCCCTTCCCCATTCGACCCCTACTTGTTTGGAAGTTAAATATAGTATTCTTAATGTGTCTGGTCTGGTGGTTATTCTCACACTTTAACCTTGTATATTTCACTTAAAGCTGACGTCTCCATGGCCTTCCAGAGTCATATAAGTACACCTGAGGGTTTTACCTCCAAGCACTGTCCAAGTTACTATTTCATGCTATATTTTCCAGTATTTTAATTCCATCTTTTTTTTTTTTTTTTGAGATGGAGTCTTGCTCTGTCACTCAGGTTCCAGGTTGGAGTGCAGTGGTGCTATCTCAGCTCACTGCAACCTCTGCCTCCTGGGTTCAAGCGATCCTCCTGCCTCACCCTCCCAAGTAGCTGGGACTACAGGCACACGCCACCACGCCCGGCTAATTTTTGTATTTTTAGTAGAGATGGGGTTTCACCATGTTGGCCAGGCTGGTCTCGAACTCCTGACCTCAGGTGATCTACTTGCCTTGGCCTCCCAAAGTGCTGGGACTACAGGCATGAGCCCCTGCGCCCTGTCCCACTTTGTTTTTAATACTCTCAAATTCATCATTATTATTTTATATAACCAAATCTGTTTACATGTACCTGAATCTTTGCCAATTGCTTCGCTCACTGCTTCTCATGCCTAGTTCCTAAACGTCTTCTGGTAGTTTTTTAAAATAGTAGCACAGCCCCTGCACGGTAAACTCCTTTAGTATATGTTTTCCCGAGAATGTCTTGATTTTGCCCATCAGGTAAAGAATGGTTTAGCTCAGGATAAAACTCTAGGTTGACAATTATTTCCTTTCATACTTAAAAGACGTTATTTTCGTTTATTTTTCTGGCTTCTACTGTTGCCTTTAAAAGGTCTGCAGTCAGTCTAATTGCCATCTCTTTGTTAGCAAGCTATCTATTTTTCTCTCATCGCTTCTAGGATCTTTTTTTGGCTTTGGACATTCCTGCAGCTTTTTTGCACAATATGTCTTGGGCTCATTTCCTATCACATATCTTTCCTCAGACTTTTATCTCCTGAAGCTGAGGATGTATGTTTTTCATCAATATTATTACATCCTCAGCTGTTCTTTTGGGACATGGCTTCTGTTGAAAAAAATCATTGTATTTCAATGGAAAACGATGTGTCCCCTACAGCACATAGATCTCACTTAGCAAGTCTCGCCCTGTTCACTGTCTGAGCTGCTTTGCCACTGTGCGCGGACCGTAAGCAGCTGATAGATGCGGAAGTTCTCAGTCGCCCAGTAGTGATTTAATTGGTAGTGCCTTGACTTCCTGCCCCTTTAGATAAACAAGTTCTGTGTCCATTTAGAATTCATCTCGAAATTCCTTTACTCTATATAAATTTGTACTAGTTTGACTTTCCCATTGAACTGAGAACATCTGCTTTGTTTCCTCATGTGATATGAGTCAAATAGATTCTTCAACATGCTCATTTTTATATCTGTATGTGAGCCATAACTTTACCTGTTTTCTGAAAATAATCTTTTAATATTTCTCCCACATGCAATTTATTATTGCCTTCTACTATTCTAGCCAGTGTGTATGGGAGCACCTATCCCCGGCATGAGAGGAAGCAGCCCTCCTTGTCAGGCACAGCCTCTCCTGGGGGGTGCAGGCTTCCAGACCTGCTTTCTGCATGACCTTGGCCACAGTGTGCTCCAGCTGTCATATCTGAAAATAATCACAGCGCTTTCCTCAGAAGGTTGTTAATATATGTAAAGCATTTGAAACAGGACCTGGTGCACAGAAGCACTACAGAAGTGTTGGATATTATTGCACGACCGTAAATCATTCTTTCCTACTTTCCATCTATTTAGCTTTCTATGATTCACGCAGGAAACTGCCTCTGCTCCTTCAACTGTGTCTCATCTGACATTCTATGCCTCCACTGTCTTTAATTTTGATGGCTATATTATTTCTCATCTCTCTTAATTTTACTTGATTCTTTTCAAAGTTGCTTTTTAAAGGGTTTCTCTCATTTGTGTTTTTAATTCTTACTTGAGTGTAATTATTTTCAAATCATTTGTCAGTTTCTATTGTCTTAAGTGTTTAAGAGTCCAAACCTGCCTTTTGCTATGTTTGTGAATGCTTGCTCAAAGTGAGATGTTTCTGTATGTGTTTTAATTTGAAGTTCATTTTTAGCTGATTTTTAAAAATTGAGTTTCCATATTATTTCTTATAGTGTTTCATTCCTCATACAGTTTTCATCTGTAATGTTTTCTTAAAAAAATTAATGAAGGCTAAATGGCACAAGAGCTTAAAAATATAGATGCAGGCCAGGTGTGGTGGCTCACGCCTGAATCCCAGGAGTTTGGGAGGCCGAGGAGGGCGGATCACCTGAGGTCAGGAGTTCAAGACCAGCCTGGCTAACATGGTGAAACCCCATCTCTACTAAAAACACAAAAATTAGCCGGGAATGGTGGTGGGCACCTGTAATCCCAGCTACTCAGGAGGTTAAGGCACAAGAATTGTTTGAACTTGGGAAGTGAAGGTTGCAGTGAGCCGAGATCCCGCCACTGTACTCTAGCCTGGGAGACAGAGCCAGACTCAGTCTCAGAAAAAAAAAAAACACACAAAAAAACCCACATGTAGTCACAGGGGTGGGACAGGATGGATGTGGAGGGAGGAGGACGCAGGAGAGAAAGGGGCAGAGCCCTTGGCTGCCCTCTCACAGCATTGCCTGCACACCTGGCCTCACACCTGGACACTTATCAGAGCATGGAATATTTGTCAGGCTGCAGAAAACCCATGTCTCAAACCCCAATCACCATCTGCAGAGCATGTTCATGGCACATGAACCTTGCTGACTGGACATACTGGAATGAATCCCCAACCTGTGTTGCTACCGTGTCTATGGAGATCCTGTGGACCTGGCCGGAGGGGGACTTCTCTCCAGGTGCCCTGCACTCCATTCTGCCAGGTGCCCAGAGCCTCACAGATCAGACCACTTTGCATGCCACTACAATTGGTGCTGGAATTTCCTGGGTTCTGCTGGACATATCAAACCAGCACCAGGAGGCACCCCTTCCCTCATCTGTTGTGAATTCCCATGGAAGACTCTGAGCCCTGACTGAGCACAGCCTAAAACAGTCATGCTTCTTTTTCATCGTCTTGCACTGGATGGTAGATTTTATTTTTTTCAATTCCAACTTCTCAGGGAGAATGCAGCATTTTGAAGGTCCTGGCCTTCTCAGTTCCAACCCACCTCGTACAGGGCAAGAGGGCAGAAGCACGAGTTTTACTCCCGCCTTCTTGGGTAATGACTTTTGCGACCCAGGATGGTTGACTGAACTCCCAGGGCCTCGTGTGGGAGAGAGCTGGGCTCCACGGGCCCCACCCTCCTGCCTGCTTATAGCTTGTAGCCTGGGCATTCCTTCTAACAGTTTTACGTAGCCTAGATAAATGGACGTGAAGGAGCTCATGAAATTTTTTAAAAAGTATGTCCATTTCTAAACTATGTGACCTGTTATGCCTTTTCTGGCTCCAGATGTATGAAACAAAAGAAAAAGGAAGCTAATTATCCCCAGCAGTGGAAGGAGAAGATGTTCTGACACTGGGATTACTATGCACACAAGGACTATTCATCATGGGTGGAAATTCATCCCTATGAGGAAAGGGTCACTTGGAGACACAAAGGTGAAGGGAACAACATTGCACCCTGCCAGCTCGTCCCCCAGTGACAATGCTGACTGGGCAAACAGCCAGCCTTGAGAGCCTCCTACACAATCGGATGCCCAAAGTCCACACCAGAGGTTCATTGAAAAATGATCAGGCTGATTTTTTAAAGAGCTTTTCCTTCAGATTGAGTGAAGAAATTGACCAACCTTAATCTGAATAAATATAAAGTCTAAATAAACTAAGCATATGCTTTCAGAAAAATGCCACTTGCTATGACAGCATAAATACAAGAAAAACGATAAGGAGGTAATACAGCTAAAAACGATAAGCAAGAGCTGACCAGGGTTAAATCAGGTCACAGGGGTAGGGCCCTATTCTGATAGGACTGGTGGCCTTATAGGAAGAGGGAAGCCAGCACGTGCCCCTCTCTCTCCCTCTCCCACTCCCTCTCTCTTTCTCTCTGCCATGTAAGGACACAATGAGAAGGAAGCCATAAACCAGAGAGAGTTCTCTTCAGGGAACCAAATCCAGACCCTTGATCTTGAACTTCTCAGCTCCCAGAATTGTGTGAAAATAAATTTCTATTATTTAAAGCCTCCCAGTCTATGGTATTTTGTTATGACAGGCTGACCTGAGTAATCATTATTACTCTTGCTAAATATGACTAAGAAGTCTTCACATAATCCATAAATAAACATAAGAAGGCTGTCAACAGTTCAGAGAAGAAGGCAGAAGGGATCACACCTTTGTGACAGGCAGAACGGCATGGTGCTGACATCCCTAGGTTTACTATTTATCTTACCTATTCCAAACTGGGTTCTGGAGAAGAATGCACCAAAAAAACCCCAACAGGTACAGACCAAAGAAGTCCTGAGGAAAGCTTGCCCTCTCTCGCCAAATGGTCAGGAGAGAAGCAGCCTGACAGCTGGACCGTGTCTAGCCAAGAGCGCTGCCCCAGGGAAACACCAAAGGAAAAAGCTGGACTCCACCAGCAGCCTCATCAGCAAAGGCCCAGGGAGCACTCTAGATTCAAACATCCCCAGGCAAAAGGGAGACACTCCTCCCCATACTTGCAAGAGGTGATGTCAGAGAAGGCCAAGCAGTGACCTCATCTTGACCCAGCCGCCTCCTGCTGTTTCAGTGGAGAACACTTGGGGAGCCTGGACTTCCACTCCCACCTAGCAGTACCAAGGTCCCCATCCCTCCCAGGTGTCAACAGAGGCTGAGTGGGGGGCCTGAACCACACGACAGCAGGGGTGGTGTCCTCCCTCCTCTGCTAGCACAGTGTCAGAGGAGGTCTAGTGAAAAGGAACACTGAAATAAGACTTGGAGTCTCAAACAATAATACCCAAAATGTCCAGGATATAATTTTAAAAATCACTTGTAATACCAAAATCAAGAAAAAAACCTCAACTTTAATGAGAAGAGAAAATTAGCAGATGCCAAAACAGATAATTCAGAAAGTTGGAATTCTCTGGATTTTAAAACCTCAATCATAATAATGCTTTGGTAGGCAATTAAGAACATGTTTGAAACCAGTGAAAAAATAGAAAGTCTCAACAAATAAATAGAAGATATAAAGAAAAACTAAATGAAAATTTAGAACTGAAAAATACAGTAACTGGGATTACCAACATGTAGGCTGGGCTCAATAGTAGAGTGGAGATAGCAAAGGAAAGAATCTGACTTGAAGACAGAATAGAAATTATGCAATCGGAGCAACAAAGGTAAAATAGACCAAAAAAAAGAAAAAAAATCGACACAGCCTGCAGGGGTGTGAAGCCATAACAAAATCTGATATTTGTGTCATGAGAGTCTCAGAAAAAGAAGAGAAAGAAAATGAGAATGAAAAATGTTTGAAGAAATTATTAAAAATTTTCCAAATTTAGCAAAAGATATACATCTACAGATTCAAGAAGCTGAGTAAAACCCAAACCAGATAAATACAAAAAAATTAATGCCAAGAATCATCATAATCAAACATCTAAAAATTAAACACAAAGAGAAAATCTTGAAAGCAGCCAGAGAAAAATGATCCGTAAGGGGGAAAAACAAAACTAAACAACAACAACAAATTTAAATGACAGCAGAATTTTCAACAGTAACCACGGAGACCAGCAGGAGGTGGTATGACAGTTTCCGAATGCTGAAATAACTTACTGTACACTCAAAATTCTAAATCCAGTTAAAATATCTTTCAGGAATAATGAAGAAATGTCAAGACATTTTCAGATGAAGAAAAAACTAAGAGAAATAGTGACCAGCAGAATCACCCAAGAAGTATGGCTCAAGGAAGTTCTTGAAAGAGAGAAAAAAACAATAAAAGAAGGAAGAGAAAATTTATCTACTTTACTTGAACCAGTAAGATGTTTATATCAGTAGTCAGTAACGTAATAAGTTACATACATAAAATGTAATATCAAGAGCAACCATGAAATAGGTGTACAAAGAGACATACTCAAAAACACTATAAATAAAAAAGATTCTAAAAATTCTAAAAAAGAAATTCTAAAAAAAAGTTAAGTACATCATAGGCAGGAAAGAAAAAACGAAGAATATATATATATAATATATATATATCACAGACACACATACCCTGCAAACATTACTCAAAAAACACAAGAGTAACTATATTATTATCAGATAAAGCAGATCTTAGAGAAAAGAAAATTATGAAAGATAGATATAAATTTACATAATGATAAAAGCTCAGTCTACCAAGAAGATGCAGCAATCATAAATCCTTTCTCAAACAAGAAAGCTTCAAAATACATGACCCCAGAACTGATGGAAATTTTCAAAAGATATAGACAAGTTCACAACTATATTTGGAGGTTTCAACACTCCTCTCTCAATAATTCATGACAGGGCAACTAGACAGAAAATCAGCAAGGATATAAAAGAACTTACACCATCAAACAACAGGACTTAATTGGCATTTAGGAAACTGTCTACCAACAAGTACTCATGGAGCATATACCAAGATAGACCATATCCTGAGCCTAAGAAAAACCTCAATACATTTAAAAGAAGTGAAACCACACAAAGTGTGATATTTGCCCACAATGGAATCAAACTAGACATGAATAGCATTAAGATGACAAGAAAATCTCCAAACACTTGGAAACTGAATGCCAAATTGCTAAATAATCCATGAGTCAAAGAGAAAGTCTCAAGGAAATGGAAAAAAATACACTGAACTGAATAAAAATGCAATGTATCAATATGTATGACATGCTGGTAGTGCTAAGAATAAATTTATAGTACTGCTTATTTTAAGAAAGAGAAAAAGATTCAAGTCTATATCTATGCTCACTCGGTAAGAAACTAGAAAAGAGAAGACAAGCCCCACAAGTAGAAGGAAGTAAATAATAAATATAAAAGTATAAAATCACTGACACGGAGAAGAGAAAAAAAAGAAAAAAAAATCAATGAAATGAAAATCTTCTTTGAAAATATCAATAAAATTGACAAACTAATACCACGAATGTATTCTATGTGTCACTACACAGACATTGTAGACATCAAAAGAATGATGAGGAAAGCTATGAACAACTCTTTACATAGAAATTAACACATACATTTAGCAACTTAAATGAAATGCACCAATTCCTTGAAAAGTACAAACTACCACAACTCAACCAATAGGCTATAAATAAGCTGAAGATCCCTAAAACAATTAAACACATTGAGTTCATAATTTTAAATGTTTTTTAAAAAGGTATCTCCACATCCTGAATGGCTTCGCTGGGGAATTTTAACAAACATTTAAGGAAGAATTAATATCAATTCTATAACTGTCTCCCAGTAAATAAAAAAGGATAAAACACAGAGGCTTTTATTAACCTCATAACCAAAACTAGACAAAGACAGTAGAAAAAATTTATAAAATGCAAAACAAAAACTACAGACCACATTCTCTCATAAATATACATAAACCACCCTTAATAAAATATTGGCAATACAACTTAGCAGTATATATAAGGAATTACACACATGACCAAGTAGAGTTTGTTCCATGAGTGTAAAGCTAGTTCAATAATTGAAAACTGATCAATGTAATCTACCATATTAAGATGCCAAGGAAGAAAAATCACCTGATTATATCAATTGATGCAGAAAAAGCAAGTAATAACACTCAACACTCATCCATATTAAAAAGTCTCAGAAAACTGGAATAGAGGGAAACTTCCTCATCCTGATAAAAGCAATTCCACAAAAAACCTACAGCTAGCATCATACTTAATAGTGAAAGACTGGATGCTTTCGCCATAAGATCAGAAACAAGATAAAGTTGTTCACTTTTAACATTCTAATTCAGCATAATACTAGAAATCCTAGCCAGGAAAGTAAAGGAAGTAAGAGGCCTAGAAATCAGAAAGAAATTTAAAAAGTTACTATTTTCAGGTGACATGATGGTCTATGTGGAAAATCCAAAGGAATCTCAAAACAAAAACAATTAAAAAAAAAACTGCTAAACCTAATGAGTAAGTTCAGCAAGGTCAGAAATACAAGATCAACATAAAATAATTGCTATACTAACAGTAAACATGTGGTTACTGAAAATGCAGTATCATTTACAACTGGTCAAAAATGAAACAAATATAAATTTAACAAAACAAGCATAAATCTCACATGTTGAAAACTACAAAATACTGATGGAAAAATCATAGAAGATTGAAATAAGAGGGACATACCATGATCATGGATTGGAAGATTCAACATAATTGTCCCTACGAGAACCTGTAGGCTTAACACAATTCCCATTAAAAACCCAGCAAGAGTTTTGTACATATGGATACACAAAGTCAGTCTGAAATTTATATAAACAAAGAAACTAAAATAGCTAAAACAATTTTGAAAAGGAACAATAAAATGGGAAGAAACACTCTACTCAATGTTAAGCATTACTATACGATGAAAGCAAAAGACTATAATAGAGGAAGAGATATCTAGATTAATAAAACAGAATTGAGAACCCAATAGTAGACCCACACAAATATACCCAACTGATTTTTTCAAAGCAATTCAGAAGAGGAATATAGTCTTCTCAATGAGTGGACCTGGAATAACTGAAAATCCACAGGCAAAAGGATAAACTTTGATGTAAATCTCAGATATCATACCAAAAATTGACATCAACTTAAAGAACAGACTTAAATGTAAGACTTAAAAATGTGAAACTTTTAGAACAAAACATAGGAGGAAATCTTCAGCACTCTAGGCTATGAGTTCCAAGACTTGACATCAAAAACACAATCCATCAAAGTAAAATTTGATAAAAAACTTCACTGTAATTTTTAAAAAGAACATGTTTACTCTGTGAAAGACCCTGTAAAGAAGATGAAGAGATAAACTACAGAAAGACAAACTATATTTTCAAAACACATATCTGACAAAAGGCATATCTAGCATAAAGAACTCTTAAATCTCAAGAGTAAAAATAAAACAAACAAAACCCCACACAATCTAACTAGAAAACGGGCAAACAGACATGAACATATATTTCAATGAAGAGGATATACAAGTGACGAACCACCACATAGTAAGATGTTCAACAGCATTAGCCACCAGGAGAATGTAAATTAAAAACACAATGGGTTATCACTACACACCTACTAGCGTGGCTAAAATAAAAAAAATAGTGATAACACCAAATTCTGGGGAGGATGCGGAATTACTTGATCACTTAGGTGGGAACGGCCACTCTGGAAAAGAGTATGGCAGTTTCTTATAAAATGAAGCATCTGCTTATTATACAACCTAACAATTGCGTGCTTATGTAATTTATACCAGACGAATGGAAACATCTTCAAAAACAAACAAACATGGACATGGATGTTATAGAAGCTATGATTGCAATAGCGAAAAACTGAAAACATCTCAAATATCTGTTAATGGATTAATAGTTACACAAATTGTGGCACATCCATACCACAGACCACTACTCAGCCACCCTCAAAAGGTTACAAACTATATTAGTCTACACATAAAATATTCTTGAAATGCCACAATGACAGAGATGGATTAGTGTTTGCCAGTAGTTAGGGACAAGCGGGATGTGGCTATAAGGGTATAGTGCAAGAGATCTTTACAGTCGTGGAACAGTTCTTTATCTTAATTTGTTGGTGGCTACATGAATCAATACATGTGATGAATTTGCTTAGAATTATATATACTACACAAAAATGCATGAATGTAAAACTGGTGAAATCTGAATAAACTTTGTGGAATATACCAATGTTAATTTCTTGGCTTTGATATTACACTAGAGTTATTTAAGGTGTTACTGCTGGGGAATATTAGGAGGAATATGAAAATGTACCTCCCTATAATTTTTTTTCCATTTCTTATGACCTATAATTATTAATCTGTTAGAAACATACTAAATCCAACAATGGTGAACTAGAAAGTATCATCTCTATGAATTATGTCACTATTAAAATGATGATGAGAAAAACCCATGGAAAACAGGATGAGTGAAAAATGCAGTCCGTCTAACCACATAAAATATATTAAGTAGATGGACTGAAGGAAGATATATAAAATGAAATTTAGCAGTTTAGGGAACGAGGAACAGAAATTAACCAATTTGACTGTGTCGTGGCTACCCATCTTGTTCTTTTGAAATACGAAGGCTTCTTTCTTTGCCTTGCCCTCAACCTGAAGTCAGCTTTCATAATAAATGAGGCAGAGTTCAACAAAGCCAAGATAAAGAGATTGTGTCAATGTAGACTTAAAAGTCAGAAATAAATGCAAACTACAAACTCAGATGCTACCTACCACAGGTCTTTATGAAGCCATGAACCCACTGGTAGGGACAAAACATTTAACTAGCTCATAGTCATAACCTTTAGAGGCACCATCTGGAAGTCAATAAAGTAGAATCCATACTACCTTCTGCTTACTAAGAACATCAAAGGAGCTATGTTACAGGCACAACATATTTTGCCTATTAACTACAAAATGCATAAGTAATTCTGTAGTGATTCACTAAAGTTCTCTAGCATTAATGCATCCCTGGGAAAATGAGAAGCACAAACTAGGTATCAGGGAGAAGCATTCATTTGTCAAAATGAAGTTCTGGATCATTTTTTTTTTTGCTATCAGCTACCAATGGTGAGAGCACTATTCATCATTCAGTTGGTTTTCTCTGGACAGCAGGAGGGAGACAAGCATGTAATTGAAGGAAGTGTATGGGCTGAAATTCATGACTTCCAGCCACCAAATACCTCCTAGTTTCCATCTAATTAAAGGAATGCAAGCTGGCATTCACGCCCAGCAGGACAGAGTCTTTCACAAGTGATCCAGGGGGACCATGTATGACCGATTCCTGAGCTGTACTCCACACCTGCTGTATCAGACCCTGAGGAGGTAAAGATGCAGTTTCCATTGTTAACAATCACTCGGCAGCTTCTTAGCCAGAGCAGATATTGGAACATCGAATCAGAAGAGCAAACCAGGCAAGCAGGATCTAGATCCTGCACATGGAGCCCAAAGCACTATCTAAGAACTCCCTGAGCAGCCTGAGAGTTTTTAAAGCTCTTTCCGATTGTCCCCTCTTGACCCCAGGAAGACTGCAGCGGAGCGTCTCTAGAGTCTACTAGGCAGCCCGGGCACAGCAGTTCTAAGTCCTTGACTCTGGGACCCCAGGCAGTAACCCTGCTGCTACTCCAGGCTTCCAACACATGGCCCAGCTGCAGGGGAAGGAGAGCTGGCAGACCCCACATGCTGCTTCCTGACTCTTTTACTCTTTCAGGTGCTTTGGTGAATTTTTATCGTTTTCCTCAGAAGGGTTTGGTGCATGGGCACCAGGTTGATTCTTTGGTATTTTATGGTTATCATCATGAGTGTAAATGAGGTCTGTTCTTTCCATTTCACTTCACTGTTCTTCACTCACACCTAGCTCAGCTATTGTCTTCTTTCTTAAATCTTTTATTAGTTCAAAGTTTGTCAGCTGCGTCTGCCTTTAGGTGACTAATCAACTGGAAGTAATGATAGTGTTTTTTCTTTCTCGTAATATTTAGATATCTTTCTTTAACTTGCTGTCATAGGGCTCCGGCTAGGGCATCCACCCGGCAGTTGAAAGCAGTGATAGCTGTTGTCTTAGTCAGTTCTGGCATTTATCTTCCACAGTTCTGGAGCCTGTAAGTCCAAGATCAAAGCACCCACGGATCTGATGTCTGGGGAGGGCAACTGTCCTGGTTTGCAGATACACATCTCCTCCTTGTGTCCTCAGATGGCCAAATAAGCAGAGACAGGAAGAAAGCCCTTGTGTCTCTTCTTATAAGGACACTAATCCCATTCATGAAACTCCACCTTTATGACCCAATCCCCTCCTAGAGGCCCCACCTTCTAATTCCATCACCTTGGGGGTTAGGATTTCAACATACTAATTCTCGAGGGGACACAATCATTCAGTCCTAACATTTCTCATCTTTGCCTTATCTCTGACTTTGAGGTGGATTCACCTGACTTTTCAACAGTCAGCTTTGTTTGCCAGTTTTCTTCTGAGTAATATTTATCTGCTTATGAATTTTCTTCCAGTCTTAGTTTATTTTTTGTGAATATTACTACTTTTGGGAAATATTTGTTAGATACAAATCTTTCTATATATCTTCTGGGTTAGTTTTAACCACTGTTTTATTTCATTCCATGTAAGCATACTTACCCTTTCTTGAGATCCTGGTTTTTGTTAATTTCTCCTTTGACTTTCATCAGCATTGACTGTATTTTTTGCAGTCACACTGCAACATAATTATTCATGAGCACTTTGTTTTCTCAATAAATTTTCCTTTAATCAATATAAAATATTCATTTTGTCCCTTTTTACGTATTTTGTCTTTCATCTATATTTGTGAAATAAGAACAATGCTAAATCTGTTTCTTCTTATGGCATTTGGCAGACATGGTTTTTCGATCCTTTTCATTTCAACCTTTTGGATTATTTGATTAAAATCTACCTTCTGTATATACAATATAGTTGGATTTTGATTTTTTGAAACCCATCTAGGAGTCTGTTTTGGTTTGAGAACTGTTATGGGATTTAAATCCATTTGAATTTTTGTGATTAGTGATTGTTTTAACTCGTTTCTGCTAGTAGGTTTGTTTTCTGGTTTTTTGTAGGCTGTTTTTTTTTTTTTTTTTTGGCCAGATTTTCTCATGTTAGAGAAGAAATGCTCTTCCTCTACCCTTATAGATTCTTTTGGCGGGGGGGAGCTTAGGAATTAAACTGACAAAAGACAGATGAGCAAGAGAAAACTGACTTTTATGCCTACATGGGCACAGGGGCACAAAGAAAAATGCAACTCTTCAAACAGCTAAAGGTGAGATTATATACTGCACAGCGGAGAGAGAGGGGAGAGGAAGGGCTTCTATGAAAAGAACAAATCGGTTTCTAGGGGAGCAAATGGGAGATAAGAAGGTCTGTGGGAAAGTTTTGTTTATGCAGGTGCAACTGGTCTTTTCCATCTTCTTTCCAGCCAGTAAAGACTCCCCTAGAAAGGAGATTTATGCCAGGCTCGCTCCCAGAAGTTTTTGCTGTAGTCTGATAAGTAAGCTCTGAAAAAGCTTCTTTCCCTATCTGTTTAATCTCAAATGTCTTCAGTTTAAAATAATGTTCATACCCATGCCAGGGATCCATGAGAGACCTCATACTTACACTGTTTCTCAGTTTTCTGTTCTTGCATTAGAGGTATCGACTTCAGGTTTTGGTCCCTTATTTTATCTCTAGTGGTCTGGAAGTTATGACACTATTTCTGTTACTCTGATAGCTATTCAAATATTTAACATACATATTTACTTGTACTTTTTTTCATTTTGTGCATTTAACGAGGTTTATCTTTATCATGCATGAACCAAAGAAGGCCGACACCAAACGTCTGCTGTTACTTCTTCTACTTCTTAGTCCCCTGCCAACAAAAACCATTTAACAACATCATCAAATAATTAGACTGAACTATGCCTTTTAGTGATTCCATCACTCACGAGTGCTGATTATATTCCAGGTTTGCCTCTTTCTTGGTTTCTTCTCATTTTGCTGGAATACAATTCTGAGTAATTCTTTCAGACTTGAGTCTTTACATATTTAAAACTGCTTTCATTTTTGCCCAGAAAGTTCAGTTCAACAAAATATTTTATTTTAAAAATAATTGCCCTTCAATATTTGAAAGTAGTCCTCTACTAGGCTACTGTTTCTTGCTATTGTGATTTTTTTTTTTTTTTTGCTTTGAGAGCTTATAAGGGTTTTGCCTTTATCATGAGTGTTTTAAAATCGCAGCAAGATATTCAAGACATATGTCTCTTTTTATTCACCCTGCTTAGCTCTCAGTATGGTATTGGCACATGCATAAATGAATATAACCATCCCACTTCAATGCCATGGGGAGAAAGATGTATTGCTCAATAAGTGCTGTTAGAATTATTTTCTATCCCTTAAAGAAAAGTAAAGTTAGACCCTTACCTCATAGCATACACAAACATTTTAGGGAAAAAAAACCATACACAATAAAAAACAAACTATTTAGTAGAATAAATGGATAGTCTCCTGGTCTGGGACCCCAAAGCCATAAAGGATCCATAAAGGAAACAACACAAAAATGTGATTAGCTAAGGATGTAAAATTTATATTAAAAAAAGACCACAAATAATGTGAAAAGATGACTAGAGTAATTTCAAATGCATAATCCTTCAAGATAGATTGGTATGGGTAGTGGAGGAGAAAGGAGAATCATTTCTAGACTAATTTGCTTCTCGGGATAGGACCCATACCCTACATCCCTGCCCCACACAATCAGAACTTACTTATTTTTAATCTAAGGGTGCTAGAAGATGGCTCTCTTGATCCAGACAGCCTGAGTTCCAAGGTTCTGCCCAGGTTCTGGCCTCCAGCAACTCCCTCCTGGAACAGGGTAGTGGCCCCACTAGTCCCTCACCCACTGCGATGTGCTGCTTGCCATGTGCTACTTGTCACACTAACTTGGGGGGATTACAAAATGTGAATAGAACTTGGTTGCTCCCAAGGAGCTCACTGGACAGTGGGGAAAAACAAGAGTATCAAACTCACATCCGCAGCATCGTGTGATGTTTACAAAGAGTCCTCCAAGGTACACAGCAGCCCAGAGTAGGCGACTGTGGCCAGGCGTCAGGGACAGATTTCCAGAGAAGTCCAGTTGGACTGGTGGCAATTCCTTAGATTATAGCTAGTCCCTGACCTGATTATTCTGTTCTTTTCCCTCTCCCTTTCATTCCAAGCATATGCATTGAGGATCCTGCCACATTTAGTCCCTTCCAAGGTGATCTCTCCCCCTCCCCGCTAAGGGCCCTGTGCCATATGACCTAACTTACATATCTTTCCATGAAATGCCCCATCTTAAAAGTGAAAAAAGGCACCATTAACAGCAGTGCCAGGACCTCAGGCACAAACCCGGGCTGTCCCAGACAGACCAAGACGTATGGCCACCCTGCCGTGAACAGTTGCCCACACCCTCCCACTGGATGAGGCTCTCTCTCTTCCAGATCTTTCTAAGATGTTATGTCCCTGACATACGTCATCTTCTGCTCTGCAAGATGCACTTTGTGCCCTTGTCTTACAGCCACAAAGAGCCTGTCAAGGACTGGGAAAGGCACGAGGATGTGGAGTCAAGGCCTCAGAACTGCGTCAACAAGCCATTTAATTTCAGGAACCATTTCCTCAATTGTGAAGCAGAGTAATTTTAGATGACTTCACTGAAGGACACAAAAATACGTCAGATGAGACCACCCACGGTAAACTGATTTGCTACTGATTACACATGCCTCGAGGGCAGTGAATGTGCGTCTTCCTAGAAGCACAGTGTCTTACACAGAGTAGGTCCCCAGAAAATACCACCCGGCCGACTGACAGCATCAGCTCCACCGACCATGTGGCCCTGGCCCACAAGGAAAGCTCTGTTTCTCCAGGTTTTGATACAAGCAATGGGGCACATCCAGCTCGGGCCCCACACCCTGCACTGCTGAGGTCTTAGCATGCTGGGGAGGCCCAGCTGCCTTCTGATGCCTCACACACAACTTCCTAAGTCTCCTCCTGTGCAGACAGCTGAAGAGCGCATCTCTAGTGGGCAGTGGACACGCGCAGGGACCCCACAGCAGGCTCGGGAAGGGGCGGGGTGGCGGCGGACCCTGGCCCTCACCTGGCTGCCCGCACTGCTCCCTCAGGCAGCTCATGATGAAGACTGAACCGCCCATTGAGTTCCTGTCTCATGTATTTATCACACAGCCCTTACAACCGTGCTGGCTCTGTGTTCCACATCACAAAGATCAATAAGCTCATCTCCAAAAGCCGTGCTCTTGGGCACGATTAGCTTCAGGGCCCTTGGGGGTGCAGGGGGTTGGGGAGCTGCTCCGTGGACTGGCCCGTTGCCACATGCCAGAAGACAGCCTCACCCAGGCCACCTCAATGCAACACCATCCCCACAAAATTCTATTCACCGCAGCACCTGTCCTCTGCTTGAAATTCTGCTCAAACTCTTGCACAGACAGCAGTTGGGTTCTGTCATTCCACGCTCTGCTGTGGCACTGCCCTGTGGCCCACACTGGCTGGCAGGGGATTTGGTCAAAGAAAAGAAAATGTCAGATGCTGAGTGAAATCAGTCAAGAGGCGACAGTAAACCCCACAGCAGCTTCAGAAAAAGAAAAGAAAAGAAAAGAAAAGAAAACCCCACAGCAGCTTCAGAGAAAACAAACTCACTCTTTTTAGGAAGTGGAAGGCTGAGCCTGGCAGAGCAGCCCAGAGCAGGTGCGAAAGTGGAGCCAGCTCAGAGGGAGGGAAAGGGGATCTCTCTGCTTTTTAACTTTAGAAAATAAAGCACAAGAGACCGAGCTCTTTCCTGATGTGTCGAGAGACTGGCCAGTAATGAGTCAGACTATGGAGTCAGGCAGACCCAGCTGAGTGACCTCGGGCAAGTGGCTGAACCTCTCTGAGCACCAGCTTCCCGCCCTGAGATTTGTGGACACTCAAACAGACTTCATAAAGTCCAGAAAGAAGGCATAAAGCCACAATTTCCTGGCTATCATCTGCTGGCACTGGGCGAGTGCCCAGTAAAGGGGGCTTGGCTCCAGGGTGCTGAAGACCAGGAGCTGCGGGCAAGTAGGCTGAACGCAGTGCATGGGACCTTCAGTAAGCACCGGATGAGGCAGACAGCATTAACAGTCAGCCAGCGACAGTCCACTCACTCTGGTGCAGACAGGTGGGCTCCGAGTTAGCCCGAGGCAAACAGCTGGGCCATCAGAGGCTGATTAAGGACACACACGCACTTGCCCTTCCTCCCTTCCTCTTGCTGAGATGTCAGAAGAAACAACAAAAGCAAAACCTGCCCACTGCCACAGGCTGGGAGGAGTGTACAAGCAGAAAAGAACAGATAATAACTTCTGGACAAAATCACCTGATGGGAATCAATTGCTAACAAGTCAAGAGGAGAATATGAATAAATATTTTTTTTTAAAATGTTCAAAGCAAAAAGGAACTGAAACAAAAATTCTGTCAAAGGTATCAGGGCCTCTCCTGTCTCACAGTCAAAGCCAAGGCCTCCACGACTTGGTCCCCAGCTCCTCCCATCATGTCTCTGACCCTCTCTCTGAACCCTGGCTTCCCCATCCACCAATTCTCTCCAGCCACAGCAGCTGAATTTGCTCCTAGGACAGACCTGGATAGCATGTTCCCGCCTCAGGGCAATTGATGGATTTTTTAAAAGATAAAATCATGACACTTGCACAAATATAAAGTGATCGTGTGTCAAAGACTACTTAAGTCATTAATGAAGGAAGGAACCAGGAAAATGTTAAAACCAATTCTGCAGAGCATCCTAAAAGCAGACACATACAAAGACAACCAGGCACACTGATCTGAATCTGTCAACAGGGGAATTGGTCCACCAGCAAAACACATTTGCTTCTCCGTGGACTAGAATCATTGGTTTTGCCATCAGTTTTCTAGAAGTTAGAGTTGAAAACTAGTTTGAAGACCATGACAGGCACAGTCCACTACAGACTCAGATGACCAGGAAGGTGCCTGTGACCATGCCTAGTATTCTGTAGGAACCGAGGTGTCTTTTTTTCTCTTCCCTCACTATTTTTTTTTTTTTTTTGCATTTCGAAGTCTTTCACAAGCCTTCTTGACAGGGCCCCTGCACTGGCTGTTCCTTCTGTCAGGAACACTCTCTCCACTTGATATCACAGGGCCTGTTCCTTTGCAGCCCTCTAGTCTGTCTCCTGGTCTCTCCCTGACCTCTGGCTCAGCCCTCACTATTCCCTTTCCTGCTTCATTTTTCTGGGATCACCTACAATCTGGCCCATGCCTCCCTCCTCTCTTCCCCATCTCTGTTTCTCTGGTGGGTTTGGGTCTGGCTGGATCACTGCTGAATCCTTAGTTCCCAGAACAGTGTGTGATTATGCTGAGGGAGCCTTCACTAAATATTGGTTGAGTGAATGAACAAATTAAAAACAAACAGCAAGAGCGACCATGATGAGACCTGGGAGAGTGAGATGGACAGTTCGGAGGATGACTTTGAAGATGCAAACATAGGTTGGCTGGCTCCACTCACTGCTTTAAAACAAGCTGCTGCTCCCCCTCTTCCCACAACACATGATTTAGAAACAGCCTCCCTCCAGCTCAGGTGTGAATATCTGATTAATACAGAAGCTGTAACAGCACATCCTCAAAACTCCTTCTCTGAGATCTCCAGCAGCAAAATTACCTCTGCTCACCTGGAACTACTACTGTCTTAGTTTGTTTTCTGTTGCTTATAACAGGATGCCTGAAACTGGGTAATTTATAAAGAAAAGAATTCATTTCTTACAGTATGGATGCTGGGAGTCCGAGGTCAAGGAGCTGCATCTGGTGAGGGCTTCTTGCTGGTGGGGACTCTCTGTAGTGCCAAGGTGGTACCAGGCATCGCATGGGGAGGGGCCTGAAGGTGCTGGCTCAGGCCTCTCTTCCTCTTCTTATCAAGTTATCAGTCCCATTCCCATGATATCCTATTGATCCATTAATCCATGAATAGATTAAAGCATTCATGAGGGCAGAGCCCTCATGACCCAGTTGGCCTTCAAAGGTCCCACCTCTCAATACTGTCATATTAGGGGTTAAATTTTAACACAAATTCTGGAGAAGACAGATATTCAAATATTTGTAAAGGACAAATATTCAAACTATAGCAACCACATCACCTTCCAGTGATGCCCTTGGGCCCTCCAAGAGCCTGGCCATGACTGCATTATGAGCCTTTGAGCACCAGCAGGCCAATCTCGGTTAGGCTGAGGGATACCACAATTTCAGGAGCTATTAACCATGACAACACTACATCTCACAGATTCACTCCCTAAGATGCCATTCCATGTGTGCACTGCCATGACTCCATAATAGATACATCGCAGCCCACGTAGAATAGGCACCCCTTGCTGGGATGCAGGCTTGGGCTCTTCTTTAGTCCAGTGAAATTTGCCACCTGCCTGCCTCCTCTGCTCTGGCTGAGAACACCCTCACCCCTAGGACCCTCAAGTCCTAGGACTCTCTCCCTTCCACCCATATTGTTGCTATGCTCCCTACCAGAAGCTGAGATTGGATCTACAATCAAAGCAGGGTGAAAGCAACTAGAACTTGAGTGGATGGCTCATCTGCGCTGTAGCAGACCATGTCGACAATCATCCTCCTGTGCCCAAGGCCCTGACAGCTGCCTACTGCAAGCATCTGCAGCTCTGCACTTGATCCACACATGGGGCAGGCAAGCCAGAGGTGCCAGGGAGCTGACACCCCTGGAAGCAGCTCTCAGCCTATGATGGAAGGCAGCTGGCAGATAAGCATCCCAGTTTCCTCAGAACAAGGCTGAGATGTGCTATACACAGTCTCCCAGAGCTCCCCAGTAGGAATGGGCTCTGTTTGCCCGCAGTATGATTTGCTTTTCAATGCTCACTCCAACGGCTTGCCTGCCCTCCCTATCTCACTCCCCCTCCCCTCATCCTGCTTCCCAGGATCCCTTCCCAAATAAGCTACATGCTCAGGAATCCTTGTCCTGGGTTGGCTCCCCCAGGTTCCCTAAGACGCTTGGCAACAATGATGAGCACAATTATGAGTGCTTACAGGCTTGGCCACACTGCTCTCAAGTGTGTCCTGCATAGAGGTCCCCTCTCCAGCCTCTGCTATCAGCCACAGGGTCAGGAAAATGAGTGAAAGACACAACCCTGCAGATGACAAATGCAGCTTTGCACACTCAATGAAAATGGATGGCTGAAACCCCATGCTGTTCTAAACTTTCAGAGCCAACAAAAACATCTTTAAATATCTTCATCAAAAAAGATTTCCATTATTGCAATAGAATTTTCTGACCGAGCAACTCAGAAACAGAGAAGCCCAGAGAGGGTGAGGCAGTTGCCTGTCTCTGCACGGTGTAGGGGCATCCGCAGAGTTGCGGGATTCAGACTGTCCTTCTGCAAGCGGACTGCTGATCCCAGCAAGGCCTTTAATTCCATCCAAAGGGGAAAATCACGGCAAGCCATCCATAATTGCTACCCACTTTAGGCAAGATGGTGTTCAGAAAACTCCTTGAGCCGCAGGCTTAAAGTAAAGCAAAATAAAGCAACAAAGAAATGACTGGGATCAGCACCAGACAGAGACGCTTTTATTCGTGCCCATCCTCTCCTCAGAGCGACCTGGCCAGCTGGCTGGCAGCAGCATGACTTGTTACCCACCCATCAAGGAAATACAGCAGCCCATTCCACAAATGATGCAGAGATGGCTGTTTTGCAGTGACCCAGCCACTTTAAAGCATGGAAAATGCATTATATCTCAAAAAGCAATAGTGACTCACGTGGGGACTCCAATATCAAACGAGAATAGAGTGAGAAATAGGACAGACATGTTTGGGAGGCTTCAGCTGAGCTACATCAACACTGCTTTCAAAACTGGGGCTTACACAGGATGCATTTAACCCCCTCCTTTAGGAAAAGCCCCTCGACTCCATTCAGACCATAATGAACTAACAGATGAGTCTACTAAGCAGAACATATTATTTTCCACGCCTAGAAGCTGGCAGAAAGCATTAAATTCGGTATCTCTCAAAATCCCCAATAACAGAATATCAGAGGGTTAGGATATTAGTAGTGAAGACTATTTTTGCTATTTCCTGTGTGAATTTTTGGACTCAGTCTCAGTTGAATGTTTTCTAGGTTGCCTACATGATTTCTTTCCTTTGCTTTCTTTCTTCTCTGGCTGTTCTTAGCCGCACTGTATTACACTGATCCATCTTCTTCGCTCCTCCTCCTAATAATTCCTGCACCCTCCCTTCCTCTCTCCATCTTGTCTTTGCATAAATGTGTATCAAGTGCCCTGCTAGGTGCCCCTAAGAGGTAGCAGACCCTAAGTGCCATCGTGGACAGGAATCCTTTTCTACGTGACAGAGAAATGTGTTCTAGACTTGGCAGGGGTGAGGGTGTCAGGGAGGTTTCCCTTGCTAACTGGGAGTTAAGGGGTGGGCATTCCTCGCCCCGCAAGACGCTCATATAAACACTCTGCCTGGAAGCATTGGTGCATCAATGAGCCAAAGGACAAGCAGTAGGGCTGGAGAGTGGACGAGGCTACAGGGTAGGGATAGGCTGGTCAGCACATACCTGGGGGCTGCACAGTGTGTCCAGGCAGGAAGGGGAAGCCAGCCAGCAAGGGGGGGCAGAGATGACAAGATCTGTCTTGTTTAGAAGCTCTCTCCTCCTGCCTGCTTCTCCTCCCACATTGCCAATTTCAGCAGGCACATGGCGGAGCGTGCCTTCCCCTTCACAATGCACGCCTCTTCTGGTCTTTCGGTTTCCTGGGGCTTTACTTTGACCCTTGCAGTTCCACCGCTTTCCTTCCTTAGCTGTGATCACTAGTGTCCCCAGAGCACCCTGTGGCCTCCCTCTTGCCCTAGATAGGGGTGCTGATTTCCCCTTTCTTGACTCCAAGCTGGGCTCCTGCCTACTCTGACCAACAGAATGTGGAGAAGGGCTGTTGCGGGACCCTCACGCTCAGTCCTTAAGAGTCCCAGCAGCCTCTCCTTCCTTCCTGTCAGAGCACTGCTGGCCACCAAGCTGGGGGACACCGAGCCTTGTGGAAAAGGCCCAGAAGGGGTGGGTGCACAGTCCCCAGCTGAATGGCTGAGCTTCCTGCCAGGGCCGGCGTCCCCACCAGCTCAGCCCAGACCTGCCCCGCTGTGGAAGTGTACCCCTCAGCACATCGGCCCAGTGGAGCCCCAGCCCATGGCTGTGCCCAATGCCACGTGAAAGAGACAACCAGCCACATGGGCCTGGACAGCCCACGGCATCATGAGGAATAATCTGAGTTGTTTGCTTTAAGTCACTCAGTTCTGAGGAGTTTGTTCTGTAGCAATAGATAAGTGTCTATGAGTGGTTTAAATATTCTCTGAAATCTATTCATTCCACGTTGGGTTCATGTGGACCTGCGGGCCATATATTTAGCAGTTACTTCAAAATATATTTAGTAGTTACTTCAAAAAGAAAGTCCTACATTCCATGTCTCAGGAAAACAAAAGCAGAAATTGAAGCAGCCTCTACATCCTCCATGATGAAGCCTGGCGGACGTGGTCTATGTCCACCATGGGAAAGAGGAACGAGCAGGATCCTTCAGTAGAGCTCAACAGATGTGTGAGCGATGGGGTTCTGCACCGGCAGCTGGGTCAGGCATGTGGAGGTGGGGATCATTTCTAAGGGCCTGGACCCTGGTAACATTTGTCAGGTAGAGACTGCTCTATCTTTGCTCCTTGAAATTCAATTACAACTTGGAAATTCCTCATTAGCCAGAGCATTTGGAATCATCAAACATTTTACATTTTGGAGTTAAAGATCCTACACATAGGCCATATAAACTGCCTCTTGTAACCGTGTTAATAAGATTCCACCAACATGTTATACATATAATATGGTGGGGTGCTCTCTCTCTCTCTCTCTGTGTGTGTGTGTGTATGTATATGTATGTATGTGTGTGTGTATATGTGTGTGTGTATGTATGTATGTGTATATATATATATATATGTATATATATATATATACATATATATATATATATATATATATTTGGAGATAGCATCTCACTCTGTCACCCAGGATGGCAAGCAGTGATATAATCAAAGCTCACTGCTGGGCTCAAGGGATCCTTCTACCTCAGCCTCCTGAGTAGCTGGCACTACAGGTGCAGGTCACCATGCCCAGCTAATTTTGTTGTTGTTGTCGTTATTGTTGTTAGAGATGGGGGTCTCGTACATTGCTCAGGCTGAATGTTATAAAATTTATTCTTGATTTCAAACTTAAAAAATCCGAATTGGAAAATGAAAAACATTGATTATTTTTTTCTAAATTGTTAAATTACCATCTTGTTCTAAAAGCAGGAATCCTCATCATTCTGCCTGTAAACACACAACTGCCTTTACGGAATGTGTGCTCTTTTCCAAGTGCCAGACTAAGTGTGCTACACACATCCACAGAGCGATCCTCCGAACTCTGTGAAGCCGGCACTTTCCCCGTTTTTCAAAGGAGAAATCTGAGACTCAAAGGTTATACAGACTGTAAATATTACAGCTAAAATTAACACGGAGACTTCTTCAACCCTGACCCTTTGCCCTCAAAAAGTCAGATACAATGCCCTCATTATGGACTGAGTTGCATCTCCCTCAAACTCACATGTTGAAATCCTAATACCTGGTGCCTCAGAGTGTGGCTCTATTTGAAGACAGAACCTTTAAAAAGGTAATTAAAGTAAAAGAGGGTCATGAGCATGGGGCCCTACTCTAATTTGACTGCAGTGCTTACAGGAAGAGGAGACTAGGGCACGGACAGAGACAAGCGAAGGTCACGTGAACCCAGTGAGATGGCAGCCATCTACCAGCCAAGGAGAGAGGCTCAGAAGAAGCCAGTCCTGACAACACCTTCATTCAGACTTCTGGCCTCCACAATTGTGACAGGGTAACTTCTATTGTTTAAGGCTCTGAGTCTGTAGCACTTTGTTACAGCAGCCTTGGCAAACTAATACAGCCCCCCAAGAAACAGAAGACCCAAAGTCCAGGCATGGAAAGGCACATGTTTGATCCATTCAACAGGGGACCACTTACTCCTATTTTAGACGTTTTTCAAAGCTCAGTTGTCTGAACTAATTTGAGAAGCAGAAAAGTGGCAGCAAATGAGAAGAGGATACTCTTCTAGAAACGGGCCCAATGATTCAAGTGAAATGTGGCCGGCCCCCAGATGCAAAGACAGAGGCAGAATGAAAAGTCCATACAAGAAATAGCATCGCCCAGCCTTCTGGAAGTAGCCATGTAGGACAACACATTGCTTGTCCAGCGGGATCACCGAGTGACCATGGAGGGCAATTTGGTCACACTGTTCCCTGCATCAGGAAAGCCTGGGCTTCCTTCTTCATGACCAAAGGTAGCGGTCATGATTAGGAAATAACTTTCTTTTCATGATGTTATTTATGAGGTCTGACACCTTATTAGTCAGAAATGTTCTGGGATCCCTTATTTGACTATGCAGTTTAACGAGAAATTTTACTGCTTCTAGAAACTTACCCTGCCTGAATAATTGCCTTTTAGGCATCTGGTCTGCAAGTCAGACTGTCTTGGTTTACCGACGTGTCCCTTATTTCCTGACCTCAGGAGAAAGACTATTAGAAATCAGGTATATACCCTGCAGGGGAAGTTTCTGCATGCAGCTAGAGATGACAGTCCTCACGCTCACCTGCAGCCATCTCTGCCACAGAACTCTCCAATGCACAACAGGGAACATAGACGAGGATGTGGGTCCAAACTGTGGGCTCCAGCAGTGCATCCCATAGGCCAGCACTTCCTGCTGTTGGTCATAACTGCTGCCATTCAGAGAACAAAGGTACTGCCTTATGCAAGAATACTCCATGTGCCAATATGCACAGAAACAACACTAGGCCCCGAGAACATACAACTTCATGGGCGTCTTAAGTAGCAGGCTAGCCAGCGTGTGCACGTGTGCATGCCAAACCAGGGAATGCTGGCTTACAGGGACAGAGCTGCTTCTCAAAGGCCTGGCCGCTCGGAAAGCCGTGTAGGGAGCAGTGGCCCCAGATCATAGATAACATATCCAGCATCTCTGTGAAATATTCAAATATACGTGATAGCTACATGTATGCAAGCATAAAATCATTTTTTTCCTTTGTTCAATATGCTTACCTGTTATAGAGAAGAATGTCTGGTTTCCAAATCTGGCCATCTGGGAAACGAACAGTCTTCACCCCTGGATATTCTGACACATTCCACTGTAAATAGTGATCTGTCCAAGACTGACACACACAATGACATTAGCAGCACTTCACTTCCTTGGCTACTAATATTTCTCATAAGCGATTATTAGGTAAGTGCAAAACCAAAGAGAATTCCAGACATTTATTATAACTGAATTGCTATTTATAAAATATAATGAAAATGGGAATTCAAAAATCCTTTCCAAAATGACTGTGAAGAGCATAAAACTCACATTTAAGGTTCTGCTGTCACCATGAACACATTCAGATGGTATCATTAAAGTTAATTCCAACCCTCTGCATGTCCCCGAGCCTTCTCCTCCTGCAGTAGATGGGTTACTTCTAGCCAAATGAATAACTGTTTTGCCTTAGAAGTTTTCACTGTAAGAATACTTCGAAAAAAGGAATTCACTTATTTCCACTGGACTAAGAACCAGGCTGGAGAAATGTGGAATATTTATTTCCATAAAGCAATACTGTGCAGCTGCATGGGAACCTCTCAGAATTTCTAAAGGAATGTTTTCAGATTTGAATTTTTATTTTGTCACAGGGATAGTGCTTCCGACACCCGACAATGCAAATCCTGAGCCCTGATGGTGAAACGCAGAGTCAGGACGAAAGGAGGCAGGTGAAGACTCAGGAAGCACTCACACAAGCTCACGGCCAGGCCTTAATTGAGGTTATCGAGTGACTTTTGCCAGAGGAATACCCACGTCTGGGGTCATCCCTCCGAGGATCAGGTGCTAAACAGCCCTTCCTGGAGCCCACAAGCTCTGCAGAGGATGCTCGGGTGGGATCCCACCTGCAGCTGCCACATAACCAGTACCACCCCACAGGAGGCTCAGGGCTGACAAGTATGAGCCCAGAAGCTCCTATAATTGCACCATTATCCTGTATTCTGTCCCCCTGGTACCACCCATGCTCTGAAGCTCAGGCTTTCCAAGATCCAGAAAGGTATGTGATGCACCACCCCAACCTGGGACCAGGGTGGCTCCTCACAATCAAATACATGGTAATTTCTGCAGCAAAACATGCCTATTTGCACTAAGTGAGACAAATAAATGCCTCAATTCACATAGATTTCAATTTGATTTTAGACCAAAATAATTTGACGCAAAGTTACGAAAACAACATCAAAGGAGGGGGAAAAATTTTCAGAGCTGCTGAGATTTGGGAATTGCAGATGAGGGGCTGTGGGCCTAGAGCTATTGATACAACAAGGGAAGCAAAGGGCATGTCCCAGACCAACCATTCTCTGAGGAGGGCAGGCAGCATCCAGAAAGATGGTCCCAAGTCTGGAAGGATCTAATCTGACATCAAAGGAGAGGAACTATCCAGGTGAGTGACATCATTTTGCAGCCAGGGACCTCCAGGAATGAGGATGTGTTAATGGGTGATGTGCAGAAGTATCCTCTGGGGCATTCAGGATCGACAGCTGCCTGCTGGGGTCTCTAATGAGATGGAAGTGGTTGGGGAGGGGACAGGAGGGGCACACCCAGGAATGGTGGGTCTTGTCCTAGTTGTCTTCCAGGAATGCCTGGGCACCAACCAAGCCATGCTTCCTGCAGCTTGCTCCAACTTGGCACCTCTGCCCTGTGCTTCCCTTCATTTCTCTCCCTTGCCCTGGGCACAAGGCCCTGCCACAGCCAACACCTGTGCTTTCTGTGCCACAGTCTTGCATCTCACCCTGGGATGCTTCTCTGTGTCGGTCACTAATTATCACAGAGCCAGTCACGTTCACCATTATTACCACACAGGTCAGGGCCCCAAGATTCCACGAACTGCCCTGGAAAGTGGGCATGGTAGGCCAAGGCACTTCTCTCCTTCTCCTCTGCCTGCTGAATGATGGCCAGAGAGGGAGGGGAGACAGGAACTGGGAATGGGAATGGGAGTGCTTGGATGGTCAAACCCAGACCTCGTCCAAGGCACAGCCAGAGCTGTACGCTGCCTCCCCACACCCCGCACACCCCACTGCGTAAACCACGGGCTCATCCCCTCCCCGGCCAGATCACAGCCTTTATGCTAGTCCAGTGTCCTGTGTATGTCCAGACTCACCATAGCAGACTCACCATAGTTCGGGGGGGTCAGTGATATGACTGCTTCCATTTACAAGAGGACGCCAGGGTTCAGAAAGCTAGGATGTTTTAGTCAGTCACTGGGTCAGGGCTTACCTGTGTTATTTGACTTTAAGCAAACTGATCTTTGGGTTCTACCAGAGCTGGTTCTTCTGGCTCAATCTCCCTGATGCTGCTGCCCATCTGCTGTTTTCCCTTGCCCCAAACCAGGCTGACCATTGTGTCAGAGGCATTTAAACCAGGGAAACTCCATCTTAAATAGGAGCTGGGTAAAGCAGGGCTGAAACCTCCTACTGGGCTGCATTCCCAGATGGTTAGGCATTCTAAGTCACAGGATGAGACAGGAAGTTGGCACAAGATACAGGCCATAAAGACCTTGCTGATAAAACAGGTTGCAGTAAAGAAGCCGGCTGAATCCCACCAAAACCAAGATGGCCACGAGAGTGACCTCTGGTCATCCTCATGGCTACACTCCCACCAGCTCCATGACAGTTTAGAAATGCCAAGGCAACATCAGGAAGTTACCTTACATGGTCTAAAAAAGAGAGGCATGAATAATCCACCCCTTGTTCAGCCTATCAAGAAATAACCATAAAAATGGGCAACCAGCAGCCTTCGGGGCTGCTCTCTCTATGGAGTAGCCATTCTTTTATTCCTCTACTTTCCTAATAAACTTACTTTCACGCCCTGAATTCTTTCTCACACTAGATCCAAGAACCCTCTCTTGGGGTCTGGATCGGAACCCTTTTCAGGTAACCGTAGTGGCAGAAAAGGTAGGGGGAGCTGCCAAAAGCATCCGCATCAGACAGACCTGGGTTTGCACCAAGGGTCTGGCAGAGACTAGCGGCGTGAGCTTGTTCAGGTAAATCATTGTCTCTGAACTGCAGTTTCCTTACATGTACCCTGCCTCACAGGATGAGATGAGATAATGTGTGCAGCAGCAGATTAAAGTCATATGGCCCTGGCAGGCAAGTGATGAATGGTGGCTTAAAAAAAGAGAGAGAGATTTCCCCATTTTACAAAATCCTGCTGGACTTGGGAGCTGTAGTAACAGTCATAACATAGCTGCAGCCAAGGGTGGGGAAGACTGAGTGCCAACATGCAGTGGGAACCTCATGCTGTGTGCCCTGGAGCCCAGGTCCACAATCCTGAGCCCGGGGGCCCCACCAGCAACCCCCACAGGCTCCCATGACGGTTTCCCAAGAATGGATATGGAATAAGGCCCTACAAACAACAAACTTCTAGAAAAAAGGTTGTTCTCTGAAAGCACTTGGTTCCTAGGTCCCTCGGGAACAGGGGGCATCAGACAAAATCTTTGTAGACAGCACCTGACACGTTTTCCACAGAGTGGGGATCTGAAAAGAAGCGTCAATGAACCTAGACTCCCAGACAATCACATTTAGAGGAGTGTGTGCTCTTCCTTCTCTCCCTCCTTTTGTGAGATTCCTTCTCATTAAATCTTCAAAAGAAGAGTGTGTGGAGTTGTGAGGGGACACTGAAGGGAAGGGAGGAAGGGGCCATTGATCTAAAAGGCACTGGGGGAATCCCAATTCTTCCATGGCTCTGGCACCTGGGCCCTATTTGTGCTGCTTCGAGCCCACAGGAAACTCTAAATGTGTGTGGATGCTAGTGGCATGGAAGCATTGAGGGAGGGCGGAGGAGGGGAAAGGGATGAGAGAGGGGAAGGGAGGGAGGAAAAAGGAAAGTTATCTTTCATTAAAAAAATACATTATGGTGTAATAAGAAAATAGATTTGGTTTTCCTGGCACAGAGCTTCCAAAGCCCTGGGAATTTCCTGAGTGAGAGGAGTGTCTTTTGTGATTCATACAGAGCCCCTTCTGACCATGCCTGAGGCCTGAGTTTACGCTGATGAGGTGACTTAGGGTTGGGCACCTAGATAGCTTTCATGGGGGCTGGTCACCTAGTGACTGGAGTAAAGAGCTTTCTGCCCATTGCACTCACAGCTCTGGGGAGGGGTGAGAAAGGGGCTCGAGACGGGGTTATAAACACTCTTGGTCAGCACATCCACTTGCAGGGAAGGTGGCCACTGGCGAGAAGTTACGACAACAGCTCCGCGCACCCTTGCGGCCACGACGCCCTGTCCGCTGCGTCCTTCCACTTGGTTCCTGAGCTGCATCCTTTAGAATAAGCCAATAAACCTAAGTCATGGGTTTTTCTCTTCCCGAGTTTCATGTTGCTGAATTCCTGTTCTGAAACTCTGAATCCATGTAATCTTTTCTCCAGGGTATTTTATATAAGTAGATATTAAATATTTATTTAATAAATATATTTTATTTATAAATATATTAAATAAGTTTGTATATTATTTAAAATTTTATTAAGTAAGCAAAGTATTTTCCTGAGCTCTGTCAGTCATCTTAGAAAGTTATTGAACCTGGGGGAGAAGGGTATGGGAACCCTCGAATTTTCAGTCACCTGCTAGACATGTGGGTAGCCTGGGTACACCATTTGCAGCTGGTATCTGAAGTGAGACTGAGCCCTTTAACCTGTGGGATCTGATGCAACTCCAGGTAGATAATGTGAGAAATGAATTGAATTGGTGGACCCCCAGTTGCTGGTGGAAAATTGGTTGTTGGTGCTAGAAAAGTCATCACACGTTTGATGTCAGAAAACACTGATCTTTTCAAAATTATTCCCGTCCATTATTTTGTTAGTGGAGGAAAGCAGCCTTTCCACCCCACTGACCCTGACGCTTTCTTCTCTTGGTGAGACATAATGATTGACACATCGCTCTTCACCTTGAGATGCCGTCACAGCCCTAAGCAAGCCACTAGCCGGCTTGTCTGTAAACAGGAAGCGTGGCATTTCCATGTGTCAGAGATCAAGTGATGATGAATGCAGAAATTAAAAAGGTAAATATTTTAGAAAAAATAACAGCTTAAAATCTTATCATCTATGGTGTGAATGCTATTAGTACCATAATTAGAATTAGGAGGTTAAAGTTAGAGAAGGACCCAGGAAGGCTGGGACATCAAATGCCAGGAGAATGGTCACAATTGCAAAATGACAGAAGACAGATGTTTTAAAAGCAAATGTAAGTCTCTGGATGGTTCAAATGTCTCTTCAGAAACTGAAATGGCTTCTGTCATTTTTTTCTCATAGATTAAATCAGATTATGTCTGACAACCCTCTCAAAATGATAAAAACTAATCTGCAGAGAAAACTGGCTGCAGAGGAACCGGCTGCAGAGGAACCAGCTGCTTCCTCCTCGGAACATGAAGAGGTGAACAGAGAGATGAAGCCTCTTTCTCCTCCCTCACGTTTCTGAATGATCAAAATCAAGGGCAACTGGGAGAAAGAATAACAAAACCAACAAACTGGAGGTCAAGGAGAGTTTTTTTCTTTTTTTTACCTTTCTGCCTTTTCCATTTTTAATAAACAGAAAATGTATCATTTGCAGAGTTTAAATACCCTAGAGAAAAGATTATGTGGATTCAGATTTTCTGGACAGGAATTCAGCAACATGAAACTCGGGAGGAGAAAAACCCATTGCTAGAGCCGTTTTTATGGCTCTCTGCCCCCGGCCCACATTTGCACCCCCCTCAGAACCCTGGCCCTGAGAGCCTTCAGTACCCAGCTTCACTTGTGCATGTCCATTATCGTGCTGGGTCAAGCCAGGCTGGTCCCCAGCCAGGGAACACAAGAACAGCAATCAATGGAAGGTTGCTTAGAAGTGGCCTCTGGGCAGCATCCAAGCTTGCTCTGGTGACTCCTGAGTTCCTCATGTCCATGCTGTGGACATGAATAGAAATGCCAGGGCTTCCAGACTGAAACACTGGGTGGGGGCGGGGAGCAGAGAGACACAGGCACTGGCTAGATGACTGTTAAGGTTTGTTTTAAACCCAGGATTCTTGTGAGCCCTTAAAAATTCAGTTGGGAGACAGTGTTACAACTGCTAGATCATCTACAGGTGCCGCTTTCCAGATAAATGTTATCACCCAGCTTTATGAGGGCACACCTTCTAAGGGAATCCAGCATGTTTCTCAATCGGTAGGCACCTAAAAGTAAACATTAATGACAAAATACTCAGAAATGCCAGTGCTCCCAGATCTTCACGTTTAGGAGAATTTGTGCCTCTCCTTCTCTCCCATTTCTTTAAAGCAGAGATTTCTCCCACGTCTGGCCTCTACTATCTGACCACCAGCTGTCATCTGTAATATCCCTGGGGAGATACTTGTTCTTGCTATTTTAATTTCCTCCTCCTCCTCTTTTCCTCCTCCTCCTCCTCCTTTCCTCCTCTCCTCCTCCTTTCCTCCTCTCCTCCTCTTCCTCCTCCTCTTCCTCCTTCTCCTCCGCCTCTTTTCCTTCTCCTCCTCCACCTCCTCCAACTCCTCCTCCATTTTTCCTCCTTTTTTCCTCCTCCTCCTTCTCCTCCTCTTTTCCTTCTTCTTCTCCTCCGCCTCCTTCTTCTAAACGTGTTAATTACACAGCCTGATCATAAATGGCTTAAAGGTAGAAACTGGGTTATGTATTTCTGGGTCCCCTCACCTGGCCCAGTTTAATACCTTCCACAGAGTAGGTTGCTCCAAGAGGAGGTGAGTTAAAAGGTGAGTTTTCAAACAAATGAAGCTGCAGATGCTTCTGCAAATGTAAGCCTTAATTAAAATTAGCTGTGCTTGAAATAAATTTAGAGGTCTCTGGTGACACCCTCTGAAGCAAGGATGTTTATTTGTGGAGCATCTGAATTCCATACTGGAAGTAATAATCCAGTTACATTTTTCTTGGAAACCACCATCCTTTAAATAAAATTGCCAAATCATATACATTGCTGAAGACCAGTCACTTACTGAGGGCTAAGGAAGATAGGCACCAGGGAGAGAGACCTCTCCATAACATGCATTTCTCTCTGTAAGAAAAATGTCAACAGCAGCGTTGTTCCTTAGAGGGCATGGCAAACGTCCAACTTTAATTAAAAAGGGAAGCACTTGCCTCATTCTCCGGAGCCTGGCCTTATACACACAGTACGAAAGTGCTGCACGGCCATTCAGGAGATGGCTTTATGTTGTGTCACGCTACCCAAGCACCTCAAGGTTCACCTTGAGTTTTTGCTTCATTCTCTCATTCGGCAAAAGTTCTTTGGTGCCCGCTACAGGTGAGACAGTGAACTAGGGGCTGTGGGTACGGCAGTGACCGAATGCACCTGGAGCCCTGTCCCCCACACTGTGCACACATTCTAAGGGTGATGAAGACTCAGAACCAATGAACAGATAGACGAGTGAACACAAAGCGGGTTACATGGTGAGAAGCCTTTGGGAGAAAAATGAAACAGGATAAAGAGAACAGAGTGGGCTGGAGGTGGAGGGGAGGGTTTGGGACAGTACATCGGAGCTCAAAGAAGACTCAATGAAGAGTTGACCTTTAGGAAGAGATCAGTGAGAAGTAAGGGGGAAATCAAGTGGTTCTTAGGGACGAGTCTTCCTGGCAGGGAGAGCAGCCAGTGCAAAGGCCCTGAGGGGGGGGCACGGGCTCGGGTGACGTGTGTGTCACCCAACAAGTGGACAGTGAGTGCAGCCAGGAAACAAAGAACAGAGGGGAGGGGAGAGGAAAAAGGAGCCAGGCAAGAAGGGAATTGAATCCAAGGCCACTTCGAGGACTTCAGTTCCTATGCTGTCCAGGGAGACAGGAGCCCCTGGAGGGATCTGTGCCAAGAAGGTATATGCTGGCTGCTATGTTGAGGACAAGACACCACCAGAAGAGGCAACACTGAAGCAGGAAGGCTGGATGGGGACTCCTAATAATGGAGGTGAGAGATGACACCCATGTAGACCAGGGTGAAAGCATCATGGTTGATGCCCAGTAGTTAGATCCTGGATCGGTTTTGCAGGTCAAGCTGCCAGGATTTGTTGATGTATCAGAGGTGAGGTGTGCGAGACAAGAGTTAAGGGTGACTTCAAGGTTTTTGGTTTGAGCCAATGGATCCATGGCTTTAACATTTATCCAAATGAAAAGTCTGTGGGAGAGACAAGAGTGAGAATGACCCACGGACACTATTTTGATGCTACTGGCAGCGAGGACAATCATTAATGCCAGGCTCTCAGCAGGGGCCAGGAGATGAGTCTGTCCATGGGAAGAAGGCCTGGGCCTTCCAGGAGAGCACAGATCATGTGTCCTGGGCAAAAGGAGGGAAGCTAGAGTAGGTGGCAAGGGATATGCTCACTGAAGTATGCTGCTTTAAATCCTGCAAGGGAATATCTCAAGGGCTCTCACCTGACTGTTAGGTTCTGCAGGAGTCTCACATGTAGCTATGGGTGCACCTTGGAGACCTAGCAATGGCTTTAAGCACATCCATTTTCTTTTTCTTTCTTTTTTTTTTTTTTTTCTTGAGATTGAGTCTTGCTCTGTTCCCCAGGCTGTAGTGCAGTGGTGCAATCTCAGCTCACTGCAACCTCTGCCTCCCAGGTTCAAGTGATTCTCCTGGCTCAGCCTCCTGAGTAGCTGGGATTACAGGTGTGCACCACCACACCCAGCTAAGTTTTGTATTTTTAGTAGAGACAGGGTTGCACCATGTTGGCCAGGCTGGATGCAGATCCATTTTCTATCCCTCAACTCCACGTGTATTCGCAGGATAACTCAACTGCCCAAGAACCACATGGGACTATCCTTTGCCTCCATTTTCACTTCTCCCATTCAACTTTATAAAGAAGGGCACATTTCTCTTATCTTACCTCAACTCCCATCTTGGGACACTGACTCAAGAACCAAACAAATGGTCAATTCAAGTATCAGCGTTTGTGTCTGTGTGAATTACCTTACAAATTGGGTGGCAAATACTTTCAAAGGTCAGGTGGGTTTAAATTCTTTTCTTTGTTTTCAACAAAATTGAAGGAGAAACTAATCAAGCTGTCAGCTGATACATTTGATAAAAACTACATTATTTTTGGCATATAACCTAGAAGAAGTTCAAAGATGGAGTAACATTGCTTTAACAAAGTGGCTTTCATGTCCAACTACTCATGTTACTACACCTAGTTAAAAAACAGCAACAGAATTGAAGTGAAAACTATCATTCTCTCCATTCAAGTAATAAAAAGTCATCTGTGGATACATGAACTAATTTAAAACAAACTCATCTTGGGCAGAGATATAAATTGCCAATAAAAATTTATGTTTTATAATTACTTAAAAATTTTAATTTATGTCACCTTGATGAATTATAATACCAATAACAATAGCAAACTTAAATCAATCCAAAAGAAACAAAATTTAATACTTACGGTGTAAAGGAATAATTCTTGTGTAAATATTTACATTTGAAAAAACCAAGGCACGATTAATAAAAGACTTTTGGCCCTGCACGGTGGCTCATGCCTGTAATCCCAGCACTTTGGGAGGCCGAGGTGGGTGGATCACCTGAAGTCAGGAGTTCAAGACCAGCCTGGCCAACATGAAGAAACCCTGTCTCTACTAAAAAATACAAAAACTAGCCGGGTGTGGTGGTGCCTGCCTGTAATTCCAGCTGTTCGGGAGTCTGAGGCAGGAGAATCACTTGAACCTGGAAGGCGGAGGTTGCAGTAAGCCAAGATTGCGCCACTGCACTGCACTCCAGCCTGGATGACAGAACAAGGCTCTGTCTCAAACAAACAAACGAACAAACAAACAAACAAACAAAAAAGAGACTTTCAAACATAAAATTATATTACATTAGGATAAAATTCCGTATAGAAACTAGAATAGAAATGCATGTGCAAAGAGAAAAAAGGGACTACGTTAAATATCTGACAGTTTAAAAAAAGGCTTGTTCATATGGTGTTTGAATGAGATGGGCACCAAATTATTATGGTATTTTGAATTCCATTTAAAATAGAGACTGACTGTTTCATTTTTCAGTGTTAATATTTACAATTGGATGTTAAGTGGCATCATTTGCAATTAATCAAATTTAGATTAGTATTGCAGATGTCAAGTTAAAAATCTACAAATGATAGGTAGCATTTCAAGATTCTTATAAGCATTGCTAGAGCACAAAGTACGAGGGCCTCTGGTTTCGGAACACTCCACCTGATTCAAACATGCAGCTCCGGAGGCCACAGAGGGCAGGGATGGAGCTTCTGAGTCCTGGGGACTGGCTGTGGTGCAGGTTGTGGACATCTACACACAGCCCTGTATCTTCTTGTCTTGCCTGAAGTGCTTCTGAAGTGTCCCCACATTACCTTGTCCTATGTGTTGATCTTGTGCATGTGTTGAGCACTGCAGACTGTAGTGTCATACAGCCAGCATTCATTGTTGGCAGGTGTGGAGTTGGTGTGACAGCCATGGCCTTTTGTTTTTTTGTTTTTTTTTCCTAAACAGGACCTCTCAGAAGCAAGCATCTCAGGTATCAGAACAAGAATCTTGGGTGCAAGATCTTGCAGCCCATGGGAGAGATTGTCATTCTCTTAACTTACCATTTGCAGCCAAATGTTGGTGGTTAAAACTTGGTTCTTCTCATCCTTCAAAAAAAAAAAAAAAGCAGCAGCATAAATAATATGGTTTACAAAAGAAAGAATGAGACAATTATTCACATGGGGATCTGACTGTCGAGAGCGTTGTTGTGTGTGGAAATTAGAATGCACCAAGCACTTCCAATATATGCAAGCAGCATTTCCCTAGAGTTAAGCTTTTCTATTTATTCCAAAGTAAGACACATTTATTATACAGCACTTAAAAAAGATGGAAAAGTATAAAGAAGAAAATTAAAACTCTGCAACCTTACCATCCAGAAATGATGCCTGCTAATGATTTAGCTATTTATCTTTGTATTTTTAAATAATTCATATGCTTAAAAAAAAACATAAAAGTAGGTGAAAATACAAGTTTTTAAAGTCAGGTTTGTTTCCAAAATATATATGCTTTTAAACAAATACAAGTATGTTATGCCTCCCTCCCCCAGGAAAGGGGCCATGGCCCTGTGTGGAGCTGCTGCACCCTGTGTGAGTGGTGCCATGAGGGCCATGACTCTGCCTTGTCCCTGCAGATCTGGGCTTTTCTCTCAACCTCTAACTTCTAGGAGGCACATCGGGCTCTTGAAATACACCTGAAGGTAAAGCCTACCCAGGTGATAAACTAAAGGTGAGAAAGATGAGGTGACTTTAGAAGCAGCCATTCAAACTTGGATCTTTCTGACTCCAGAGCTTATTTTCCTACATTTCCAAAACACCTCCCTGAGTTCTGCCTCCAGCTAAGCCTATGCACTAATCAGGGAGCTTGGCTAGTGTACCAGCTGTGACTTTGCTCCAGCACAGGACGTACAGAGAAGAGACCCGTCAAGACTGGCCTTTCCAAATGGGAGGCAACTTGCGTTTTAGTACGGCTGACCAAGCCCAGTGAAAGGAGGCAAATGAGTGAATTCTGTACAATAGTCATACTGAGAATGTTGTGATTCAGCATGAAATAATCAACTCCAACGTAAAGGACTCTGTGAATTAGCAATTGACACCCTCTCCAGGGAAAATATTAATTAATGCCCCTGTGAAGATGTTCCCAGAAGCTGAAACCTCAAGCTCCCGCAATAGAATCTACTTGGCCTGGTTCACCGATGGGAAGTTTCAAAAAAAAAAAGACCCAAAGGCAGAAAGAACGTGGCATCTGCTGGGGCATGTCAGTGAGCAGGGATGCAAATGAAAAACGAATGCTGCCTCTCATTAAAATGAAAATGCGTTCAGCATGTAAGCAGTTGACAGGGACATCAGTGCCCCAGCCCAGTTGCTCACATGTTGGGCACCTCTGGGGTGAGATGGGCCAGGTGGGGCAAATCCCACAGAGAGGAGAGGGCTGCCTGGGGAGGGACATGGGATGATGTCTCAGGGGACCCCAGGCCAGAGGCAATGTCCACAAGATGCTGAACATTTATTCAGTTACAGGAAAAAATATATCCCATTTTCCTAATAAAATGTGCCAGGAGTTTTTGGTGGGAAAAGCTGTAGAGCTAACATGTCTCTGTACTCTGCACTGAGCAAATGATCCCCAACAGAGCTATCCATTTAAGTGGCTGGAGCACTCCAGTTCCAGTTCAAGCTCCAATATTATTGGGAAGCACTGTTAAAACTCTTCAGAACGTGTATCTGTTGCCTCAACTTATTAAGGAGTTGTTGTTTTTAATGGACTTAAAATTAGCAAGGGTTCCATTTAGGTGCCTTTCCTTCTTTTAATTGCATTTGTGTCTTCATCTGCTGAGAGAAAGGCTTCTGTGGTTTGGGAGCTCAATTACTACGAATCTAATTAAAAGGCTTTCTTCTTTCCAACATTCTAACAGAAACCCCATTAGAGAACACTGAATTTCAGTGGTGTGTGGCAACTTGGGACCAAGTGCAGCTTTTCAAACTGTAATCAACAAGCAGCAGCCACCACCACCTGAGCATGCAGGGATACCCGTTAGGGGAACCCCCCACAAAGACTCAAGAGGGAGAGAGGAGGGCATGAGGAACCATGCTCCCAGAACAATCTCCCTCCTCTTGGCACCTGTCCGGGCCACACACGGTCTGAGTCTCTTGGCTCTCTGTTTGCAGTGACAAGGTCCCTCACCTCCTTCCCATTCCCACTGTGCAGCCTGCTGCCCCTATGCACATGCAGGTGCACACACACAGAGGCTGTCCTCTACTCATCTTCACACTGGACTTTCTGACCATCCATATGATCAGATCACCCTCCTCCAACTGCACTGCCCAAAGGATCAAGTCAAGAATCTTGAGTGAAGTGCACAAGCCATTGCTACAAGCCATGGTCCAGCCGAGTTTTCATTCATTCGTTCATGCAACATTTATGGAACACCTCCTGTCCCCAGCATTATGCTTGCCTGATGTGTGCAGTGGAAATTAATATTGCTCCTGAGCTCCTAGAATAAAAAGTGTGTGTGTGTGTGTGTGTGTGTGTGTGTGTGTGTGTGTGTGTGTGTGTGTGTGTTGGTGGGGGGGGATGAGGTAGGATTCTACAACACAATAATGATACACTTATAACAACATATAACAACAAATGGTAACAAGGATCACGGAGGGAGGGAAAACAGGGTCCCTACAAGGAGGAAGACAAGGACATGGACTTCACCCAGAGTGACAAGGGGTGGCGTCCTGGGGCTGAGCCTCTGCTTTAACCACCTGTGATCCTGCAATACCACAGTATGTGGATCCCCTCACATCCACCATGTGCACCCAGTCCTGAGCCTTTATCCCTCGGTTCCCACCACCAGCTCTGCTTTCCAAGGCTCTATCCAGGCATTACTGTCTCCAGGCCCCCACGCCTGTGACCACAGATGAGAGGCAGTTGCTGCAGGACTCAGTCTCCTCATTTGCAAAATGGCTCTTGACTTACCCCTTTCCCCCTTCTCAAAGAGGTTCTGTGGGACTCTGGCAGCAATAGGTCTGCAGGTGCCGTGTCTTCTCCTATAAGACCTTGACCGGCTGGCAAGAAAAGCCCTCCCTCCCCAGAGGCTGCTCCAAAAGCAGGTTCAGAGTCCATCTGTCCCCTCCCCTTTCCCCACAGCCTTTTCCTTCCTCGATCCTTGGCAAGCACGTCCCGACCCTGCTGCACTAAAGCTGAGCTCAGCCCCCTGCTTCCTGACAGGCTTCTTTCTGCACAGAGGACCTGGGGGAGGGCTTCAGCTCTGCACTCAACTTCCTTGCCTCGGGATTTGTACTTGGCCACACAGGCTGCAGGTGAACTGGGAGACCTGGGGATGGTGGCCACACCTCTGAGTGTGGAAAGTCCCCAGATGGAATTATAGTTCCCACATGGCCCTCTGGCCCCCGGCAGAAGGACATTCAGGGCAGGTATGCAGGGGCTCCACTCCCACTGCCCAGAATTTACCTAGGGACAAAATCCAGTTCCTCACCCCAGGAGGGAAGTTTCCTTCTCTTTCACCCAAATATCCTTCACTGCTGCCAGAGCCCCCAGCCTGCCATGCAGCACTTGAGCATGAAACCATGAATCAGCAGGCAGAGCTGCCTACAGCAGTCACTCCCTCCCAAGTTGGAGGCCACCCGAGTCAAACAAGGGGGTTCCTGCAAGAGAGGGGACAGAAACATCCAACCCTGGCCCAGAGGCCTGTGAATAAATATGCACATTTAGTCTCCCGAAGAACAGTATTCCACAGGAACCTAGGGGCCTGCAATTAAGTAGCACAGACTCTATGTTTAATTCCATTTGGACGCTTATAACAAAATATCATACACTGGGTAGCTTATAAAAAATAGAAGTTTGTTTCTCACAGTTCTGGCGGCTGGAAGTCCATGATTAACCTGCCACTATGGTTGAACCCTGGTGTCTGGTGGGGGCTGGCTTCCCGGATCATAGGCAGCCACCTTTCACTGTGTCCTCGCATGGTGGAAGGGGCGCGGGAGGTCTCTGGGGCCTTGTATATATGGGGACCATCCATCATGACTGCACCGTCATGGACTAATCACCTCCTAATACCATCGCCTTGGGGATTCAGATCTCAACATATGCATTTAGTGGGGGAAAAAAACATTCAGACCATTGCACTGTGAAAGTGGGTTTCAGCAATTCCAGATCCTCAAGCTGCCCCCCTGGCTATTCCTGCCCTCCCCAACTGGGCAGGAGGGCATGGAGGAGCAGAGTCCACACAGGCAAAAGACCCTGGGGGCTCCCGACTCAGCAGGCAATTGGCTTCTGTGCATTTCAATGTTCTCTCCTCCGAAACAGGGATGCAAACAGCTGCCCTGTCTGCTACAGCAGGTGGGAAGAGGAGGAGCATGCTGCAATCTGTGCGATGTCACTCAGTGCCAATGGCTGTCACCACGTGGCTACTCACACACACGGCTCTCCTGCAAGATCTACACTCCCCTCTCCCTCTGGGATGAAGACAGGAGGAGGCAGGGTCCCCAGCCCGCCACAGAATCCCAGAAGGCCGGTGTGGCAAGGCACCCTCGAGTCAACGCGCCTAACTCCCTTCATTCTTTTTCCATCTGAGCTCTTCAGTTGAGAGCATGCTTTGATTTAAGTGATCGTGCTTTTTAAAATCAATCTCTCTGAATAATCGTCTATCTGGTTTAGAGTACAACTGTCGTGGTAATGCGTAATGTGCTATCTTGCATTTCTGCAGCAATTATTCTTTCGTGAATTACTGGGTAACATCATTCCATGTGATTTTACAGAGCTCCCATCACATTATTTCTTTTTCCTTTGTGTAGATGCTGAGGAAAAAAAAAAAGCAAAAACATAACAATAGACCTAACCACCACCATTTCTAAATTCTTGTTTGCAGAGAAAATAGCTGGATAATATAAATTCATATTTGTGTAGCAGTCTAAAGTTTATAAACGGTGACTTCTTTTATCTAATTTAATCTTTACACCAACCATATTTTTTTCTTAGTTTTACAGCATAACAAACTGAGGTTTTCCCTGAGTCAGCAAGATAGTAGGTCTGACAAAAGACTCATATCCAGAATAAGAAATAAACTCCAAAAAATCAATCAGAAAAGGGCAGGCAATCCAATAGAAAAATGGGCAAAAGATGAACAAGTACTTTACCAAGAGGATATCAATAAATATCAGGTATCAGGTATTGACGATACCTGAAAATAACAAAGCTAACCCTTAAACAGAGTTTGCATTTCTAAATGTCACATGCACACGCAAACAACGCATTTTGGCTTCACGACAATAATCCAGCAAAATAAATACTATTATTTTTCTCATTTAATAATGGAGATTATGGGAGACCCCCCAAATTTAATTTTATATGTCTCTTTTCTGTTTGAATGCTTTGCTATGAGCAGGTATTACCTTTATAATCAAAGGAGAAGAGGAATGCATAAATATATCAATTATGAAACAAACAAGCTCCTGGCCCTAGGTCACACAGCTAAGTACAGAAACCTGTTTAAGAGGTTAGGGGGTTGGATTTCAGTTTCATAAAGTTTAGTTTTCAACACTTGTGTTTTGAACCATGATGTGATTCTGTCCTCCTTGTTGTAACAGCAAACACTGTGATTACGATCACGGAAAATAATTCCCTTTGGTAATTGTACAAGACAGAAGTTTTCAAAGTATGGGCTTGGAACCCCTGGGTTTCTGAAATGCTTTCAGAGGACCAGTGAGTCAAATCTTTTTTTCATAATGGTTAGACGTTATTTCCCTCTTTCATCCCCCTTTTCCCTTGAGTCTTCCATAGAGCTTTGCGGAGGCTACAGGACGTAGGGACCAGCAGCAGACTGAATGCAGAAGCTGGTCAGAGAGTCCAGATGTCTTCTATTACATGAGGCATTAAGGAGATTTGCAACAATAAAAAGCAACGCCACCCTTCCCACTGATTTCTTGGGTGAAAATATGGTTATTTTCCATAAAATGCTATTTATGTTAACATCTTGCTATTTATGGAATGGCCTTATTATATTAAGTGAATTACTGAACTTTAAAATGCTTCTTAGTTTTATCTCCAATGTGTTAAATATTGATAGATATAATCACATAAACAAAACTTAGACGATCTTCAATAACCTTAAGGAGAGCAACGGAGTCCTGAAGCCTGGATGTCTGAGAGCTGCTGATGGGGAGCTTGGCATTTCTAGGACCATCCTGGTCCTCGTACCACAGGGCCTGGCCCTCTCGGGATACAGAGCTCGGCTCTACCTCTGCTCACATTTTGGGATTGCTCAGGGTCTGTTTGTTGGGGACACAATGTGAAAACTATAGATATCACAGGCTCTGGGCTCTGCTATTCACTAGCCATGTGGGCTAGGGGTAGTCCCATCCCCTGAACTTTTCTGAGACTCAGTTCCCTTATTTGTAAAAACAAGGGTAATGGCTATCAATTGCTCTCTCTGCAGCATGCTGCAAGGACTGAATAGGTAGCAGGAAGAAAAGTGCCTAAGAGCTGGGTGCGGTGGCTCACGCCTGTAATCCCAGCACTTTGGGAGGCCGAGGCAGGCAGATCACGAGGCCAGGAGATCAAGACCATGGTGAAACCCCGTCTCTAATAAAAATACAAAAAATTAGCCAGGCGCGGTGGCAGGCACCTGCAGTCCCAGCTACTTGGGAGGCTGAGGCAGGAGAATGGCACGAACCTGGGAGGCGGAGCTTGCAGTGAGCTGAGATCGTGCCACTGCACTCCAGCCTGGGCGACAGAGCAAGACTGTCTCAAAAAAAAAAAGAAAAAGAAAAAGAAAAGTGCCTAAAATATAGCAAAATTCTCCACTGTTAAATTATCGGAAAAAAGTTCCTTTGATAGAAAGGTACTGAAAAGGCTAAGAGAATTGGCCCGAACTGGCAATATCTCCTCACTATCTGCGGCTGCCTATTTTTAGGGGTGGCACATAATTACTGGTTGGTTTTCTGTTTCTAATTTAACTGTGTAATAATTTGTTTTGATTCTCAGTTTATTCATTTAGCTCTGCAATGTTCCTTTTATTCTGTTATTTTATTGGCTCATCTTTGAAACCTGGTTGGTTTGGTTCCCACTGAAAATTAAGGCTTAGGAATTAAGTGTCTAGAGGTCAGCATTTAATATTCCCAGTGGGTTCATGGTTATTCTGCGATGCATCAATGTGCAGATGAGAATCTTTTCAAAAAGTGTGTGCAACCTGACTTCCTTCAAGCCTTGGATCCTGGCCTCATCCACCAGCTAGCCACCTTGGCAAAGGGTTAAGCTAAGGAACTTCACTATTTCTAGGATTCTGGAGCTCCTTAATCACAGCCGAACTGTTTACAGATATATGCTTATTTCTGACGGTACCGTTAAACCTGACAAATAGAGGAAATGCATTATGCTTTAAAACACAGCACCCCGAAGATCCTGAGATTGGAGACGTTGCTCCAAAGAGCCACTGAGGCAGAGACTGCAGTCTTTGGAAAAACTTCTGCCTCTAGAACTCCCCCAGCAGAGTGATTCTGAACTCTTTGATTCTATTTTTAACTACCAAAGTTAATCCTGCACAGTTCGAGAACACTGATTTCAAGAACAATGCAACGTATAAGGCTTAAGGGATTTAAAAAATCAGACCACAGTGTAATACGTGTATATTTATATACATATTTTTTTTCCTCCCAACAGGTCAGCATGTGATTCCTTGAGACATAATCCCAGGAAAGACCCATGATGACAAGATGGAAAACTGGCTGATCAGCCTGGCTCCTTTAGGGAGAATAAATGCCAGGTGAACAGAGGCAGGTGGGTTTCCTGAGCTTAGGACCTGGATCCGGGCAACACCACTGACTTTTGTTTCCCCTGTGAAATCCAGATCCAATTTGCCCAATGCCAGATTGAAGGGAGCAAGGCAGACCAAGGTGTTCAGCTGCCTGTGTGTGCAGGAATAAGAGAGCTTGCCCGGGGGAGGTGAGCCCCACCCAACCTGATGTCCACTTGGTTCTCGCTGGGTGGACTCCCATGCCCAGAGCTGCCCCATCCTTCTCAGGGAGGGAGGAAGAGTTCAAGCATGCACTTTTCACTGCAACTGAAAGGTTTCCTTTCCTTCTATGAGAAAGGGCCCCCTATCTCCCTCAAAGGACCTACCTCTTGGGGAATGAAGCCTGGAAGGTGGATCATGAGAGCAGACCCTAACAGAGAAGGAATCGATCTTGAATTAGCAGAGCTGACAATGGGTAGTGATAGGAAGATTGTGGAGTAGAGGAGAAAGAGGAAGAGAGATGCTGGGTTTCCGGCATACTGAGTGGAGCAGGAATCAAACTTCATCTGAACTACCCTTGAACAGAAAGGATAAATCTCCCTTTAAGTTTAAGCCATCATCCCAACTGAATCAGTTTTCAGGAATTTCCTTGAGTGTTTACAAGTTGTATCTCTCTGGACTAAAAGCAAACACCTATACACACAGCCAGACTCCCACAAATGCCTTGGTTACAAAATTTCTGTAATTTCAATATCAGGCTTTTTCAATGAATTGTCAGAAAGCTAGCTGCAACAAATCTCATCACAATTGGGGTCCTCTAAGGAACTGAGTTAGAGATAAGGAGACCCCAACAGAGCCCTTGGTATGGAACCGGTGCAAAGTGGGTTCCAAAGGCCAATAGAAAGGGAAGGGGATAAGATGAATGAATGGAAGTTAGGAGCAGGATTTAGAAGCAGTCATTTATTTTTCTTGGTTTTGTTTTTGTTATTTGATATTTCTAATACTTCTATAAATAATATAGGTTAATTGGCTTAAGAAACAAAGACAAAAATAAATCAGGCCACGAATCAGGAAAGTATAACATAAAAATAATGCATCTCTACTACATCACAGAAAATACGAATGAGGCATGGGCCAGATGAAAACAAATTGGAATGACAGCCACAAGAAGGAAGTATGAGTATGAATGAATGAATGATTAAATATATACATAAATAAAAATTTTAAAATAACAAGCACAAAGAAGAAAGGCAGCCAGGCATACACACACAACTAATATACAAAGTAGCCTGGAAAAAAGCCCAAATAAGAAGGGCATGCTTCTCATGAGTTCTTTATATTACACTATATAAGTCTTGGATCAAATTAAGCATGATTTCAAAGATGAGCTAATAAAATAACAGAATAAAAGGAACATTGCAGAGCTAAACAAATAAACTGAGAACCAAAACAAATTATTACGTAGTTAGATGAGAAACAGAAAGGAACAAAACAGACACAGCTAAAAAATTAAGTTACTGGCATGAAGGCAGGACCTGAGATAACCACGGTGTAAGATAATCACAGTGTCTGCAGAGCAAACACACCAAGAGATTACATCCATTACAGAAGTTGGAAATGGAAGTGAAACAAAGAAGCCATAGCTAGAGCTGAAATGGTGACTACAACACAGAGAAACTAGTTAAGTATGCCGGGATAATACATGGGGGCCCTGCTTCTGGTCCTAGCAAAACAGGAGACTCTATAATGTTAATACTATCCTGCTACAAACACCTGGAAATTCTGGAGAAAATCAAACAAATGTCTTTTTAAATGCTGATTTTGGCTCACAAGAAAGCACAAGAAATCCTTCAAAACAACAACAACAACAAAATCCAAGAGGAAATTGAAAAGAACATTGTAAGTACGTGAGCTGACACCATAGCAGAGTGCAGGAGTATGGAGACCAGTGGCCAGTGTTATTCACAGAGAGCCTAAACAATGCCTAAGTGGGACTATAGAAAAGATTCTCTTTCGTAGGTGGAGAGCTGAACCAAACCCCCCACCTACTTCTACCAGCATGGTCCAGGAAATTTGAAGAGACCATTGGCCAAGAAAGAAGCAAGTTAGTCTGTGTCATTCTGGGCTGAAAGTGGAGAACCAGGTCAGGGTACACTCTATTTCCTGAAAATGTATCAGCCTTCTTTCTGATGGAGAATTCAAATGTAACCAATTCACAAAGCCTAGGAACTTTGCAAGTCATGGCATTAGCTTAGAAGTTGTTCTAGACCAGTAAAACTTGAGGACCCAGACAGACGCAATGAGAACAAACAAATTAGCAAACCACAAAAAAGACAAAAGAAAGAAAATAATAATAAAAAATTGTTGCATAGAAAACACAATGATTATACCCTCCTGATCAAAAATACAAAATACATAAAGTATAACATTTTCCATGAGTGAAAGAGAGAAAACCAAGTCAGGAGGAATAAGCCCCCAAAAATACAGACAAGAGAAATATCAGAGGGATAATACTGAATAAATATGTTTAACGTGATTAAATGCACTACAGAAATCAAAAACATAGTAAAAGAATAAGATATTCTAGGGGTAAAAACGCAGATTTGGAAGAAAACAAAAGTAAGAGCTTTACAAAATGAAAAATTTAGTAACTGAAATAAAAGCTCAATGGGTGGGTTAAACAATGAATTGGAAAGAACAGAAATGATAATTAGTAAGCTGAAGACAGACTCAACAAAATGACCTAAAATGTAACTCAGAAAGATAAAGAGATGGAAAATGCGAATGCTTGAAAGACTTGAAGGACACAATGAAAAGATTCAATATGTGTATAAAATAGTTTCATAAAAGAAAGGTTAAAGAAATAATGGCTGAGAAATTTCCAGAATTGGCCAACTTTTCCTCAGATTAAGGAAGTATGAGTTCCTCAAAAATATAAGTATAAATCAAAGACTAATTCAAACCTCCATCATTTTTTAGCTCTGGCATGTAAATAGCTTAGAATTAATCACTCTCATAACAACAGAAAAAAAAAATGAATGAAATGAAAAATCAATGACATTTATTGGACTCAGGAGGGACTGCTGCTGCAGGGTAAGTACCACACTGAAATATGGAGAGACATGAAATTCAGGGCACAGCCAAAATCTGCTCACTCAAAGCAGAAGCCACTGGAGCTATGAACTTGTGGTAATGCTTAAATGGTAATTTCAGTGAATCTCTGGTTGCTGAGTGTGAACCAGCAATGAATGAGAGTGAGAAGCCCCCAGACAGCCACAGTCTTGCTGAGGTCTCTACAATTTCATGGGTTTTATGTCTAGAAACTCCACCAGGTTCTCATAGTAAATGTGCAAGGAAGATCTCCTTGTGGCTCCAGCAAGAGAAGGGGAGAAGTAATCACTGGGAAACAGGTCACCCAGAGCCTTCTCCACAAAAAAGCCTACTCTCCAGGGTTTCTCAGAGCTTATCCCTGCTAGGGAAATTACACTGGTCCCACTCCAGCAGCCTGTAGCCTTTCTGTCTTACCTAAGAAGGGAAAAAGCTATACCACTGCTATACCACTAGAGAAACACTTGTGAAGGTCAGAGCCCAGACACACAGGCCTACTACAATGCTACCATGTAACATAGGATTACAGAACACTTCTTCCCCTCATCCCCACCTACCACCCCACCAACAGGGGTCCAGTATAACTACTGTGAACTACAGTCCAAAAAGCTGTAGATTCTCTGAGAAAGAGTACTTAATTAAGGAAGACAGACATCAAGAGGGAAGACAAAAACAGGAACACTAGAAGAACCTGAAGGCTCTGGCAGTTAAAGCTATAGCAAACATCAAATAAAGCCCAACTACTACCTGTCACATGAATTCGCACACTAAAAAGCTACTTATCTAAATTCATAATGTCATGACCATTTCTGCTTTATTACAGAAAAATTACAAGGCAATTAAAAGACAAGAAAAAACAGTCTGCAGAGACAAAGCAAACATCAGAACAGGACTTAGATATGATACAAATGTTGAAATTATCACATAAGAAATTTAAAATAATGTGATAAATATGCTAAAGGTGCTAAAGGAAAAATAAACAACATGCAAAAGCAGTTGGGTAACATCAGCAGAAAGAAACTCTCAGAAAGAATTGCAAGGAAATACTAGAAATCAAAACCAGTGTAACAGAAATAAAGAATGCCTGTATGCAATTTGAACATGTTGTGTCAAAAATGTAAGTTAAATGAAATTTAAGCCTTGTAAAGTTTCAAAAGAAAAAAGAAAGAAAGCGTTTGATGGCCTCATGAGGAGCCTGGACACAGCCAAGCAAGGAATCAGTGAGCTGGATAATGTGTCAACAGAAACTTCCAAAACTGAATTGCAAAAAGAAAAAAAAAACAGATTATCCAAAAATTGTGGAACAATTTTGAAAGGTATAACACATATATAGTTGAATCACCAAAAGCGAGAGCAGAGCAGAAAGAATAGTTGAAAGAATAATGGCTGAGAACTTCCCAACACCATTGACAGACACAAATCATAGATCCAAGAAGCTCAGTAGACACCAAGTAAAATAAATGTCTAAAAAATTCAACATAGATCTTATTCTTATCACAGAAATTAAATCAAAATGGATCATAAGCCTAGATGTAAAATATAAAATTCTAATACTAGAAGAAAAGACAGGATTAAATATACGTGACTTTGGGTTTGGTGATTATGGTTTTTCATACAACAGCAAAGGCATGATGATCCATGCAAAGAAAAAATTAGTAAGTTGGACTTTATTAAAATTAAAAACTGCTCTATGGAAGATACTGTTACAAGAATGAAAAGAAAAACTACAGACTGGGATACAATTTTACAAAATACATCTCTGATAAAGAACTTATATTCAAAATATAGGAAAGAAACCAGCAATACATTAACAAACAACCTAACTAAAAAATGGCCAAATGATATGAACAGGCAACTCACCAAAGAAGATGTACAGATAACAAATAAACATATTAAAAGATGCTTCACATCATGTTATCATGGACATGTAAATTATAACAATGCAATACCACCATATACCTATCGGATAGGCTAAAATCTGAAAAGTTCACATTACCAATTGCTGGGAGGATGGGGAGCAACAGGAAGGCTCGTTCATTGCTGGTAAGAATGCAAAATGGTACCACCACTTTGGAAGACGATTTGGCGGTTTCTTACAAAACTAAACCTAGTGTTACCATACGATACAACAACTATATTCCTAGATATTTACCCAATGATTCAAAAACACATATCTACAGAAAACCTGCACATGTTTATAGCAGCCTAATGCATAATCACAAAAACTGGATGCAATCAGGATGTCTTATAACAGGTGAATGGAAAAACAAACCATGGCACATCCACACAATGGAATATTATTCAAGTATAAAATGAAATGAGCTATCAAGCCATGAAAGATATAGGTGATTCTTAAATACACAGTGCTAAGTGAAAGAAGCCAGGCCGAAAAGGCTACATATTGTATCATTCCAATAAAAAGACATTCTACAAAAGGCAAAACTTTAGAGACTGTAAATTTATCAGTGGTTGCCAGTGGTGGGGGTTAGGAGTAGACAAATGGAGCACAGAGTACTTCTAGGGCAGAGAATTCTGTATCATATTGTAATGGTGAATACAAGACATTAAGCATTGTCAAAACTCATAGAACTTTATAATACAAAGAGTAACCCAAAATGAATGCAAAATACAAAACAAATACTTAGGAGATTCGGTGATCCAGAATGGAATACAAAATGTAACAAAAGGATTCAAATGCATTACAAAAGTATAAAACGACCTTACTGACATGACTGGGAGAAAAAGGTGCTGGTCTAAGTAACTTTGAAACTGGGTGTATTCTGCAAGGAACTGTGTATCAGCATTGCACTCTAGTTGATGAAGTTGCTCCTCACAGAGTTGTAAGTTACCAATTCTGAAACTACTGTACATGTATATTGCAATCGAACAGTTAAGTAAATGGATGCCATGTGTAGAAATCAGTTTTCTCACTTTAGAGTGAGAGTTGGAGACTTAAGCATGAATTCACGTTTAGCTTAATAAGGATACATACGGTTACATACAGAAATACTTACAGATATTTCTGTATATATGAACTACTATATACACATATAACTCTTTGCTCTGTCAGAAAGGGCCTAGAAATGATGACGCCCCAATGGCAATGAACCCACCTAGCACCCAAACCTTGCTTTCTAATCATTCACCAATACAAGGAACCAGGATTTCTGGAGAAAGGGCTGATTCTAGGTGTTGGGCAGGAAATATACCAGATGAACCTGGAACATACTGTAGAGCCAGAAAGAAGGAAAATGAGTGAAAAAAATAAAATAACACCAGTGCTGTTAAGCCAGAGGGATACTGCAGCAAATTTAACAAGTACCTAGTGGTAAAAAACAGTAAACAATTTGAACAACAAAATAAGGTAATACTGGATTACACTCCAAAATATAAAATAAATACTGCTGAGTCCACACTAACATAAATAAATGATTAAATAAATAAATGGGGTGAAGGAGGCAAACTCTCCATGAAGAAGAATTTCAATTTATGTAGACACTTTGCCTTCATGGAGGTGAAACACTACTTTCCACTCCCTAATTTGGGCTGTGCATAGTGACTTCCTGGGCTGTGCATAGTGACTTCCTTCCAAAGAGTACAGTATATAAATAGGGGAAAAAGAGTAACTTTGCAGTCGAGGGACCTGACGAATACCATTTTAAGCCATTTGATTAAGGCCCACAGCAACAGTAAGTCATATTGATATTATGCACCCTGGATATGATATGATAACATATAATACTCTGCTGTCTGTCTACCCCAAAACACATTACTCCATTCTAACTTGGATAAAAACATCCAACAAATCCCAATGAAGAGACATGTTACAAAATATCTGACCAGTGCCCTACTCAAAACTGTCGAGATCATCAGAAACAAGGAAAGGCTGAAAAACTGTTACAATGAAGAGGAGCCTAAAAAGACACAAGGACTAAATGCTACATGGACTCCTGGATGGGATCGTGGAACAGAAACAGGAAATGGGATTTAAAAAGCCAATAAAATGTGAATAAAGTACGGACCTCAGTTTAAAATATCTATGAATATCCAATTACTAATTGTAACAAACAGCATCATACTGATGCAAGAGGATACTCACAGGGGAAACTGTGTGGCCTCCAGGGAAACTCCCTGCAGTACCTTCAAGTTTTCTTTAAAGATAGCTGTTAAAGTAAACTTGAAAAATAAAAGTGTTTATCTTTTTTTTTTTTTTTTTTTTGAGATGGAGTCTCGCTCTGTCACCCAGGCTGAGTGCAGTGGTGCAATCTTGGCTCACTGCAACCTCCGCCTCCAGGGTTCACGCCATTCTCCTGCTTCAGCCTCCCGAGTAGCTGGGACTACAGGCGCCTGCCACCAGGCCCAGCTAATTTTTTGTATTTTTAGTAGAGACGGGGTTTCACCATGTTAGCCAGGATGGTCCCGATCTCCTGACCTCATGATCTGCCCGCCTCAGCCTCCCAAAGTGCTGGGATTACAGGCGTGAGCCACCGTGCCTGGCCAAAAGTGTTTATCTTTAAAGAAAACTTGAAGATATTACAAGGGAGTTTATTTATAATATGTTTATTTATAATTTTAAAATTAACTAAGTCACATTGTAGTAAAACGATAGAATATGAAAAAGAATATCTTAAAAGTACAGAATCAAACAGTTTATCCACAGGGTAACAACGACTGGCCAGGGAGCAGATGGCAAGCCACAATAAGAGCAGCCAGGAATCAATGAAGTAACATGTTCAAATTATGGAAAGTAATTATGGACTTCAACTTTGGAATCTAAGACCAGCTACACTGCCGTCCAAGAGTAAAGTTAAAAGAAAAACGTTTTTCAGATAAACAAAGACAATGTCATTACTGACACTACTTCATTGGAGTAATTACTATCAGGTGTCCTCCTGGAAGGAGAAACTGAATTCAGAAGAATGGGATACAAAAATTGGAGTCAGCATAATTGAAACTCTGAAAATACTTTTAAATACAAACTCTTTTCAGGTTATTTTTAACATACACTCAAGGGATAATTCCAATTCCACTGTTAATCCTCTAAGCATTTATTCTAGTTTCACATGTCATCAAATCTAAGATGGTATTCAATTGTAAGACATGCCCAATTTTAAATAAAAAAGTTAAAATGTGAAACTAATGTGCATCTTAGAATGAATGGAATATGGTGCTAAGTTTCTTTGTATGCATAAGGATAAAGATACAGAAAATATATAAAGTAGCAGAGACGGCTAATGATCTATCACAATGTCAGGCACTCTAATGTTTGAAAAACATTAATTGGGATAAAGGGCCTACATGGGGGGTTTCTGCCAGAATCAACATTGATATTTTTATAAATTATCTCAAAGGCAGGAAACTTTCTAAGTTTGCAGATGCTCCTAAGCTTATTTAAATAGCAAAGACTACTAGAAGTGACCTACAGGGACATGTTGCTGAAATATAAGAATTAGGGGGAGGCCGGGTGCAGTGGCTCCCACCTGTAATCCCAGCACTTTGGGAGGCTAAGGCAGGTGGATCACCTGAGGTCAGGAGTTCGAGGCCTGGCCAACATGCTGAGACCCTAGCTCTACTAAAAATACAAAAATTCACTGAGCGTGGTGGTGGGTGCCTGTAATCCCAGCTACTCAGGAGGCTGAGGCAGGAGAATTACTTGAACCCAGGACGCGGAGGTTGCAGTGAGCTGTGATCGTGCCGTTACACTCCAGCCTGGGCCACAAGAGCAGAATTCCGTCTCAAAAAAAAAAAAAAGAGTCAGAGGTCAGCCGATGAGCATAGGTATGAGTGCAGGCCGTGCAGGCAGCGCCAGCCTGTCCTCGTGGCCACCTTCTAATGCACTAGCATGAGCAGTCAGCGAGGCTGCACTCGAGTAAAGTAGCCTGAGGAGTTTCCCAGGGCAGCTGGTCCAAACTGTCTTCCTCTTCAGGACAATTCTTGGACAAAATGTCCACCACTGGTGATTCACATTTATTAAAGACTTGCACATTTATTAAAAATATCTGATGGAGAGGAAGGAACATTGAACATGATATGCCAAAGCTTCAGTCCTCTACTGGAGCCACCACGGTAAATCCAACCCTGACCTAAAGGGGCTCTGCTCTTTGCCCAAAGTGCATGTTCTGAGACTGTATGTGCTCATGCACATTGCCGCCCAGTCAGTCCCCAGTGCTGAACTCCAAACGAGGAACACACTGGTGAGAGAGAATTCAATGGAAGTCCTACCTTGTGAAACCAGGCTGGGGTCACCCTAAATCTATGGTCTAAGAGAGCCCTATGTAAATTACAGACATTAAACAGAAAGAACTATAACCCCTCCTACCAATTCTTAGTTCATATTGCTGTCACAAGGATTCTAAGAAGTCCTGTAGAATCTGATTAAACTTGCAGTTTTCCAACATGTTTGTTTTTCCGTAAAATTTATAAATAGCGAGTTCCATACAGACTTTTAGGCTCTAATCCTTCTCTTATAGACTTGTAGGAAGATAATAAATTACTGGTGTCCAGAAACACCTTGGCAGTTCATTCTAATTAATCAAACAGAGTTTTAACACAAGGAAAACTATACCTCTCCCTTCTTCAGCCCAAAATTCCATTGCCCATCTAATCTAGGGCTTATACTGATGAATAGTGAGGTGCTAAAAAATCAAATACAGACCATTCATAAACCCTTTTCTTCTTCTGAAAAGGAGAATGAAGTGACTCCTGACATGAGGCCACTACACCAATTACCAAGAAAAATGTTCCTATCACAAAATCAGGAACCAAATTGCGTTGGAACTTTTTCATAATTTAAGTGATTAAATAGTTTGCATAAATTTCCAAAGTAATTCCTTCCTTCATAAATGACCTTTTGTTATATATGAGCCACTTAATATGTCAGGGAAATATTTTTTCATTATAAACCCTGAACTGGCTAGGAATAAATTGCTATGTGTAGATGACGTCCAAGTTTGAATCTATATAATAGTTAACAGTTGAATTTCTGTCCCACACCATCCACCCTCCTTATCTCATCCCTTCACATGTAGCCCAAAATAAATTTGCACTAGTTTTTACATTTATTATAACCTAGAACAACAATGTTTCTTTGCAATTTGATAAAGTGTCTTGGTCTGTTTTGTGTTGCTGTAACAATATCATGAAGGGAGTAATTTATAAAGAAATTTATTTCTCACAGTTCTGGAGGCTGGGAAGTCCAATTTCAAAGTGCTGGCATCTGGCAATGGGGCTTCTTGCTACAACATCCCATGATGGAAGACAGAAGGGCTAGAGAGTACTCGAGAGAGAGCAAGAGGGGACCAAACTCACTTTTTTAACACATCCACTCTTGAGATAATTTATCTCCCCCTCTCACAATACTCACTCCTACAATAACAATATTAATCATTATTAGCTAATCACCTCCTATTAGGCCCACTTCCCAGTACTGTTGCATTAGGAATTAAGATCCCAACATATGAACTTTGGGGGACACATTTAAACCATAGCACCAAGGAATACATTTGTCCTAATTTATATTTTATAGAAAGTCAGGTTATCATGAAAGATTCTCCCAAGTAGCTGGGACTACAGGTGTGCACCACCACACGAGGCTGATTTTTGTATTTTTAGTAGGAGACAGTGTTTCTTCATGTTGGCCAGGCTGGTCTTGAACTCCTGACCACGAGTGATCCACCTGTCTCGGCCTCCCAAAGTGTTGGTATTACAGGCATGAGCCATCATGCCCAGCCTGAGCTACTAATTTCACATTTAAGAAATTATACTAAAAAACAGTGATCATTAACAAAAATAGAAACCCAAAGATGTTCATTATAATGTTATTTATAGGGCTTGCAATATTATCAACAAAGTTAACTGCCCAGCAATACATCATTGCTTATACATAAAATGGAATATTATATAATTAGTATGTTTTTTCAAAATAATCATATTAAAAATAAGATATACAGTGGAAAGAAGACATTGCATAAAGTTGTACTAATTGCATTATCCAACTGTTGAAAGAACTGTTAAGTTCTATTCTATGATCCCCATATTTTACATCCTGTATTGCCACAAATATGATCTGATTATTTTCATGCTGAGTTGTTCTCTAAAACATTCTCATCTTACATATAACCTGCTTTACTAAGAATTACAGGTGGAGATTGTGAACACAAAGATAGAATAGAAATTACTCAATTTGAAAAACAAAGGTAAAATAAACTGAAAAAAAAGTCAGAGACTTATGGGACTACAAAAAAAAATCTAATAATCATATAATTGGAGTCCTAGATAAAAGAAGAAGGTGGAGTTGAAAAAGTACATGAATAATGACCAACACTTCACAAATTTGATAAAAGACACAGATCTATAGATTAAAGAAATGAACAAACCCCAAACAAGATAAATCCAAAGAAATCTCCACCACGACACATCATAGTCAAATTTCTAAAAATTAAGGACCACACAAACACCTTAAAAACAGAGAAAGAAAAATGACACATTACCTATACTGCAAAAACAATTCAAATGACAAAGTATTATTCATTGGAAACCACAGAGTTCAGAATGAAGAAAAACAACCTTTTCAAATGCTGAAAAAAAGATCACCTCAGAATCCTATATACAGTGAAATATATTGGTCAAAAATGAAAGAAAAATGAAGAAATTCTCAGACTGAGGCAACTAAAAGATTGTGTTGCCACCACATCTACCTTCAGAAGAATAGCTAAAGTTCAATAGATTGAAAGGAAACATTAAAAGAAGGAAGAGTGGAGAGAAAGGAGGGAAAAATATGGCAAGTAAAAATATGGGTAAATATAATGGAACTTTTTTTCTCTTGTTGAGTATTCTAAATTATGTTTGTTGGTTGAAGGAAAAAGTATAAAACTGTCTGAGATGGTTTTAATGTATGTGGAGAAAATAGTAAAGGTAACTACAGGAGAGGATAAAGGGAGGTAAAGTTTCTATGCTGCATGCAAACTGGTAAAATAACATTAGTAGACAGGAATAAGCTATTCATAAATAATATAATACCTAGAAAAACGACTAATATTCAAACAATAGAGTATTACTCATTGGAATAATTTATATATACACAAAGAGTTCCACTGAGACACACTATGAATAAATCAAATGGAATTCTTAAAAATGTTCAAATAGCCTATAGGAAAGCAGGTAAAATATAAAAAAGATAAACAAAATACAGAAATAAAATGGCACACATAAGCCCCTAACATACCAATAATTACATTAAATGTAAATACTCTAAGTACAGTAATTTATTTATTTTTATTTTTCAAATTTAATTTTATATTTTAAGTTTCGGGATACATGTGCAGGTTTGTTACACAGGTAAACATGTGCCATGGTGGTTTGCTGCACCTATCAACCCATCACCTAGGTATTAATCCCAGCATGCATTTGCTATTTTTCCTGATGCTCTCCCACTGCCAGGACCCCACCCGACAGGCCCTGGTGTGTGTTGTTCCCTGCTTTACCCCATGTCCATGTGTTCTCATTGTTCAGCTCCCACTTATGAGAATATGCAGTGTTTGCTTTTCTGTTCCTGCATTAGTTTGCTGAGAATAATGGCTTCCAGCTTCATCCATGTACCTGTAGAGGACATGATCTCATTTCTTTTTATGGCTCTGTAGTATTCCATGGTGTATATGTACCACATTTCTTTAGTCTATCATTGATGAGAATTTGGGTTGATTCCATGTCTTTGCTATTGTGAATAGTGCTACAATGAACATACACATGCATGTATCTTTGTAATAGAATGATTTATATTCCTTTGGATATATACCCAGTAATGGGACGGCTGAGTCAAATGGTATTTCTGGTTCTAGGTCTTTGAGGAATTGCCACACTGTCTTCCACAATGGTTGAACTAATTTACATTCCCACCAACAGAATACAAGCATTCCTATTTCTCCACAGCCCTGCCAGCATCTGTTGTTTCTTGACTTTTTAATAATCGCCATTCTGACTGGCATGAGTTGGTATCTCATTGTGGTTTTGACTTGCATTTCTCTAATGATTCGTGATGTGGAGCTTTTTTTTCATATGTTTGTTGCCCACATAAATGTCTTCTTTTGAGAAGTGTCTGTTCTTGCCTTTCGCCCATTTTTTTAATGGGGTTGTGTTTTTCTTGTAAATTTGTTTAGTTCATTGTAGATTCTGGATATTAGACCTTTGTCAGATGGACAGATTGTAAAAATTTTCTCACATTCTATAGGTTGTCTGTTCACTGTGATGACAGTTTCTTTTGCTGTGCAGAAGCTCTTTAGTTAGATCCCATTTGTTAATTTTTGTTTTTGTTGCAATTGATTTTGACGTTTTCAACATGAAATCTTTGCCCATGCCTACGTCCTGAATGATAGTGCCTACATTTTCTTCTAGGTTTTTATATTTTAGGGTTTTACATTTAAGTCTTTAATCCACCCTGAGTTAATATTTGTATATGGTGTAAGGAAGGGATCCAGTTTCAATTTTCTGCATATGGCTAGCCAGTTCTCCTAGCACCATTTATTAAATAGGAAATCCTTTCCCCATTGCTTGTTTTTGTCAGGTATGTAGAAGATCAGATGGTTTTAGATGTGTGGTCTTATTTCTGAATTCTCTATTCTGTTCCATTGGTCTATGTGTCTGTTTTTGTGCCAGTACCATCCTATTTTGGTTACTGTAGCACTGTAGTATAGTTTGAAGTTGGGTAGAGTGATGCTGCTCCAGCTTTGTTCTTTTTTGCTTGGAATTGCCTTGGCTGTAAGGGCCCTTTTTTGGTTCAATATGAATTTTAAAGTAGTTTTTTTTTTCTAATTTTGTGAAGAATGTCAATGGTAATTTAATGGGAATAGCATTAAATCTGTCTACTTTGGGCAGTATGGCCATTTTCATGATATTGATTTTTCCTATCCATGAGCATAGAATGCTTTTCCATTTGTTTGTATCCTCTCTGATTTCCTTGAGCAGTGGTTTGTAGTTCTCCTTGAAGAGGTCCTTCACTTCCCTTGTTAGCTGTATTCCTAGGTATTTTATTTGCTTTGTAGCAATTGTGAATGGGAGTTCATTCATGATTTGGCTCTCTGTCTGTTGTTATATAGAAATGTTTGTGACTCTTGCATATTGATTTCCTGTCCTGAGATTTTGCTGAAGTTTCTTATCAGCTTAAGGAGATTTGAAGCTGAGACAACGGGGTTTTCTAGATATAGGATCATATCATCTGCAAACAGAGACAATTTGACTTCCTCTCTTCCTATTTGAATACCCTCTACTTCTTTCTCTTGCCTGATTTCCCTGGCCAGAATTTCCAATACTATGTTGAATGGGAGTGGTGGGAGAGGGCATTCTTGTCTTGTGCTGGTTTTCATGGGGAATGTTTCCAGCTTTTGCCCATTCAGTATGATATTGGCTGTGGGTCTGCCATAAATGGCTCTTATTATTTTGAGGTATGTCCCATCAATACCTAGTTTATTGAGAGTTTTTAACATGAAGGGATGTTTAATTTTATCAAAGTCCTTTTCTGCATTTATCGAGATAATGAAGTGGCTTTTGTCTTTAGTTCTGTGTATGTGACGAACTACATTTATTGATTTTCCTATGTTGAACCAACCTTGCATCCCAGGGATGAATCTGACTTGATCATGGTGGATAAGCTTTGTGATGTGCTGCTGGATTTGGTTTGCCAGTATTTTATTGAGGGTTTTTGCATCGAAGTTCATCAGGGATATTGGCCTGAAGTTTTCTTTTTTTGTTGTATCTCTGACAGGTTTTGGTATCAGGATGATGCTGGCCTCATGAAATGAGTTAGGGTGGAGTCCCTCCTTTTTAATTGTTTGGAATAGTTTCAGAAGAAATGGTACCAGGTCCTCTTTGTACCTCTGGTAGAATTAAGCTATAAATCCATCTGGTCCTGGGCTTTTTTTTTTTTTTTTTGGTTGGTAGGCTTTTATTACTGCCTCAATTTCAGAACTTGTCATTGGTCTATTCAGGGATTTGACTGTATCCAGGTTCAGTCTTGGGAGGGTGTATGTGTTCAGGAATGTAACCATTTCTTCTAGGTTTTCTAGTTTTAAATAAAGTAATTTAATACAGGTTGGCAGAGACTAGAAAAACAGGTCCCAATAGTCTTTAAAAGACATGATGCTGAAATAACTCACATCCACATACGAAAAAATAAATGTAGATACAACCTTACATCCTTCACAAAAATTAACTCAAAATGGATCACAGACCTAAATGTAAAATGCAAAACTATAAAACTAGAAGATAACACAAGAGAAAACCTACATGACTTTGGTATGGTGATGACTTTTTAGAAGTAACACCAAAGGATGATCTACGAAAGAAAGAATTGATAGACTGGACTTCATTAAAATTAAAAACTTCTCCTCTGCAAAAGAAAATTTCAAGATAATGAGAAGCCAAGTCACAGAATGGGAGAAAGTAATTGAAAGAGACAAATCAGATAAAGGACTGTTATACAAAAACATCAAACAGTGCTTAAAATTCAACAAAAAGAAAACAAGCAACCCAATTTAAAAATAGGCCAAAGACCTTGCTATAGTTTGTCTGATCCCTCCAAATCTCATATGGAAAATTGATCCCCAACACTGGAGGTGGCACCTAAGGGGAAGTGTTTGGGTCACGGGGCAAATCCCTCATGAATGGCTTGGTACTATCCTCCTGGTAATGAGTTACCACTGTTTTAGTTCCCATAAGAGCCGTGAGTGCTAGTTGTTAAAAAGAGCCTGTCACCTCTTTCTCTTTCTCTCTTGCTTCCTCTCTTATCATGTGATCTCTACACATGCTCCTCCTCCTTCACCTTCTGCTATGAGTAGAAGCAGACTGAAGCCCTCATCAGAAGCAGATGATGGTGCCATACTTCCACAGCCTGTAGAACTGTAAGCCAAATAAAACTCATTGCTTTATAAATTACCCAGCCTCAGGTATTCCTTTATAGGAACACTAAATGAACTAAGACAGATCTTAACTGATACTTCACCAAAGAAGACATACAGATCAACATATGAAAATATGTTCCACATCATATGTCATCAGGGAAATGCAGAGTAAAACAACAATGAGATACCACTACACATTTATTGAAATGGCCACAATCCAGAACACTGGCAACACCAAATGCTGGCAAGGACAAACAGAAACAGGAATTCTCATTTATTGCTGGTGAGAACAGAAAATGGTACAGGCACTTGGAATGACAGTCTAGGATTTTCTTACAAAACTAAACATACTCTTATCATTTAATCCAGCAATTGCCCTCTTTGGTATTTACCCAAAGGATTTGAAAACATATGTCCACACAATACCTATACACAGATGTTTATAGAAGCTTTATTCATAATTGCCCAAAACTGGAAGCAACCAAAATGTCATTCAGTAGGTAAATGGGTAATCTGTGGTACATCTGGACAATGGATTATTATTCAACACTAAAAAAAAAAAGAGCTATCAAGCCATAAAAAGACATGGAGGAACTTTAAATGCATATTACTATGTGAAAGAAGTCAAATCTGAAAAGGCTACATTCTGTATGCTCCCAACTGTGGGACCATACATTCCCAGAGCTGACATTCTGGAAAAGGTAAAATTATAGATACTATAAAAAGACCAAGGGTTTTCAAGAGTTGGGTGGAGCAAGGGATGACTAGGTGGAGCAGAGAAGACTTGGGGGGCAGTGAAACTATTCTGAATGATATTATAATGGTAGATACAGGTCATTATACATTTACCCTAACCTACAGAATGTACAACACCAAGAACAAACACTAATGTAAACTATGAATTTTGGGTGACAATGATGTGTCAGTGTAGGTTTGTCAATCGTAACAATGTACCACTCTGGTCAGGGATGTTAATAATGAGAGAGATTATGCATGTGGGGTGACACAGGATATGTGGGAAATCTTTGTACTTTTGTTCAATTTTGTTGTAAACCTAAAACTGCTCTAAAAATAAAATCTACTAAAAACAGCAACAAAAAAGCATGACCAAACTATAAGCTGTCTACAAGAAACTTATATCAAATAAAACAATACACACGATTTGAAAATAAAACAATAGAACAAAATACAGCATGTAAACCTTAATCTAAATAAATCTGTTGTGGCCTGATATAATATCAAATAAAGCATTCAGAGCAAAGAAAATTACCATAGATAGGGAGAGACAATATCTGACGATAAACAGGCCAATCTGCCAAGAAAACACAGCAATCTTAATTGTGTGTCATCAAACTTCAAAACACATAGATGACAAAACTTACAAAATTGAAAGGAGAAACAGAAGCATCCACAATTATAGCTGGAGATGTTTATACTTTGTCTCTCCACAATTTAAAAGAGAAAGAGACAGAAAATCAGCAAGGATACAGACAAACTTAACAATATCAACCAACAAGATATAACTAAAATTTACACAACACCCCAATGAACAAAAGCAGAAAATACTCTTTTCACGTGGCCATGGAGTACATACCAAAATGTGCCATACTCTGGACCATAAAACTCAAAAATGTAGAATAACTGAAATAACACAAAGTATAATTTGGAATCAAATTAACAATGGAAGAATAATAGGAAAATATCCAAAGGCTAAAATATTGAAAAAACACACATTCTAAGTAATCTGTAGGTCAAAAAGAAAGAATCAAGATAATTTTTAAAAATATATTTTGAATATGAAAATACAACATATTAAAATTTGTGAGATAGAAAGCAAGCAATGCTGAAGGAAATTTACAATAATAAATGCATATATGAGAAAAAAGGAAAAGACTCAAAAAATAATATAAGCTCCTATCTGAAGAACCTACAAAAAGAGAAAAAAAAATTTCCCAGAGAGCAAGAAGGATGAAGGAAAAAATAGAGGTAAGAGCAGAAATCAATGACATTGAAAGCAAGCAATAGAGAAAATCAATGATACAAAGAGCTGGTTCTCTAAAAAGAACAGTAACATTGAAAAACCTTTAGCGAGACTAATAAAGAAAAAAGAGAGAAGATTCAAATAAGCAGCATGAGGACTAAAATAGAGGATATGAATGCAGATCCTGCAGATATCAAAGGATAATAAGAAAGTACTATGAAGAATTTTACACTCATAAATTGGACGATTTAGACGAAATGAATAAATCCCTCAAAAAAGACAAATGATTACAACTCACCTAATACAAAATAAATAATTTTAAAAGTCCTATAACATTAAAGATGCTGAAATTGTAATTTTAAAACTCTTAAAAATAAAGTCTCTAAGCCCAGACGATTTCACTGTATCAAATGTTTAAAGAATAATTTTAACACCAATTCTACACCATTGCTTCCACAATTTGAAAGAGGAAACACTTCTCAATTCATTTATTAAGCCAGTATTACCCTGCTTACAGAAACAAAGAAAGTATAAAAAAGAAAATATAGATGAATATCTCTCATAGACACAAAAATCCATAATAAGTGTTAGCACATTGAATTCAGCAATATATACAAAAAAATTATGTTCCATGACCAAACCAGGGTTTATTCCAGGGATTTAAGGCTGGTTTAATATTTGAAAATCAATCAATATAAAACTTAAATAGAAAAGGCAAAAGAAGAAAAACTACACAAAAAAATTCATATCAAATAATGTGATTCTGGCCAGCCGCGGTGGCACATGCCTGTAATCCTAGCACTTTGGGAGGCCGAGGTGGGTGGATCACCTGAGGTCAGGAGTTCAAGACTAGGCTGGCCGACATGGTGAAACCTCATCTCTAATGAAACTACAAAAAATTAGCTGGGCGTGGTGGCGGATGCCTGTAATCCCAACTACTCGGGAGCCTGAGAATCACTTGAACCCAGGAGGCGGAGGTTGCAGTGAGCCGAGATCATGCCACTGCACTCCAGCCTGGGCAACAAGAGGGAGACTCTGTCTCAAAAATAATAATAATAATAATAATAATAATATTAATAATGTGATTCATATCAAGAGCCGCAGAAAAAACCATCTGACGAAATTCAAGACCTATTCATTATAAAACTCAAAAAAGTCGGAATAAAGGCAAACTTCCTCAACTTGATAAACAGCATTTACAAAACAGTTATAGCTACAGTTATATTTAGTAGTAAAATAATCAATAATTTCTTCTTAAAATAGGAAACAAGGCAAAGACGTTTGCTCTCTCTACTTTTATTCTATTTTCTTGAACTTATTGCACTGGCTAAAACTTCTAACACTATGTTATGTTATGTTATACTGTTAGAAGTTTTAGCCAGTGCAGTAAGTTCAAGAAAAGGCAATGAAACACATACAGATGGAAAGGAAAGAAATAACACTGGCTGTTTGCAGAAGACATAATTGTCTGCATAGAAAATCCCAAAGAATCCACAAAAACAAAACAAAAACAGAATAAGTGAGTTTAGCAAAGCTGCAGGATACAAAATTAACATACCAAAAATCAACTTGATTTATATACACCAGCAATGAGCATATGGACATCAAAATTAAATATACATTAACATTTACAATTTTTAACAATAAGAAGGAAGGAAAGAAGGAAGGGAGAAAATGGGAACAGGAAGAAGGAGGACAATGAAGGAAGGGAGAAAATGGGAACAGGAAGAAGGAAAACAATGAAGGAAGACCAATGTATTAGTCCCTTTTGCATTGGTAAAAAGGAATACCTGAGACTGGGTAATTTATAAAGGAAAGAGATTTATTTGGTTTCTGGTTCTGCAGGTTGCCCAAGAAGCATGGTGCCAGCATCTGCTTCTGGTGAAGCCTCAGGAAGCTTAAAATCATTGTGGAAGGCAAAAGGGGAGCAGGTGTGTCATATGGCAAGAGAGGGAGCAAGATAGAGGGCAAGTGGTGCTAGCCTCTTTTAAACACCCAGTTCTTGCATGAACTTATTACAGTGGGGAGAGCAGCAAGCCATTCATGAGGGATCCATCCCCACGACCCAAACACCTTCCACCAGCCCCTGCCTCCAATATTGAGGATCACATTTCAACATGAGATTTAGAAGGAACAAATACCCAAACCATATCATTCTGCACTTGGTCCCCTAAATCTCTTGTCCTTCTCCTATTACAAAATATAATCATCCCTTCCAAATAGTCCCCAAATGTCTTAACTTATTCCAGCATTAACTCAATCAAAAGTCCAAAGTTTCATCTAAGGCTCAAGGCAAATTTCTTTGACCTATGAGCCTGTTAGATCACAAACAAGTTATTTGCTTTCAAGAAACAATGGTGGTACAGGCATTTGGTAAACATTCCCATTCCTAAAGGGAGAAATCAGCCAAAAGAAAGGGGCAATAGGCCACACACAAGTCTGAAACCCAGCAGGGCCAACATTAAACCTTCAAGCTCCAATATAACCTCCTTTGACTCCATGTCCCGCATCCTGGGTACACTGTTGTGAGAGGTGAGCTCCCAAGGCCTTGGAAAGCTCTGACCCTGTGGCTTTGGAGAGTGTGCCCTCTCTGTGGCTGCTCACACAAGTTGGAGTTGACTGCCTGCAGCTTTGCTGGGCTCAGGGTGCAAGCTGACAGTGGCTCTACCATTCATGGGTCTGGCGGATGGTTGCCCCCTTCCTACAGCTCCAGTAGGCAGTGACCTGGTGGGGACTCCATGTGAGGGCTCCAACCCCATCTTTCCCCTCAGCACTACCCTATTAGACGCCCTCCATGGTAGCTCCACCCCTGCAATAGGCTTCCACCTGGGCACCCAGTGTTTTCCATACATCCTCTGAAAGCTAGGTAAAAGCTGCCAAGCTTCCTTCAATTTTGCATTCTGTGCACCTGCAGACTTAGTACCACATGGTACCACCAAAGCTTACGGCTTATGTTCTCTGAAGCAGTGTCTCAAGCTGTACCTGGAGCCCTCTGTGCCATGACTGGAGCCAGAGCTTCCAGGATCACGGATGCAGTGTCCTAAGGCTGTGCAGGGCAGCAGTGCCTCAGCTCTGGCCTCAGAAACCAGTCTTTCCTCCCAGGCCTCTGGACCTGTGATGGGAACTTCTGTCCCAAAGATTTCTGAGACCCCTTCAAGGCCTTTTCCCCATTGTCTTGGCTATTAGTGCTTGCCTCCCTTTTAGTCATGCAAATCTCTTTTGGGAGAAGTTGCTCCACTAGTGCTTGTAGTCCTCTCCTGACACAATCTGCTTATTGTCCTCTCCTGAAAATGCTTTTTCTTTCACACAGCCAGGCTGCAAATTTTCTAACTTTTACACTCTGCTCCCCTTTTAAATGTAACTTCAAACTCTGAGTCATTTCTTCGCTCCTGCATCTGACAGTAGGCTGTTAGAAGCAGCCATGTCACCTCTTAAATGCTTTGCTGCTTAGAAATGTCCTTTGCCAGATGCCCTAGGTTATCACTCTTAAGTTCAACTTTCCATAAATCCCTAGAACATGAATACAATGCAGCCTAGTTATCTGCTAGGGTGTAACAGGAGTGCCCTTACTCGTTTTTAATAAATTCCTCATTTCTATCTGAGACTTCATCAGCCTGGTTTTCACTGTCCATATTGCCATCAGCATTCTGGTCACAACCATTTAACCAGTCTCTAAGAAGTTCCAAACTTTCCCTAATCTTCCTGTCTTCTAAGTCCTCCAAACTCTTCCAACCTCTGCCCATACCCAGTTCCAAAATTAATTCCACATTTTCAAGTATCTTTTATAGCAACACCCCACTCCTCAGTACCAATTTACTGTTAGTCCATTTTGTGCTGCTATAAAGGAATACCTGAGACTGACTTATTGAGAAAAAAAAAAAAGAGGCTTATTTGGCTCACAGTTCTGCAGGCTGTACGAGAAGCATAGTGCCAGCATCTGTTTCTGGTGAAGCCTCAGGAAGCTTATAATCATGGTGGAAGGTGAAGGGGAGCAGGTGTGTCACGTGGTGAAAGAGGGAGCAAGAGAGAGAGGAGGAGGTGCCAGGCTCTTTTGAACAACCAGCTCTTGTATAAACTCATTATACTGGGGAGGGTAGCAAGCCATTCATGAGGGATCTGCTCCAATCATCCAAACACCTCCCACCAGGCCCCACCTCCAATACTGGGGATCACATTTCAACATGAGATCTGGAGGGGACAATCCATATCAAATGGCTTAGGTGTAAATCTAACGAAGTGTGTACTTGACTTGTATATTGAAAATTACAAACACCAATGACAGGAATCAAAGAAGAAATAAACAGACATATTCACAAACTGAAATAATATAATAAATATGCTAACATTCCTCAAATTGGTATCGAGGTTTAATGTAATCATATCAAAATCCCTGTAATATATTTGTTGATATACATACGATAGTTCTAAAATGTATATGGAAAGACAAAAGGAAAAGAGTAGCTGAAACAACTTTGAAAGAGAAGGAATATAAGCAATCATCCCACCAGATTTGAAGATTTACAGTGATCTAGGCTGTGTGGTATTAGTTGAGGGATTAATACATAGATAAATGAAACAGAATAAAGACTCTAGAAATAGACCTCCTGAAGTGGAGCCTAATAATTATGACAGATGTGCAAAAGCAATTCAATGGATAATAAAGGGCAATCTTTTCAACAAATGGGGCTGCAGCAATTGGACATCGATATAAAAAAAGGAACTAGGCCAGGCACGGTGGCTCATGCCTGTAATCCCAGCACTTTGGGAGGCTGAGATGGGCGGATCATGAAGTCAGGAGATCAAGACCATCCTGGCTAACACGGTGAAACCCTATCTCTACTAAAAATACAACAAAATTAGCTGGGCATGGTAGTGGGTGCCTGTAGTCCCAGCTACTCGGGAGGCTGAGGCAGGAGAATGGCGTGAATCCGCGAGGCAGAGTTTGCAGTGAGCCAAGATCGTGCCACTGCACTCCAGCCTGGGCGACAGAGCAAGACTCCGTCTCAAAAAAAAAAAAAAAAAAAAAAAAAAAAAAAAGGAACTAAACCTCACATGTTCACACACACAAAAAAAACTCAAAATAGATTGCAGACTTAAATGTAAATGTTAAACTATAAACCTTTTTAAGAAAACATAGGAAAAAATCTTCAGGGTCCTGGGCTTAGTGAAATGTTCTTGGACATGACACTAAAAACATGAGCTGTAAAAGAAAAATAAAATTAGACTGTATGAAAATTAAAAACTTTTTTTTTGCTGGAAAATACCTTGTTAAGAGTATTGGAAACCACTCTTACATTTAGAGTCCACATATCTGACAAAGTACTTTTATCTCTGGAATATATAAAGAACTCTCAAAATTCAACATTTAAAAAATCCAATTAAATAGTGAGCAAAATAATCCATAGTGACAAATCAGATTAGTGGTTGCCTGGAGGTTAGAGGAAGCTGAGGTGTAAGGGAGGAACTGCAGAGGGGCAAAAAACAAAACAAAACAAAACGCAGCCTATTACAAATGATGGAAATGTTCTTTATATTGTCGGAATGGTTTCATGAGTGTACAAACTTGTCTCAACCTATCAACCTGTATACTTAAACTATATAGTTTTTGTATGTCAATTACAGCTTCAATAAAGCTGGCTTATTTTTTAAAAAGGTTTATAATTCTTCTAAATAGACATCTATTAAGAAGCCACAATAAATGCTTCATCAATTGAGATAAATCTAGTGGGCGGGGGGAAAATCAGATAAAAAATAATTATAAAAATAGCATATGTAGTACTTTCAAGTTAAGTGCCCAGAGTGCGTTTCAAGTTCTGGTGTTTCGCTGATTTTCAAAATCTATGTTTGCTAACACAATATTCACAACAGACAATTCAGGAAGCTTTGTTTTAAAAAAAAAGCAACCTAGATCTCTTTTCACACTGAACAATTCAAGATATAAGAAGGTTTGGACACAAGCATTTATACTTAAAAAATGAGCCATAATTAATGTATGATAAAATTATCTTTTTAAAGTACAGAATTCAGTGGAGTTTTCTTAGTTTTTTGTTTTTGTTTTCTGAGATGGGGTTTTGGTCCATCACCCAGGCTGGAGTGCAGTGGTATAATCATAGCTCACTGCAGCCTCGACCTCCTGTGCTCAAGTGATCCTCCTGCCTCAGCCTCCTGAGGAGTTGGGACTACAGCCATTCACTACTGCACCCAGCTAATTTTTAAATTTTTTTGTAGCAATTGGGTCTTGATGGGTTGCCCAGGCTGGTCTCCAACTCCTGGCCTCAAGTGATCCTCCTGCCTCAGCCTCCCAAAATGCTGGGACTACAGGTTTCGGCCATCAGGCCCAGCCTCAGTGGCTTTGACTATTGCACTGAATAAATGTCTACTCATTTAGTATTTCATTGGATAAATATCCTTTGATCTTTCTTAAATTAGGTTGTATTTTTGTTGAGTTGTAAGAGTTTCTTTAACATATGCTGGATACTTGACCCTTAGGAAATATATTATTTCATATATTATCTCACATTCTGTGAGTTGTCTTTTCATTTTCTGTGGAGTGTCCTATAGATGTGTCTATTAGGTCTAATTTAAGCCTAATGGTTATTAACTCTATTTTTAAGTCTAATGTCAGTCAGATTTTAATTATTGCTTTATGTAGTTGTTTTAAAATTATACACAAGAAACAAGGGTATCACAAAAAAGGTGTCCATTAGCTAGCAGACGAAAGCCATTCAAGTCTTCCATTTATTTTTTAACTGTCTAGTGTTTCTATCATTATTGAAAGAGGGGTACCGAAGTCTTCAACTATTTTTGTTGAATTGTCTATTACTCCCCTTTAATTCTGTCTCTTTTTGCTTCATGTATTTGAGGGCCCCATTGATACGTCATATGTATTTATAATTGTGATATATTCCTGACCAGTTTACTTTTTATTACAATGAAATGCTCTTTTTAGTCTGTAGTAACACTTTTTTCTTTTTTTTTTTCCCTGAGATGGAGTCTTGCTCTGCCACCCAGGCTGGAGTGCAGTGGTGCGATCTCGGCTCACTGCAACCTCTGCCTCCTGGGTTCAAGCAATTCTCCTGCCTCAGCCTCCCGAATAGCTGGGATTACAGGCGCCCACCACCATGTAGAGATGTAGTAATGCTTTGAAGTCTATTTTGTCTGATATTGGTATAGCCACTGTAGCTCTAGCTTCACTACTGTTTGCATGGTATTATCTTTTTGCATCTATTTATTTTCAACCTATTTGTGCCTTTGAATCTAAAATGTGTCTCTTGCATATACAGCCAAATTATTAATTTATTCTGTCAATCTCTGTATTTTCATTGGAGTGTCTAATCCACCTACTTTCATGTGCAATCTGATAAAGTAGAATTTACAGCTAACAGGTTGCTCCTTCCTTCCTCAGGGTCTCACTCTGTTACCCAGGCTAGAGTGCAGTGTAATCACAGTTCACTGTAGCCTCAAACTCATGCACTCAAGCAATCCTCCCACCTCAACCTCCTGAGTAGCTAGGACTACAGGTGTGAGTCACCATGCCTACCTAATTTTTCTTTTTTTTGTAGAGATAGGGCCTCACTCTGTAACCCAGGCTAGCCTCCAACGATAGGCCTCAAGCAATCCTCCTGTCTCAGCCTCCCAAAGGGCTTAAAATACAGGTGTGAACCACTGTGCCCAGTTTGCTATTTTCTATATGTCTTAGGTGCTTTTTATGATTTTCTACATGCCTTGTGTGCTTCCCCCAATCCTTCCCTACTGCCTTCTAATTTGTTAAGCAGATGTTCTCCACTGTACCATTTTCATTTCCTTGTCACTTCACTTACTTCTTGTAAAGCTGTTTTTCCCGGGAATTACAATTAACATCTTGACTTCTAACAATCTTGTCTGGATTGATACTAACTTAAAGCAATAGTGTACAAAAACTTTCCCCCTGTATAACTCTGCTTTCTCCTCCTCTGTGTTGTTGTTGCATTAAAAATTACATTTATATACACTGTATGCATATCAACACATACTTATAATTATTGCTTTATGCAGTTGCATCTCAAATCAGAGAGGAGAAAAAAAGAGTTATGAACACAAAATATATTTACAGTGTCTTTTATGTTTACCTAGGTAGTTACTTACTGATATTCTTTATCTCTTTATAGATCCCAATTACCCTCCTTTCATTTCACCTAAAGTACTCTTCAGTATTTTCTTGCAGGGAAAATTTTCCAGCAGTGGATTGTCTCAGCTTCTCTAAAATTGGAAAATGCATTAATTGCTCCTTCATTTTGAAAGATATTTTTACTGGGTATAGAATTCTTAAAGTCTTTTCTTCCAGCACTTTGAAAATATCCTTTTCCACTGCTTTCTATCTTCCATGGTTTCTGTTGAGAAATCAGCTGTTCATCTGATTAAGGCTACTTTGCATGTGATGAGTTGGTTCTCTCCTGCTGCTTTCAAGATTCCCTCTTTGTCTTTCAACAGTTTGATTATGATGTATCTAGGTGTGGATCTTTGGTTTTATCCTTCCTGTAGTTTGTTAAGCTTTACGGATGTGTACATCAATGTTTTTCACCCAATTTGGGAAGCTTTTACTCCCTTTGGCTTCAAGTATTCTTTCTGCCCCTTTCTTTCCTCTTTCCTTCTAGGATAACTCTTTTGCGTATGTTGCTATGATTGTTTTCTCACAGGTTTCTGATGCTTAGTTCATTTTTCCCCATTTTTTTTCTCAGTTATTCAGATGGGATAAACTCAGTTGATCCGTCTTTAAGTTCCTTCTTTCTTCCACCTGTTCGAATCTTTTATTGAAACTCATTAGTTAATATTTCATTTTCATTATTGGAATTTTTAACTCCAGAATCAAATTTTTTATGTCTATGCATCTTTACTGGCATTATTTATTTGGTGAGATATTCTTATACTTTCCTTTAGTGTTTTAGACAGTGTTTACTGCATTGAACATATATAAAATAACTGGTTTAAAGTGTTTTGCTAGTAAACTCAACATCTGGGCTTTCTTAGGACAATTCCTATTGACTCTGTTTTGTTTTTCCCTCTGTATATGCCATCTGCTTTTTAAATTTTCACTGCATGTCTCATACATATATTTTTTGAAAATTGGACATTTTAAATACTACAATGTGGCTGGGCATGGTGGCTCATGCCTGTAATCCCAGTACTTTGGGAGGCCGAGGCAGGCATATCATGAGGTCAAGAGATCGAGACCATCCTGGCCAACATGGTGAAACCCTGTCTCTACTAAAAATACAAAAATTAGCTGGGCGTGGTGGCACATGCCTGTAATCCCAGCTACTTGGGAGGCTGAGGCAGAAGAATGGCTTGAACCCAGGAGGTGGAGGTTGCAGTGAGTGGACATCGCGCCACCGCACTCCAGCCTGGGCGACAGAGTGAGACTCCATCTCAAAAAAAAAAAAAATACTATAATGTGAAAAATCTGGAAAGTATATCCTCCAACCCTAGGTTTGTTGTTGCTGCTATTTGTTTATTCAGTAACTTTTCTCAACTAATTCTGTAAAGTCTGTATCTTTTGTTGTGTATACTCACTAAAGTCTTTCCTTTGTTATATGAGTTGCCAGCTATTTAGGAAACTGAGATTTCCTTCAATGCTTGGCATCCATGAATCCCCAGTGTTGGCAGTGGGCTGCATCTGTGTGCTGGAGCACATCTTCGGCACAGCCAGGCAGCTGACAGCTCTGTCCCCAGTGTTTGCAGTGGGCTGTGTTGTGTGCCGGGGCACACCTTCCACACACAGCCAGGCAGCTGACAGCTCTGCCCCCAGTGTTCGCAGTGGGCTGTGTTGTGTGCTGGGGCACACCTTCCACACACAGCCAGGCAACTGACAGCTCTGTCCCCAGTGTTTGCAGTGGGCTATGTCTGTGTGCTGTGACACACCTTCCACACACAGCCAGGCAGCTGACAGCTCTGCCCCCAGTGTTTGCAGTGGGCTGTGTTGTGTGCTGGGGCACACCTTCCGCACACAGCCAGGCAGCTGACAGCCCTGCTTTAGCCTTCACTTCCTGCCTGTGCACAGTCTCAAGGTCAGTCAGAGGTGAGAGTCTAAGGCCTTCTCAGATTTTTCCTGAGCATGTGCACAGCCTTACATGTGTTTTTTGGAGCTTTTCAAAGAACTTGTGGACATCGAATTCCCCAGCCTTTCCTTTTCATCTTTTTATAGTTTATTATCTTCCTCAGTTGATATCCACTGCCTCAGGCAGCCCCAAGGTTAAGCAATTACTTCTAAATTTTCAACCCAACAACCCAGGGAAAAGGCTTTCTAGACTGGGAAAGCTCTGCATTTGGTCAAGTAAAAATAGTCTTGCAAGTGGGGTCTTCTACTGAACCACCAGACAGACCAAATACTGACAATTCTCCAACAGTGAGACTCTGAGGAGCTTTAACTCTGTTCTCTCCACTTTGGTGACAGAAAGGCTGATGGTTTCATCATGATTGCAGCCTGAATTGCAGATTCAAGGCTACCAGGGAGCTGGAGATGGGAGAAGGAAATAGGGCAGGTTAAAATGTCACAAAAGTCACTGTTCTTACCAAGATTCGGCCTATTTTTATAAAAAATAAATGCTCCCCAGATTGCTGCTAGCTTTTGGTCTCCTCTTAGTTTATTTCTAAAGTTTTGAAAAACTTACTTTTGGCAAATGTTGGCAGTTTCCTTCTTCTTTCTGATTTTATGGAGGAAATAATTTTTGAGGCCATTATTCTGCTATTTTCACATACATACCTCAACACTCATATTTTAAAAGTTCTTCATAGGCTCTGTTGCATATTCATTTTAAGAACCACAATGCACAAGTGGCAACTGCCTCTCTTGGCCATGGCATAATATTAGCATTTTATTCTCAGAAGAGGAAATATGAGGAGGACTCTGTATGATGAGCATAGGTAAAGCAAGAGCACAGATGCATACTGACAACAGAGGTGGGTTAAGAATGCATGACCCCCAGCCCCTCCCTTGTTTTGGTTTCCAGAGCTCTGACTGCCAGGCACATACTGCCCAGGTAGCATACTAGAAAAATTTTCTCTGGGAAATGTGATCCAATGAAGAGAAAAGACCTAATCATATTAAGGTCCCCAAAATACGTTCCCATCCAAATCATGCTATGATGAAGCCCACTTCTCCAACATCACCACCACTACCATACAGACATATGGGAACCCCCTGCCTGCACACACCACACACACACATACACACACACACACACACACACTACACACACACAGCTTCTACCAAAGATCACCTATCATCATGAGAAAGGCTCTAATATGACAAATAGAGACCAAAATAAACAACAGATAAGGGACTTTGAGGATGCAGACAATACAGGAAGTAGAAGAAAAATTCCATAAAAAGCAAAAGCAAGAAGTAGAAGGATCAAGGAGCAGGAAGAAAATGAAGCAGCAGCAGAAGCAGAAGAAAGAAAGAAGAAGGGGAAGGGAAAGGGGCACGGGGAGGAAGAAAGAAGAAGAAGGAGGAAGACGAGGACAACTTCAGTACTATAACAGAGCAACGGCATTGCTTTAAAAATACTAACAAAAATCAGATACTTCCAACAAGAAACATTCAGAGAGCAAAACAAAGCTATTGGGAACTGGAACATTGGAATAAGAAAAGAAACAACAAAATTCTAAGAAAAAGTATTCAACTTATTCCTAGCCACACTATTCATCAAGTGTAAGGGTAAAAATAAGGTCTTCAAAATCCTGCTATGCTCCCTTTCCCAAACTGTAATAAAGGACACCATCCATCAACTGAGAAGATAAACCAGGAAAGAGGATCTGGATCCACAAATGGAGAATGGCAAGGGAAATTCTCTAGTTGATAGCTATTGAAATAATACAAAGTAGCTATTTGGTCTTTGTCCATGGTTCCTGACATAGAGCTTCAAAAACTCTTAGTGACAGAAATCAGAAATTCCTTGTTATGCTAATGAAGTGGCTCATGGAAGAGGTCCCTCAAGTGGTTTCAGGATGGAGGCTGGTTGCCAGAGAAACCAACCAAGTGATTGGAGAACTGGAACTTGAGGCTTAACCTCCAAGAAGGGGAGGGATGCTGAAAATTTAGCTCAATCATGTGGTCAAAAGTTTAATCAATCATGCATACAAAATGAAACTCCATCAATAACTCCAGACGGCAAGGCTTGGGGAAACTACCTGGTTGGTGAACACATCAATGTATGAAGAGGATGGCACTGCTGGTCTCCACAGAGACAGAAGACCCTGTGCTTAGGACTTCCTAGACTTTGTCCTATGTAACTTTTCACCTGGAAGCTCATTTGCATTTTTATAATAAAACAATAATCACAAGGACAATTATGTGTCACATAATGACATTTCAGGGAACTATGGACAGCGTATCTGAAAGTGGTCCCATAGGATTATAATGGCTAAAAAATTCCTATTGCCTAGTGATGTCATAGCTGTCATAACATCACAGTGCAATTACTTTTTTTTTTTAATTTAGTGTAGTCTAAGTGTACAGTGTTTACGAAGTCTACAGTAGCACACAGTAATGTCCCAGGCCGTCACATTTACTCACTACTCACTCACTGACTCACCAGAGCAACTTCCAGTCCTGCAAGCTGCACTCACGGTAACTACCCTGTATATGTATATCATTCTTTTATCTTTTATTCTGTATTTTTACTACACCTTTTCTATGTTTAGATACACAAATACTTACAATTGCATTACAATTGCCTACACTATTCAGTAAAGCACCATGCTGTACAGGTTTATAGCCTAGGAACAATAGGCTCTACCATATAGCCTAAGTGTGTAGTATGCTATAACACCTAGGTCTGTGTAAGTAGACTCTGATGTTTGTACAAGAACGAAATCGCCTAATAATGCATTTCTCAGAACGCATCCTCATCATCAAATGACTATTTAGCACCAAGTTCTGGGAGTTGTTATAGCAAATTAACAAATGTGAGGAAGTTGTAGGAAGCCCCAAATGTGTAGATGGCCAGGCAGAAGTGCAAGGTAGTGTCTGAATCGAACTGGGTCATAGAATACTCAGTTGATGTCAGAAAGCTGTTGACAAAAGGCAATCATAAAAGAAAATATCAGTCTGACAGCTGCAGAACAGAGCTAGGAAACAATCAATTTACATTCAAGCAGGAGGATAAAATGCTTCAAAAGATGTCTCTAACAACATGGAAGACACAGATCCACGTGTCTGAACATGGGGAGAGAAAATTACAGGTCTACTGGAGAGTTTGGGGATAGAATAGTGATCATTACATGAAAAATTCAACAACCGGCCAAAGATAATAGTATTAACTCTAAGGAAAAGGAATATAGCCTATTGCATGGCTCTCAGCTGTGAATCATGAGTTTACAGATTTTAATATAAACATTATATATTAATTTAAACAAAAATGATTATGTAATTTCATTAGGTAAATGTGATAAATGAAGGGAAGTGTGTTAATTATGCGTGGTAGTGGAGGTAGAGAGTGAACAGAGAACTAAGTCCTCACCTTCAGTATTGTGAGGTTCTCCATTGTTCAACAGAACTAAAGCAAAAAGTGGTAATATAAGCATTTTATTTCAAGATATGCACGTAAATCTCAAAGAAACAGCTAAAAGAGTTAGAATTGGTTGTCTATGAGAAATGTAAATGGAAGCAGAGAACAATAATCCTCACAGAATTATCTCAGCTTTTAAACTATGGGCAAGAGTTATATTACCAAAATGTTAATTTTAAAAAGTATCACCAATCATGAGTATTGTGACAATATCACAGGAATTATTATTACTTTAAAGAACAGAATGTAAGAGGTGTGGTAGCTTTCCCAAGCTCACATAATTACTGAGGGTCTCATCTTATTTGTTTTGTTTTGTTGTTTTTTTGGTGTTTTTTGTTGTTGCTGTTGTTTTTTAGATGAAGTCTCACTCTGTCACCCAGGCTGAAGGGCAGTGATGCAATCTCAGCTCACTGCAACCTCCGCCTCCCGGGTTCAAGCAATTCTCCTGCCTCAGCATCCCCAGTAGCTGGGACTACAGGCACCTGCCACCACGCCCGGCTAATCTCTATATTTTTAGTAGAGATGGGGTTTCATCATGTTGGCCAGGCTGGTCTCAAATTCCTTACCTCAAGTGATTCACCCCCCTCGGCCTCCCAAAGGGCTGGAATTGCAGACGTGAGCCACCGTACCTGGCCTTATCTCATTTTTAAATGTTGTTCTTGTGAATTCAAACATTTTGTCTCTCTCTGAATTGTCCTAATAGCCACATATAAATAAGTAAAGTATTTCGGTATTGTGGGAGTGCAAAAGGTTAATTCTGATGGGAAGGGATCTGGAAGTCTCTTTATGGACACCTCCATTTGAACCAGACCTTGAGCAATCTTAGGCTGTTCTTTCCACGCAGGAAACGTGCCTGGATGACTTTCCTTCCTCCTCTTCTGTTGCCACTACCTGGCTTCCTCCCAGGTCCGGGCTGGGTGAGGCTGGCACTTAAGTGAAGGGGTTTCCTGAGCCTCCACTGTTTGGCAGCTGTCTAGTCCCGCTGAGCATGGTGGTTCCACTCCTACAAGCACCATGAATCTGGCCAGCATTGGTATCCAATCAACAACATCGGGAGAATGACAGTACATCCAATGGGCTTGCCACAAGGACTGAGTGAGATAACATGCTTATTGTGAAACAGGGCTGCCATGCATCTCTTGCTCTTGTGATGAATCCAAAGCTCTCCTGGCCCACAATGCTCCTCGGGTAGGCAGCTCTGCATATCAGCCCTTGGTGGGTGTGCTCATCCTGTGGCTACGTGCTCTGTCCTCCTCTCGGACTCTGATGCCTGCTTCAGCAGCCAACAATGCCATCGCACCTCAGTGAAGACACGCCCTCCCGCCGCAGATGGTTTTCCTCAATTAGCCCCCATTACAGCAAGATACAGTTCTGTAACCACTGTTAATATCTGCTTGCTGCAGCTTTTCCCCATCTCCATTTGCCTATCTGCCTATTTACTTATTTTTGTCTGAGAATTTGTGATTTAAGTCTATCTCTTGAAAGTGGCCATAGCTGGAACATTTTCAACTGAAAATGTCCAATTCACAACATGGTGATTACGGATAAGATTGGGTTTCTGTTGTCATAATATGTTGCCTGTTTACCAGACTTTTCTTGTGTTTTCTTAAAGCATTTCTTAGTTTTATTGGATTGTTCAGTTTTCTTTGTTCCATTATTGCCCTTCAAGGTTTGAAAACTTTATATCCTATTTCTATTCTTACAGTGGTTATTTACAAGTTTATGTGAAAGTTATGTGAAAATGCATAATTTATTTTTTCTATATATGCCTTCATAAATCAGTCCATATGCGTGCGTGTGTGCGCGTGCACACACACACACAGGTATGTATATACAGGTATACATATAAATAGATGATATAGATATAGAAAAGTATCTTAGAATGCATTTCTTCTCTGCTTTTTCTACCTCTGAAATACACTACCCTCACTCCTCCAGGACCGTTTGTAGAGTGAATTCTGAAGTTTCAGTTATAGATTGCTGTTGATGTTTCATGGGATGTTTGACAACTGACAATTAGGCTTAATGCCAAATTTTCTGGACTCTAACTGCTTGGATTTATTATATCTCACTTATTCTGCTTAGAGTTTGATTTTGGTTTTGCATAACTGGATTACATTATTCCAGCAATTCTTTCAGATAATTTGTGGGTGGTAAACTTTGAATCCTTGCATACATGAAAACACTTTTTTTTTTTTTTTTTTTTTTTTTTTTTGCTTTTCTACTTGGCGTTTCAGAGATCTTAGGATACTAATCAGTTTCTCATCGGAGCTTGGGCGTTATAGCCCTCTGTAATGTCCTAAATAGCCTTTTTTTCCTTACACCTGATGTACTGGAATTGAAGGATGAAGTGGGTCTGCTGCTTCTAAGTATGTGTTTGTGTTTTCCCTCAAATCTAGAAGCTTTTAGAAAACAAACAAAACAAAAAAAAATCATTTCTCTATATCTGTACTTCCCATTCGCTCAGTTGTCTCTTTCTGAGATATCTGTTAGACTCAAGTTGGAATTTCTTCCAATACCTCCTGTCAGTCTGTGGCTTCTAAATTTAATTTCCCACTGTAATGCTCCTTAGCAAAGGCAGATTCCAGTCTGTGGTGGGAGGTACACACAGTGAGCCCAGGACACCTTATTTTATTTTCTGCCAGGAAATAGAAGAAATGATTAAGGATCACAGTGACCAAAGCAAAACAATGCAGGAGCCAATCTGACAGTTCAAGCATCAGAAAGAATAACTGCAATGGAGTAAAACATATCAAATGCCAAAAAAATCAATAGTTCAAACTGAAAATAAAATCTCACTGGTCACCTATTTCAATTATCTTGGCTACTGCATAATCCATTCATTTAATGAGCAAATAAACAGAAATATCCTGAAAACAAAAAAATACAGCACTTCAGAAGGCCAAGGCGGGCACATCACCTGACGTCAGGAGTTCGAGACCAGCCTGGCCAACACGGTAAAACCCTATCTCTACTAATAATACAAAAATGTGCTGGGCATGGTGGTGTGCACCTGTAGTCTCAGCCACTCGGGAGACTGAGGCATGAGAATTGCTTGAACCCAGGAGGCGGAGGTTGCAGTGAGCCAAGATTATGCCACTGCACTCCAGCCTGGGCAACAGAGTAAGACTCTGTCCCAAAAAGAAAAAAAAAATACAAAGAAGACCTGGGTTCAGGTCCCAAAATGTTCTCTGCCTAGACAGGTACAGTCATTAAGAACACCATTTCACATGATCATCAAAGAGACAAACATCAGTGAAAGTGCTTTAAAAATGTTAAAGTTCTTTAAAGTTATATACATATAGATGATGTTACTTTAGGGCTTTTTTCAAATATACACAGTGATATATGCATCCAAAGTCACACAACCAAAGCCACCTATTAGGAGGCCCTGAATACCAGCCCACTCTAGTTCTGCCCCCACAGCCCTTTCCAGATTTCCCAGATTTAACAATAAAGTAAGGAGGAAACTAATTTTCCTCCAAAAGAGTGGCATTTCTGAAATAAGTACAGCATTCCCAATCCAAACAATGCCACATTATGTATCCTACTCTGTGTTCATTTCCTCTATTTGAGACTAAGTTTCGAGCACTCTAACACTAAGTTTCAAGCACTAATTCAGTACACTTTCCAAGTGACACCTGGAAAAATCCAGGAAGCCAGTGGAAATCCAGGAAGCTGCCTTGTGCTGACACATCAATGACCAGCTGCTTCCCGCTGTTGCAAAACACCCCCGGAAAGGGAAAATTTCCTGTCATGAATATTCCTTTTCAGTTTTTACTTTAATCCAATGCCCATAACTGTCCCTGTCAGAAACAATGAAGGTACCATCTGTACACTGCTGTTTTAATGCATGACTGATGGTTACTGTCAAAGGATTGTCTTGGACCACGGAATTTGCATTAACTGCTTTGTGCATGGAAGAGGATGGAGGGTCCGAACAACCCTGCATGTTTCAGAGGGAAAGGAGGCAAGGAGGTGCACCCTGCAGCCACACATCATCTTCAACAGCATGATAGTCAATCCTAGAGTGCAGGAAGCAGAATTAAAAGCCTACTGCTCCTAGGACCACTAGTCAGTGTAAATCACTCCCTGGCCTAAATCACTAAGACAAAGGCCTCTGATACAGTTTCTGTTTAGTCTGAAGTTGTAAAATGCAAGACCGGTAATATAAAGAACAGGGAAGCCTCCAGGACAGATCTGGAGACATCTTCCTGCTTGAAACATTACAGGCTGTCTGAAATTTACCTGACTTACATGTATATCCTGATTTCTAGTTGTTTATAGGATGTGGCCCTGAAGAGTAACTACAAACACCTGAATGTCTGCAAGTATCAGGATTCTATGGACGTTGTGCATTTTTATCAACATATCTGTTATCCTTTCACTTTTAATCAGGAAATTTTCTTGATCTTTAACCTACAGATATTTTAGGCAAATTTAAAATATTGTCCTAAATGATTCAGTCACAAAGTTGAGGAGTATCAACATTTGATCAAAGGCTTAAAAAGTAGCACTTTTTATTTTTAAAGGAAAACTCTGCAAGAAAGTTTTTAAATGTTGTTTTTAAAAAGAATGTTTTTAAAGCTTTTGGCCAATTGATTTTCAAAACCCGAAATATATTTCAGTGAATATATTAGCTATGGCTATAAAGTTGGGGTTTTCCAAGTTAACACACCAAAATGTTCATTACCTAATTACAGCCTATCCTTAAAATCAGTCAGTGTAGAAGGCTTTTGATTTGCTAAGAAACTTAGGGAAATTTTTTTCTTTTCCTTCAGAGTCAGATAGGCATCCAAACAAAAACAAACAAAAAAACCCATCTCTATCTCAATCATTAGCCAACAACCTTCATCATCAGATCCTGATTTGAGGGACACACTGCCATTCCTAATAAACAAACTGCTAAATGAAATAAGCAGAAGGCCACTGGCTGGAGACTATCTCCCATCTTTGAGTTCCTACTTAACAAAGGCAACCTAATTTATTAAGCAAACAAACCAAAACCTAACTTAGGACTATAACAGCAGAGTTTCAGCTAACCATGAACAGCTAGATTTCAGCCAATCACAGGCAGCCAATTCATCACCCCATGCCAAGTAAGACAAGTGCCTAGTGGTAGCCAATCAGATTATCTAATTTGCTTCTGTGTTCAGCCTATAAAAGCTGGTTGCTCACACTACTGAGTCAAGCTCTCTGAACCTCTTCTGGTCCTGAGTGCTGCTTGATTCATGAATTGTTCTTTGCTCATATAACGTCTGCTAAATTGAATTTGCCTAATGTTTTCTTTGTTAACAAAATCCCTCCTAAAAATAAGAACATCCATACTGAAGATATTTAATTAAAGGCATTTTAATTTCAGTAAAGGTCCAGAGAATTTGATATTTTAATCAATCAAGAAATAGAAACATAAGCAGAATGTTAAAATATGAGTGATGACCTGAAACAGAGCCTGTTAAAAGTACCTGTCTTAGGATGGTGATGGGAAACCTGGGGCCAGGGGCTAGGGCTTCTCATAAGCCCTTCTTTACTACTGACTTTGTAAATAATGTGTGTGATGTCAACATTTTTAAATATTAAAAATTTCCATTACCCATACATTATTTTCATATCATACACACATTAAATAATTAAAATGTCCATTAGGGCACAGGCATAGTGGACAATACAATGTCCAAATGTGATACAGTTAAACAATCATGCATTAATTCCACTAACAACCCTTTCACAACTCTTGAAAAACAAAATAAATTAGTCACCAGTCCAATTTCCATAAAACTGCTTAAAAGTGATACACTTTATACACAAAAATCAATTCTAGGTGGGTTATAAACAAACATGAGAGGTAAAACAGTAACAAAAATTCACTAAAACAACAATGGAAAGCTTCTAAAAAATACAGAAAAATATCTTCATGAACTTGGGGAAGGGAAAGACTTTTAAAATATGACACTGTAAGCACTAAATGTAGAAGAAAGGATTTCTAAACTAGGCCACACTAAAATTAAGAATTTCTGTTCACCAAAAGACACCATTAATCTGTAAGCATGTCATACTTCAATTGAAAGTTTACAAAAGGAGAAAAGAAAGAATGTCAAAAAGTAAAACAATAAGCCAAAGAGTCTAAGATACCTGCAAAACATATAACTGCAATGGTTTTGTTTTTTGGTTTTTTTTTTTGATACAGAGTCTCGCTCTGTCACCCAGGCTGGAGTGCAGCGGCATGATCTCAGCTCACTGCAAGCTCCGCCTCCCGGGTTCACGCCATTCTCCTGCCTCAGCCTCCTGAGCAGCTGGGACTACAGGCGCCTGCTACCACGCCCGGCTAATTTTTTGTATTTTTAGTAGAGACAGGGTTTCACTGTGTTAGCCAGGATGGTCTCGATCTCCTGACCTCGTGATCCGCCCGCCTCGGCCTCCCAAAGTGCTGGGATTACAGGCATGAGCCACCACGCCTGGCCAACTGCAATGGTTTGAATGTTTGACCCCTCCAAAACTCATGCTGAAATTTAATTTCCACTAGGATGGTATTGGGAGACAGAACCTATAAGAGATGCTTAGGTCATGAAGGCCCCACCCTCCTGAATGGACTAATGCAGTTACCTTGGGAGTGGGTTCATTATGAAGGGAGCAGGTTTAGCCCTCTTGCTCTCTCTCTCTCACACCCACTCTTTGCCCTTCTGCCATGTGATGCCTTCCACCACATTGTGAAGCAGCAAGATATGCCAGATACTGGCACCTTGATATCAGACTTTACCATCCCCAGAACTATGAGAAATAAATTTCTATTTTTAATAAATTACCCAGTCTCCAGTCTGTTATAACAGCACAAAACAAAGACAATGACTACGGGTTTATATCTGTAATACAGAAAAACTCATACAAATCAATAAAGAAGAAAACAAACCAACACAAAACAAAAAAAAAAGAGAGAGAGAAATAGTAAAGAGACACGATTAGACACTTCTCAAAATAATATATCAAAATGGAAAATAAAAAAATGAAAATCTCCTCAACCTTAGCTGTAATCAGGGAAATGCTAATTAAAATCACAAGAAAATGTCACTCCACACCCACTAGAATGGTAAATTTAATAGACTAAAAATGCCAAGCGTTGGTGAGTATGTAGAGCAACAAGAATTTTCATACACTGCTGGTGGGAATGCTAATTGGTATAACCATTTTGAAAATTGTTTAGCATCATCCAGAAAAGTTAAAAACACGCTGCCCTATGGCCCCGCCAATCTACTTTTACGTCTGTATCAGAGAGAAATGCATACTCCTGTCCGTCAGAAGACATGTAACACATTCCTTGAAGTGTTCTTGAAAGCAGACAAAATCTAGAAGAAATCTAAATAGCCATCAATATAATAATACATGTTGTTATATTCATACAATAGAAATGAAGAAAGAAGAGCTACAGACAACAACTTGGGTGGCTCACAAAAATAAAAATGAACCAAAAAAGCCAGATCCCAAAGAACGCACGCTGTGTGCTTGGGTGATTCCTCTTATACAGAGTTCCAGAGAAGGGCAAAACTAGACTTTGGTGTTTGAAGTAAGGCAAACAGTTTAGCTCTGGAGGAGCGAAGGTCTGTATTGGGTGGTGACAGCTTAACGGGGTTCACTTTGTGGTAACCCACTGAATTGGTTTTGATATCGTGCCACATTAGTGTATATCTACTCTACTACAATTTAAAGTTTTAGAATAGGGTTAAAGAATAACTTCCAAAATAAGATGTGTGTCTCTCTACGAGAGACCTTTAACACAGTGTGTTAAAGGTTACTTCAAATGACAATAAAACTTCTTAATGGAGAACTTAAACAAACTGTTTCCTGACTAGTGATTTCAATTGTAAATTTCATCCATTTGCACTTAATGAAATATACTTTGGCAATCAGTGAGCAGCCTTACCCTAATTTGCTTAATCTAAATCTCTGATCATAATATCTTCTCTGTGTGGACTTCTTAAAATAGATACTTTAGATTATAAACTCATTTAACAATCCTGAAATTTGAAACCAACTAAAGAGTTAGCCTAACACGTGCCTTCTCTCCACAAAATAAAGTAAATAAGTTCTCCTCCCTCTCTAAGTCCTCTCCCCAGAGTATAGACACCATGGCTCTTTTATCCAAGACAGGAATATTTACAGACAATTCACTTCCAATGATGCAAGAGTAAATTTCCCATGCTGAGAATCTCTCACAGGTGGCATTCATTAACCATGACAACTGCAATTTCCTACTCCTCGTCCACTGCCACCTACAGCTTAGACAGGTCAGCTCCTACACCCACGAGCTGACGCAGAGCCAGTAGTCAGCCACACATCCAGGCCTTTCCCACAGCCCATTCTTCTGCACTAATTTTTAACCCATAATACAAGATTTTGTATAATTCATTGCTTAATTTCTTATTAGTTTCAGTCCATTGTTTTGGCTACCTGGGAGCTGTGACTCCAAGGCCTCTGCGGTATCTTCAAGCTTTAGATCTTGGAAACTTAATTAGCATAGTACATGATACCTTGTCTTGAGATATCAAAAATAAAATCAACAAGGAGAGCTAAGGATAACAGGGGTGTGTGTGACTGAGTGTGCATTTACACACACATAAATATGCCCAAGTACATACTATTTTACAATACTTTTTGAATTTCTTTGGCTATAACGGTTTATAACTGATGTTAACTGAATAAGGAAATCACTGAAATTAAGAGCATGGGAACTGCAATTAGAAGATGCCAAATGACTTCCCTCTTCTTTGAGGAGGAGTAAAACACTACCTAATCCTGATTTTAAAAATAAATCAATAAGGCAGCAGAGATTTTCGTTGGCCTTCCTCCATGACAAGACTATTTCTCTTCCTTTAACAGCATGTCAAAGATGAAACGAGAAGCTCTGAGAGAGCTGAACCCTTCAGGGAATATCTTCAGTGGTAGCCTTGAAAGGCAACATTTACAAGAAAGATTCCTTTAGTAAAAGTGCTTACAATTCTCAGTCTATACAGATTAAAAGAATTTTGTGGGTTTATCTCCCACAGCCCTCTTCAGGGCTCTGTCTCCTAAACCTCTTCAGGTTTTAGGAGACAAAATTTCAACCATAATAAATTGGTATCAATTATAAAGGTGCATTACAGATTTTTTTATTTATATCTAATAGCTGTACATATTTTGGAGGTACATGTGATATTTTGATACCCACAGACAATGTGTAATGATGAAATCGGTATCATCGGGGTATCTACCACCTCAAACATTTATCTTTTATGTTGGGAAAATTACAAGTCTGCTCTTCTAGTTATTTTGAAATGTACAATAAATTATTGTTAACTATAATTTCTCTACTATACTATTAAATACTAGAACTTATTCCTTCTATCTAACTATATCTTTCATCTAACTTTTTTATTTAATTGTATTTATTTATTTATTTTGAGATGGAGTCTCGCTCTGTCACCAGGCTGGAGTGCAGTGGCGCGATCTCGGCTCACTGCAACCTCTGCCTCCCGGGTTCAAGCGATTCTCCTGCCTCAGCCTCCCGAGTAGCTGGGACTACAGGCATGCGCCATCACCCCCAGCTAATTTTTGTATTTTTAGTAGAAATGGGGTTTCACCATGTTGGCCAAGATGGTCTCAATCTCTTGACCTTGTGATCTACCCTCTTTGGCCTCCCAAACTGCTGGGATTACAAGTGTGAGCCAACGCACCTGGCCTCTTCCATCTAACTTACTCCCTTTAACCAACTTCTCCTCTCCCCACTGTCTTCCCAGTCACTGGTAACCACCACTACACTCCCTACTTCCGTGAGATCCACTTTCTTAGCTTCCACAAATTAGAGAGCACATATGATATTTATTTCCACTTAGAATTTCTGTTCTGCTATCAGTGATGATCAACTAGGTGGTTCTCATCAACTCTCCAGTGAGAACAATTAGAAGAGCTTGGGGAAAAAAAAAAAAAAATCATGCTTAAGGGCACCAGAATACTAATAGAGCAGTGAGGAATTGCAGGGACAAGATCCAGGAAGGGAGGGGAGCCCTGAGAGAATACCAAGATTTGAGGCCACCTTTCCAGAGCCTGTGGTGATTATTTAATAATGCTTAAGAGGCTAAAATTTTAAGCAAACCTTGACAAACTTAAGAGAAAAGTGGAAAATTTTGAGCTCAAGACTTACTGAAGAGAGGGCCAGGTGCAGTGGCTCATGCCTGCAATCCCAGCACTTTGGGAGGCCAAGGCGGGCAGATCACTTCAGGTCAGGAGTTCAAGACCAGCCTGGGGAACGTCTTGAAACCCCGTCTCTACTAAAAATACAAAAATCAGCCAGGCATGGTGGTGCATGCCTGTAATACCAGCTACTTGGGGAGGAGCCAAGATGGCCAAATAGGAACAGCTCCGGTCTACAGCTCCCAGCCTGAGCAATGCAGAAGACGGGTGATTCCTGCATTTCTATCTGAGCTACCAGGTTCATCTCACTAGGGAGTGCCAGACAGTGGGCGCAGCACAGTCGGTGCAGCGCCCCATGCACCAGCCGAAGCAGGGCGAGGCATTGCCTCACTCGGGAAGCGCAAGGGGTCAGGGGAGTTCCCTTTCCTGGTCAAGGAAAGGGGTGACAGACGGCACCTGGAAAATCGGGCCACTCCCACCCCAATACTGCGCTTTTCTGACGGGCTTCGGAAACGGCACACCAGGAGATTATATCCCGCACATGGCTCGGAGGGTCCTACGCCCACGGAGTCTCGCTGATTGCTAGCACAGCAGTCTGAGATCAAACTGCAAGGCTTCAGCAAGGCTGGGGGAGGGGCGCCCGCCATTGCCCAGGCTCGCTTAGGTAAACAAAGCAGCCAGGAAGCTCCAACTGGGTGGAGCCCACCACAGCTCAAGGAGGCCTGCCTGCCTCTGTAGGCTACACCTCTGGGGGCAGGGCACAGACAAACAAAAAGAGAGCAGTAACCTCTGCAGACTTAAATGTCCCTGTCTGACAGCTTTGAGGAGAGCAGTGGTTCTCCCAGCACACAGCTGGAGATCTGAGAACGGGCAGACTGCCTCCTCAAGTGGGTCCCTGACCCCTGACCCCCGAGCAGCCTAACTGGGAGGCACCCCCAAGTAGGGGCAGACTGACACCTCACACGGCCGGGTACTCCTCTGAGACAAAACTTCCAGAGGAACGATCAGACAGCAGCATTCGCGGATCATGAAAATCCGCGGTTCTGCAGACACCGCTGCTGATACCCAGGCAAACAGGGTCTGGAGTGGACCTCTAGCAAACTCCAACAGACCTGCAGCTGAGGGTCCTGTCTGTTAGAAGGAAAACTAACAAACAGACAGGACATCCACACCAAAAACCCATCTGTGCATCACCATCATCAAAGACCAAAAGTAAATAAAACCACAAAGATGGGGAAAAAACAGAACAGAAAAACTGGAAACTCTAAAAAGCAGAGCGACTCTCCTCCTACAAAGGAAGGCAGTTCCTCACCAGCAACGGAACAAAGCTGGATGGAGAATGACTTTGACGAGTTGAGAGAAGAAGGCTTCAGACGACCAAACTACTCCGAGCTACAGGAGGAAATTCAAACCAAAGGCAAAGAAGTTGAAAACTTTGAAAAAAATTTAGACGAATGTATAACTAGAATAACCAATACAGAGAAGTTCTTAAAGGAGCTGATGGAGCTGAAAGCCAAGGCTCGAGAACTACATGAAGAATGCAGAAGCCTCAGGAGCTGATGCGATCAACTGGAAGAATGGGTATCAGCGATGGAAGATGAAATGAATGAAATGAAGTGAGAAGGGAAGTTTAGAGAAAAAAGAATAAAAAGAAACGAACAAAGCCTCCAAGAAATATGGGACTATGTGAAAAGACCAAATCTGCATCTGATTGGTGTACCTGAAAGTGACGGGGAGAATGGAACCAAGTTGGAAAACACTCTGCAGGATATCATCCATGAGAACTTCCCCAATCTAGCAAGGCAGGCCAACATTCACATTCAGGAAATACAGAGAACACCACAAAGATACTCATCGAGAAGAGCAACTCCAAGACACATAATTGTCAGATTCACCAAAGTGGAAATGAAAGAAAAAACGTTAAGGGCAGCCAGAGAGAAAGGTCGGGTTACCCACAAAGGGAAACCCATCAGACTAACAGCGGATCTCTCGGCAGAAACTCTACAAGCCAGAAGAGGGTGGGGGCCAATATTCAACATTCTCAAAGAAAAGAATTTTCACCCAGAATTTCATATCCAGCCAAACTAAGCTTCATAAGTGAAGGAGAAATAAAATACTTTACAGACAAGCAAATGCTGAGAGATTCTGTCACCACCAGGCCTGCCCTAAAAGAGCTCCTGAAGGAAGCACTAAACATGGAAAGGCACAACCGGTACTAGCCGCTGCAAAATCATGCCAAAATGTAAAGACCATGGAGACTAGGAAGAAACTGCATCAACTAACAAGCAAAATAACCAGCTAACATCATAATGACAGGATCAAATTCACACATAACAATATTAACTTCAAATGTAAATGGACTAAATGCTCCAATTAAAAGACACAGACTGGCAAATTGGATAAAGAGTCAAGACCCATCAGTGTGCTGTATTCAGGAAACCCATCTCACGTGCAGAGACACACATAGCCTCAAAATTAAAGGATGGAGGAAGATCTACCAAGCAAATGGAAAACAAAAAAGGGCAGGGGTTGCAATCCTAGTCTCTGATAAAACAGACTTTAAACCAACAAAGATCAAAAGAGACAAAGAAGGCCATTACATAATGGTAAAGGGATCAATTCAACAAGAAGAGCTAACTTTCCTAAATATATATGCACCAATACAGGAGCACCCAGATTCATAAAGCAAGTCCTGAGTGACCTACAAAGAGACTTAGACTGCCACACAATAATAATGGGAGACTTTAACACCCCACTGTCAACATTAGACAGATCAACGAGACAGAAAGTTAACAAGGATACCCAGGAACTGAACTCAGCTCTGCACCAAGCAGACCTAATAGACATCTACAGAACTCTCCACCCCAAATCAACAGAATATACATTTTTTTCAGCACCACACCACACCTATCCCAAAATTGACCACATACCTGGAAGTAAAGCTCTCCTCAGCAAATGTAAAAGAACAGACCACAGTGCAATCAAACTAGAACTCAGGATTAAGAAACTCACTCAAAACCGCTCAACTACGTGGAAACTGAACAACCTGCTCCTGAATGACTACTGGGTACATAACGAAATGAAGGCAGAAATAAAGATGTTCTTTGAAACCAACGAGAACAAAGACACAACATACCAGAATCTCTGGGATGCATTCAAAGCAGTGTCTACAGGGAAATTTATAGCACTAAATGCCCACAAGAGAAAGCAGGAAAGCTCCAAAATTGACACCCTAACAGCACAATTAAAAGAACTAGAAAAGCAAGAGCAAACACATTCAAAAGCTAGCAGAAGGCAAGAAATAACTAAAATCAGAGCAGAACTGAAGGAAATAGAGACACAAAAAACCCTTCAAAAAATTAATGAATCCAGGAGCTGGTTTTTTGAAAGGATCAACAAAATTGATAGACCGCTAGCAAGACTAATAAAGAAAAAAAGAGAGAAGAATCAAATAGACGCAATAAAAAATGATAAAGGGGATATGACCACCAATCCCACAGAAATACAAACTATCATCAGAGAATACTACAAACATCTCCACGCAAATAAACTAGAAAATCTAGAAGAAATGGTAAATTCCTCGACACATACACTCTCCCAAAACTAAACCAGGAAGAAGTTGAATCTCTGAATAGACCAGTAACAGGAGCTGAAATTGTGGCAATAATCAATAGCTTACCAACCAGAAAGAGTCCAGGACCAGATGGATTCACAGCCGAATTCTACCAGAGGTACAAGGAGGAACTGGTACCGTTCCTTCTGAAACTATTCCAATCAACAGAAAAAGAGGGAATCTCCCTAACTCATTTCATGAGGCCAGCATCATTCTGATACCAAAGCTGAGCAGAGACACAACCAAAAAAGAGAATTTTAGACCAATATCCCTGATGAACATTGATGCAAAAATCCTCAATAAAATACTGGCAAACGGAATCCAGCAGCACATCAAAAAGCTTATCCACCATGATCAAGTGGGCTTCATCCCTGGGATGCAAGACTGGTTCAATATACGCAAATCAATAAATGTAATCCAGCATATAAACAGAACCAAAGACAAAAACCACATGATTATCTCAATAGATGCAGAAAAGGCCTTTGACAAAATTCAACAACCCTTCATGCTAAAAACTCTCAATAAATTAGGTATTGATGGGATGTATCTCAAAATAATAAGAGCTATCTATGACAAACCCACAGTCAATATCATGCTGAATGGGCAAAAACTGGAAGCATTCCCTTTGAAAACTGGCACAGACAGGGATGCCCTCTCTCACCACTCCTATTCAACATAGTGTTGGAAGTTCTGGCCGGAGCAATCAGGCAGGAGAAGGAAATAAAGGGTATTCAATTAGGAAAAGAGGAAGTCAAATTGTCCCTGTTTGCAGATGACATGATTGTATATCTAGAAAACCCCATTGTCTCAGCCCAAAATCTCCTGAAGCTGATAAGCAACTTCAGCAAAGTCTCAAGATACAAAATCAATGTACAAAAATCACAAGCATTCTTATACACCAATAACAGACAAACAGAGAGCCAAATCATGAGTGAACTCCCATTCGCAATTGCTTCAAAGAGAATAAAATACTTAGGAATCCACCTTACAAGGGATGTGAAGGACCTCTTCAAGGAGAACTACAAACCACTGCTCAATGAAATAAAAGAGGATACAAACAAATGGAAGAACATTCCATGCTCATGGGTAGGAGGAATCAATATCGTGAAAATGGCCATACTGCCCAAGGTAATTTATAGATTCAATGCCATCCCCATCAAGCTACCAATGACTTTCTTCACAGAATTGGAAAAAACTACTTTAAAGTTCATATGGAACCAAAAAAGAGCCCGCATCGCCAAGTCAATCCTAAGCCAAAAGAACAAAGCTGGAGCCATCACGCTACCTGACTTCAAACTATATACTACAAGGCTACAGTAACCAAACAGCATGGTACTGGTACCAAAACAGAGATATAGACCAATGGAACAGAACAGAGCCCTCAGAAATAACGCCGCATATCTACAACTATCTGATCTTTGACAAACCTGACAAAAACAAGCAATGGGGAAAGGATTCCCTATTTAATAAATGGTGCTGGGAAAACTGGCTAGCCATGTGTAGAAAGCTGAAACTGGATCCCTTCCTTACACCTTATACAAAAATTAATTCAAGATGGATTAAAGACTTAAACGTTAGACCTAAAACCATAAAAACCCTAGAAGAAAACCTAGGCATTACCATTTAGGACATAGGCATGGGCAAGGACTTCATGTCTAAAACACCAAAAGCAATGGCAACAAAAGCCAAAATTGACAAATGGAATCTAATTAAACTAAAGAGCTTCTGCACAGCAAAAGAAACTACCATCAGAGTGAACAGGCAACCCACAAAATGGGAGAAACTTTTCGCGACCTACCCATCTGACAAAGGGCTAATATCCAGAATCTACAATGAACTCAAACAAATTTACAAGAAAAAAACAAACAACCCCATCAAAAAGTGGGCAAAGGATATGAACAGAAACTTCTCAAAAGAAGACATTTATGCAGCCAAAAGACACATGAAAAAATGCTCATCATCACTGGCCATCAGAGAAATGCAAATCAAAACCACAGTGAGATACCATCTCACACCAGTTAGAATGCCAATCATTAAAAAGTCAGGAAACAACAGGTGCTGGAGAGCATGTGGAGAAATAGGAACACTTTTACACTGCTGGTGGGACTGTAAACTAGTTCAACCATTGTGGAAGTCAGTGTGGCGATTCCTCAGGGATCTAGAACTAGAAATACCATTTGACCCAGCCATCCCATTACTGGGTATATACCCAAAGGACTATAAATCATGCTGCTATAAAGACACACACACACGTATGTTTATTGTGGCCCTATTCACAATAGCAAAGACTTGGAACCAAGCCAAATGTCCAACAATGATAGACTGGATTAAGAAAATGTGGCACATATACACCATGGAATACTATGCAGCCATAAAAAATGATGAGTTCATGTCCTTTGTAGGGACATGGATGAAATTGGAAATCATCATTCTCAGTAAACTATCCCAAGGACAAAAAACCAAACACCACATGTTCTCACTCATAGATGGGAATTGAACAATGAGAACACATGGTCACAGGAAGGGGAACATCACACTCTGGGGACTGTTGTGGGGTGGGGGGAGGGGGGAGGGATAGCATTAGGAGATATACCTAATGCTAAATGACGAGTTAATGGGTGCAGCACACCAGCATGGCACATGTATACATATGTAACAAACCTGCACGTTGTGCACATGTACCCTAAAACTTAAAATATTAAAAAAAAATACCAGCTACTTGGAAGGCTGAAGCAGGAGAATCACTGGAACCCGGGAGAGAGAGGTTGCAGTGAGCCGAGACTGTGCCACCATATGCCAGCCTGGGTGACAAAGTGAGACTCTGTCTCAAAAAAAAAAAAACTTATTGAAGAGAGAGAAGACTCTAGTAAATTCTCTGTATTTATGCCCTAGAATGTATATGCAAGAACCAGAAACAAACCAGCGCTTAAAGGGACTGAAGCCCATCTTCGTATCTTCTCAATCCCTAATCTAATTAAGGTTATGTGTGGTTGCTGGTACCCATGGGGTGGCTGTTGTCAGAAGCAAATATTAACAGGAGTAAAAGTGTTCTCCGTTCTCTCATCTCTACCATTTTTCCCATACATTGTCTGGGACAAACTACAAACACAACCAGGCTCAGAAGGAGCACAGACCATGTAACAGAAAAGCAAAAAGAGCCATCACTAATAAAAACAGAGGCACAAAGTGTCTTAAGAATGGAATTATCAGACAGGGACTATAAAAAAAAGTCTTATTAATATATTTGAAGAAAATCAGAACAAGCTTGAGAGCTAGAAAACATCGTAAGAACCAAAAGGAAACTCTTAACACTAAAGCATGCAATATCTGAAACTTTAAAAAGGAGTCGATAAATGGGACTAACAACAGATAGACACAATGAGAGAATTCAAGGACTGAATATTGAATATATGTCAACAGAAAACGGACCGGATGAAGCATGGAGAGACAAAGTAATGGGAATTGCCGCAAAGAATAGGAGGCATATGGAATAAATTAGTCTTCTCCATCTCAGCACTGTTGAAATTGGGGGCCAGATAATTCTTTTTCTTGAGGAGTCACCCTATGCACTATAGGTCATTTAGTAGCATCCCTAGCCTCTTCCCTGTAAGTGTCAGTAGCATCTTTCTCCCCAGTTGGGGCAACTGAAATTTTTTCAAGATAATGCCAAATATTCCCTGGGGAGAGACACTGCCCCTGGTTGAGAATCACTGAGATAAAGTGAAAGCTGTGGTGAACATGTAATCATTGTCCCAAAAAGGGAAGGCAGAAAAAATAGAGCAGAAGCCATATCTAAAGAAATATCTAGGCCGGGCACAGTGGCTCACGCCTGTAATCCCAGCACTTTGGGAGGCTGAGGCAGGCGGATCATGAGGTCAGGAGTTGGAGACCAGCCTGGCCAATATGGTGAAAACCTGTCTCTACTAAAAATACAAAAATTAGCCAGGCGTGGTGGTGCACACCTGTAGTTCCAGCTACTCGGGAGGCTGAGGCAGAAGAATTGCTTGAATCCAGGTGGCAGAGGTTGTAGTGAGCCAAGATCGTGCCATTGCACTCCAGCCTGGGCAACACAGCGAGACTCCATCCCCAAAAAAAGAAGGAAGGAAGGAAGGAAGGAAGGAAGGAAGGAAGGAAGGAAGGAGGAAAAGATCGATCGATCTGGCAACAATTGTCCAAAACTTGTGAATGAAACCAAGGAACAGATTCAATAAGTCATTCTGAATCCCAAGCAGGTAAAACAAAAGAGCAGAAACATATTCTTATCATAGCAAAACTGTTAAAAATCAAAGACAAAGAATAAAATTTAAAAGTGACCAAAGAAAACAAGAACAGAGAAGCAACAGTAAGGCATACAGCTGACCTCTTAACAGAAGTACTGAAGTCAGAAAACACTAGGGTAATCGACTATAGACACTATGCTGTATATAAAAGTGCTGTAACTAACCGGCAACACAAAGTCTGTATTTCTGAATTATCACACAAAAATTAGGCAATATAAATAAGTTTTGAAACAAACATGGAGAAATTGTGCTACTTCCAGACTCTCATGAAAGAGAAGTCTAAAGGGCAGAAGGAAAATTATCTCAGATGAAAGTTAGAAGATACAGGGAGGAATTAAAGTAACAAAAAAAGGTAAATATACGAGTAAATCTAAAAGAATACTGACTGTAAAAGACAATTATAATCTTATAAGGTTTAAATATATTTATAGAAATAAAATATATGACAATAACAGTAGATAAATTGGAATTATGGAATTAAAGTGTTGTAAAGTCCTCACATTGTACAGAAAGGTTGACGACTTTCACTAGACTTTACTTAGTCATGGATTCCTATTGTAATCTCCAGATCAACCACTGTAAGACAAAAAGAAAGAAATATGACTAACAAACTAATAGAAGAGAAAATTAGAATAATATAAAATGAGCAATTAATCCAGAAAAGTGTAAGAAAAAAGAGGAAAAAAAGAACATAGAAGAGACAAGGGTAAGTGGAAGTAAACAGTGAAGGATAGATTTAAAACCAAATAGATCAGTAACCACATGAAGGATAACTAAAATACAAAGATTATCAAATTCAATTTTTTTAAAAACCCAACTATGTGTTACTTATAAGTATCATCATAAATCATTTAAACACATTTTTTAAAATGGTTTTTAAATTACAAAAGGAATATAGATTGAATATGCAGTGATGGTAAGAGTTAATGAAGAAAACATATAAATGTATTTTAAAATCTGTATTTGTTTACTAATGGGCCTAAGTGTACCACTTTAAAATCAATGCCTGTTAATACTGCTTAAGGCACCATACATCATGTTTATACCTTTTAACTTTTAAATATTTAAATATTTCTCTACACATCTATAAACATAAAGAAAAGATAGCATGAACTCTGCCAGAATGCCTTGTGTGTGCTGATTTTTACCCCCTTGATTTTCAACTTCTTGATTCTTTTTTTGGTTTGTTTAATTTAGCTCCTGTACAAACACATATTACTTTTGTCATTTTAAGAAATGTATCTTATAAAAACATTATTAGATCCAGTTCCTGGTTCCTGATGCAAGAAGCTCAGAATGAACTTTGTCCTAACAAGTAAAAAGGTGAACACACTAGAAAAACAACAGCTCTTCTTGGAGCCCAGCTAAGAGGGGAACACACAGGATGAACTTCTGCTCTCAAGATTAGGGGGACAAACAGGGACATACAGAGAGCCAGGACTTTCCAGAGCAGAGACTAATCAGCAAAACCACCACAGGAACCAGCAGCAGAGTAAGAAAACCTGAAACTGGAATTGGCAAATTCCTGGAGGCTCAGTGTGTACAACTTTGAAAGTTAAAAATTCCAAAAGGATTCAATCATAGGGGGTTCCCAAATATCATGAGATTTACCTCCAGAAGCTCTACCAGGTTCCCACAGGAAATACTGAAGAAATGTTCCCTCATCCTTCCACCAGAGGGAAGTGAAAGAAACCACTTGGAAATGTGCCAGAATTTTCTGTTGTTTTTAATAAGGCCTGCCATCAGGAGAAATGAATTAACCAGAGTCTAACCCTCCGGGGTATTATGAGAGCTTACCTGACACAAGGGAAGGGAAATACTGAACTCCACCCACTCTAGCCATCCTATCGCACTCAAGTGGGGAGAAACAAACTGAGAAACACCTATGAAGTTCGTGTCCAGAGGGAAAGGCTCACTAAAAAACTGAGACCTAATCATAGGAGTATAGAATGCTTCCCCTCCCTCCACACCTTAACACTACATTAGTAACATTAATTTACAGCAGTTCCTTTTACCTGGTACATCACAGCCACCAATCAAGAAAAAATTACAAAGCATACTAAAAGGCAAAAAACAAACAAAAAACACAATTTGAAGAGACAGAACATGCATTAGTACCAGACATAGCAGCAGTATTGGAATTATCAGATCAGAATTTACAACAACTATGATTAATAAGCTAAAGGCTCTAATGGAAAAAGCAGACATCATGCAAGAACAGTTAAACAATGTAAGCACAGAGATGGAACTCCTAAGACATAACCAAAAAGAAATTCCAGCAATCAAAAATAATGTAACAAAAATAAAGAATATATTTGATGGGCTTACTAGTAGGTTGGATACAGCTGAGGAAAGAATCCCTAGTATGAGGAATATCAATCGAAATTTTGAAAACTGAAAAGCAAAGAGAACAAAGACTGAAAACAACAGAATAGAATATCCAAGGATTGTGGGACAATTACAAATGGTGTAACATATGTGTGATGGGAATGCGAGAAGGAGAAGAAGTAGAGCAGGGTTCCCCAACCCCCAGGCCACAGGCCAGTACCTGTCACCTGGACTGTTAGGAACTGGGCCACACACCAGGAGGTGAGGGGCAGGTCAGGGAGCATTACTGCCTGAGCTCCGCCTCCGGTCAGATCAGCGGCAGCGTGACATTCTTACAGGAACACAAACCCTATTGTGAATTTCACATGCAAGGGATCTAGGTTGCACGCTCCTTATGAGAATCTAATGAATGCCTGACAATCTGAGGTGGAACAGTTTCATCCCAAAACCATGGCCCCCGACAGTCTATGGAAAAATTGTCTTCCACAAAACAGGTCCCTGGTGTCAAAAAGGTTGGGGACTGTTGAAGTAGAGAAAGGAACAGAAGTATTTGAAACAATGATTGAGAATTTCCCCAAATTAGTGTCAAACACCAAACCACACATCCAGGAATCTCAGAAAACAGCAAGCTGATACATGTGGGGGAAAAAAAATCCAACATCTAAGTATATCATTTCAAACTATAAACAAAGATAAAGATAAAATCCTGAAGGAAGCCAAAGGCAGACAAAAAACCCTTCCCTTTAGAGGACCAAAAAGGTAAGAATTACATCTGACTTACATGAAATCATGCAAGCAAAAAGAGTAGAGTAAAATAATTAGTGTTGAGAGAGAAAGTCACAAATCTAGAATTATTGAAATCATCCTTCAAAAGACAAGGAAAAAAAATACATTCTCAGGCAAAAATTGAAGAAATTTGTTTCAAGCAGACCTGCCTTGAAAAAATGTTAAAAGAAGTTCTTTAAAAAAAGGGAAACGATACAGGTTGAAAGTCATATCTAAATTAAAGAAAGAACCACTGAAGAAGGAAAAAGTGAAGGCAAAATAAAAACTTTTGTTTTTCTTATTAATTTATCTAACAGATAACAGTTTGTTCAAAGTAACAATAGCAAAAATGTATTTTATTATACTTTGTGTATATATAATATATACATATATAATACATATACACACACACACACACACATATACACACACACACACGCACCTTATAAGAAATAAATGGTACAAGGGACAGGAGGAAGAAATTCATGTTATTTTGCATTATAAAGTGCTCTCATTATGCATGAAGTGGTATAATGTAACATGAAAGGTGACTTGGGTTAGTTGTAAATGTATATTGCAAACTCTAGGGCAACCACTAAAAAAGTAAAAAAAGAACTATAACTGATACACCAAGAAAGGAGGGAAAACATAACCATATAAAATGTCCAACTAAACCATAAAAGTCAGAGTGGAAAACAAAAACTGAAATAAGGAACAAGGACAACAAAAAAATCAGTAACAAATATGATAGTTATTGATCCAACTATATCGACAATCACTCTGAGTGGTCTAAATGCATCAATTTAAAGAGACTGTAAGAGTAGAACAAAAAACAAGACCCAACTGTATGTGCCTACAAAAAACCCACTCTAAATATAAAGACACATATAAATTAACAGTGTCTTATGGATGGAGAAAAATATACCATGCTAACACTAATCCAAGAAAGCAGGAATAGCTATGTAAATTTCAGATAGAGCGTACTTCAAAGCAAGGAAAGTTTCCAGGGATAAAAAAGGATATTACTTAATGATAAAAAGACCAGTTCTACAAAAAGACATAACAGTCCTTAATGTGTATATGCCCAAAAACACAGCATCAAACTAATGAGGCAAAAACTATTAGACCTACAAGGATAAATAGGTAAATCCATTTTCACAGTTGGAAACTTTAACACCCCTCTACCAGAAATTTGAAGAACCAGCAAGCAGAAAACCAGTATAAACATGATTGAACTCAAAACATTGTCCATCAATTGGATATAAGCAACATCTATAGTACTATTTTATCCAACAACAGCAGAATACACATTCTTCTCAAGTTCACATGGAATATTCCCCATAATTGTGCCACAGAAAGAGCCTTAACAAATTTAAAAGAATAGAAATTACACATTGCCTGCTATCAGAATACAAAGAAATTATACTAGAAATCAGTAACAGAAAGATTACTGAAAAATCCAAAAATACGTGGAGATTAGACAATATGCCTTTAAATAATATATGCCTCAAAGAAGAATTCTCAAGAGACATTGAAATATTTTAACTGAAATGAAAATGAAAACACAACTTATCAAAATTTGTGGGATGCAGCAAAAGAAGTCCTTAAGCGAAAATCTATAGCCCTGAATACAGTATTGAAATGTACAGAAATGAAAGATCTAAAAATCAGTATTCTAAGCTTCTACTTTAGGAAACTAGAAAAAAGAGCAAATTAAATCCAAAATAAGCAGAGAAATACTAAAAATTAGAGTAGAAATCAACAAAATTGTAAACAGGAAATCAATAGAGGAAATGAACAAAAACAAAATCTGTTTTTTGAAAAATGATCAATAAAATCAATAAGCATCTAGCCAGGCTAAATAAGAAAAAAATGAGAAAGGACAAAAATAACTAATATCAGAAGTAGAAGACATCATTACACAGCCCATGGGCATTAAAAGGATAACAAATAAATACTATGAACAATTCTATGCTCACAAATTTTATAACCTAGATAAAATGGACTACTCCTTGAAAGACAAAATTTCTCAAAACTCAAACAAGAAGAAATAAACAATTTGAATGGGCCTATATCTATCAGAGCAATTGAATCAAATAATAATAACCTTCCAAAACAGAAAGCAACAGGCCCAGAAGGGCTCACTGGTGAAGTCTACAAATTTAAAAAAGAAATTATACCAATTATCTACAGTCTCTTTCAGAGTACACAAGCAGAGGAAATACTTCCTAAAACATTCTATGAGGCCTGCATTACCCTAATACAAATGGCAGATAAAGACATTCTAAGAAAAGATAACCACAAACCAGTATCACTGATGAACACAGATTCAAAAATGCTCAACAAAATATTAGCACGTTGTGGTGGCTCACGCCTCCAATCCTAGCACTTTAGGAGGCTGAGACAGGCAGATCAACTGAGCTCAGGAGTCCAAGACCAGCCTGAGCAACATAGTGAAACCCCGTCTCAACCAAAAATTTAAAAATTAGCAAATTTATCTCAACAATGTACAAAAAGAATTATACACCATGGTCAAGTGAGATTCATTCCAGATATTCAAGGCTGGCTCAACATTAAAAAATTAATATAATCCATTACATCAACAGGCTACAAAAGAAAAATCATATGATTATATCAATAGATGAAAACAATTTTGACATAATCCAACTCCTATTCATCACAAAAACTTTCAGTAAACGGAATAGGGGAGAACTTCCTCAACTTGATAAATATATATATCATTAAGTATGATGTTAGCTGTACGTTTTTTGTATATGTGTGTATATACATATTTTTCATATGTATATATAAAATATGTATATTATATATACAATATATGTTTATATAAATGTAAATAAATATACAAAATGTATGTACATATTTATACATAAATGTAAACATGTACACATATTTTACATATACACAAAATGTATGTACATATGTATATTTATATATATATATATATATACATATCCAAAAAACCTATAGCTAACATCATACCTAATGATAAGAAAACTGAAGCTTTCCCACTAAGATTAGGAACAAGTCAAGGTTGTCCCCTCTCCCACTCCTTTCAATAGCACACTGGAAGTACTAGCTAATACAAAAGGACAAGAAAAAGGAAATAAAAAGTATATAGACTGGGAAAAAAGAAATAAAGCTGTCTTTGATCGCAGATGACATGATCGTTCATGTAGAAAACCCAAAATAACTGACCAAAAAAAAAATCTCCAGGAGCTAATAAACAATTACAGCAACTTTGCAGAAGACAAGGTTAACATGTAAAAGTAAATCGCTTTCCTATATTTCGGCAATTAACAAGTAGAATTTGACATTGAAATCATAATACCATTTAACCCCTCAAAAATTAAGCACTTAGGTAAAAATCAAGTAAAGTATTTACAAGATCTATATGAGTAAAACTACAAAATTCTTACAAACAAAATAAAGGAAGAACTAACTAAAGAGCTGTTCTATGTTCATGAATAGAAAAATTCAGTATTGTCAATATGTCAGTTCTTCCCAACTTGATCTACAGATTCAATCAAATCCCAGAAGGTTATTTTGTGGGTATCGATAAAGCAATTATAAAGTTTATAGAGAGACGCAAAAGACCCAGAATAGCCAACACAATGTTGAGGAACGACAAAGTTGGAGGACTGATACTACCAAACTTCAAGACTTAGGATAAAGCTATAGTAATCAAGACTGTGTTATTGATGAAAGAATAGACAAAGAGATCGACAAAACACAACAGAGAACCCAGAAATAAGACTCACATGAATATAATCAGCTGATCTTTGACAAAGATGCAAAGGCAATAAAATGGAGCAAAGATCATCTTTTCAACAAATGGTGCTACAACAACTGGACAATCACATGCAAAAAGATAAATGTAGACACGGACCTTACACCCTTCATAAAAATTAACTCAAAGTGGACCACAGACCTAAATGTAAAGTGCAAAACTATAAAACTCCTAGAAGATAATAGAGGAAAACCTGTATGACCTTGGATATTGCAGTAACTTTTTAGATACAATACCAGAGGCACAATCCATAAAAGAAAGAATTGAAAAGATGGGTTTCACTAAAGTTAAAAATGTATGTTCTGTGAAATACAATGTAAAGAGAATGAGAAAACAAGGTACTGACTGGGAAAAATATTTGCAAAAGACATACCTGATAAAGGACTGTCATCAAAAATATACAAAAACTCTTAAATTCAGAAATAAGAAAAAAAAAAAAAACCCACTGAAAACTTGGCCAAAGACCTTAACAGACACCTTACCAAAGAAGACCTACAGATGGCAATAAGCTTCTGAAAAAATGCTCCACATCATATGTCATCAGGGAAATGCAAATATAAAACAATGAGATTCCACTACACACCTATTGGAATGCTTAAAACTTAGAACACTGACAACACCAAATGCTGACATGGATAAAGGGCAACAGGGGCTCTCATTCATTGCTGGTGAGAATGTAAAATGGTACATCCACTTTGGGAGATAGTCTGTGATTTCCTTAGAAAATTAAACATACTCTTAGCATACGAACCAGCAAGTGCCCTCGTTGGTATTTACACAAGTGATTGAAACCTTATGTTCACGTAAAAATCTGCACAAGATGCTTACAGCAGCTTTACTCATAATTGCCAAAACTTGGAGGCAACCAAGATGTTCTTCCGGAGGTGAATGGATAAATGAACTGTGCTACATCCAGACCACTGGCATATTATTCAGTGCTAAAAAGGAGTGAGCTATCAAGCCATGAAAGAGTATGGAGAGAGCATAAATGCATATTACTAAGTGAAATAAGTCCATCTGAAAAGGCTACAGACTGTATGATTCCAACCATACGACATTGTGGAAAGGGTTCAACTATGGAGACAACAAAAGGTCAGCGGCTGCCAAGAGCTGTGGTGAAGGTAGTGATAAGCAGGGAGAGCACAAAGAAATTTCAGGAGAGTAAAAATACTCTGTATGATACCATAATGAGGGTATTACACATTATGCCATTATACATTTGCCCAAACCCATAGATTATACAAAACCAAGAGGGAACCTTCTTATAAACTATGCATTTGGGGTGATGATGATGTGTCAATGTAAGTTCATCAGTCGTAACAAATATACTACTCTAGTGGGGAATGTTGATAATTGAGGAAGCTGTGGGAAATCTCTGTACCTTCTTCTTCATTTTGCTGTGAAGCTAAAACTGCTCAAAAAAGTAAAGATTTTTTTAAATGATAAAGATCAATACCTGATTATACCTTCAGCATTTCTTTTTACAATATATTCTAGGTATGTGGGTTTTATAATATTTGACAGTATTTTGTTGGAGTTGTAGCATTTTAAATAGTGGCTAATGAATGTAAAATCATACATATTGCAAACCTACACAGAGGGCCCCCCAAAGGAATTCAGATAACACATAAGCCCTTAGGATACTGGGCTCCACAGCCCTGCCTGCCATCTTCAGTGCCAAAACGTAAGTGCATGACCACTTAGTTCTACGGTCTTGTGACTAAAGCTTCCAAAAAGCTGAGTCTGCATTTCAAATCAATAAAATACCAAAATAGTCAATCTTGTATAATTATGTGTTTTACATTTGTATATAATTACATGTTGGTTCATATTATTAACAAACTTGACTTCTGGACATGCTTCATAACCAATGCATATTTATTTTATGCAAATCACTTAGAATGGCCTTCAGATGCATGTGCTCAGGTGACTGACTAAACAGCACAAATAAAGGAGAAAGAAACATTATGGAAACTTGGCAGATTAGAACCTCACACATGCATCACTTCAAAATGATTTCTTATGTATTATCTCATTCCCAGCCCAGTTACAAGCCCAGGAAGTAAATTAATAATCACCAGAAGTCAGTGTGTGCATATAAGAATAATTTAGGCACTTTCACTTAGCAAATTTATTGATGTATATTCATGATGTTTATACACACAGTTATAGATCATAGACAATATATCCAAAACATCTCTTAAATCTGCCCCCTTCTCCACATTCCCACAGTGGCCATCCTAGTTTCAACCTCCTTGTCCGTTACCTTTCTCTCCTCTCTGACCCGTCTCACACTCACTGCTCTCAGCATCTTCTGCTTAAGCAGAGATTCGGTTACTTCCCTCCCCTGTTTAACGACCCACCATATCTTCCCCCTCTGCCTAGTGCTTCATGAAGGAGCCTGTTGAATAACAGCAGGTCAAGCAATTCCTTTGAGGACTCATGTTGTACCTCTAAAATGTATGCAAAGTTTTTTCACTCCAATCTATAATTTATACTTGAATTTAATACAAATATCATGGTTTGGACTATTTCCTTTTCTAGGAAAATATGCTATGGCAGGCTGGTCTTACAGCTTCACAAAACCCCTGGCACACTGCCTCCTCATGCCCTCAGAGATGCCTAGACTAGGGCCAGGTGAAATGCAAACTTGCAGAGGAACTCAGGACGCCTCACACACTGCAACCTTACTGTCCCCACACTCATCTAGCACCTCCTACCAAAGAAAAATCATAGCCTCCCCCTTGTAAGGTGTGCTTCTAGAGCATATAATTCTTACAAAAGGGTCTATAAAACTATCAGTAGTTTGGTCAGTACTATATTGGTCTTTTAGAATGTCTCAAAAAACATAGCATAAATTTTCTGAGAAGTCTTGCAGCAAAACCTGTAGTAAAGATCAACAGGTTGCCAGTGTCCCATAAAACACACCTTGTTGAAAGTGAGCTGTCCTCCACTGCACTTTCAGTCTTTCCTCAACCTGGAAAAGATTTCCTACTTTCAGTGGCAAACTCCTTCTCATCTTTAGAACTCTAACCACCATCTCTTTGAAGCCACTCTCAGCTGCTCTAGTTGAACACAATGTTTTCTAGCACTTTGTATAGATATTTATGTTAAATTTCATCACATGTAATTTTGGATTTACTTTTTAATCTCCCTAGCCAGCTCATGAGATCTCTGAAAGGAAAAATAATCCCTCATCTTTCTGTTAATTCTCAGAATTTGTCAAAGTCTACAACAGGAGCTCAATAGCATGTGTGGAATAAATTGATTAAAGAGTAAATGATCTTTCACAAAAATCAAATATGTAACATCATATGGTGTCTTCCTATCACTCCAGTCAGGAATCTCTGCTGACAAACAAAAGCAATCAATAACAATATTTGGGAGTAGGAAAACCAACTACTATGGTCTCTAGAACAGTCCAGTTAAAATGGGCAACAAATGTGTAAAGAGAATCTATACCAGCCAAGATTTTGCCACACGAAGCCTTTATGAGAACCATTGTGTCTCTGTCCAGAGCGCTGAGATTTCAGCTGGAGAGACCTGGCTCTGCTTCAAAAACCAGGCAGAGCCAAGTAAGGCTGGAATACAAATGTTTGCATATTTTGTTATGTCTGATAGAGACTTCGGCTTCATCCAGGATCTCAGGAAAGTCACATTAAATTAGTTACAATTCACCCAGTTTAAATAAATTAAATGACTTTGTTCTGCCGAAGTTACCAAGTCTAAAGGAAGCAGCAGACGAAAGACAAAGGACTTGTCCGATGTTGGTTTTCCTCATAGCCCTACCTCTAATCACAGAGTGACCTTGGGCATGTGACCACACCCTTCTAGGCATGGACTTCTTGACCTCTGAGTTGAGTAGTTACATAATTAAGATGGAGCAGACCTTCAGTGAATCACCAGTGTGGGCAAGCACTTTCTCTCATTTAATCCTCTCAAAACCCTCTGAAGCAGGTATTATTATTCTCATTTAACACATGAGAAAACAGAGCTTAGAAAGGTAAGTGAGTTTGTTCAAGGCCACTCCATGAACATAGCATTGCCTGGCTGGGAAGTTCAATGTGTTCACAGCCAATACCACGGCTAAGGTGAGAGATAAACTTTCTCCCGCCCCCTTCCCATGACCTCTGGCTGCTGACAGCCTTCTTCACATGCATTTCCTAAGGACACTGGAATGTCATTGACACAAAGTGCCAATGTGCTATTTTTGTAATTTTCTAACATGACAAAAGTTATTTTAAATGTTCATGTAGTATAACACTAACTTATGCCTAAACTTCTCCTAAGACTCAGAGCTCCTCATAATAACTTGGTTTCTTAAGAGTCTCTTAAAGAAGAAGTTCCCAGAAGAAAGCCTGCAGCTTCTCCGCGAGTGGTCTCTTCTCCAAAAGGTGCTGCCGCAGCCTTTGCAACCTCAGGAGCCTGTTCTACTGACTTCCTCCTGTTCCTCTACTGAGGGGCTACTACACCATCACCCCCATCCAGGCAATACAGGGTCACCCACTCCAAGAGAGACAGCTGTGGAGCAGACACAAACAGTGTGACAGCCTGGCTGGAGTTGACCCTGGACAAATGGGGGAAGAGGGGGCTACTGTCCCTTTCTCACCCTGTCACACACCACTTGCGGGGTGTGTTAGCTCTGCTGCCTGGTCCTTTTTCATGTGGTTTCTGCATGAAAATGACCATAATCACATATCTAGCTTTAAGGTCTCTTCAAGTTGTTTCCATATTCTTTAGTTGATCACAATGACTGACAGTGTGCATTTTATTAGCCGGAAAGCCAAGGCTCAAGATGCTTAAGAAACTTACCTAACAGCAGCCATCCAGAAACCAACACAGCCAGAACCCACCGAAGATCCCAAGTACAAATCCTGAGCTCTTTAAAGCAACTGAGGAACTGCTCCATAAACAGCAACTTTTGCTGCTCTGCAACACATGAGACTGAACCTGCCTTCCCCTACAGCTCTTCTCATGATAACTTTTCCACATCATCACATATACATTCAATATTTTAAAGCATGATTCTGTCTGTAGGAGGAAGAACACATTTGAGGCGAGTGTAGCGTTGGAAAGGAGGCAATGTATGATGGCAATTTTAACTAGGTTAAGTGATATACCATTCATCAACATGATAGTGCAGGTAACTGTTTATTTGTAGGATTATGAAATATCACCTCTTACCTTTTTCCACTTTGCCAGGTAGCTCTTAGCACTATTTCTTTTTTAACCAGTAATTGTGGCTATTCTCTCACCTCTTTCCCATCATGCTCTCCCTCCCAATGAACATTATTATCCCTGTGCCCCACCCTGCCACACTCCAGGGTGCTCCACAATAGAATCCGATACTCTGTATAGACAAGACACCAAACCCACTTATAATGAATTAAACACTTGTGTGAAGTATTTGTATTGTATGGAGAATATACCATGAATATTGAATATCCAAAGCAGCACAGAGGAACAATAGGCAAGTTTACACAGATTGGCTAACTGAAGCGGGCACTAGCAAGGCTGCAAGGCAAGAGACCCACGGAACTGATGGCAGCTGCCTGGAGGGACAGACACATGTATTCCTGACGGGGAACCCTGAGTCCTCGGAGCAGGACTCCCAGTACCTGTCCTCACCAGGAAGGCAAAGCATGCCCATTCCTAAGATGGGGTCACAGTGAAAGTTCACAGCTGGCCCTCTTGCCCTCTGCCTGGATAGATTCGCCAGCTGCAAAGCTCAGGGCCAGGCCCCCACCAAAGAAGTTACATACCATAGGCGGCAGAAAAGTCTAGAAGTGGCTAAATTGACAATGCTGGAATGCAAGTCAACACTTACACCATAAGGGAGATTAAAAAGTGAACTTCACCTGTTCTTGCTACTGAGTCCCAGCTCAGGATGCTTGAGTTTCTAACCTGAGAGAAAGGTGGGACCCAAGTAACCATGCACAGGTGGCCAGGGTGATGGAATAAGCTCTACCAGGTCCCTCCTTGGCTGGAGGGGAAACCGAGAAATGAGACACTCAGGAGAGGGCAGGCTGGGGACAGACTCAGAGCATGGCCCTGCCTAGCTTGGGGCCAACTAGAGTGCCCCAGCCGAGCTCCACCGCCTGGCCGCCCGACGCTGTCTAAAAAGCCCCTCGGAGCCCAGGAAGGGGAGAGGGCAGCCCTGTAGCCAGGCGGGACTCACCACGTCCATGATCTGCAGGAGGCTCAGGGAGAAGTAGACGGTGAGTGGTTGCGAGTCATTGGCCACGGGCCTCTCCAAGGGATTGTAGTTCTTGACCAGCTCCTTGTAAAGCTTCCTCTGGAACTCGCCTTGCAGGGACACTTAAGGAGAGAAGACCCGGGCAGGGGGCTCAGGGCAGGCCGGCGGGGGTACCCCCGACTCCCTCCTGCCGGCGTCCCCCGCCGCCCACCCGGTGCAGCCCAGACAAGCAGCCCCCGCAGCGCCCCCGCTGCCCCTCCCCGGCGGCGGGGAGATCCCAAACCTGGCCCAGGCGCGGGGCGCACAGAGGCGCCCGGGATGTGCCCGGGATCCCACGGAGGAGTGGAGGGCGGGGAGGCAGTGGCTTTACCGTGCAGGAGCGACGCGGCCAGCGCCAGCCAGACGCCTCCCGGCGAGCAGCGCATGTTGAGTCCCGGAGCTGCAGCGAGCCGGCGCGCTCCACGTCTCGGCTGTCGCCCGGGCCTGCGCCTGCGGCCACAGAGGCACCTCGCCGCTCGGCTCGCGCGCCTTTAAGGAGCCGGGCGCGCGCCCCCGCCCCGCCCGCCCCCGCGCGCCTCTCCACGTGACGAGCCCCGCCCCCGCCCCCGTCCCCGCCCCCCCATCCCTCCAGCCCGGGCCAGCGTCTCGGCGGCCACCCAGGGAACTGCAGCCCGAGGTGTGAGCGGGAGGTACTCCCGGCGCTGGGTACGCTCCGGGCACCTCCACCCCCAGTCTCCACCGAGCGGGCTCTCGGCCTCGCGCCTCTGGCCAGGCCAGGGGCTGCCCAAGGCCAGGCTCTACCTCTCCCTTGCGTTCTTTGTCCCCACTCAGCCCGCTCCCGCTCTCAGCCAGAAGCTGCGCTGGGCACTCGGGAGAAAGCCGGGACAATTCTGGGGTCCAGTCTTCCCGGACTCCCTCCTCCACGCCAGCGACCGGGTGGCAGCTATAGGGAACCAGGCTTCGGAAGTCTTGCCAACCAGACAAAACAGACCCGAGGAAGCCCCCCTCCTCCCGCTTTCCGCGAGCCCCGGTTTGCTTTCCGCACCGTTTGCTGGGCGCCAGCAGCCAGACTCTCGGCTGGGATCTGAAGTGCTGGAGGCACCCTGTCGGGGAGGAGAGATGCCGCCAATGTGTGTGATGGGATTCCCAGTGGTTACCCTAATGTATGGCTCATTCTTTTTTAAAGGAGATTAAAAAAGATTGAAAAGTTAACTCCTAACTCTTTGCTGGAAGGACAGCCAGAACTTGGTGTTCTTATCTAGGCTCTTTTGAGCCAGCGCATTGGAAAGAGTAAATGAGGAGAGGCTCTGAGAGGTCCAGGGAGTGCGGAGAGTTCTTGATGTTGAAGAGGGGGCTTGATTTTGGAAAGAGGAAGGGAGGGAGGAAGGCGCCAAGGGGCGGCTTCCAGGGTGGCTGAAGCTCCATCCCATTTGCTCCCTTCTGCTGAGCACAGCAGCGCCCTGCGTCCGCGTAGGGGGCGCTGCCACCTTCTTTCCTGCAGCCCCCGGGCATCCGAGCTCCACCAGAGCAACTCCCGTGGACCACGCAGCGGCAATGCCTGGGTTTCTGAACTGCCGAAAACCACGGGATTCTTTTAAGACTCCAAGAACTAGGGAAAGGCTCACCAAAAGGTGACTGAGCTTGACTGTACCCCAGTAGCAGGAATGGGGGACTGAGCCCAACTATTTGATTTGGAAGAATAACGCAGTATATTGCCCTTGCCATGAAGTGTCTTAAGTGTATTACTGTTAATGTACACATGTTTAAACAAAGGGTCAGCATAGGCTTTCATAACTGCGGTAAGAGCCTAGAAGAAGGATTAGCTGTTTTTGGAGAGTGGTTAATAGAAGAGGTGACAGCTGAACTGGATTCACCTCAAAGGATAGCAGTCATTCTGCCAGGAGAAAGGGACGCCAGGGGTCCCTGGAGAGCAGACAGGCGTGCCCTTAGCTTCATCTGGCTCTTGAGTCCCCCTACCACTTCTAGCAGTCCGGACATCACAGAGCAGGCACTTGATGAATTAATTATCTACAGGGGATTAGTTGTTGGTAAAGGGAGAATTAGAAGAAGGGAAATAAAACCCAGTAGCAGAATAGAGAAAGCCCATGAAGCATCAGTGAAAAGATTCTCAGTGGCACATCCCCTGCACTGGTCATGGGACTGTAACAACACTCTTCTACGAGCGCTGAAAGTACCTAAGAGCCCTGTCTTCCCTTCTAGAAGAGCATGAGCCCATGGGGCCAAGGGAATTTATTTATTTTTTCTGGAGTATGGCTATCAGGATCACATTCCTGAAACCAGAACTGCTTCTTTACCGCCATTGCACCCCATAATATCAGAAACCTAGAAATAAACCATTTTCAGGTGAGACAAGCAATTCGTAAATATTTATTTGTCCTCTGTTCTCGCTAGGCACCTGGAGGACCTGCAAGCGCAGTCCACTCACTCAGCTTACAATGTAGGACTGCTGGAAGTTGGAAAATAAACTTCAGTCTCCCCTGTGCCATAGGTAGGTCTGTGAGTTTGGCTGTATTGACTCCCATCTATGGGACTCAGGTTTTTCATTTGTGAAACGAAGAAAAGAGCAGAACATTCTTGGAATAGAGCTGACGGGACTGTATAGGTTCTACACTCACTCCCGTTCCCAAAGCAAAAAAAAAAAAACAAAAAAAAAACAAAAAAAAAACAGCAAATAAAACATAGCAGGATGTGAATACATGCCTGGGCATACCAAAAATATAGATTCTATGGGTAAGAGGGAAATTTTAACACACTCTCAGGAGGTAAGGTGACCTTGGGCTTGGGGCCTATGAGAGGTGGGGAACTGGAACTGAGATATTCACATAAATCCAGAAATTGGTGTAATCTCCTTTCCAGTGTAAAAAAGACCAGGAAACCTCAACCATTAGCCAGGGAAGTGGAAGGAAGCATGTTTTCTGCTTGGGCTCCGGATAGGGGGAAAAAGATAATTACACATTTAAAAACCAAAAAGTGCATTAGGCTTAGGTGTGGAGTCCAAATGTGTATTATATGGTTTAGAATTCAAGAATTCCTCTGGAGGAAGATTTAGTAACTTTACACACATGGGACTCCAAAAAATGCCCCCAAATCGCAATATCCATGAAAATCAGTTCAAAATAAAAAATATAAACCATTCAAGGAAACAAACTCTACATCATCCTAGGCCATCGTCAATTAGGGAAAGTCAGTAGGCAGAGTAAACAGGAAAATGTGTGCCTCACAATTTGAGATAATAGGACACTGAAAAATAAACTATAAAATTTGTGGCCGGGTGCAGTGGCTCACACCTGTAATCCCACCACTTTGGGAGGCTGAGGCAGGTGGATCACCTGAGGTCACGAGTTCGAGACCAACCTGGCCAACGTGGCCAAACCCCGTCTCTACTGAAAATACAAATATTAATCGGGCATGGTGGCAGGCACTTGTAATCCCAGCTACTCGGGAGGCTGAGGCAGGAGAATCGCTTGAACCCGGGAGGCAGAGGTTGTGGTGAGCCCAGATCATGCCATTGCACACTAGCAGGGCAACAGAGCGAGACTCCATCTCAAAATAAATAAATAAATAAAAATAATAAAAATAAATAAAATTTGTACGTTTAAAATGGTAAAGCTAGTTATCATAGTGGGTGATGTCCATTGCAGTGATAATCCTCAATTCTCATTGGCTTACCACAATGAAAGTTTCTTTCTCCCTCACACCACAATCAAAAAGGTCAGATGACTTTGCTGGGTGGCTACCTTCCTCCCCAGGTCTTTCAGATATAAAAGATCCTTTCATTAAATGGAGAGTGAATGTAAGACAAAAGCACTATTCAAAGAATAAATTCTGAGAACTTTTCAATATTTACAAAAGACATCAAACCACAAATTCACTTGGTCATGGATTTGATTACTGCTGAATTTAATTTGTTAGTAGATTTTAAAAGAATTTTCTATGTATATCCATGAAGGATATTGCTCCATCATTTTCATTTCTTGTAATTTTATCATCTAATTTTGGTAGAAGATCTTATGCTTCCTCCTCCTCTACTTTCTGAAATAGTTTGTGCAAGATATAATTTGTTTCTTAAATGTTTGATGAAACTAACTAGTGGAACTATCTGTGTCTGGAGTTTTTGTGGAAAGATTATTTTCTTAACGTTAACCCAATTTTTAATAGATATGTAGTACAATTCAGTTTCTATTTCTTCTTGGGAAAAGCTTACTAAATTGTATTTTTTTTTACAAATGTGTTTATTTCATTTAAGTTATTGCATTTATTGACATAAAGTTGTTTATTATGTGCCTTTATTACCTTATGTATATATATAGGCTATGTGGTGATACCTCCTCTTCATTACTGTTTCAAGGAATTTGTGTTTTCTCCTGTTTGTTCTTGATTACACTTACTAAGGTTTAACGATATTACTAATCTTTTCATGGTACAACTTTTTGCTTTTTCTCAATTTTTTTTTTGAAATTTCAGTGATTTCTATTCTTGTGTTTCTTATTACCTTCTACTTATTTGGGGTTTAATTTGCTCATTTTTTACAAACTTCTTGAAGTGTAAACTGAGGTTGCTGATTTTAGATTCATTTCAAATGTAAGCATTTAAATATGCAAATTTCCATCTGAACACTACTTTAGTTGCCTCCTCCTAATTTTGATATGTTCTATATTCATAACCTCCAGTTCAAAATATTTTCTAACTTCTTTGTGATTTCTTCTTTGACCGATGATTTACTTCAAATTGTGCTTTTCTGTTTCCAAAACAGCACAGTTTTTTCTAGATATATACTATTCTTAGATATTGTCAGTCTCTCAAAATATTTGTTCTAATTACACTCCCAGCACAATGTATGAGTGATCTAGTTGCCTCACATAATTCATCCACTTGTCTTTGACTTAATTTCAGATTTTTTTGGCTTATGGGTAATTTGATCTCAATGTGGCTTTTAATTTGCATTTCCCTGATGACTAAAGAAGTGGAGCAGCTTTTCATGTGTTTATTGTTATTTTGGATATCCTTTGTGAACTGATTTTTCAGGGTTTTTTGTCCATTTTTCTATTGTGTTGTCTGCCTTTTTCTTATTTATTTGTAGGAATTAATTCTTCATTCAGAAGGAGTCCTTTGTCAGACATTGATATTGAACATAATTTTTAGAACTCTGGCTTCATTTAACTTTCTTAATGGTATCTTTTGGTGAATAGATATTCTTAATCTCAGTGTAGTCCAATTTATCAACGCTTCCAATCACAGTTTGCATTTTTTGTGTTGTGCTTTAGATCTCTTTGTCTACCCCAAGGTCGTGAAGGTAACATCCTATGTCTTCCTAGAGTTTTATGGTCTTACCTTTCATGTTGATATTTGTCACCCATCTAGAATTAAATTTTGTGTATGCTATGAAGTATGGTAGGAATAGGGATTCATTGTCTTATATGAATATTAAATTGACTCTATACCACTTAATGAAAAAGTAATCTTTCTTCCTGCATTGCCATGTCACCTTTGTGCATCACATAACAGTGTATATATGTGGGTCCAGTCTATTTGCTTAGACTTGCACCAATATCACACTCTCTTAATGACTATAGCATTATAGTAGCTCTTTATACATGGTAGTGTTAATTTTCCTCCTTTTTAGTATTTCTTCAAGATTGTCTTGAATATTCTTGACCCTTTTCATTTTAATAGAATAAAATAATTTATTTTATATTAACTTTACTGGGATTCTATAGAATTTTTAGATCAACTTGGGAAGGACTGATGTCTTTACTGAGTCCTGTAATATACAAACGTGATGTTTTCTTCCACTTATTTAGATCTTGTTTAATTTCTCACAATAATATTTTGTAGTCTTCAACACAGGTATTTTGGCACACTTTCATAAGAATTATTCATAGACATTGGTGTCTTTTGATGCTATTAAAATGACAGATTTTTTACATTTAATTTTAAAACTGTTGCATGTATAGAAATATACATGATATTTGCATATTGGTCTTTTATCCAGTGAAGTTCTAAACTCTCCTATTGATTATAATGGTTTTTCTGTAGATTATCCGTCCCAATCCTTATTCATCTATTTCTTTTTCTTGGCCTGTTTCACTCACTATGACACTAGCTGGGACCATCAAATTCAATACTGAGTAGAAGTCATAGCATACTGCTTTGTCTCATTTCTGGTCTCAGGCAGAAGGCCTTCAATAATTCACCACTATATTCGTTTCCTAGCACTTCCATAACAAAGTACTGAAAACTCGGTGGCTTAAAACATATAAATGTATTGTCTTACAGTTCTGGAGGCTAGGAGTCTGAAATCATGATGTCAGCATGCCCCTGCTGAGACTCTGGGGAGAACTTTCCTCGTCTCTTCACAGTTTCTGGTGGTGGTTGGCCATCATGGATGTTTGTTGGCTGGCAGCTATGTCTCTCCCATCTCTGCCTTCATCTTCCATTGTTGTTCTCCCTGTGTGTCTGTGTTCAAATTTCCCTCTTCTTATAAGGACACCAGTCATATTGGATTAGGCCCCAACTTAATGTCCTCATCTTAATTTGATTGCATCTGCAAAGACCCTATTTCTAAATAAAGTCACATTCATAGGTATTAGGGGCTAGGATTTCAACATATCTTTTGTTGGAGACATAATTCAACCCACAACAGCCACTAAGTAAAATGTTAGCTATAGTTTTTTGTTGTTCTGTTTTGTTATTTTATTTTTTAGATAAACCTTTTCACAAGGAGGAAATTCCCTTCTATTCCTACTCAGATAACAATCCTTAAAAATCACAAATGAGGGTAGAGTTACATCTTTGTAAAGTGTCTATTAAGATGAGATTGTTTTTATCCTTTTTTCATTAGTATTTTGAATTGCAATGACTTTTTATTGTTGAGTTAACCCTACACACAATACAAAGATCTACATTATTGATCAGATTTATATGAAATTCAAGTCTTGTTCAGCACCAAGCTTTACTAATGATTAGTAAAAGATGCAAGCAAGAGCAGCAACATGCACCACTTCAATATCTGGGAGACCCTGAGCTCTTCACACTCAGCTCTCTGTGTCTCCTTTTTCTACTCAGAGTGAATTTTGCCTTCAGAGTGAGGAGTGCAAACTGCATAGAGGACAAGTTAGTGCAAGAAAGCAACTGGGTTTAGTTATCACTCAGCTTTTATATCCTCCAAGGCAGGCAGCCCTGTACTGGCTACATGACTAACTTCTATTGTCCAATGCAGAACTGCAGCTCGTAAATTGCAGATCTATTTATAACAAATATTATAGACAAGCTAGGTGTTTTGTCCTGAAAGTGCTCCTGGATCCATAGTCTGTACCTAGCAACCCTTGCTGAAGTTTCACTTACGGTGTAGCTGGTGTGTTTCATCAGCCGTCCTTTGCTAGGAGTTTGGGTCACAATTAAAACTGTCTCAGAGGCTGGAGGAATGAGTTACAGACACACTGTTTACCCATTCCTTCCCATTTTGCAATTCTGAAAAGTAACACATTTGGTTATTATTTTTAAAAGTATTGTTGAATTTGTTTCACAATTATCTCCTTAGAACTTTACATTTATCTTTATCAAAGGAAACATGCCTCATATTTTCTTATTTTAATAATAAGCTTGTAAGATTTTGGTACCAAGATTATGCTGGCCTCATAAAATGAGTTGGGAATTATTCCCCATTTTTTATATTCTGAAAGTGTGTAAGCTTTGTGTTATGTGTATATTTTCTCCAAAAGTTATTAGAAAAATTAACCAGGGAAGTCATCTAACTTGATATTTCCCTGTCAGAAGGCTTCATTTTGTAATTTTTTCCATGGAAACATATGAACAGAAAAATCAAGTCATAAGTTTCAGAAGTTTGCTTATCTGAGCACTTTTTAATACCACTTTGAAGATGTGTTAGATAATGCCAACATCTCATCATTGATGTCTGTTGCTTGTCTTTTCTAATGAAAGTTGAAGGTTTTTTTGTTTTATTCTTCAAATGCAATATAATTTTGGATTTTATACTGCACATTTTGAATATTATGTTGTGAGCCCCTTCTTGTTTAAATTTTGTTCAAATCCTATAAAAAGTGTTACTATTTATGTTTTAGCCTTCTGTAGGCTGTGGTTCCCATATCAGGCCAGTTTTCGAAGCCTTTCAGTAATATTCACATTTGTCCTAGACCTGTACCACTTACTTAGTGGTCAGTTAGGAAAATGAGCAAAGGTCTACTGGCTATCTCAGTTCTCAGAGTCTTTAGTGTGCTGATTATGATCAGGACCGTGAACGTACAGGTCAGAGGTGAGTCCTTGAGCTGATAAACAGTGTTATGGGGTCACTTTCCCAAGCTTGCGCTCTGCTATCTCTCCAGTACTTTCTGGTTTCCTGACCTTCTCTTTTTCAGTCCTCTGACCAAAAACTGCTCTGTTCCATAATTACAGTCTATACCGGGCCCATACAGTGCAGAACAGAAAGAAAAATGGAAACACCTGGGATTGACTCTACCCTCTTGGAACTATAGCCACACCAAATGCTAGAGGGAGATTCCCTCTCTCAGATACTTAACTCCTTCAGTTTTTCCATTGCTGGCTGTCTTTGCTCTTCCTGCTACCCACATTATACAATTGCCTGGGGCTAGGGTGCAAGAACTGAGGAAATGGGGAGAAAAAATGGGGGATTTCTCTCTCTTTCTCTACATTTCCCTTTTCTGGTCTTTGAGCCTGAGCTAGAGAGTTTCTGTTGTTTCTATTTCCGCACCTCAGTGCTTAGTTCTGGTTTTCTAACTGCGTTGAATTCAGACTGGGAAATAACGCAAGGAAAAAAAGATTAAACTCGCCAGCAGTTCATGTGTATTTTGATGGTATTCTGATGGTTTCTTCCTTTGATCTGCCTACTGATGTTTATTTTGCAGAGTTCCCAAATTGCTGCCTATGCATTCTGTTCAGGTTTTATAGGTTGTATTCAGTAGGAAAGGGTGTGTTTACCCCATCTTCCCTGGAACTAGATCTGGAAAGTTACTTTTCCGTTTTTTTTTTTTTTTTTGAGATGGAGTCTCACTCTGTCACCCGGGCTAAAATGCAGTGGCGTGATCTCGGCTCACTTAAACCTCCACCTCCCAGGTTCTAGCATTTCTCCTGCCTTAGCCTCCCGAGTACCTGGGATTACAGGTGCACGCCAAGGTGCCGGCTAATTTTTTGTATTTTACTAGAGGCGGGTTTCACCGTGTTGCCCAGGCTGGTTTCAAACTCCTGAGCTCAGGCCATCCACCCACCTTGGCCTCCCAAAGTGTTAGGATTACAGGTGTGAGGCACCGCACCCAGCTGGAAAGTTACTTTTTATATCTGCTATTTACTTAAGATTACCAGTATAATTTATATAGGCATAGTTAATTAATTTTATCAACATATGGTTTCTTAATTCACTCTCTTTCCCCCTACGTTTACTCTTTCTATAAACATATATCTTTACTTTTAGTGAGTCTCTTTATATGGTAAGTTCTCTGCCATCGTATGTCTATAAATGTCTTTATTTTCCATTTGAATTGTGTATTTTTTGTCAGAATAAAGGAAAACGGAAAGCAGTTTAGACCAAGTGTACCACTTGATGAGTTATTACAAAATAAATGTCCCTTTAACTCCACCCATAAATTAGAGAGAACTTGGCAGCAACCACAGAAGGTTCAGGCCACCTTCCCAAGACAAGCACCATCCTCCCCTAACAAGACTAACTCCTGCTCTAGCTTTTCTGGAAATACCCTTATTACTCTTTATTATTATTTCATTATCTAGTTGAGGAGCCCTAAACAGTGAGTTTAGGTTAGCCTGATTTTTAAAAATTTCTCTCTGTATCTTCCTAAACTGAAAGATTTTTTTTTCATTTTAGAAACCAATCCTGTAGAGTCAAGATTCTGCTGATTCTGCTGATTGCATTCCCATGGTAGAGTTTAATGTTTCATTTATCCTCTAGATTTCCTGCAGATTAGTAGTTGAATCTATAAACTTAATCTGATTCAGATTTCACTTTGGGGAGGAAGATTACACCATCGGTGCTGTTGTGTTCATTGTGTTCATTGTCAAGAGGCACACAATATATACTTATCTTTCTTTCTTTCTTTTTTTTGAGACGGAGTTTCGCTCTCGTTGCCCAGGCTGGAGTGCAATGGCACGATCTTGGCTCACTGCAGCCTCCGCCTCCTGGGTTCAAGTGATTCTCCTGCCTCAGTCTCCCAAGTAACTGGGATTATGGGCACCCGTCACCATCCCCGGCTAATTTTTGTATTTTTGGTAGAGATGAGGTTTCACCATGTTGGCCAGGCAATCTCAAACTCCTGATCTCAGGTGATCTGCCCACCTTGGCCTCCCAAAGTGCTAGGATTACAGGCATGAGCCACTATGCCTGGCCTTATCTTTCTTTTTTTGTAATTAGTAGCAATAGATTCTTAGAAGCTAGTACTTAGATTTGTTTGATTTGTAGGTGTTGCAAAGTGGCAATGCTCCAGTTCTATCATTCCCTCTTCCTTTAAAGATATCCGCACATCTGCCATTAGCTTCTGAGTGGTAGTTTGCACAGGAAAGGAAGTATACATGTTCCCTTTATTTATGAGATTTTAACACAGATACCTGGTCCCTTAGTGTCCTATAAAGTTAACTAATCAGGTAGGGGTGTGTGTGTGTGTGTCCAGGTGTCCATGCCAACTGCCAACTTCAGATAGCATAATTCAACAAGAGTCGCAGCTATGGAGCTACAAAGTCCATCCCAGTATTTGTGATAGGCCATGTCTCACAACATCCTGCTTCTTGTTCCCAGGAAAACTGTTCCTAAGAGATGCTGAACTCTGCTGACAACCAACTTGGGCTCAAGGGCTCTCAATGCTCCTGCTGAACCTTTCTTCCTGGCAGTCCAAGACTCTTCAATGCCATGTTTCCTCCCTCCCTCCTTCACTTGGGATCAGATACACATTGCAGTCTGATAGATCTCCAGACTTCTCTAGCATGCGCCCTACTTTTTTCCCACAGGGTCTTTTCCTCCAATAAAATCCTTTCACATTTAATTCTATATTGGTGGATCTGGACTAATACAGTGTATCATTATGAGCTCACAGAGAACCCTGTTTGGTGTGTTTTGATTACGGTCGTTATCCTTACTGATCCTCAAGTTGCCCCATGGTTTGGTGAGTGCCTGTTCTACAGGTTGACTCCCAAGTTCCTTTAGCGCAATCCTGCTGGTCTTGGCTGGTGCCCTTGCTCTCTGTGGTACGATGATATTCTGAGCTCCTCTGTTTATTTTCTATATTTCCCACCCCAGACCTAGAATTAGCTATTTCAACTATTTCTCTAAGAAACTCTGGTACCTTTTAGTTGCAAATGTTATTTTTGGGCCTCGTCAGTGGACAGATTTAGGATACCTATCTATCTATGAAAAATATCCTATGAGTTCAAATTTAGGATTTCAGAGTGCTTACTTAATCTTTTCTATTTCACACTTGCAGCTTCTAAAAGTCTTGGTTCTGAAGGGCCCTGGGGATTCAAATAACACATGTATTGCTTATTTTCTTCATCTCACATTTCAAGCAAAACATAAGGAGAGTAGCAATAGCAACATTGTCACCAACATGATTATAGAGAAGCATTTAAAAATTGTTTTGCATATGCTTTTTCCATTTTCTCTTTCCCTTTTTAGAAAATTCTGCTTTCCACCCATTGTCAAAGTATATAACTATTACATGCTCTACTCTCCCTCATATCGCAGATTTCGTCTTAGCTCTCCATGGAAATATATATTTAATGCTCAGCCAGTCTTTATGCCACTGTCTCTCCAGTAATGTTCATTATTTAAACCTCATTCTCAGTACATTATGAAGAAAGGGCCCATGGAAAATATTCTGTATGTTATTCCATATTGATGACAGTTTGCTCCCTTTATACTTGAAAGTCAGTTTGTTAGGATATAAAATCCTCAGCTCATTTTTTAAAAAGTTGAGTATCTTTATAATGTTCCTTTTATTCTGGCACAAAATGCTGCTCTTGAAAGTCTGATAAGCTAATTTTCTCTTTGTTTTACATCACTTTTTTCCTTTTTTTCCCCTAAATATTTAAAAAGAAAGAGAAAGGACATTTTCTTTTTAACTGTGTTTTGGTGTTGGTTGTTCTGAGTTGACTTTCCCAGGTATGCAATTTATTATTTCATTGTTTCAAATCTCTTGTTTATAAAATATTTTTTTCAACAAAATGCCATTCTTAGTACTTGTTTTCTTCCCTTATTTGGGATTTCTTCTTGGACCTGTATGTTGTGTTTTTTGTGGTTGGGGTGGTAGTCTTTTATATTATCACTTTCACTCAAATTCTTGGCATATCTTTAAAAAATTTTTTTTAAACTGTCCTCTTTTTCCACTTTTCTTAAGACACTATGTTGTGATTATTCGCATTTCTGTTGTGTTTATTTATAAGATTCTGTTTTTAAGTTTATTTTTCCCTGAATTCTATCTTTTTTTTTTTTTTTTTTTTTTTTTTTTTGAGACAGAGTCTCACTCTGTCGCCCAGGCTGGAGTGCGGTGGCGCCATCTCGGCTCACTGCAAGCTCCGCCTCCCGGGTTCATGCCATTCTCCTGCCTCAGCCTCCCAAGTAGCTGGGACTACAGGTGCCCACCACCATGCCCAGTTAATTTTTTGTATTTTTAATAGAGACAGGGTTTCACCGTGTTAGCCAGGATGGTCTCGATCTCCTGACCTCATGATCCACCTTCCTTGGCCTCCCAAAGTGCTGGGATTACAGGCGTGAGCCACCACGCCTGGCCCCTGAATTCTATCATTTAATTTACACTGTTCTTTTGTTTTTTCCATCTATTTTCTTAGACAATTACTTTAAAAGTTATAGGATATAGATTTCTATAAACAATCAAAGTGTATCCCTCTGTTGGTACACTTTTAATCCTTTCATCAAAATGTCGTTCTGGCAAGCATTTAACATTTTTTCCATAGAATGTTTGCATTCCTTTGATTTATTTCCCTGTTACTATCTTTACATGACATTATAGTTCTAAATTTTCAGAATGGAGGCATGATTTAGAAGCGTTTCTTGTATCACAGCTCTCGAGTACTGTGGTAGTTTTGTAATGTGCCTATTTGACAAGGCCAAACTGTTTTTCAGAATTCCCTTCACTGTATTTTTTTGGCTCGACTAGAGAGGTTTTTGGGGGAGCTTTGGAAGGAAGACCTGGAACATCAGCCATTTTGAAGCTTACAGGTATTGGAACTGATCTGCTGACTCACTTTCTTGGTGTGAAGCAGTGGCTGGGCTTCATCCTCCACTGGATCTTCCTTCAGCTTCTGCATCTTCTGGGCCAAGCATGTGTTTAGCTCCATGACACAGAGCCACAGCTTCTGCAGGATACCACTTCCACTAATGTCGGGGGCAGCAAGTCTGACCCAGATGTCATCCCATCCTCACAAGGTTCCAACATGTGCTTGTGAGTTCCTGCTTGCTGTTGCTCTTCCCCACTGTACAGACATCTTCCCTTCCTGGCTAACTGCCTCGGTGTGAACTCCAGACTGCAGCTCCAGAGGCAAATATAACAGCTTCTCAAAGGCTGGTGAAGCAGCTCCTAAGATTTGCTGTTACACAATCATGCACACAAACACGCACACAGACATGCTAGTGGTGCTGCTTCTCTGATTGAATTGTGACTGCTAACACAAGTGACCTGTTGTTTTGAGAAAGTGTTCGAAAACATGGCATTTTGCTTTCTAGGAGTCTGACTCTATTCGCCTCCCCAGTCATAACTGGATTTTAATTCCCGTTTTCTCTATTGTTATCTCCATCCAGTTCAATTTGAACTCTGCCCTTCCAGTTTCCTCCTATTTTGGGGCTTTGTCCTGAAGGGAGGTTTGCTTATTATTACTGAGCGTTTTCAGGACCTTGTCTGCTCTGCTGTCCTTTCTGAGATATTCTGGCTCTCCCTGGCTTTAAGAATGAGCAAATCCTTCCCAATTCCAGCTGCTTTCAAAAGTTGGCCTTCTGGGGATTTCCAGAAAGTAGCCATTGGCAGGGTGTATTAGTCAGGGTTCCCTAGAGAGACAGAATTAATAGGATAGATGTATATATGAAGGGGAGTTTATTAAGGAGTATTGATTCACATGATCACAAGGTGAAATCCCACAATGGCCGTCTGCAAGCTGAGGAGCAAAGAAGCCAGTCCTAGTCCCAAAACCTCAAAAGTAGGGAAGCCGACAGTGCAGCCTTCAGTCTGTGGCTGAAGGCCCAAGAGCCCCTGGCAAATCACTGGTGTAAGTCCAAGAGTTGAAAAGCCGAAGAACTTGGAGTCTGATGTTGGAGGGCAGGAAGCATCCAGCACAGGAGAAGGATGAAGGCCAGAAGACTCAGAAAGCTAAGTCCTTCCAAATTCTGCCTGATTTATTCTAGCTGTGCTGGCAGCCAATTAGATGGTGCCCATGCAGATTGAGGGTAGGTGGGTCCACCTCTCCCAGTGCACTGACTCAAATGTTAATCTCTTTTGGCAACACCCTCGCAGACACACCCAGGAACAATACTTTGCATCCTTCAATCCAATCGAGTTGACACTCAATATCAACCATCACACTGGGCTTGCCATGTAATTTTTGTGAGACCCAATGTAAAACAAAAATGTAAAACCCTTGTTCAAATTAAGAAAGAAAAAATGTTTTCCCTTTTTTCTGTGATCTCTCTCCGAACCTGTTCTGGTGACTTTTATTTGCTGTTTAATGTTGTACTCACTTGAGCCCAGGAATACCTGTGGGGTGAGTGCAAACCTTTATAGGCCCCAAAGCCCCAATCCACAGTTCCCTTCATTGGGGCGCACATGCCCAACCCCAGGCCTCCTGGTGCCAGGTCCCCACAGGAGATGAAGCGTGGCTGAGGTCCTTGGGCAGAGGCAGGGAAGCAGAGGGCTGAGAACACATTATGCAGAGGCAGGGAGGCAGTGAGACCCAGGGCCACACAGGTGCTGAGTCTCCAAACCCCTGGTGCATGCTCCATGTACTATTGGACAAGTTTAAAGATGAACTCATTAAGAATTTCTAGACAGCAACTGCTGATCAATCACTAACTTCCCAGTGAGAGCTCCTTCTGGGCACTGGTGGCAGGGCCTTAAAGTCAGGCCTGCCTTCTAGTCAGTCATACTGAAGGCCTCAGGCCTGTCAGACAACCATTGTTCTCTCTTCTGCCAGAGCCGTGCATGTCTTTTGGAGGTCAGTGGTTCATATCTCTCCTCTTGTGTTTTGAGCTCTTAGGGACACTGGGTTATCTAGCTTTACCGTAGGAGATAGCTACTGAATTTGTGTTTTGCTGTCTCCATTTCTGTGTGTTCATGGGGGCGCCTAGAGAAATTCAAAAACAATACTGCTACTTGTACCATCTTCCAAAAACCCTTGAAAAATTTTTTAATCTGTATATAAAATTCTCATTTGATACTTGTTTATATTCAGTCCTTTTGAAGATATTATTCACAATGTTCTGACAATTGCTTTTGCAAACTCTATGACCATTCTCTGTCATTCCTAGGTAGCTACCTTATCTTTTCTCTTCAAAAGCTTTTAAGATTTTTTTTTCCATCTTTGGGTTCACTAAGACATGCCTTGGTGTGTATGTTTTTATTTATCTCACTTGATACTCCTAGTCAATTTTAATTTGAAAGCTCCCTTACCTTACAAAATATCTGAATTCTCTGTTGTAAAATTGCTTTTCTGCCATTTCCTTTGGTTTCTTATTCTGAAATTCCAGCCAAATTTATGTTGGAAACTTTTACTTTTCCTTTGCTTTCTAATCACTGTCCTTTCATTAACTTTTATTTGTCTCTAACTCTGAGGTTGGTGGTGGGTGTGTGGACTGTATTTCCCTATTTGCATGGGATAGTTTGGTCCCTGCATGTTGTCCCTGTGAAATTACTATGCCCTTTTCACTTTCAAAAATTTCCCTGTTTAGAAGGTCCTCACTATGATCTATGATCGGTGATCCTCACTTTTACTTTGAATTCATTAATCGTCTAAAATGTATTCATTCTGTCCATTGAGGTTTATAAATGTCATTGTCTATATGTTTTCACTTTTATTATTTTTAATTGTTTGAGTCCACTTAATCTTATTTCATTTCCACCTGTTTTGTTTCTAGGTTGCCTCTTTCCTGGTCCTTAGCCAAGGGAAGCAGGCTTTTGTTGAGACTTTTTGTTTTGTCTGTACCTGTTGGCAGTGTTTGGAATATGCAAGGCAGAAATAAATCCCAGGGAGCTCGCTGCTGAGTTATTTTTCTGTCCTGACATCCCTAGTTGGTCTCCCTTTTTCTCTCTCCCCTTCAGCATCTGATGTTTGTTTTCTGTATAATGTTCAGGGCTTAGCTGGAGAAATGGGGAGAACTCTGTCATTCCATTTGGTTCCAGAACTAGTTGCCCCTGCTGCCTATTTTTATGATGTTATTATTTTCATTAGTTTTTTCAGTGAAAATATGCTTTATTTATTGGCATTTTGTGGGAAGAGGCTAGACTTTCTTAGCATAAGAATTCCTTATGTGTTTGGGAACTTTATTTTCCATGTCCCTCTCCTCCCTATTCTACTATACCTAACAATTTTGCAACTGACAATATCTACATCCTTGGACCCTCAGTCCGAAACCACATTTCATCTTATTGAGTCCAGTGTGTGTTTCTCTGTGAACCTGGGGGCATTGCATATACCATCCCCAGGTCAGCAGAGGCCAGGTCCATGTCACGGTTCAGTGCTCCCAATTGGGGTTCACACTTCCCAGCTGTCCCAGGAAGCAGCAGCTTCTCCCCACCCTTCAAGAGCAGGAGGCTGTGGGGGCAGGAGGTCATTTTAAGCACTGAGATGGCTCACTTCCCATTCTTCCTGGGTGCCAGAGGCTTCCATCAGCTCTGCACCTTCTGCTTTTCTAGATTTCTCAGCCACAGATATGCTTTTCCTGTTTTACAGCCTGGTTACACATTTTTAGGTTTTATTCCCATGCATATTTTATCTATGTGATTAGAGAAGAGGGAGCCTTCAGCACAGGCTCTTTCAGTGCTGCTTTGACTTGAAGTTGAGATTCCACATTTAGCCCATCAAATAAGGAAAGATGAAGAATTTTGATGAAGGCCAAAGTCTGAGGGGCCTAAGAAAAGGTGCACTCACATGCACGGTTGTTAGGAGAGGAATTGAGAATATACATGAAAATTTGAATTTGCATCCTATTTAACACAATAATTTTATAAATTAGCCTACAGAATACAGTGAGTAATATATACATTTAAGATATATGTTAAAATATTTATTACAGTTTTGTTTACATTAACAAAAAAGAACAACACATTTCCTAAAGCCCATTGATGTGGTTTGAATGTATGTCCCCTCTAGATCTCATGTTGAAATGTAATCCCCAGTGTTGGAGGTGGTGCCTGGTGAGAGGTGTTTGGGTCCTGCGGGCAAAACCCTCATGGCTTGATGCTGTCTTCACAATAGTGAGTGAATTCTTGCAGGATCCAAAAGAGTGTAGCATCTCCCCTCCCTCTCTAGCTGCTGCCCTTGCCATGTGAAACACCAGCTTCCCCTTTGCCTTGTGCCATGACTGTAAGCTTCCTGAGGCCTCACCAGAAACCAAGAAGATGCCAGCACCACACTTCCTGTACAGCCTGCAGAACTGTGAGCCAAATAAACTTCTTTTCTTCATAAATTATCCCGCCTCAGGTATTTGTTTATAGCAATGCAAAAATGGCCTAATGCACCCATCATGAAGAGACAAGTGGATAAAGGATGGCATACCCATGAACTAGAATGCTTTGTAACCTTAAAAGAGGGACATAAATATGTACACACAGATAAGTGAATACACACAAAAAACTACATATTAACAAAGTTTATGAAACATAGAATATTATCTCATTTGGGTAAAACAGTTCTAAAAGCCAATTAAATAACTGTTGGCAGTCATTAATTGTAGTGATTGGAAATGAGGTAAGAGGCACTTTTACCTTTGTACCCTTTCATAATGTTTGCAGGTTTATTAACATACCCTTAATTGTGCTGTTATATTAAAAACTAGCCCTTATTGCTGGTGGTAATGTAAAATGGCATAGGTACTCTAGAAAATAGTTTGGCAATTTCTTATAAAAGTAAATGTATGATTAGTACAGACACAGCACTTGCACTCCTGGGCATCTATCCCAGATAAATGAAAACTCATGTTCACACAAAAACCTGTAGACACATGTTCATAGTTACTTTACTTTTAATAGCCCCAAACTGGAAACAACCCAAACATCCATCAATGGGAAAATGGTTAAATATAACTGCGATATATCACTACAGTGGATGACTACTTAGCAATGAAAAAGAATGACATTGATAAACACAAAACAGCTTGGACAGATCTTAAGGGAATTATGCTGAGTTTAAGAAAAAACAATCCTAAAAGAGTACATAGTGTATAACTCCATTTACATTTTATCCTTTAGATGGCAAAATTATAGAAATAGAGAACAGATTAGCAGGTGCCAAGGGCAAGGGATGGAGGTTGGGGGTGGACAGGTGGGTGTGGCTGTAAAAGGACAGTATGGGGGAGCCTTGTAGTGATGGAACTGTCCTGTATCTTGACTGTGGTGGAGGATGCATAACTTATGCATGTGATAAAATTGCACAGAACAAAACACACACACACAAATGAGTACATGCATGTAAAATTGGGGTAATATATACTTTTGAGATGTTACCATTGGGAGAAACTAGGCAAAGGCTACACAACATATCTCCATATTCTTTCTTACAATTACATATGAATCTAAAATTATGCCAACATTTTTAAAGTTTAATGAAAAAAGAGCAGTTATTTAATAGTGTGATTTTCTTTTCCATACAGATTGCATGAATTTCTTTGTTGGATTTTACTAAATATTTTAGAGATTTTGTTTCTATTGTAAATTGAGTCTTACTGTCTATTACATTTTCTTAACAGTTATTACTGGTTTCAAGGGATACCATTCATTTTTATATGCTGGTCTTGGATCTGGAAATGTCTCCAGATTCTCTTTGTTGTTCTTACAGCTTGTCTATTGAGTCTCTTTTTCTATGGGTTTCCAATGCAAATAGCATTTAACTGTAAAGATGTTTGTAAGAATGCATTGAGAAAAAAACCATGTAAGTTTCTTCTTTATCTGCACTCGTAAAAAAATTACACTGGTAGATTTTTCTGATAATAAAATAATATGATGTTGAATCATTTCTGATGGCATTCTTGCTTTCCTGGTATAAATGCTTCACAATCATTTTGTTTCATTAATTTAAAAATACACTCGGGTTTAATTAGCCTACTCCATTATTCCATTTCTGATTCTGAGTGTATGTTCACCCATGAAATCGGTCTGTCATTTTCTTTGCTTGTAATTTACTTGCTCTGTTTTGGTAGCAAGGTTATGAACTGACTTCATTAAATGAGTTTGGAAGCTCATCTTCAAGTTCTGTTTTCCATAACAGATTATTTAAAATATGGGTTACACATTCTTTGACAGTTTGGTAGAATTTACCCATGTAATATTGTCTGGGTTGGCAGCTTCTGGGTAAGGAGAAAATTTGATCACCATTTAAATATTTTTATTTGCTATTGGCCTTTGTAACATTTTTCTTTCTTTTGGTACCAAATTTGTTACTTTAAGCTTTTTCATAAAATTTTTTACTTCATCTAGTTTTTTTTAACTTGGTGTATAATAGTTGGACATATTTTGAGGTACATGTGACATTTTGTACCTGTATACAATGTGTAATGATCAAATCAGGGCAATCGGGACATCCATTACCCCAACCATTTATCTTTTTTGTGCATGTTGGGAGTATTATAAATCTTTCAGTTATTTTGAAATATGTAATAAATTATTGTTAACTATAATTTTTCTACTGTATTGTCAAATGCTGGAACTTATTTCATCTATCTAACTGTATCTTTGTATCCATTAAGAATTTTATATTTAGTCCTCTATAGCTGTTCATAAAATTGTTGTCAAAAATGTTTAAATCAAATTGTTTTTCAAATGTATATAAAATAAATACTTCACTCTCTAAGAGGAGAGTACTTCCAAGCCATTAATAATATCCCATTTTTTTCCCAGATACTCTTCAAATGGAATTCTTAATCTGGTTTACTTGTGCTCTTGTGGTTGAAACATCCAACTGTCATCCTAGAGTTTTCTCTTTTCATCATCTGGGGATTCTTCTTTGATTGTTTTCTGAAATTTTTTTGGTCCCATACTTACCTCTTTCTTCTATTACTGCCACATTTTAGTATAGCAAATACTTTTAAGGAAGCGTGCACAAGAATTGGCAATCACACGCTTTGAGGCCTAGCTGAAAGCATCTTCACTGTGTCCCCATATGAGATTGACTGACTGTTATACAGAAGTCTGGATTGGATATATCTTTTCTTTAGTAGGAAGGTCAAGGCATTGTTTATTGTCTGAGGTCATTTCCACGAGTCACCTTTTTTATTCGTCTTTTTAAAATCCATAATGTTGCCTCTTCCCCTGATATTCCAAAATACCACAGTGGTTAGTTTCACGCGATTCCACATCTTACACTGTGTGCAGTGGGACCTTTCAATCTGGAGGCTTATGCCCTGAGAATCTGAGAAACTTTCTAGTATTATTTCATTGTCATTTTTCTTCCTTTTTATCTGTCCTTGCCTTTCAGAAGTGTAATTATTTGGATATTGGCCCTTCCAGAGGTATTCTTTTCCCTTATACTTCATTTGTTGTTTTGCTTTAACTTTCTGAGAGAACAATTCCACTCTATCCTCTGGCCCTTCAATCAAATATTTTGTTTTTCCCATCACACTTTTTTATTTCCAAGAATTTTTTTCTGCGTGCTTTTTAAAAGCATCCTGCTTTATTCCTTGGCCTCACTCCCCACAGGCACTTAGCTTTCCGTGGACTTAGTTTGTAACATTAAGAGATGTTACAAACTTTTAAAAGTGTGAAAGTAAACTAATGGAGCTTCTCACTTTTAAAAGTTTGTAACATCTCATATCATCTTATTTGCTCTGTCCTTTTCCACTGATGCTTTACTTTTTCTCTTTATTCTGATTTCAGTGAAATTTTAAATATAGGCTTAATCTGTCATGTTTAAAAGAAGTTTCTTATAATTAAAAAAATCTAGTACATTTATGTCAATTCCTTTCATTGATATTCCACTTATTTGCATTTTAATTTTTGGGTATAACTTTGCCAGATAGCACTCTGCATAATAATCTTCCTTTTAATAACCAGGCTTCATTTTTATAGTAATCTTCTTTAAGGAAAATTGAAACAATGGCTCTAGAAGTTTGTAAATTACTAAACAAATTCTGAAAATAAAGCACAAGTTTGGACAGTTATCCTACCTTAAAATAACACATAGTACAAAACTATTGTAATAAAAAATAATGTGCTACTAGAACAGGAGTAATAGAATAGCCTGGGCAGTGCAGGCACAGCCACCCATATATTCAGGGATACAGTGTATGATGGTGGTTGCATTACCATTCACAAGAATTTGTTTATTACTGCATAAATGGTGTTGCATAAACAGACTGAGTGCCCACTGAGTGAAATGAAACTGGATTCCTACCTTACATGTGAACAAAAATAGTATTGAAAAAGTTAAAATTCTATAAAGAAAGTAAATCTGCTAAACTAACGGGTGAAGATGCAGAATTCCTTTGTGAACTCAGCTGGATAAATCCTCCTTAACAAGATCCAAGAATCACACACACGGAAAGGAAGGATTGATGGACATCACTCACTCAGAATTTATTTCTGTGTAGCCAAGGTAAAGTTAACATACAGATAACAGATGGAGGTCTACTATTTTAAGTGCCTAAAACACACAAAGTACTTCTGCAAATCAGTATGGAAAAGGCAACCATCCAATAGAAAAAGAATGGACCATGGACATGAGAAAGCTCTTCAGGTGGAAAACCAGACAGAATACCTGCCAACCGATGCATGTATGCTTAACCTCACCATCTGAGACATGCAACTCCTAACATCATATTGCCGTACTGACATCAGAGTGGCAAAATTAGAAAATTTGATCATGTTAAATCCTAGTGAGGATGTGGAGAAATGGAAACCTTTGTTTACTTTGGAAATTGAAAACCAGTGAAGCCATTCTGGAGGGCAATCATTAAAAATTATGTATGTGTATGCCACCTAACCTGGGAATTCTTCTCCAGGATGTATCCCACAAAGAAAATCTCAGTGGTAAGCACAGAGAGACCTCTACAAAATTATGCATTCAGCCTTGGTTATGAGAGCAAAGAGCTGGGGTTAATCTGAAAGCCTTCCTTACAGAAATGGATAAGGATGTGTGTTGCACTGTTTAGATCTCAACAGTGGTCCATGTAAGGAATTAGATTTATATATATCCACATATGTGTGACTAATAAACAAAGCATTATTTACATTAATCACATGAACACACAACTACTCTATATCCTACATATATTTACATGAATATATAAAAATGGTTTGAAAAGATTCTCTTTAGATAGAATGTATGTACATTGTGAAGGTCAGGGTAGGGAGTGGAATGGGAAAAGGAATGATGGATTAAATAACTAACAGAAAGAAAAGAAGGAAGGAAAGGATGGAAGGAGAGAAAGAAAAGAGAGAGCAAGAAATAGGAGGAGGAGAAGGGAGGGAGGAAGGAAGGAAGGGAGGGAGGGAAAGAAAGGAGGGAAGAAAAGAAAGAAAAAAGGGAACTTTGTACAGACTGATGGTAAGTGTGCCATAAACTGGGGCATATAGTCTAGTTAATTTTGTTCATCTGTAATTTTTTTTTTTTTTGAGACAGAGTCTTGCTCTGTCACCCAGGCTGGCACAATCTCAGCTCACTGCAACCTCTGCCTCCTGGGTTCAAGCAATTCTCCTGTCTCAGCCTCCCAAGTAGCTGGGATTACAGGTGTGCCCCACCACGCCTGCCTAATTTTTGTAATTTTTTAGTAGATTCGGGGTGTTACCATGTTGGCACCAGGCTGGTCTCAAACTCCTGACCTCAGGTGATCCACCCTTTCACCTTCCCAAAGTGCTGGGATTACAGGCGTGAGCCACTGCCCCCAGTCCATCTGTAATTTTAGAAAACAAAACCAGTTATAAATTGGATGCTAGTGACTAAAAGTCATCTGTGGAGAAATTCACAGCCCAGTTGGAGAGTTGGATAATACAGCTACAGAGATGACCATTATTCTCAGGACGACAGTAATCTTGCCACCCAGTGGAACATTACTATGTAATATGACAGAAAATCTATCAGGGGAAAACAAGACTGTGACCTTTTAGTAATCTTCCAGGGAAAAGCGTTTTTCTATATTCCATTAGCCCTGAGATTGATGATCTGGGGTTAAAGTAGAGGATCTCAAATCATGTGCTTGGATTACACAAGAGACTGGAGATTGATGGAGGGCTGCTGGGTGCCCACATCCAACCAGCTTGCGTTCCATCCAAAGTAGAACTGAGAGTTGATTGAAGAGCCCTTGTTGTGCTGTGTCATGATGCATCGTGATGGCTGAGGACAAAGAGACAGGGGAATGAAGTGCCTAAGTCCACACTGGAAACTAGTAGTTATGAAGGCCCTATTGTATGCCAGGTGCTTATGGAGACTATAAAAATTAATCTTCATGACAAACACAATAGGCAAGCATTCTCATCTGAAATTTTACAGATAGGATCAAGAGAGGTGATGTAAATTGCACAAGGTCTACTGGTAAAAAGAAGCTGAGGTCCAAGGTCAAATATTTTTGACTCTTTTCAATATATAGCACCTTATCTTCATCCCTAAAAGGCTAGAGTTGCATTCTGTTATCCACATGGACTCATCCAGTGCTAAGATTTTATCTTATTAGGCATGCCCATTACAGGGTTTCCCATGGTTGTGCCCATATAGACCTTTCTAAGAGGACAGCCTTAGGTACTCATGTCATGACCCCCACTCCCAGTTCATAGCTGATGGACTAGAGTCTGGTGATGGGCTGAAGGTAACCACACTAACAGGGGTCTAAGGTGTGGTCTGGAATGGAAAGATTTTCCCTGGCAGGGTTAGGGATATCAGTTGAGCAAGGTAGGTTCTACCTGTCTGGAATTTGAAGTGAGAAGTTTGGTAGCAATGAGCTCCTTGGTAGGCAAACAGAAGGTGGCTCCGCACAGGGAGGAATGGACAGACAGCATAGAGCTGAGTGATCTGCCAGCGGAACCCTGGAGTGGAGGTCCTGGGACTCCCACTGCTGAGGATGTCAGTCTCCAGCATTAACACTCAGGATGCCATCCCACTCAAGTCTCCCTGGTGGCCGGCCTGGTCTTCCTGACCTGGAAGTGAAGCTTGGTTGTTCAGTTTTCTCTGAGTTCTTGTGAAGACCTACCCCATGGTTAAGATTCCTGTTTTCCATTTTCTTAAATGAATCCTTAAAATATATTCCCACTTACGTGAGGTGGGGTGAGAAAATCTGTTCCATGAAGCAAGCAAGCCCCAATGAATCATTGCTTTGATTTCTTAACTTTCTAGAAGGTGGACTCCAGCTTTGATCAAGAAGACACAGTCAAGCATAAGAACATATAGCTAGGCTGGGCGCAGTGGCTCACACCCGTAATCCCAGCACTTTGGGAGGCCGAGGTGGGTGGATCACGAGGTCAGGAGATCGAGACCATCCTGGCTAACAAGGTGAAACCCCGTCTCTATTGAAAATACAAAAAATTAGCTTGGCGTGGTGGTGGGCGCCTGTAGTCCCAGCTACTCAGGAGGCTGAGGCAGGAGAATGGCATGAACCCGGGAGGCAGAGCTTGCAGTGAGCCGAGATCATGCCACTGCACTCCACCCTGGGCGACAGAGCGAGACTCCGTCTCAAAAAAAAAAAAAAAAAAGAACATATAGCTAGAGGGAGGGCTTCATGCTTCAGTTTTCAATGGCTATGAGCCACACATGGTGGGGTAGCCATGTACCCCCTCACATGGCTTGTGGAGGTAAAGTTGAGAGTGTGGTTCTGACTTAGGAATGTCAGTGAATTAGGGTGCAGGGGTTGTGTTGTGTAAGGATCAGGAGTGAAGAAGGAGTTGTGTAGGGAGAATGGGAGCCTGTGATGGGTGGGATGACATCTCAGGATATATGTGGGGCATGTACTCAGGGTTCCAGGTAGTTAATCTTGGTAGTGGTTGTTTTATGAGCACTGGTTAGAAGGATAAAGAGAGGACATCTCAATAAATCTAGTAAGAAAATAACCATAATACTTTGATTACAAGTAGAGTGACAAACCATCCAGATGTGTCTGGGACCGAAGGGTTTCCTGGTATGTGGGATTTGTAGAGCTGAAACCAGGAGAGTACCGGGCAAACCAGGATGCTTGGTCAATTCCAGAACTTGCAAGTGACAGAAACCCAACCCTCACTAGTTAAGCAAAAGCAGATGATTTTTTGACTAACAGGGAGGAAAGCCCTGAAACCTAGTTTGCAGAGTTCCATATGGAAAGGATTAAACCATTCAAGGAGCTCCTGCCTTGACCTTCCAGAAATTTCACCGATCAGCATGAGGAGCTTTTGTTAATCACCCATGCCCAGCCTCCTAGAGATTCTAACCCCATTGTTCTGGGCCTGGGATTCAGTGCTTTTTAAAAACCTCCCTTACGTGATTCATATATGAAATCACTGCTTTTCAGGAATAACAGGATAAGCCCATTGTTCTCAAACTTTTCTTCCCATTGCAATCATCTGAAGGGCTTAAAAAATGCCTATGTTGGAGTTCCATTCCCCAGAGATTGTGGTTTAACTTGTCTGGATGTGGCCAGGGTTTGGGGAGTTTCTGAAGATCAGCAGATGATTGTAACTTGCATACCCACAAATTTGGGATCCACTCCTAGACCCTCTCCCAGAATAGCCCCAGAATTCAAGCAGGGGAAGAGTAAGGATGTGTGGGTACTTTAGTCATCAAATAAATCAGCAAAAATCATTTGCAAACCCTATGAGCTAGCTGAAGGTCTGGTCTTGTTATTCTGCCTGAATGGAGCATGGGTACAAGTGATTAGAAGACTTTGCAGGCAGCTGGGATGGGACCCTGGCCAGACAGAGGCTGACTTTTCCATGATCCTCTCACTCTCTCCATGATTTCATGATTGTCAATCAAGGCTTCTGATAGATGTGCAGTTGAAGTCCTAGCTCTGGAACCTATGAACTTACTTGATATCAAATCATCCTCAACTTTGGTTTCCTCAGTTCTAACATGGGGATAATACCACATACAGTGGAGGACCTATATGAAGTAGTGATATGTAGCTAACATAGAACAAATTATTAGTATTTCTTTCTCTCACCACTTTGAATATCTTAGTCCCTCCAGGGACTTCCTTTAGTAATGGAATATGTGTCTGCTATTGTACAATCTCAATCTGACTCTTAATTTCTCAGAATTTATGAATTGGCAGCTGCAGAATGTTTGAATCAAAGCTGAAGTTTTCAAAGAGAATGACTATGGGATTCTGCAGTTTTGATTTTAATATCCTGAAAATGCAAATCAAGGCTTGTGTGCAAACGTAATTTTCAAATATCATGACTCAGCAGATCTCAGATTCCATGATTCTGTAGATATTCAAAACCCATGACTTAGTGATTCTCTGATATGATGGCACCGATTTTCTATTTTAGTGATCAATACACAGAAAACATAAATGTGAACCTCTAGCAATTGTGCAAAGGAATGTTCATTTCTAGAGCCAGCCTTAACTTGTTTGACCATGAATGAAGAGGGTTGTATCTGCAGCTGCGAGACTCATGTACCTGAGGCTTCCTTAGAGGATTCGATTCTACAGTTCCAGCTCATTGAAGAAATAGCATCTATCAGAACAGTTGAAATTCCAAATTGAGATTAATTTTTGTTTGTCCTTTTTAAAGATAATGGATACTGCTTAGGCAATAATCGGTATAGCCGAGCATTTGCACAGTGAGCACAGAATAAGGATAAGATAATGATGCTTCTCAGATTGACTCAGAAATCTTCAGATGTAATAACTTGATGGTTTTAAGATTGAATGACTTGGCAATTCTTATAGGCAAACAATAAGATGCTAAAAATAGAGAAAAAAATTAATTCAGCATTATAGAGAGAGAATTCAGAATATCACAAGGCACAAAGACCCCAAAACACACTCAACAAGGGACAGAACATGTAGGATCTGACCATTGCTCCCTCTACAGTTGAACAAGCTGGAAGCTAGAGAAACTTATTGTGAGGGACTATCCCTGCTGATGGCCACTGGGTGGTGGGTGGGGTGGGGTGTGATTTGTGCAGAAAAACACAGAGACAGGAGACTCTGCTCCCCGCTCCATATGTGTTTTCTTCCCTCGATTTCCAGAACACATGCCCCATTAACTTTTTTCCTTGGATTTATGTATGCATTATTTATTATTTATCTTTTTGTTTTAAGATGAAACAGAAAACCAGACCCAAACAAATGTAGAGATTAGTTAATTATGATTATAAGGCAAATGTCTTTGTCACAACTACCCAGGTCAAGAAACAGAACTTTGGCCGGGCGCGGTGACTCACGCCTATAATCCCAGCACTTTGGGAGGCCAAGGCGGGCGGATCATGAGGTCAGGAGATCGAGACCATCCTGTGAATGGTGAAACCCCGTCTCTACTAAAAAAATATAAAAAATTAGCCGGGCATGGTGGTGGGCACCTGTAGTCCCAGCTACTCAGGAGGCTGAGGCGGGAGAATGGCGTGAACCCGGGAGGCGGAGCTTGCAGTGAGCCGAGATCGCGCCACTGCACTCCAGCCTGGGTGACAGAGTGAGACTCCGTCTCAGAAAAAAAACAAAAACAAACAAAAAACAGAACTTTGCAACAAACCCAAAAGCCCTCCATCATGCCCCAGCCAAATTACATTGCTTCCTGTAAATGTAACTATGTTATATTGATTTTTGTAACAGACATTTCCTTGCCTTTCTTCATAATCTTACCAAGTGAGGATAGTAGTCACTATAGTACAGTTATGTCTATTTTGCCAGCTTGCTATGGTATATACTTATCTTTCAGTCAATCTTGAGATTACTCCTCCATCCTTTTCTTTTTTTAATATACAATTTGTCTGTTGAGTCTGGGCTCTTTTACCTGTAGAGTCTTCTAATGCGTGGATTTCAAACTGGTTATGTAGCTCAGCATGTATCCCTGCCCTATTTTCTACCAAATAACAGTGGGATCCAGAGGCTCAGTCAAACTCAGGGTCAGTCCTTTTGAAAGTTCACTGTTTATGTTGTGGCCTTTCACATTGTGGCTGGTTTTCACTGTTTTGATGTCACCAACTAATGATACCCAGTGCCTGCATCCACTAATTAATTGAGTGCTGTGAAAAGCTAATATAGTTATTGTATCACTTTGTTTTCATTTACTCTTTTAAATTTGTCAAGGTATGTTTTATAGTCCAGAATGTGATCTATTTCATGAATGTAAGCATGTAAAATTGAGGAGACTGTGTATTCTGCTGTTGTTGAATGAAGTATTCTATAAGTGTCAATTAGATCCAGTTGATTGATGGTGTTGTTCAGTTCAACCATGTTCTTATGGATTTCCTCCCTGCTGGGTCTGTCAATTACTGATAGAAGAATATTTAAGTCTCCACCTATAAGAATAGACCCATCTATTTGTCCTCAAAATTTAATAATATTTTGCCTCATGTATTTTGACACTTTTTAGGTGCACATACACTAAGAATTGTGATGTTTGGGTGATGGAACCCCTTTATCATGATGTGATGTACATTTTTATCCCTGATTATTTTCCTTGCTCTGAAGTCTGTTCCTTCTGAAATTAATATAGCTACCACAGTTTTCTTTTAATTAGCGTTAGCATGCATATGTTTCTCTACTCTATTACTTTTATCTATATGTGTTTTTATAGTTAAAATGAGTTTCTGGTAGACAACATATAGTTGCGTCTTATTTTCTTCTTCACTCGGACACTATTTTAATTGATGTATTTAGACCATTGACATTTAAAGGGATTACTGATATAATTGGATTAATATCTAACAAGTTTCTTACTGTTTTCTATTAAATATCTTTGTTTCTGCTTCTTTCTTTTTTTTTTTTTTTTTTTTGTCTCCCATTCTTTTTCTGCCTCATCTGGTTTTAGTTGAGCATTTTGTCTGACTCAATTTTTACTCTTTTAAAATGTTTTTCAGCGATTGCCCTAGAGTTTGCAGCATACATTTACAACAATCCAAGTTCGTCTCCAAATATGCTAAATCATTTTAAAGGTTTTAAAATAGAGTGTTTACAGTTTCTCCTTCCTACTCATTATAAAATTGCTGTCATTCATTTCATTTATCTCTGTGCTACATCCACACAATTCACTGTTTACTATTATTACTTTGAACAAACTATTATCTGTTAGATCCATTAAGAAAAAGAAAAATGAAAGGCTTCATTTCATCTTTATTTATTCCTTCCCTAATACTCTTCCTTTCTTTATATAGATTAAAGTTTTTAACCTATGTCATTTTCCTTCTCTCTGAACAACTTTTTAAACATATCCTGCTAGGCAAACTCCCTCATTTTTGTTTGGCTATAAAAGTTATTTATTTCTCTGTAACTTTTGAAAGATAATTACTCTGAGTGTGGAATCCTAGGCTTTTTCGTTATTCCTATAAGCACCTTAAATATTTCACTCCACTGTTTTCTTGCTTGCATGGTTTCTAAAGTCAGATGTAATTTTTATCCTTGCTTCCCAATAGATAAGGTGGTTTTTACCCTCTGACTTCTTTCAATACTTCCCCCTTGTCTTTTAATTTCTGCAGCTTGGGTATGACATGCTTACATGTAGATTTCTCAGCATATATTCTACTTGGCATTCCCTGAGCTTCCTGGATTTGTGGCTTGGTGTCTGACATTAATTTGGGGAATTCTCAGCCATTATTGTCTCAAAAATTTTCTCTGTTCCCATATCTCTTATTTCTCCTTCTCATATTACCATTATGTATATGTTACATCTTTTGCAATTGTCCCATAGTTCTTGGATAATTTGTTCCATTGTTTTAATTGCTTTTTCGCTATGCATTTCAGTCTTGAAAGTTTCTATTACATTTCTTAAAACTCATTGATTCTTTCCTTGGCTGTGCTTAGTCTACTGATGAGTCCATCAAAGGTATTCTGTGTTTCTGTTATAATGATTTTACTTTTTTATCTCTGTTTATAATTGAGGAACAAAAATTATATATATTTATCATTTATAAAACATTTTGATATACGTAGATATTGTGAAATGGCTAAAAAATCAAGCTAACTAATATATATTACCTCATATTTTTATGATTAGCACACTTAAAATCTACTCTCAGCAATTTTCAAGCATATTATATACTGTTATTAACTGTAGTCACAATAAAGTACAAGCGATCTCTTAAACTTATTCCTCCCATCTAACTGAAATTTTATACCTTTGACCAACATTTTCTCAGTTCTACCCACACGCCAGCCTCTGATAACCACTATTCTACTCTCTGCTTCTATGAATTCAACTTTTTAGATTTCATGTATAAGTGAGATCATGCAGTATTTGTCTTTCTGTATCTGACTTATTTCACTTTGTATAATATCACCTAGGTTTATTCATGTTGTCACAAATGACAGGATTTATTTATCAGGCCAAACAGTGTTCCATCGTGTACATATACCACCTTTTCTTTATTCATTCATCCATTGATGAACACTTAGGTTGATTCCATGTCTTGGCTATTGTGAATATTGTAAATACTGTCTGCTTAAAATTTGCCCACTACTTAAAATTCACCAATGTATCTTGCCTATGACAACTGTACCTGTAGTGTTCTAATGGTGTTTTTAGAATATCCCCAATTTCTTCTGCGCTTACTGACTGGAATTTTTATGTAAAGGGAAAATGATCACTTCTTTATTAATTTATGTATTCAGTTATCCATTTACATTGGATGGATTCCTGGGCATTTATTTTATTCTTTGGATTATATTCCAACACGATCATTACATTTTAGTCCAAGTTGTTCATGGGGAATGCTTTGGTCATTGCTCTTATTTATTTATTTATTTTTTAAATTTTACTTTTAAGTTCGAGGATTCATGTGCAGAATGTGCAGGTTTGTTACATAGGTATATATGTGCCATGGTGGTTTGCTGAACCATCAACCCGTCATCTAGGTTTTAGCCCCGCATGCATTACGTATTTGTTGTAATGCTCTCCCTCTCCTTGCCCCCACCCACTGACAGGCGCCGGGTGTGTGATGTTCCCCTCCCTGTGTCCATGTGTTCTCATTGTTCAACTCCCACTTATGAGTGAGAACATGTGCTGTTTGGTTTTCTGTTCCTGTGTTAGTTTGCTGAGGATGATGGCTTCCAGCTTCATCCATGTCCCTGCAAAGGGCATGATCTCATTCTTTTCCATGACTGCAAGGTCATTGTTCTTTAGGCTTAGAGCCCTTTTAGGTTTACTCCTGTGCTCTTTTGACACTCCCTCAAACCATTTTGCTTTTCCTTTGCTGGCTTAATTTGTTTTGTTTTATTTTAGCACTTCCTTCCTACTGGCACTACAAGATGTTACAGAATCTTTGTGAAGCTTCCCTGCCACAGGCCTGGAATTAACCACACCTGCAAAGAACCATGTTTTCCTTTTGTTGGAGAATGGTAATTAAAAACCACGAGCTGGGCCGGGCGCGGTGGCTCACGCCTGTAATCCCAGCACTTTGGGAGGCCGAGGCGGGCGGATCACGAGGTCAGGAGATCGAGACCATCCTGGCTAAAACGGTGAAACCCCGTCTCTACTAAAAATACAAAAAATTAGCCGGGCGTAGTGGCGGGCGCCTGTAGTCCCAGCTACTTGGGAGGCTGAGGCAGGAGAATGGCGTGAACCCGGGAGGCGGAGCTTGCAGTGAGCCCAGATCCCGCCACTGCACTCCAGCCTGGGCGACAGAGCGAGACTCCGTCTCAAAAAAAAAAAAAAAAACCACGAGCTGAAGAGAAGGCATGCTCATTGCCACGGGGTGTCAGAGCATCTAGTTCCTATCAGTGGATAGGGCTCGGAGATATATATGCTAACTCATGTATACATACATCTACATTTACTTCTGCATCTACTTTCATATATTCACACACACACATACATGCACACTCATGCGTTCATATTGATTCTCAAACTTCAATGCAGCATCACTTAATCCATTTTAGACTTATCTCTTTCCTTATTGTAACTTCTTACAATAAGGAGAACCTGGCTTCCATTGTTTCAAATATATTTACTTATTTATTCAACACTACTATACAAATAAAGTGGTTTCAGAATTCTTTTTATTTATTTATTTTTTTACAGACAGGATCTTGCTCGGTCACCCAGGTTAGAGTGCAGTGGCTCAGTCATAGCTCCCTGCAGCTTAGAACTCCTGAGCTCAAGTGATCCTGCAGCCTCAGCCTTCCAAGTAGCTGGAACTGCAGGCACTGCCACCACACCATGTTAATTATTATTATTTTTTTTGTAGAGTTGAGGTCTTGCTTGCTATGTTGACCAAGCTGGTCTAGAACTCCTGGCCTCAAGCGATCCTCCCACCTCAGGCATGAGCCACAGTGCCCAGCCCAGAATTCTCAATCCAACCCTTCTGGGAAACAAATATGCCAACAAAAGCAGTCTTCGTTTATGTTCTTTTTTTCTTTAGTCTTACAGTAACCATTTAAAACACTGCTTTTTGAAATGACTTAGGTCAGCTCTTTTGTTCCTCATGCCCTCACTGTGCTTATGTAATTCATTTGTAATATGGTTTAACTCATCATCACAGTCTGGGGACTCAATCTTTTCCCCACATCCTGGTTGATTTTTAAAAATTTATGTCAATGAAATTCATTTTTTATGGTAAATTGTTCTTTGACAAATGAAAAGAGTCTGTAAAACTGTGTCAGCCACCAAAGTTTTATATGAAACTGTTCCATCATCCTCAAATTTCCCCTTTGCTGCTCCTATATATGAAACCCCTTGTCCAATCCAAGACAACCACTGATCTTCTTTCCTTCTGACAGTTTTGCCTTTTCCAGCATTACATAAATTGAATCACATGATGCATAGCCTTTGGACCTTTCTTCTTTCACTTAGCAGAATACATTGAAGAATCATCCTTATTGTCACATGCATGCATCATCTGTTTCTTCTTATTGTTGAATAGTATTCTATTATATGAATGTGTCATAGTTTATTTATCCATTTGTCATTTCAAGGGCATTCACATCCCTAAATCTTTATTTATCTTTGGTAGATACAGAGGAATAGAACTCTGGATCATAGATTAGGTGGATGCTTAATTTATATAAAATTGCCAAATTCTTCTCCCCAGTGCAGACGCAGGGACGGCCAGGCAGAAAAGAATAAGACCTGGTCACATCAAGTGATCAGGCTTTGGAAGCCTCTTTGATCCTGTGAGCCCAAAACTCTCCTCCCTCACTCAGAGACACCGAGAAAGAGAGGAGGGAGCTTAAAGTGAGACCCCTCCCACATCAAGAGACATCTGACTGCCATACCTGGAAAAATCACTTTTTCCCTACAGGCACCACCAGCAGACTACAGTGGGAGCCTTATGGGCACTGGAAGAATCAAGCAGAGGAAAATAACACTGCAAAGTTTCTGAATGTTAAATTGCTATTGGAACCACAACCCGTAAGAGTAGGCTAAGACCCACATGTTGAATCTGAACCGGTTGACAGCATGCTAAAATAAAATATTTAATATTTAAATAGGACCAGCCAGTACAGTGGCTCAGGCCTGTAATCCCAGCACTTTGGGAAGCCGAGGCGGGTGGATCACCTGAGGTCAGGAGTTCCAGACCAACCTGGCCAACATGGTGAAACCCCATCTCTATTAAAAATACAAAAATTAGCTAGGCGTGGTGGCAGGTACCTGTAATCACAGCTACTGGGGAGGCTGAGGCAGGAGAATTGCTTGAACCCAGGAGGCAGAGGTTGCAGTGAACGAGATCATGCCATTGCACTCCAGCCTGGGCAACAGAGCAAGACTCCATCTCAAAATAAAATAAATAAATAAATAAATAGGACTCAAAGTCTCCTGGCCTAACAGATATAATTTTCAGAGCACAGTTGAAAATTATATCATAAGAAAAATCACCTTCAATGAGAAAAATCAATCAACTGACACCAACAACAAGAAGAAACAGGCATTAGAACTATTTGACAAAGATTTTAAAGCAGTTGTAAAAATATTTCAGCCAACAACTACAGATGCTCTCAAAACAAATAAAAATAAAAACTAGAAAAGTTTAGTAAAATAGCATATGGTATAAAAATGACTAACTTGAAATTATAGAACTGAAAAACATAGTAAGAGAAAGTTTTAAAAGCCCACTGGATGAACTCAATAGTGGAATGGAAATGTCAGAGGAGGGAATCAATGAACTTGAAAACATATTAATAGAATTCACCTAGACTGTACAAAAGAGAGAAAATATACCAAAAGAAAATGAACAATCCTTTGGAGACCTGTGGACAATAACAAGAGATTCATTCAAAAATAGTACCACCAAGGCCTTAGAAGAAGAAAAGAAAGTGTGGAAGAATGAATATTTGATACAATGATGGTGGAAAATTTTTCCAATCTTTTGAAAGAGAGAAACTTACAGTTTCAAACAATTATTATATGTAAATCTAAAACTAAAAATTTTAAAAAGAAGCAAAAGTTTATTTTCTAATTGTGTATTACTAGTATATAAAAATATAGTTGTATTTTGTTTATGGGCCACAATTATTGCAACCTTGTTACATTTATTTATTACTTCTAGCAGTGTTTTTGTAAAATTTATAGGGTTTCTTATGTAAACAATCATTTGTCAGTGAACAGTGTCATTTTTATTGTATAATGATACTGGCTAGGTCTTCCATTATTAGTGTTGAATAGAAATATTTCCTAGTTAAAAAAAATCTCCACAAATGCAAAAGAACCAAAATACTGTGTGAGTGTGTGTGTTCTCTAACCACAATGAATTTAAACTAGAAGTCAATAATGGGAATATATCAGAAAAATTTCTATCCAAGTGCAAATTAAAGTACACTCTGAATAATCCATGAGTTAAATAGGAAATCTCAAAGGAAATTTTAAAAGACATACAGTTGAATAAAAGCAAAAACACACCATATCAAAATTCATGGAATGTAGTTACTGCACTACTGGGAAATTTATACTGCTAAATATTTACATTAAAAATTAGAAAATATCTCAGATAAATAACCTATATTACCACTTCAATAACTAGGAAAATAAGATCAAAATAAATGGAAAGTAAGCAGAAAGAAGGAAATAATAAATACAGATCAGAAATCAATGAAATTGAAAACAAAAAATAAAGAAAATAAATGAAACCAACAGCTAGTTCATTGGGGGGAAAAAACCCAATAACATTAGTAAACCTATAGCAAAACTGGCAAAAATAAAAAGAGAATACTCAAATAAATAATAATAGAAATAAAACAGGGGGTATTACTACAGATTCTTCAGCTATTAAAAAGATATTATGGGGGATGGTATGAACAATTACTCATAAATTCAAAAACTTGGAAGAAATGGAAAACTTCCAAAAAAGCTCCACAAGCTACAAAAACTCATGCTAGATAAAATAGATACTCTGAGTATCCCTATGCCCATTAAAAGGATTGAATTTGCAATTTGAAGTGTCTGGAGGAATAAATCTCCAGGCTGATATGGTTCCACCAATGAATTATAAAGTCATTTGAAGAAAAATAACACCAATTTTATGCAATCTATTTCAGGAAATAACATAGTGAGGGGCATCTTCTGCCTCATTTTTTAAGGCCAGTATTACCGTGACTAACCAGTATATGACAGTATTTTCAAAAAGAAAACTGTAGACCAATACCTCCCATGAGTTTATATGCAAAAATTCTCAAAAGTATTATCAACTGAATTATCAAGTTGGATTTATTCCATGGATGTAAGGCTGGTTTGGCATTTAAAGTCAATCACTGTAATGCACCATGTCATTAAGCTAAAGGAAAAAACCATATGCTATTATCAATTGATGTAATACGCTTTTGATAATTGATGTAAAATGCAATTGACAAAATCCCACATCCATTCATGATAAAAATTCTCAGCAAGTTGGGAACAAAGAAAAATTTTCTCAATTTGATAAAGACCACTTGAAAAATAAAAACAAAGCTCAAGATTATACCTTACATCACATTTAATACTTTTTTCCTCCTTCAAATTGGAAACAGGAGGAAAAATCTCAGCAATCACCACTCTTGTACTGGAAGTTCTAGCCACTTTAATAAGATTAAAAAAAATAGGCACACTGATCAGAAAGAAAGAAATAAAACTGCTCCTATTTGCAAATGACTTGATTGTCTACATGGAAATCCCAAGGATTCTACAAGGAAACTCTTATAACTAATAAGTAAGTTCAGCAAAGTCCTAGTTTACAAGGTCAGCACACAAATATCAATCCCATTTCTGTATACTAACAGTGAGTATGCAGAAACCAAAATAACATTTGCAATCATGCCAAATAAAATTAAAACTTAATTATGGATTTATAACCTCTGTAAGATCTGTATGCTGAAAATTTCTTTCTTCACAGAAGAAAGAAAGAAATCAGAGAAGAAAGAAAGAAATCAGAGAAGATCTGATAATAAATAGGCAGTGTACCTTTTAATAAATAGGCAGTGTACCATGTTCATGGATTAGAAAACTCAGAAATAGCAAAAATGTCAATTTTCCCAAAATTGATTTATAGGTTTAATGCAATTCCTATTAAAATCTCAGCAAGGACTTTTTGTAGACATAGATAAAATTTGTATTATTTTAAAATTATTATCATAGTGTAATGTTTATTATATTATTATATTTTATATAGTTGTAATTTGTATTATTCTAAAATTTATATGGAAAGGCACACATCCTAGAATAGCTAAAACAATCTTGAAAAAGAATAATAAAGTGGGAGGAAACATGGTACTTGGTGTTAAGTTTTGCCGTGTAGCTGTAGTAATCAAGACATTGTGGTATTGAGGAGAGAGAAACATAGATCAATGAAACAGAATAGAGAACCCAGAAATGGACACAAACACATATGTCTAATTGATTTTAACAACAGTATAAAAGCAGCTAAATGGAGGAAGGATAGTCTTTTCAAAAAATGGTGTAGAAGCAATTGGCCATCCATTGGGTAAGAAAAAAATAAACCTTATATCTTATATAAAAATGAACTCAAAATGCTTTATAGCCTTCAAGGGAAAATATAAACTATAAAAGTTTTAGAAAAAAATATTTTAAAATGTTCAGAATCTAGGGTAGGCAAAGTTTTCTCAAATTTGATGCCAAAAACAGATAATTTGGAGCTCAAGAATATTAAAAACTTTTGCTCTACAAAATACCCCCTGAAGAGAATAAATCTATAAGCTAAAGAATGTAAGCAAATATTTCCAAATCACTTATCTAGTAAAGGATTTATAGCTAGGATATATAAAGATTCTCAAGAATTCAATATTAAAAAAACCAAAAAATACAACTAGGAAATGGGCAGAAGATATGAACAGATACTGTTTTTTGTTGTTGAGCCGTAGGAATTCTTTATGCATTCTGGATAATAATCCTTTATCGACATATGAGTTGTAAATACTTCCTCCCATTCTGTGTGTTGTCTTTTCACTCTTTTGATAGTGTCGTCCAATGTACACAAGTTTTAAATTTGGATGAAGTTCATATTATCTATTTATTATTTTATTGCCTGCTATCAACTTTTTTATAAGTTAGTTTGAGTGGCTTCCTTCTTCCTGTTACCAAATCATCCCTGGCTAAAACACCAAGAAACAGAAGCACCGGGCAGGAGAGAATAAGGGTTCTGAGAAATGAAAACAGATCCACTGGGAGAGTTAAATGCACCAACATGCAGAGAAACACAAGTTCAAGGAGACGGCTTAGGGAAGACTTAATAGCAGGGGCAGAAAATTGGCTTGCCTCCTGCACCTAGCATCTTCTGTGCCACATAGGGCCTGGTATGCAGGTCAAGTTCAAGTTGGAGTCATTTAGGTAGATACCAAGCTGAATGGTAAAACCAGATTAGACACCAATAAATACAGCCATAGCTCAAAGGCCATGGGGAGGCTCAGTAAGCCCTGGGCCAGCTAGGGTGGGCAGAAAGAGAGATCACAGTAGGCAAAAGGAGGTGAAGTATGAGGTAAGGCCAGGTATCTCTGGCACTACTCCATAAACAAGATGACATACCAGGGGTGATTTTTATGTACAGAGAAAGATACCTCCCGGCATTAAGAGCATCCTTTCAATGGGGCCACACGGGTTCCCGTAACTGAATCTGCCTGGTACATGCTAAAACAGGTAGAGAAAGGATAAGTACAGGGTAGGCTAAAGCCAGGGAACAACAACAACAACAACAATGTGTCAATCAAGAGACAGTACTGCACTCATCTGGGCAAGGTGCAAGGGAGACTTGGTAACAACAATGGTCCCACCAGGCAGTTACTATAGAAAGAAGAACAATGTAAGGCTGAATGTTGAGGTGAGCATAGTTTGATGAAAGGGCTATGCAAAAAGATGTAAAGAAAGTAAGATGTTGAGTAATCAGCTGTCCTGATTTGCCTGAAACTGAGATATTTCCCAGAACACAAGACCTTCAGTGACAAACTAGTACAGTCCCGGGCAAACCAAGACTGTTGGTTACTTTAGCAAAATGTCAGTGTGAAGTTGGATGGAATGCCCTTGCCTGCAAGGTGTGCAGGGCTCTGCTGAGCAGGATATCTCCACAGCTTGCCCTTCCACCCCTGGTTGCTTGCTGTGTGAATTTTCTACCCCTGCTTCCCACAGGGAATGTGTGTGTTCTCAGGCATAGGAAGCAAAACACTGATAGAGCTAAGAGGTAAGGTAAAAGGCCCACATATAATAAGAACTTAAGAAATGATGAGAAAAGGCTGGACCCAGTGGCTTACGCCTGTAACCCCAGCACTTTGGGAGGCGGAGGTGGGTGGATCATGAGGTCAGGAATTCAAGACCAGCCTGGCTAACGTAGTGAAACCCCATCTCTACTAAAAATACAAAAAAATTAGCCAAGCTTGGTGCTGTGTACCTGTAGTCCCAGCTACTCAGGAGCCTGAGGCAGGAGAATTGCTTGACTCTGGGAGGTGGAGGTTGCAGTGAGACAAGATCGTGCCACTGCACTCCAGCTTGGGCAACAGAGTGAGACTTCATCTCAAAAAAAAAAAAAAAAGATGAGAAAAAAAGATTTGAATAAGTATATAAGTTAAAAGTGACAAGAGTTGAGAGAAGGCAGCAGAATTTTAAGAGAGGGTAGGGCAAGCAGAAGAAAAACAGTGACAGAAAGAATCTGGAGACAGACCAATAGAGTGGTAGCAATTTGTACATAAGAGACAGCGTGATGGAAGAACCCAGGAGAAGCGACAGGGAAATGAAAGGTGGGCTCATGTAGAAGAAAGATGGATGCAGGGGAAGTGCAAAAAATATAGGCAGAGAGAAATGAAGGAAAAAGTTGGAAGAGGCTGAGGAGACATGGAGAAGAATATTCAAACTCTACTTTGATAGAATAAATATTTATCCTTGAATTCTAGGCTGAATTTAAACAGAATAATTTAATTTCAAAGCTTTGCTCACATCCTATAAAAATGAAGACATATATTTCAAAATAAAGCTTAAGAATGGAAATGGCTCCCTATCGGTTTGAATAATAGGTCTTGGTATTATATAAGACATTTTTTCTAAGCTCCCCCCCGCCACGCCTACCAAAACAAACAGCAATGCATGCAACAGAGAAATCTTTCATGAGAGGAAGAGTCCATCAATGCAGCAAACTTCACAGTTGTCTTATTTTAAGAAATTGCCGTCGGGTGCAGTGGCTCACGCCTGTAATCCCAGCACTCTGGGAGGCTGAAGCAGGCAGATCATGAGGTCAGGAGTTCGAGACCAGCCCGACCAATATGGTGAAACCCCGTCTCTACTAAAAATACAAAAACTTAGCTGTGCATGGTGGCACGTGCCTATAGGCCCAGCTACTCAGGAGGCTGAGGCAAGATAATTGCTTGAACCCGGGAGGCGGAGGTTGCAGTGAGCGAGATTGCACCACTGATTCCAGCCTAGGCGACAGAGTGAGACTCAGTCTCAAAAAAACAAAAACAAAAAAAAGAAATAAATTGCCACAGCCACCCCAACCTTCAGCAACCACCACCCTGATCAGTCAGCAGCTGTCAAGGGAGGACCCTCTACCAGCAAATAGATTACAACTCACTGAAGGCTCAGATAATCATTAGCAGTTTTTAGTAATAAAGTACTTTTTAATTAAGATGTGTACATTTTTAAAAACATGCTATTGCACAGTTAATAGATTACAGTATAGCAGTCTATTCTGCGAATCACTTTATTGTAACATTCAGACCATTTATTGCGGTGGTCTGGAACCAAACCAAAATCTCTTGGATATGCCTGTAGTAAAATGTGACAGAAGACAGATAAATTGAAGAAGAAATTATTACATCAAAAGAAACAAGAACTTAAAGATTTGGAAAATTCTTAGTCTGTCCATGTGGCAAATAAAAAATAAAAATGAGAAAGTGTATCCTGAAGAGAGAACCAAGGGTGTGGCTCATTGAAGGGAATACAAGCAGAAACACCTACACCACTGGCTTACACTGAAGGGGATGAGAGAGGGAATAAATGAAGGAGGGTGGTGGCACTTCTTAAACTCTGCAGGCGACGACAGTGGTGCTAATTGGCTGTGAACGTGGACTGTTTCATCAAGAAAATGGAAGAACGACGTGGAAGGTGTTTCAGAGAACATCAGGGCTGCCTCGTTGTCTTCAAAGGGTCAGGCTCAGGCCACCACTTTGGTTTCAGCAGGTAGATGGCCTCCACCAGAAGCACTGGGGTGGGACTGCCCTACAGAGCTGTAGGAGCAGGGCTGCCCCACAAGGCCCAGAGGCAAAGGTGCTGCCCCACTGGATCCAAAGGTAGGGCATTGAGCCCAAGAGGATTTTCCTCTCAAGCCTTAAGATCTGATGGAGCTTGTCTTGCTGGGTCTGGGACTTGCTTGGACCCTATCATCCCTTTTTTCTTTCTGACTTCTCCCCTTTGAAATGGGAATGTACGTCCTAAGCCTGTCCCACTATTGTAGTTTGGAAGCACATAATTTGTCTGTTCACAGGTTTACAGCTAGAGAGGACCTCACCCATAGCTGATTTGGATGACATCCAGATGAGAATTTGAACTTAGATTGATTCTGGAATGAATAAGACTTTGGGGGCTGTTGGAATGGTGGTTTGTGTATTTTGTATGTGAGAAGAACATAAATTTGAGGAGGCCTGAGAGTGGAATGCTACGGATTGAATTGTGCCCCACTCTAATCCATATGTTGGAACCCTAAACCTCAGTGTGGCTGTATTCAGAGATAGGGCCTTTAAAAAGATAATTAAGGTTAAATAAGGTCATACGGGTGGGGCCCTAATCCAATAGAACCAGTGTCCTTGCAAGAACAGGAAGAGACATCAGCAATCTGTCTCTCTCTCTGCACACACACACACAGAGGCCAAAAGCCATGTGAGCACACTGTGAGAAGGTGGCTGTCTACAAGCCAGGAAGAGAGCCCTCACCAGAAACCAAGTTTTCTGGTGTTTTCAGCATAGACTTCTAGAACCTAGAATTGTGAGAAATAAATTTCAGTTGTTCATGCTGCCCAGCCTGTGTTATTTTGTTATGGCAGCCTGAGCAGACTGAAGACAGAAGGTATATTTCAGCAGCATGGTACAAACATGAAAATGAATCCAAAGATAAGAAAGAGACAGAATTGTTGATGTAGCCATCAAAACAGTTTGAACATATAGTTTTAGGTATAAATATGTTATAAACGTAGTAACAAATTGCATGCAAAATCCAATGTTTTTTAAAAGAACATTTAAATATCAAAGATCAATTATACATTGTTTAAAAAAATCGGACAAATTCCCAAAGATTCCAAAGTATCTTGTGGAGAGGGGTGAGGCAGTTGGAGAGATTGAACATCAAAGGAAGCAAAGGTGAGCAAAATTCTTCATTGAATATGGAAAAAAATAAAAAGTCACTTTTTCATAACTTTGCTAGAAAATTTGTGATTAGATAAATATAAATAATTAGGCTTAAGCATGATTTTTTTATATATTCCAAAATAGATCGAGTGCCTGGGATTTTGAATAAGAGGTGGTGTCTGCTCTCCTGGAGCACGCTGGCTAGTGGGGAAAACAAACTAGCCAGAAACCAACAACAAATGGTGTTAAGGATGGAGAAAGATGGGAGACAACGCCCTGTGCACTGCTGGGCCAGGGAGGCCCTTTCTGCAGGATTGGTTTGTGTGCTGCACCCTGAGAAAGGTGAAGACCCAGCCACGTGAAGAGCAGGGAAATGTGTGTTCCAGGGAGGCACGGAGACTGGAGGGGCCTGAAGTTGGCAAGGAACAGAACACAGGCCAAGTAGCTGAGCAGTTAGTGAGAGGGAACATCCAGCGGGAGGATGGAGGAGGAGGGGGAGACCTGATTGAGTAGCCCATGTGAAGAAGTGCGGATCTCCACTAGAAGCATGAAGCAGGTAGAAGTCCCTGAAGTGTGAGTGTGTGTGTGTATGTGAGAAAGAGAGAGAGTGATTAATATATTCAACAAGATTCAAAAATCACATAAAAACACTATCATAAATTATACAATGGGAAGCCTCACTTCTCTTTCTTGTTGACCTCACCACCCTCACACTCAAGTAAAGATAAATTTTTATTTCTCTCTTTATATAAAAAAGATAGCATACTATAAAATACTATTTTCAACCTTCTTTTTCGTTAACAGTATATCCTGGAGATATTTTCATATCAGCATATGGAGGGCTTCCTCAAAATTTTTTTCACTGCTTCAAAGTGTTCTATTGTGTTGATTACCATAGCTTATTTATCCAGCTTCTTCTTGATGGGATTTTGAGTTGTCTGGAAATTTTGTTGTTTCAATGCTGCTTACAATAAGTTTGTGCATTTATTACTTTGCATGTGTGCAAATATGTACAAAAGACAAATTCCTGGAAGGCATTACTGAGTCAAAGGGTAGTTGCGTTTGTCATATTGACAGACATTCCCAATTTCCCTGCATTGTGTTCTGTAACATTTTGCATTTTCACAAGCAGTGGATGAAGCACTTGTTTCCTTAAGCAAAGGAGTGACATAATGGACTTACAATGACAAAAGTCCACTCAAAGAGAGTGCATGGGAGGTAGAGGAGATGACTTAGGCCTTGCAATTGACCTTGGAAGAGCTATGGGTGCAGGGCAAGCAGAGAGAAGTGAATAAAGCGATATGCATTTTCTTAGAATCTGCAGGACTTGCTGATGACTTGGTTGCGGGGAGTGAGGGAAAGGAGGAAAAAAGAGTGACTCCTTGGGGCAGGACAGGAGAGCATGTGGGAACAAGAGTGCAATAACCAGCCTGTTAGGGGTGAGTCCCCTATGGGACGTCCGAGCTGAGTTTTCCAGCAGTCAGTCTCGCAGAAGAGGGATTACACCTGGAGCTATGGATTGGGGCTGGGACGTAGAGCAACCGACTGTAGGAGATCACACAGGAAAGGTGCAGATAAAGAGAGACAAGGAAATACCCCAGGTCCAAGGCTGAAGGCAAACTGACATAGAGAGTGCAGTAGAACAGGGGGTGCCAGCAGGGAGGCAGGTGCAGCTCTGGTGTCATAGAAGGAGTGAGGGAAGAGTTTGGAGAAGGAAGGCATGGTCCCCCAATCCCAAAGCTGCTCAGGGGCTGAGTTGGATGAGGACCACACGAAGTGAATTCACTGGATGGGACAGCAGGGAAGCACTTGATAAGAGCTTGCAGGGGAGTTCCAGCAACGTAAGAACAACTGCTGGTAAGGTGAAAAGACTATCACCTTCCAAATCACAAGGGAAAGGAAAAGGGCCTAAAAAGATATCATTGTGAAGAAAAATTGAGAAAACATAAGGAACAGGAAATCGAGAAAACACAAGCAAAACGTGCATTGAGATGCTTATGCACATGACAGTTAGGAGCAGCGCTCGGGGTTCACACTCGGTTCCTCGGCTGCCTGCAGGAGGTGAGCTGATCAGCTCCCGGATCCCAGTGTGTCGTGGTTTGCCTGCAGGGTTAGTGTGAGGACTGAGCAGATAGTACCGCACTAGCACATAGGACGTGCCTGGTGACTGTGAGAGTTCCACTGGGAAGGCGCAGTGGAGGTAAGTGGATTGAACTGTTGCAAGTTAAAAAGAATTCTGAAATCACAGAGGGGAAGAGGATACACACACACACACACACGTGTGTGTGTGTGTGTGTGTATCTTTCATCTTATATGATAACCTAAAATAAAATCACATCCAAGGGATTGAAAAAGAAATCATCTATCCACCAATAAGGTAAATGAAATGAAGTGTGGAGCTGAGCACAGATGGAAAGAGAAAGCAAAGGTCTCATTACACATGTTATAATCCTGGGCTCCAGGGAAGTCTGTTAGCACCTCAACCCAGAGATCTAAAAATAAGCCGCTTAGCTGGAAAAATATGAATAAATTCTGTAGTTTTTATAATAATATTGTATCATTGTTTGTTTCCTGGTTTTGATCATCGCACTGTAGATGCTCACAATTAGGGGAAGCTGGGTGAAGGATTTACTGGAATTCTCTGTACTATTTTGAAATTTTCCCATAAGTCTAGTTATTCTAAAATAAAACTTTTTAAATGAGCACACCTTGCTTCTCCCCCAAACCTCCATCAACTGGCCTGTCTCATTAAAAGGTGTCATTCTTCTCCCAGCTTTCAAACGGGAGACCTCAGATGCATCCCCACCTCCGTCTTTCCTTCCTTCCCTCCCCCGCTTCCTGTCTGTTCTGCCCTAGAAACATCCATCATACCTGTCCCTCCTCTCCTGCACAGCTGGGCTCGGACTCAGCCTGGCATCTTCTCTACAAGGTTCCTGACACTCCTGCAAAGACAGCAGCCTGTGCCCTCTCTCCCCGCACTGTGGCCAGAGTCTTTGTTCTAAAAAAGGAACCACATTTTTTTTTCTTTTTTTGCCACTTCTGTCTTCAACGACTGCTTCCCGTGAGGCTCCCCTTGAAGGCCCCAGGCCTGTCAAGTCTCATGTCCAGACACTCCCCAATCAAGTCACAGCAGTCATGGCCATCTGCCCCCTCTGTCCCAGGCCCCAACTGGTTTGCCCCAAGCTTCAGTCAAAGGCTGCCTCCTGCCTCCAGCATGTCTCAAGCCTATCCACTTCCTGGAAGTATGCATTGCTCTCTAGTCTGTGTTCTCACAATGCCAGATGCCTCCTTTATTGGAGTGATGCTGCGAGATTGCCACCATCCTGATGCCTGTGCCTCCTTCAGCTTTAGATCCTGAGGACACAGCTCGGTTCCCAGTGTATAATAGATTCACAAAGGGGTGTTGTTGCATTGAACATGTGCCAGTGCTTCATTTATGCCTTGTTTAATCATATCAAAAAAGCCATGGAACTTCAGATGAGCCAGAAATAAGCCATTTTCCACCCTATGAAGCGATGCAGCTCACTACCCCCATCCCTCCACTATTCAACAGAAAATGGCCAACAATATCAAACTGTAATCTACTTAAATGTTCTTCTCTTCTGAAAAGGATTCCATTCAGTAGAACTTCAGGTTGTCCTCAGCTTCCTTAACGAAATTGGAATTAATTCAACTCACGTTGGCAGACTGGATGGAATGTGCATATCGGTACAACCCCAATCACGCTGTTCAACAGCCCATGCAGTATTCATCTAGGCAGACAGGGAGTGGGGAAGTGCACCCTAAGCAAAGATGCAGAGGGGCCTGTGGGAATCTGCATCTGCAAGAGGTGCAGGGGAAGTTTGATGCAGTAGAATTCAGGAGGCTGGAGTCTCAGTCCTGACTCTATTTGGCTCATTACACCTTCACCTCAGCTGGACTTCTAGTCTCTCTTGCCTCCTGGGTGAAGGCAGGAGTGTGAGCTTGAGGACCTACCTCCAGCCCTCGACAATCCTCTGATCTGAATTTCATCCTTTACAATGTGTGACAGCTAATGTTATGTGTTAACTTGACCGGGTGAGGGAATGCCCAGACAACTGGTAAACCATCATTTCTGGGTATGTCTGTGAGGGTGTTTCCAGGATAGATTATTGTTTGAACTGGTGAACTAAGTCAAGAAGAAGGCCCTCTCCAATGTGGGTGGGCATCATCTAATCCACTGAGAGCCTGCATGTAACAAAAAGGTGGAGGAGAAAATTTGCCCTCTCTGCTTAAGCTAAGACTCCATCTTCTCCTGTCCTTGGACATCTGCTCTCCTGGTTCTCAGGCCCTTGGACTCAGACTGAATTGCAGCACTAGCTTCCTTGTTCTCCAGATTGCAGACAACAGATTGTGGGACTTCTTGGCCTCCATAACCACGTGAGCCAATTTCTATAATGAATCGCCTCTTGTGTGTATACACCTGCATTATTCCATTTGCATTGCTATAAACACCTGAGGCTGGGTAATGTATAAAGAAAAGTGGTTTATTTGGCTCATGGTTCTGCAGCCTGCACAGGAAGCATGGCGCCAGCATCTGCATCTGATAGGAACCTCAAGCTGCTTCCACTCATAGCAGATGGCGAAGAGGAGTCCGTGTGTGCAGAGATCACAAGACAGGAGGCAAGAGAGAGGGGAGCGAGATGCTAGGCTCTTTGTAGCAACCGGTTCTTGTGGGAAATAATAGAGCAAGGACTCATTACCACAAGGACAGCACCAAGCCATTCATAAGAGATCCACTGCCATGACCCAAACACCTTCCATTAGGCCACACCTCCAACACACTAGGGAGCAAATTTCAACATGAGGTTTGGAGGGGTCAGATATCCAAACTACAGCAACATTCTGTTTGTTCGATTTCCCTGTAGAATCCTAACTGACACACTATTAGGAGATAATCATAAAAACAAGGACACACTTGTCTCCAGCTTCCCGTTCTTCCTCTCAGCCCTGCTGAAGCACGCACACAGCACTCCCTCCCATGTGTGCACACATTTGCATATACACACAGAGCTTTTTTTTTTTTTTTTGAGATGGAGTCTCGCTCTGTCGCCCAGGCTGGAGTGCAGTGGCATGATCTCAGCTCACTGCAAGCCCTGCCTCCCGGGTTCATGCCATTCTCCTGCCTCAGCCTCCCAAGTAGCTGGGATTATAGGCACCCACCACCTGGCCTGGCTAATTTTTTTTGTATTTTTAGTAGAGATGGGGGTTTCACTGTGTTAGCCAGGATGGTCTTGATCTCCTGACCTCGTGATCTGCCCGCCTCGGCCTCCGAAAGTGCTGGGATTACAGGCATGAGCCACCGCGCTCGGCCTATACACACAGAGCTTTTTAATCAAGCAGCTTTGCTGGGTTCCTTAGCTATTATATTAGGTTATGCATAAAGTGTCTTGAACTCCTCTTTTTTAGGCACCTTCCCCAAGGAGGAGTTGTTTTCCATGATGATTCATAGGGCCAGGGTCACACGACTTCGGGGATCTGCTCTGGCCAATCCTTACCCTGCATCAGGTCGACAGAGCACTCCACAAGAAGGAGAACAAATATGGGTGTGGGAGGCCTTGGTATAGCTGCTCCTTAGTCACAGCTTCAGAACTGTTCGAGAGGCTACAGGGAAGCTTGTGCCAGTGGGAAGCGTGCACCTATCTCCTAGGCTCACGCCAACAGCATCATGGCTGTAGCTTGGATGTATCAGGAGCAGTGTCTCCTGGCCAGCACAGCGGCTCACGCCTGTAATCCTAGCACTTTGGGAGGCCAAGGCGGGTGGATCACCTGAGCTCAGGAGTTCGAGACCAGCCTGGCCAACATGGCGAAACCCCATCTCTACTAAAAATACAAAAATTAGCCGGGCGTGGTGGTGCAAGCCTGTAATCCCAGCTACTTGGGAGGCTGAGGAAGGAGAATTGCTTGAACCCAGGAGGTGGAGGTTGCAGTGAGCCAAAATCGTGCCACTGTGCCACTGCACTCCAGCCTGAGTGACAGGAGCAGGACTCCATCTCAAAAAAAAAAAAAAAAAGGAGTGTTTCCTATAAAAAGGAAGAAGCCATAAGCCTAAGGAAAGAGCATAGAGCCTACAGAAAAGCAAACTGGAGCCTGGAGTGCTCAGGCCACTGGAGCGGGATCCTCTGCTCTTGGACAGAGATATTTATGAGGTCTCTGGGAACAGGTCTTGGGAAACAACCTCAATGTCTTCTGCTTCATTTTTCTATAACTCCATGCTCCCCTGAGACCTTCTCATTTCCAGTTGCTGTACTGTCAGAGAATTACCTCTTTCGGCAGACATGGCCATAGTTCCCCGGGAGGAAAGGCTGTGCGTAGGCCCTCCAGTGAGCATCACACACGGCCTGGTGCAGTGCAGAGCTCCATCTGGGTGTCTAGCATCAGGTGGGCAGAACTGACAGCCTGTTTGCCTGTCCTGGGCACTGGTGTGGGGGCACCATCCACCATGAGTACTCTGTGGTGGTGTTTGTGGTTGATTCACACACCTGGATCTGCAATCTCCTAAGTGAAATCTTGCCAATATTTTCTGCTTATTGTAAATTGGCTGAATTTTATGCCCCTGGATCCTGAACCATCCATAAACATGCACTAGAGAGGAAAGGTCTCCAGGAAGAAGGCATATCTGGAAAGCTCCCTCCTTTTCATGGGCTGCTTACCTGAGATTCTCACAGCATCCAATTTCATCTCTGACATGCTGATTGGTCACCCTTTAAAGACCTTTCTGAGCAGACAGCTAGAAAAATGCCTGATGGCACACTTAGACTGACTTCATTCAATTTCTTGCCTTTTCTCAGCTAATCTTCAACTCGTAATTTCTTAATGGCTTTTCCAGGCACTGTTCTGGATCACTAAAAGACATAGCCAGCCAAGATCCTCTGCATGGGGCTCCTGTTGGGATTTTGTCAGCATTGCTTTCTTAATTATGAACCAGTGTAAGGGTCTCTGGATTTCCAGCATTTCTTTAAGGTGATCATTCTCTACCCAGGAATTGGGTTTGGTAGAGACCCCAGGGTATAGGCATAGAGGAAACTTTGGATGTCCAGTGCTGTAGAGCCCAGAGCCTTCCTGCCCCGTCCGCAAGGCGCTGGGCTGTCTCTGTTCCCTTCCCCATCATAACCTGCACAGCATAGTTTGGAAGGGACCTACTCAACCAACACACAGCTAGGCTTTCAAATATACGGCCCTCCACTGATCTGTACTGTTTACATCCACTGGCACCTGTCTCCCCTTGACTTTTCCTGTGGCCTTGGTGCTAAGGAAATGCTTCCCAAGTACATTCATTAATGTCATACTATGAAATTGCATAAGTGGTTTATCATCCTAATTGCCCATACTGCATTATTTCCAAGTTAATGAGGTTATGAGCCTGCAGCAGGCGTACTATATTCTAATAATAGACTTTAGGACATGCCGTTAAAAAGTCATTACTATTATTATTGTTATTTAATTGGGAGAAGGTCCTCTCGCCCCCTCACCTATAGGCAAAAGATGTCTTAAATAAAAAGACACGTGAGCAGATATATGATTCCAAGGTCAACCCTGGACCAGAAAGACATCTGAGCTCTACACTGCTCTCTGCCCCTGCACACTGGGAGTCCCTCTTCCTTTCCCTCCCTCTCCTTGATCAATAAGGAAACACAGTATTCCCATCTGCTCTCCACCCCTGTTTGATGCCTGCCTTATCTTCCACCAGGACAAGTTCTATGGATCCAAATCTATTGCACCCATTGGACCCACCACAGTAATTTCTTCAGGAGTTACCTCTACGATCTTTCCCCAGTTGAACACACATTGGTGTGAGTAAGAACAAAAAAATCAATTTTGTTTGCAAGTGCTTAAACCCTTCCATAATCCAAACTCTACCAGTCCTTCAGAATCTGTCTCCAGTTCACATTGTCCAATCTCTAACCCTCATTCCCCAAATCACCAGGGTTATTACAATTAAATTAAAGCTTAGTCTGGTCTCTGAGCACACCAGGCTGTTCCCATCCCCGTACATTGTCATGTTTCTACTGTGGCATAGAAGGCAAAATCTTCCTTGTCCGTCTGTGGCTCCCTAAACCATTCCAAGATACAAAACAAGCTCATTCCATCTGTGAGTATTCCAGGGGAGCAAGATACTCTTTCTACATCCATGATCCATTGAATGATCATAGCAACAGCATAAGGAAACCAAAACCAGATGACTCAGGAAGTAATTAGTGTGTGCCAAGGACAAAGCAGTAAGATGAAAGGTTGTAATTCAGCCCATCTAAGAATTACTAAGAAGTTTACTTCTCATTATTAAGAGTTTACTTAATTTTGCAATACTCAATTTATATGTAAAGCAAGTAAAGTTGAGGATAGCATGAGATGACACAGATCAGAGAATAGAAAAGCAAATTAATCATCTCTGTACAAAAACAGACTGAGAATGATCTATGCAGAAATCCATCCCATCCACACAAAGCAACAATCTAAGCAAGATCAAATGCTGGAGGCCTTTTTCCTTCATTGGTGCAGATGGTCGCTACAGGTCACAAAGAAGGATCCCTGTCCTCAAATGTGCAGAGTATTAGTGAAAAACAAAGTGAAGGGGCTTTTCAGAACACACAGACTCTCAGCACAAATAACACATGGAAGGAATGCAGGTCTCGTGTGCACACTCTCAGTGCAAGTGACAAAAAAATGGCCCCTAACTTCACCCATATAGACACTCAATACCAAACATCAAAAGATGACACAATGTCCAAACATTTGCAAACTCTAAGAGAAGATTACAACTGAAGACCCTGTCATCATGGGAGCACGCTGTCAGTACAGATCACACACAAAAGGCACTATTTTCCCAGGCGCACACCCTTAGTACAGGAAAAAAAAACACCAAAGGCACCTCTCCTCCCAGGTGCATACTCTCATTACAGAAAACAAATAAACAAACAAACAAAAAACACTGAAGGCCCCTGTGCTCCCAGGTACAGACCCTCAGTACAGTTCACACACTGAAAGTCCCTGTCCTCTGTCCTCCCAGGTGCAGACCCTCAGTACGGATCACACACTGAAGGAACCTGTCTTCCCAGGTGCAGACCCTCAATACAGATCACACACTGAAGGGCCCTGTCCTCCCAGGTGCAGACCCTCAGTACGGATCACACACTGAAGGAACCTGTCTTCCCAGGTGCAGACCCTCAATACAGATCACACACTGAAGGGCCCTGTCCTCCCAGGTGCAGACCCTTAGTACGGATCACACACTGAAGGAACCTGTCTTCCCAGGTGCAGACTCTCAGTACAGATCACACACTGAAGGCCCCTGTGCTCCCAGGTGCAGACCCTCAGTACAGATCATACACTGAAGGTCCCTGTCCTCTCAATGCAGACCTTCAGTACAGATCACACACTGAAGGCCCCTGTCCTCTGAGGTACAGACCCTCAGTACCGATCACATAGAGAAGGCTTCTGTCCACCCAGGTGCAGACTCTCAGTAGGGATCACACACTGAAAGCCCCTGTCCTCTCAGGTGCAGACCCTCAGTACAGATCACACACTGAAGGCCCCTGTCCTCCCAGGTGCAGACTCTTTGTGCCGATTGTCCCCGGGACAGGAATCCTGGCTGCAGTGCCCTTGTCGTATCCTGGCCACCTAACTTTCACTCTACACCAGTCTTCATTTGCTTGTCTATTATTATTGTCTCCTAGAAATCTTCACATCCCATACAGCATCTCATGCTTTTATTTCACCCTGACTTCTTTCAACATTAACTTTCCATCAATTTTTTAAATCAAATTCTCTATTGTTCATCCTTAAGGCATAGAACACCTCTCCAGGAATGCCTAGGGAGTGTGGCCTGGCGTTCTCTCTCAGTTGCTGTGACTGCTGTGGATTTTGTTGTGCTCCATAAAATCCTTAAATGCAGAAAATGTGGGTGCTGATTCTCAGAAAGTAACAATACATTTGATTTCACCAACTTGCCCACAGCAGTCCGATACTGGGGTGCGATCCTCTCTCTTCCGCCTCTAGCAGGGGATTTTACAGCCACCTCAAAACCAAGGGCACTAATAGGATAGCAGATTCTTCTCAGCTGGGCTCTCCAATCTGCTGAGATTCCAGGAGGATCTCCCTTGTGGGATAAGAGGGATTCAAGGACCCCCAGGCCTGTGACTCAGCCTCACAGGATGCATGAAGTCTCAGGTGTGGACCACCCAACTGTCCCCCTCACCCACCATGGGCTCTGAATCATGAGAAATGGGAAGAAAATCATGTAATAGTACCGGAAAGGAGAACAGCATCAGTATAACAGAAATTGGAAAGAGGTTTGAAACACACAAAGGAGACAGGATGGGACAGAAGCTCAGCCTCCAGGAACGCAGCAGCACGAAAGAACCGTGGGGAGAGGGTGGTGGAAGGGCATCTTTGCGGGTCTCAGCTCCCAGGGAACAGCACTCGCGTCGGGACTGCATTCAGACCAGAACTGTCCTGGAACCTGCGGGCGGTGGCATGTCTGACTCACTTCCTTTAATCCAGGGAGGTCCTGCCCCATACCCTGTGTCCCCAGGACAAGGAGAACTAAAAAGTTAGCAAGAATAGAAGCCTCAGACCATCAGGGGGAAACAAATAAAAGCATATTTAAAACCTTAAAAAATTACAGCATCCAATAGCCCTGGGTAAGTGATTTGCTCTCTATTAATCAGAAAGCACAAAGTTTTCTAAGTGGGTTTTACGCGGAGATTGTATTTTTAAAAATTACTCACATTTTAAAAATTCCCTGCTTTTTATGAAATCTGCTCCTTTCTGTCTGTGTAGAGGTTGGGGTTATCTGCAGCTCCTTGTCTCACAGGAGGGATCCAAGGGCGTCCTCAGGCAAGGGTCCCTTGTCCAGCAATTGAAGGGGTGAGGGAGGATCGGGGTGTGGACAGAGGGTGGCTCTGCCCCCTGGTGGCTGCTTGGGGAGACCGCCGCGGCCAGATGCCAGGCTGGAGGAGGCGCCAGCCCCAGCCCTGGAGGTGGTAGGAGATGAGCTCTCAGGGCACTTCCCATCCTGGTGCGGGGCTCACGGCAGAGTCAGGACTGGCTGGGCCTGCAGAGCCCCACGCACAGGGCCTGGTGAGCTCCCCAGCGAGGCCTGCCTGAGCCCACCTCCGCAAAGGAGGGAAAGCTCCAGCCAGGGCTGGGGATGAGCTGAATGAAGGACAGGAGTCCCCACCTGCTCAGGGGTATCCCCAGTAGAGAGGAGGGACTCCCTTAAGGGCCTCATCCTGTGGGAACTCCCCAAATAAATGGAGAGTGCCTGGGGTGGAAGCTGATCCCTGGAACAGGCTAAACATGGGGAGCTGCCAGGCAGGAGTGTCCCCAGGAAGGAAGGCAAACTGCGGTGGAAGTGAGGGCAGAGGCCACCTCAGCTCTGCTCGAGCAGGTGGCGAGGACGGCCACACAGGGTGTCCTCCCCAACAACGAGGCAGTGCCAGGCGCACAGGTGGGTGTTGGGACTCAGCACAGTGGGGCAGCAGACACATGTGCTGGACACACAGCCCAGGACACACAGAAGTACTGGGTACACAACACAGGGCGCACAGCACAGGACACACAGCACAAGACACACAGCACACGGCACACCACACAGGACACAGCACAGGACACACACTACAGGGCACACAGTGCACGGCACACCACACAGGACACAGCACAGGCCACACAGCATAGGACACACAGCACAAGACACACAGAGCACACACACAGGGCTAACAACAGAGCACACAGCACAGGACACAACACAGGCCCACACAGTGGGCACAAAATTCTGGGCACACACTGTCAGCCAAACAATTCGAGGTACACGTGCCAGTCACGCAGCACCAGGCACACAGGAGTGGGCACGCTTGCCAAGCATACACAGCCACACAAACCATGCTGGGTCACAACACCAGACACAGAAGGAAAGACACACTCTCCAGCCACAGACACTGAAGCTGGGGACACACTGGACACACAACTCTGGGCATACAAGGTCAGGCATACCATGACCGACAAGCTGGCACACCCACTGGGAATACACACTGGCACACACTGGGGACAACACCAGACGCTGCAGGAACACAACATCGGGCACACACCAGGCACAGATGCTACACACACTCTAGGGACACAGCATCACATACACAATGCACACACGGCAAGAACCCATGCTTGTAACACATGTTGAACACACACACCAAACGCAATGCTGAGCTTCACTGTAGGGCACAAAACACTGGGACACACCATGCTGGGCACAGAAGCCAGGGTGCAATGCCAGGCACACACAAGTCCAGGCACTAATGCCAGCACACACTGTGGGAACACAACACTATGCACAAAACCTCAGACAGATGATGCCAAACACATACCACACACACACCAGCAGGCACTCCGGGCCAGGCACTCCAGGAGCACCACACTGAGCTCACAACGCTGGGTCACATACCAGCCATGTACACACCAGCCATGTAATTCCACCCACACAACACCAGGCATGCAGTGCAGAAACAGAACTCTGGAACCACAGGGCCAGGAAAACAATGCAGGCGCCCCATGCTGGACACACACAGTAAGTATACAACAATGAGCATGCAATGCCAGACACACAAAGCCAGACACACCATAGTAGGCGCAGCCTCTGGGACACCATGCAGGGCACACAGTGCTGGGCAAACATGCCAGGCACAAAATGCCAGGGAGAAAGCACTAAGCCCGTATGCCAGGCACACTCTGGGCCCACCAAGCTGGATGCACAAACCTGAGCACACAGGGCCGGACACACAACGCAGGCACCCAGGCCGGGCAGACACTCTGGGATCTCAATACTGGGCACACAGGACCAGGTACACAACACCAGGCATGCAATACTGGGCATGCCCACTAGGCACAAACAAGCAGGGACACAGCGCCAGGTACACACAGTACCTGCACACACAGTTGGCAAACAACACAGGGCATACGCTCCAGGATTACACTGCAAGGCTCACAGACGGGAGCAAACAAACCCGGCATACAATGCGGAGTATGCACAGCCAGGTGCCACACTAGGCATGCAGGGCCAGGCACATGGCAAGAACACAGGCTGGACACAGATGCTGGCTACGCGACACTGGGCAAACAAAGTCAGACACACCATGCCTGGTGCATAACACCATGCACATAACTCAATACTGGACACACAGTGACAGGCACACAACACTGGGCGCACAAAGGAAGTATGCATGCTAGGCACTCAGCAGGAACACAGGACACTAGAAGGCACACCCAGTCAGCACATACAGTTGGCTTTGAGCAACGAAGTGTGCGCAGACGCAGTGTCACCCACCAGCTTAGGGCTGACCGTGGCCAGCCGTGCTCCAGATGGCGGCCGCCCCGCGGCGCAGATCTTGGATGAAGGCGACATGGAGCGGGGCTGTCGCCAGCCACTGGGGCTCAGGGGGCTCAGGGGCACTTGCGGCAGCCACACAGCCTGAGCGCTGCTGGCTGTAACTCTGTGGGATGCACGAGGTTTGCTTCCATCAGTGCCCTCTCTGATGCACATGTGAATCGCTCTGAGTCTCTTACGATAACAAAAAATTCCGTAGGGTGTGGCACGTGTAAACCCGACTCGTATTTCTTGCTAGAGTATCTTTGGCACGGTTTCCTGGGTTACTGGGTCAGAAGTCAAAGGCAGGTGACTTTGCAATTGCCAATTATCTCCGCAGGGCTACACCAGAGTGGGTCAGGGGAAGAATCAGAGATGGGTCGTAGGATTGTATCGTCATTAGGTGCATGTGCCCAGAAAGCAGGAAACAAATCTCCCAAAAAAGCTCTCTCAGCCTGCTCTTCAAAAACCCGGCCCCTTCCCACCTCTTCCTCTGCCGGAGGAATCTTTAAGATTTGCAATTTTAACCTTTAGCCGTTAGGTGGCGCCACAAAGTAAGGTATCCATGGGCCGAGGACGCTCAGCGACCCCTTCCTCCCCTGTGAGATTTCTTCTCTTGTTGAAGCTGCAAAGGAAAATCGCAGTTCCCAGATCTGGCAAGTGTAACAACATCTTCAGCAGCTCTGAATGGTTTTTATACAATTCTTTTCTTTACCTAATAGAAGGATCAATAACTGTAGACATATGCAGATCTTGATGGTTTGACCTCAGGCCAAAGCAACCTTGCTCCCCACCCCCATCACTTTCCTGTAAGACAGAAAGAGTGGTTGGTGAATGCTTGTCAGGTGCATGGCCCAGTGGGTGAAGCTGTTGAACAGGTCCCTTGCCAGTGCCCCCAGCAGCGGCTCTTAACAGCCATGCTAATGGCCCTCTCCTCTCCAAGCACCCAGGCTTGCAGTGGTCTGGGGCAGGCCTTGGGCCGCTCCCTCCCCGGGCATTACAGCCCTATCTCTGTGCCTTCCCTGAGCCCCTGCAATTCCACCAGAGGCCTGATGACTCTCTGGGGGACCTCTTCAAATAACTTCAGTCATTCATGTGGAGCAAGAGAGCCAGACTCCTGGCAAGAAAAAGCCAGACAGGGCCTGGGCTTCAGAAGATGCCTCACAGACCCTGGCAATCGGCCTGACTTCCAGAGGCCCCTCCCTCCCTGCAGGTCCAGGACACACATCACTTTACAGGAGAGGTTTCAGTCTGCAAGGCCAGCCCAAGTCTCCCAGAGTGGATGGTCCTCCCACCTCACCCTCTCTCTCAGACCATAGGGGTCGCTGGGCCCATGCTCTGTTGCAGGCACCAAGCCTGCCCTCCAGGCTAGGGGCTCAGCATTTCTAGAATTCTTGGGGTGTGAAGGACATTCATCTGAAAAGCTTCACTGGAGGATTGCAGACTTCAGGCTCCTAAGAAATTGCCTGGTGACTCTTGGTCTGCCTTTGCCACCACCCCTCCCAACGGCATAGGCAGCACTGAGATAGGCCACTCTACAAGTGGAAGGAGCCCAGGCCGGAAAACTGGGCCACCAGAATTCAGCCTACGAACCTCAGCTTCATCCTCTGTGAAACAAAGACGGCAATTTCCCAAGCAGAGAGAAAGGTCCTGGCACTAAGCAGGTGCTGAACAAAGACACGTAGCTGTTCACTCTACCACGCCCTAGCAGGTGGGTCCCAAGCAGAGGATGCACCAGAACAGAACAAAGCCATTCAGGGAAGCAACTGACTCGCTCATTCATTCTTTCTGTGAGAGCTTATGCGATCCACTCTCTTTCCGATGGACATAGGAAGCCCCAGGCAAAGGCTGTGCACAGCCCCTTCCTTCTCTTGCTGCTTGGGGACATCTGGAAGGCTGACAAAACACACAGAACCACCTCCTGCTCTGACCAACTAACAACACTACACTTTCTGTCCAGGTAGAAAAGTGGATGAAATATGCTAAACCATTATTTACAGACTTTGAGCCACAGACAGTGCGGGAGTGTGATCACTGAAAACAAGCAGAACTTCTGGGACCCAGTGCAGGGAGGGGCTCCATGCAGCGCATGGAGGTGGCTGGAGCTGAAGAGACAGAAACCGGACAGATTGCTGGAGAAGACAGAGCTGCACGCTGAGCCCATGCCTCTTGCATGGCTTGAGTGAACAAAACCTGCTCTGCGTGGTGTGGGGGGCTGTTATATTCATGAAGGCTGCAACCAAGACCCAGGGAGGCCCTGAACTGCATCCAGCCAGGGCTAGGTCACGTCGTTAACACCTTTAATCAGAGACCGTCCTGATTCGCTGTAGTCCTGATTGGCTTTTATACTCTCCACCTCCAGCCAGGTCTTCTTTGCAGATAGATTGTAGAAGAGCATGGGTCTCTGAGAGCCCATCATCGTCTCACTTGATCTGCTTCTGTAAAGCATTTTAAATGTATGCTGTGGTCTGAATGTTTCTCATGAATGGGATTACTGCCCTTATATAAGGGGCCCCAGGGAGTCAGCAACCTCCTCCAGTATGTGAGGACACAGGGAGAAGGTGCCATCAATGAAACAGTAAGTGGGTCCTCACCAGACACCAGATGTGTCAGTGCCTCGATCTTGGACTTCTCAGCCTCCAGAACTGTGAGGAATACATTTCTGTTAAGTCTCCCAGTCTATGGTATTTTGGTTATAGAAACCCAAACAGACTAAGACGCTTTGCAAAATAATGTTTATTTTGAGCACCTACTATGTCCCAGATACTGCGACTATTATATAACTTAATTTAAACTTTTATAACAGCTCTATTATATACATAGCACCATCTCTTTTTACCTTTTTTAAAAATTGTGCAACACATGAATACATTTGTTGGAAAAAAAAAAACAAAACAGAAGTGTATTGACTGCAAAGCCAACGTCTCCTCACCCGGCCTCCACTTCCAGTCCCACTCGTGTGTCTGAGCATATCCATTTAAGAGGGGTGTGATTCTGGACAATTCTATATATTCAATCATTTGTCTGTCTTGAGGAAGTCCTGCTTGTTTCCTAATGCAGAAGGAGTTATTTATCATTCCTGGCAATGTGGCATAGAATTTCCAGTGCAGCTGGGGAGTCCAGCTGCCCCCACCCAAGCCCACCTCTTCCTGGAGTTGGGTAACTTGACCTTGAGGCTCAACATCGCTGGAACTCAGCGTCATCACCTGTCAAACAGGGTCAAAGGAGTGTCTGCCTCCAGGGCTGCTGAGTGGCCAGCAGGCGGTGGTGAGGGTGAGGGTGCAGACGGTGAGCACTTTGAAGCTGCACGGATGCCATGAGCAATGCCCAGCTCCCAGCCTCCTCCGTCTGCCACAGAAAATGTGTCTGCCCATGCCTAGGCTGTCCCCAGACCCCCACCCTATCATTGAATGAGGGATGAAGGTTCTCCATGTTGTCTCTCTGTTCCAACACTGTTTATGTACTATGGGTATCACCTCCTTCAAGAAACCAGGTTGTTGTCCAGGTCTAGGACCTGCTGGGGGAGGTGGGGAGCTCTGGAGGGTAAGCAACAGCACAGCAGGGTGGTCACCATCCCAGGCTACGGAGCCAGACCACCTGGACTCTATTTCTTACTTGGAGCCAAACAACCAGGTTCAAGTCCCTACCTGTTCACTTAAGAGCTGAGTAAATTCCGGAGGCTACCTCTTGTCTCCTTGCCACACCAAAACCCCCATTAGTAAAATCCAGACCATGGTAGCTTTCACCTCAATAGGTGATTACAAGGGTCATATTTTTATTTTGTCTACTGTTTATCTTTATTTTATATCAAATTGTCTAAGTTCCCTCTTTTTCTAGATTGCTGAGAGTTTTTGTCATGAATGTTAGTTGTCAAATTTTTTTCTGCATCATTTGATATAAACTTGTAATTTTTTTCCTTGTTAGCCTGTTAATATGGCACATTATATTGATTGATTTTAATGATTGAATCAGCCTTGCACCCCTGACACAAACTCCACTGCTTTCTGTACATTGATGGATTTGATTGCTAATATTTTATGAGGACATTTGTGTTTATACTTTTTTTTTTTTTTTTTGATATGGAGTCTTGCTCTGTCACCCAGGCTGGAGTACAGTGGCGCGATCTCGGCTCACTGCAAGCTCCGCCTCCCGGGTTCACGCCATTCTCCTGCCTCAGCCTCCCGAGTAGCTGGGACTACAGTTGCCCGCCACCATGCCCAGCTACTTTTTTGTATTTTTAGCAGAGACGGGGTTTCACCGAGTTAGCCAGGATGGTCTCGATCTCCTGACCTCGTGATCCGCCCATCTCGGCCTCCCAAAGTGCTGGGATTACAAACATGAGCCACCGCGCCCGGCCTGTGTTTATACTCTTGAGAGATATTGATCTGTATTTTTTTCTCTTTTTGTACTATCATTGTCTAGATTTGGTATCAGGTAATACTGATCTTGTAAAATAAGTTGGGAAGTGCTTCCTCCTCTTCTAATTTATGGAAGATACTTTTTAGAGTTAATGTTAATTCGGAAATTTCACAGTAAAATCATCTGGTTCTAAAGATTTATTTTTTGGGGGGGGTTTAAAATTACAAATTAAATTTTCTTAATAATAGGATTATTCAAATTCTCTCTTTCATGTTTACTGAATTATAGTAATTGTGTTTTTTGAGAAATTGGTCCATTTAAACTAAATTGTCAAGTTTATGTGTGTAGGGTTGTTCACAATATTCCCTTATTATCCTTAAGCCATCTGCATGGTCTATATTGATATCCCGTTTCATTCTTGATATTGGTAATTTATGCCTTTTTTCTCTCTTTTAAAAAATTTTTAGTAAAAGCATTTTTGTGATGGCTGCCTTAGGATCCTTGTTGGAAAATCCTAACATCGGTGCTACTTCTTTATTGGTGTCCATTGATCACTTTTACTCATTCCATTTGAGATTTTGCTAGTTCTTGGTATGATGAGGGATTGTCAATGATATCTGCACATCTGAGGTATTATGAGACCAAACCTTATTTAAATTTTTTGTTTTAGCAGGCTTCCTCTGAAGGAAGGAATGGGTAGAGAGGGTTTCACCTATTACTGCAAGGTGGGGGTCAAACTTCAGATCCCCGCTTGGGCTCCATTGGCCCCCAAGAGGAGGGGCTTCTCATCACTGCTGGGCAGGGGTAAGAGTTCCATGAAAGGCAGGGAGCGTGGCCACAGCTCCCCACTGGTCCCCACTGGCACGGCCAGAGATGGGGCCTCACTAGCACTGGTCAGCAATGGAAGTCCTGACCTCCCACTTGGCCTTCTCTGACATCACCACAGCGTGGAGGAGCAGTTGCTACAGTTTGGCAAGGGTGATAGTCTAAGCTCGCCAGGTGGCCTTTGCTACTGGGGTGGGGCTGGGGCAGTGGTTATTTCCATGGAGTTTGGCTGAAGAGGAGTGTGGTTATTGTCTAAAAATGTTCTGTCTTGCTTGGCTGCCCCTTTTCTTGTTCTGTGGCTGCAGAAAGCAGGGTTTTTTTGTGTTTGTTTGTTTGTTTGTTTTCTGGGGGATAAGGGAGTCTGTATTTTCCTATTGGCATTTTCAGGTTTCTGCAGCACTCAGTGCGAGATATATAAGGCACTAAGAAGAGCAAAGAAACGCACTATCATGTCATTCTTCAGGACACAAAGCCCTGACTGATCTGCCCTCCTTTCTCCACCTTTCAGAGTTGTCTTGTTTTGTATATAATGTTAAGGGGCTTTCGCTGCACTAAGTAGGAGGAATAGGGAAACATATGTCTACTCCATCCCATAAATGTTTCTATGTTATATTGTCAATCAGTTCAAGCTATTTTTAAATTTAAAATACTTCCTCTTTGAGTCACAGATTATTTAGAAGCACATTTTGTAGTTTTCAAATGTTTGGAGATTTTCCTGTTATCTTTCTGTTATTGCTTGGTAGCTTGAGTCCATGATGGCCACAGAACCAACTCTGTACGAGTTTTATTATTTTATATCTGCTGTGGTTCATTTAATGGCTCAGAATACAGTCTAAGTTGGTAAACGTTGTGTGAGGGCTTGAAAAACATGCGGATTCTACTGTTGTTGGGTGAATTGTTCTCTAAATGTTTAGATCCTGTCAGCTAATGGTATTGTTCTATAAATTGTTGAGAGAGGAGTGTTGAAGTCTCCCATTAAAATTTTGTTTATTTCTCCTTTCAATTTTCTATCAGTTTTCTATTCACATATGTTGCAGCTCCATTGTTGGGTGCATACATGTTTAGGATTGCTATGATTTCTTCAGGGACTGATCCTTTTACCATTAGGAAATGTTCCTTTCTGTTACTTCACTCTGAAGTCTGTCCTCTAGGATAACATATACACTTCAACTTTACTTTGATTAATGTTTATATGTAATATAGTTTTTCGATCTTTTCTTTCAACCTAACCATATTATTAGATTGAAAGTGAGTTTCTTGTAGCTGGCATATAGTTAGCTCATTTTATAATTCACTCTGTCAATTTCTGTCTTTTAATTGGTGTATTCAGACAACTTATATTTAATGTGATTACATATACATTAGGAAATAAATCTGTCATTTTATTTATTTTATTATTATTATACTTTAAGTTTTAGGGTACATGTGCACAACGTGCAGGTTTGTTTGTTTTCTGTTTGTTTCCTCCGAGTTTTTTGTTTTACTGTTTTCTTCTTTCTGCCTCCTGTGGGTTGTTTGAACGTTTTTTACAATTCTAGTTTGATTTTTCTATAGTGTTTTGAGTGGATTTCTTCGTATAAACTATTAAGTGGTTGCCCTAGGCATTACATTTCAGTGAAGATTTTTATATAGGAAATGAGAGAACTTGTAAATATATTTATGTTTCTCATCAGTCATTATAAATGAGCAAGTTGACATTCAACTTTTACTTGTGCTCCCTCGTACCTCGATTGGCAAATCATCACAGAGAGATGGCCACGTTCCCCATTTGCTGATGAAAATCTCGCCAAGGTGAGACTCAGGTTTCGTAAAGTGGTGTGTTGAGGTAAATACCACCTTGTAAGTCGCTGACGAGCAGTTTCCCTTCCCTGGCAACTCCCCAGCCTCACTGGATTCTTTATTTCATGTTTAAATGTGGAGTCCCTCCCTGTATCCTCTAGAGGAAGTGCAAGCACCAGAAGAAAGCTGAACTGTTATTTTCATGTTTAATATACCAAAATAATAGGAATCAAATGATTTCAAGGGGAATTGTTACATTAGTTCACATGGAGCTTGAAAGAAACTAGCACAAAGATGCTGCAATGCTACATCAAGCATCAAATCAGCTCTGATGTGCTAGGTCTGAAAGCAGCAAGCATATTTTGTTGAAATTAGACTAACTGCGCAGCACTTCCAGCCTTGTGCTTTGAAATCATGTTAACGATGATGAGGAGAAAGAAAAACTTGTAAAAACACTGTTTTTCTCAGTGGACAGTAAAAAAAATACCAATACCATGGTTTCCTTGTTCAAATAAATTCTGAATAAATTACAAAGGACCCATATTTTGTGGTTTCAGGAAGCATTTTCAAGGGAGCATTATCTTTGCTGCTTGCACTAGTTTTCCTGAAACAAACAAGAGACTGATGTAGCAAGATGGCAGATAGAGGAGTTCTCAAAGATTAGATTTTAAAGAGTATCATGACTCATCCTGTTGATTTTTTAAAAAATCAAATAAGTGTTTTTCCTTAATGTGTGAGAAAAGGAGTCAGCATCTGTCACTAGTAAAACGCATCCAAAAAAATAGAATGAGTGATTGGCAGAGAAGCAGGGCAAGCCTAAAAGCTTAGAAACACCCCAAATATTATGTCTTTTCTATAAATTACATACCACAAAACAAAAGTCATAAGACATATGAAGAAAAACTAACAGCATAAAATAAAAGCATCAAATGAAGTAAATCGACAATGCGGCAATGCAGTATTATTTAAATGGCAAAAATTAGAAGTACACAAAGATGTTTGTTGCAAGCTATTAGAAGTTGGAGGAAAAAAATCTGTTTATATGTAGTGTAATAGTTAATAATGAGTAAATTAAGCTGTTCTGATTCTATGTATTCTGGTTATGTATGGATGTATAACAAACGTCCCTAAATCTACCAACTTAATACAATAATGGCAGTGTATTTTGCTCAGAATTTGCTATTTGAGTGGGACATGACAGGAACAGCTTATCCCTGCTCTGTGCAACATCAATGGGGGCAGCTCTTCTGTGGCTAGAGGATTCAGCTTGAAAACTTATTTCACTAACATGAAAACCAAGTTCATTTATAGGGCTGGCAAATTGGTGCTGACTCTTTTCTGGGTGCTTAGCCAGGGCTGTACCTGGGAGCTTTGGATCTTCTCCATATGCATTTCCATGGAACTTTTGCACCTCCTCACAGCATGACACCTGAGTTCCAGAGATCAAGGCAGAAGCTTCAGGCAGCATGACTTCTGCCTCATTCTATCGGTTAGGCAAGTCATCAAGTTCAACCCAGATTTAAGGATCAGGGCATTAGGCCTCTCAATGGAAGGATCCACAAATGATTTGTGGCATTCTTTAATCTGTCACATTATGGAATATTATGCAGCTATTGAAAAGATTAAAAAGCAAATGGAAGTATAATACAGTTGATTTAATTCCATTTGTGAAAAAAATAAGGGAGCAGGCTATCCATGTATATTCATATTTAGTTGTTTGAAAATAGAAAATAGTTTGAATCATTACATACAGGAGTGGGAAAGGAAACAAAGGGGAATTATTAGCTTCTTTATGTACTTTTATATTTTGATTTATTACAATTACCTTGTATTACTTTTGTGCATTAAAAAATATATAATTCTTTTTAAAAAACTAAAATGATTCTTTTAAATTACCAAATCAAGCAGAACCAGAAATAGAATTTTTAAATATTCCATTAAAATAGCAACCGAAAAGATATTGATCTTAACAACAACAACAACAACAACGCTTATTAAAGCCTTGAGGGTAAACATTTACCTGTGAGGTTTTGAGATTCCGAAGTAAGTGTGTTGAGGTAAATACCACCCTGTAAGTCACTGACGAACACTTCTCTGGCAATTCCCCAGCCTCACTGGGTTCTTTATTTCATGTTTAAATGTGGAGTATCCCTGTATCCTCTAGTGGAAGTGCAAGCACCAGAAGAAAGCTGAACTGTGAATCCAGAACCACCACTGTATTTCTTTGAATCCTGCAAAGAGTTGGCATTTTCTAGGGCATGATGTGTGGTAGGCGGGGAGGTGGGGAAGAGAGCTTTTAATATGCAATTCATACAATTTTTGTACTTGAAAAAATAAGAATACAAAACATTTTAAATAAATTTTTATTGCAGAATAACATACATGCGGAAAGGCATACAAATTCTATTTTACCTCAAATAATGTTCACAAACTGAATATATTCATGTAATCAACACCCATTTATAGAAATAAAACATTACCAACACTTCAGGAGCCCTTCTGGCACCCTCATCCCGTGTCAAACCCATCCTAAAAAAGGTATCCACTGCTATAACATCTATCGACATAGATTACTCCTATCTATTTTGAACCTTACATAAATAGAATTATATACATCATACTCTTGCGTCTGGCATTTTGTGACAAACATTAGGCTTGGGAGATTCATCCATGTAGTTGTACACTGAAGTTGTTTATTATTTTTCAGGGATTTAAAGTATTTTATTGTGATTTTGTCAGAACATATTTACTTATCCTACCATTGATAAATATTTGGCTTGTTTCCAGTTTGGGGTTATTATGAATAATGCTGCTATTAGCATTTGTATAAACATCTTTTAGTGCATTTGCATGGGGTATATATACCTACAAATGTTATTACCTTGTCAAGTCTAGTGGACACTGCCAAAGAGTAATATTCCCAAATGCATGTATGAGAGTTTCTGTTGCTCCTTAATCTCATTAACACTGGACCACTTGGGAATGGAGGACGGAATGGCAGCTGCTGGTTTCAGTTTGAATTTCCCTGATGACTATATAACACTGATGACCTTTTCATATGTTTTGAGGGCACTTGGATGAAATTTTTTAAAAATAAAATATTCAAGACAATTGCCTATTTTTTAAATTGGGTTGGTTTTTTTTTCTGATTAATCTGTAAAAGTGCTTTAGAATTTTTAGGTTCTTCTCAGGTGTGTATTGCAAACATCTTCTCATATGCCGTTTTTTTCTGCCTCATATAGTTTTGTTTTTATGGAATAGAAATTCTTGGTTTTAATAAAGTAAAATTTTAAAGTAGTTTCCTTTGTGGTGTCTTTTTAAAGAAAGATTTGCTCACCGTAGAGTCAGGAATATACTCTGTGCTACTTTAGAAGCCTTATTGTCTTACCTTTCACAATTAGGTCTAAGTCCGTTTGAGATTGACTTTTCTGTACAATGTGAGGTGATGGTAAAGATTAATTTTTTCCACATGAATATTAAATGAGTCAGCATTTCATATTCTTTCTCCACTGTTCTATGCCACCTTGGTCTACAATTGATTATAGATGCCTTTCTCCATTGGTTTCTCATCATGATTTCATAAAATAATCAATTGGCCATCAACTAGACTTGAACTGAGACATTGACTTTTTGGATTTCAAACCTGCTGGCTTTCAGATTAGAACTTACGTCATTGGCCCGCCATTGGTTCTCAGGCCTTCAGACTCAAATTGGAGCTATATTATTGGCTCTCCTGGGTCTCCACCTTGTCAACTGCAGATCCGGGGACTTCTCAGCCTCCATAATCATGTGAGTCAATTCCTTACAATACATCGATAGGTAGATAGAGGGAGACATAGATATAGAGATATATGTATACCTACAGATATATTAATATAGAGATATAGATATCTCCTATTGGTTCTGTTTCTCTGGAGATCTACGACTAATAAACCTGAGAAAATCTTTCTTGCACACAAGAATTGGTTGGGTGTCATTTCTGAGTGAAAGCTGCTCAGAAAGAAGTTAGCATTTTCCATTGTTACCCTAACTGTGGGCAGTAGCCACTCCCTAGACTGCATATCCCTGGCTGCAGTGGTTTTTTCCCTTGTCACTGTTGGACTTCACTGCCATTCAGCATGTGCTTAACAAAGGCTTCCTTTAAAAGGTTACTGGCCAAATGCTATACTCCTTCTTCCATCCCATATTTCTAAAATGATAAAAAAGACAAAAATATGAAGCTATGTGAAAACAGCAATGGTTGCAAGTAGACTATGTAATTCTGATCAATACCCTTAAACATAATTATAAAAGCTAGATAAAATATTTCATAAAGATGTGCTTGGGACTTCCACCTCTGGGAAAGTGGAATCGATGTACTTTTCCCAATTCCTCCGACTAAGTCCAACTAAAATCCCTGGCTCTGAAAGGTGGAAAGCAACAGACATATTAGAAACCCCAGGACCAAAAGAACACATGGCGATATGTTCTCTGGGATTTCTTTCCATTTCACATATCCAAGGCTTAAAGCTAGAGAAGCTGACAACTCACAGACCATGGGTGAAAAGGGGGAAAAAAGAAAAACAAACAAACAAGAAAACAAGCAAACAACACAACACAACAAAAGACTTCTCTCTTTAGTTAAAGGTCAGGAAAGGTTCAACCTAGCAAGGTAGAAAATGTTAAAACAGTCATTATTCAACTTCCACCATACACCACAAAAGAAACTGTGGCCTCACCCATATCCACACTAGTGAGGGGTGGCAGGGAGCCTACAGATCTACTCTCACCAAGCTGCAATCAGGTGCCCCAATCCTCCTCCCCAACATCAGGGTGGTATCAGAGATAGTCAAGTCAAGAGCTGGAATTTTCATCTCCAGGAGGCGATAGTCCCTCTCCCTTTGTGGTGTCAGTGGAGGCCCCATGGAGGCCCCATGGGAAGTCTGAACTTCCACTCTCCTCTGACAGTGAGGAGGTGCCCTTCCTCCACCCTAAGGTGATGTAAAAGAGACTTGCTTGGGAGCCAAAACTTTCATTACCACCTGGGCATCATAAAGCCACTTCTCGGTGGTGTCGGCACAGGTCATGTGGGGAATGAGAGGCATTCTTATTCTGACCAGCCAGGGTGATTTTAGTGGAGGCCTGTCAGAGAGTCAGAAACCCCACTCCACTCAGCAGTAATGGGGAGTCTCTTGGGTGTTCATGGAGGTTGAGTGAGGGACCTGGACTTCTACATTCACCAGCTGCTGCAAGGCAAAGGTCTAACTTCCTCCACCAGAGTGATGTCAGAAGCAACCATCTGAAAGAGAAGACCTAAATAATACCAAGACTATCATAATATTGCACATATCCAGTTTTCAATAAAAATAGTCCCTAGTTATATGCAAGAATCAGGAAAACATAAACTTGAGTTTTAAAAAATCAGTAGATACCAACAGTTGGATGACAGAGATGTTAGGATTATCTGACAAAATTTTAATGCAGAGGCTGGGCCTGGTGGCTCACATCTGTAATCCCAGCACTTTGGGAGGCTGAGGTGGGTGGATTACTTGAGGTCAGGAGTTCAAGACCAACCTGGCCAAGAAGATGAAACCCTGTCTCTACTAAAAATACAAAAATTAGCCAGGCGTGGTGGCGCATGCCTGTAATCCCAGCTACTAGGGAAGCTGAGGCAGGATAATCACTTGAATCCAGGAGGCGGAGGTTACAGTGAGCCAAGATTGCACCATTTGCATTCCAGCCTGGATGACACAGCGAGACTCCATCTCAAAAAAAAAAAAAAAGTTTTAATGCAGGCATAATAAATATTCTTCACTGAGCAATTACAATACAATGGGACAAAAGAAAAAAGAATTAGAAAGCCTTAGCAAAAAAGTAAAAGATAGAAAGGAAAACCAAATGGAAATTTTAGAACACAAAACTAAAATAGACAAAATTTAGAAAAATCAATGGATGGACTCAACAGCAAGTACAAGTAGATAGAGGAAAGAATCAGTGAACTTGAAGGTGGAACAATGGAAATTACCTGAATGACAGAGAAAACAGACTATTAAAAAATGAGTATAGCCTCATGGACTTGTGGGACTATAACAAAAATCTAAGAGTGTGTCATCACAGTCCTGAAAGAAGAGCAGGAATATGAGAAAGCTGAAAACACAAAGAATTATGGCTGAGAATTTCCATAAACCAAAGGATTCAAGAAGGTACATGTCTTAGTCTGTGTTGCCATAAAGAAATATGGAAGGCTTGGTGATTTATAAAGAAAAAGGGATCTATTTGGCTCATGGTTCTGCAGGCTGTAGAAGAAGCATGCCATCAGCATCTGCTCCTGGTGAGACTCTCAGGCTGCTTCCATTCCTGGTGAAAGAAAAAGGGGAGCTGTATGTGCAGAGATCACATGGTAAGTGAGTAAATGAGAAAGAGATAAAGGGTGGGGCCAGGCTCCTTTTAACAACCAGCTCTCATGGGAACTAATAGAGTGAGAATTCACTCACTACCACAAGGATGGCACCAAGTCATTCATGAGGGATCTTCCCCCATGAGTCCCCCACTAGGCCCCACCTGCAACACTGGGGATCAGATTTCAAATGAGCTCTGGAGGATCAAACAAACCAAACTGTAGCTTTGAGCCAGCCCTAAACAAGACACGCAGAGAAGTACACATCAAGATGCATCATAGCCAAACTTCTAAAAACTAAAAAGAAAGAAAAAAAATATTGAAAGCAGCCAGAGAGAAATAACACATTACCCATAGGAGAAAAACAATTTGAATTATTGTCAATTTCTTATCAGAAATATTGGAGGCCAGAAAGAAATGGTAAAAGATTTTTCAAGTGCTAAAAACAAACAAACAAACAAAAGAAATAGTTTATTCAGAATTCTATATCCAGTGAAAATAGCTTTCTGATATAAGAGGAAAATCAAGATGTTCTCAGATGAAGAAAAATTAAGATAATTTTTCAAAAGTAAACTTACCCTAAAAGGATGTTGTCTTAGGCCATTCTTGCATTGCTGTAAAGTAACACCTGAGATTGGGTAATTTATAAGAAAGCAGTTTAACTGGATCACATTTATGCAGGATATACAGGAAACACAGTGCTGGCATCTGCTTCTGGGGAGGCCTCATGGCAGAAGGCAAAGTGGGAGCAGGCACTTCACATGGCAAAAGCAGGAGTGAGAGAGGGAGTTGGGAGGGCCACACACTTTTAAATGACCAGATCTCATATGAACTCAGAGTGAGAGCTCACTTATCACCAAGGGGATGGCTCAAGCTATTCATGAGGGATCTGCCTCCACGATCCAAAAACTTCTTCCCACCAGGCTCCACCTCCAACATTGGGGATTACATTTCAACATGAGATTTGGGCAGGGACAAATATCCAAACTACATCATTCTACTCCTGGCCTTTCCACAAATCCCATGTCCTCACTTTGCAAAATGCAATTATGCCTTCCCAACAGTCCCCCAAAGTCTTAACTCATTCTGGCACTAATTCAAAAGTCTAAAGTCCAAAGTCTCACCTGAGATGAGGCAATTCCCTTCCATATATGAGCCCACAAAATCAAAGGCAATTTATTTACTTCCAAGATACAATGTGTAAATAGGCATTGGGTAAACATTCCCACTCCAAAAGGGAGAAATTGGCCAAAAGAAAGGAGCTACAGGCCCCAAGCAGGTCCAAAACCCATCACGGCAGTGATTAAATCTTAAAGCTCCAAAATAGTGCCACCTCCAGGGCACACTGGTGCAAGGAGTGGGCTCCCAAGGTCTTGGGCAGCTCTACTTTTGTGGCTTTGCAGGTTTCAGTCCCCAAGGTTGCTCTCAAAGCTTGTTGAGTGCCTGTGGCTTTTCCAGGTGCAAGGTACAAACTGTCAGTGGATCTACTATTCTCAGATCTGGAGCATGGTGTCCCCTTCTCACAGCTCCACTAGGCAATGCTGCAGTGGGGATTCTGTGTGAGGCCTCCAACCCCACATTTCCCCTCCGTACTGCCCTAGTAGAGGTTCTCTGTGAGGGCTCCACCCCTATAGCAGGCTTCTGCTTGGACACACAGGCTTTTATTGTTTTTTTTTTTTTACCGAGTCCTGCACTGTCCCCTGGGCTGGAGTGCAATGCCGTGATCTCGGCTCACTGAAATCTCCACCTCCTAGGTTCACATGATTCTCCTGCCTCAGCCTCCCAAGTAGCTGGGATTACAGGTGCACATCACCATGCCCAGCTAATTTTTTTTTGTATTTTTAGTAGAGACGGGGTTTCACTACGTTGGCCAGGCCGGTCTCAAACTCCTGACCTCATGATCGATCGGCCTCGCCCTCCCAAAATGCTAGGATTACAGGTGTGAGCCACCATGCCCAGCCCACTCAGGCTTTTCCATACATCCTCTGAAATCTAGGTGGTGGCTTCCAAGAATCCACCACTCTTGCACTCTGTGCACCTGCAGGCTTAACACCACATGGAAGCCACCAAGGCTTGTGGCTTGCATTCTCCAAAATGGCAGCCTGAGCCATACCTGGGCCTCCTTGAGCCACAGCTGGTGCTGGAGCCAAAGCAGCCAGGATTCAGGGAGCAGTGCTCCAAGGCTGTGCAGACAGTAGGGGTCCTGGCCCGTGAAATCATTCTTCCTTCCTAGGCCTCTGAGCCTATGATGGGAGGGGCTGCCCCAGAGACTTCTTAAATGCCTACCAGGACTTTTTTCCATTGTCTTGACTGTCAGTGCTTACCACTTGCCTCCTTTTGATTATTCAAATATCTCTAGTAAGTGTTGTTCTGCAGACTGTTTGAATTCCTGTCCTAAAAAAGCTTTTTCTTCCTCTATCACATGGCCAGGCTGCAGATTTTCCAAACTTTTATACTCTGCATCTCTTCTAAATATAAGTTGCAATTTTAAGTCATTCATTTGCTCCCACATCTGAGCATAGGTTGTTAGAAGCAGCCAGGCCACATTTGAATGCTGTGCTGCTTAGAAATTTCTTCCACCAGATACCCTAGGTCATCATTCTCAAGTTCAAACTTCCACTGATCCCCAGGATGTAAACAGAATGCAGCCAAGCTCTTTGCTAAGGCATAATATGCATGACCTTTGCTCCATTTTTCAGTAAGTTCCTTATTCCCATCTGAGACCTTTGCAGCCTGGACTTCACTGTTCATAATTCTATTAGCATCTTGGTTGCAACCATTTAGCCAGTCTCTAAGAAGTTCTAAATTCTCTCTCATCTTCCTGTCTTCTTCTGAGCCCTCCAAACTCTTCCGTCCTCTACCTATTACCCAGTTTCAAAGTTGCTTTCACATTTTCAGATATCTTTATAGCAATGCCCCACCCCTCAGTACCAATTTTCTGTTAAGCTGTTCTTGCATCACTACAGAGGAATACCTGAGACTGGGTAATTGATATAGTTTGGCTCTGTGTCCCCACTCAAATCTTATCTCGAATCGTAATCCCCATGTGTTGAGGGAGGGACCTGGTGAGAGGTGATTGTATCATGGGGGTGGTTTCCCCCATGCTGTTCTTGTGATATTGAGTGTGTTCTCATGAGATCTGATGGTTTAAAAGTGTTTGGCAGTACCCCACCTCTTCTGCTGCCATGTAAGACATGCTTTGCTTCCCCTTCCCCTTCCACCATGATTGTAAGTTTCCTGAGGCCTCCCAGACATACAGAACTATGAGTTAATTAAACCTCTTTCCTTTATAAATTATCCAGTCTCAGGTCATTATTTACAGCAGTGTGAAAACAGGCTAATACAGTAATTTATAAGACAAAAAGATTTAGTTGGATCACATGCAGGCTATATAGGAAACAAAATACTAGAACATTCTTCTGAGGAGGGAAGCTTTTACTCATGGCAGAAGGCAAAATGGGAGCAGGCACTTCACATGGCAAAAGCAGGAGGGAGAGAGATTTGAGGGGAGTGCCACAAACTTTTAAACAACCAGATCTCATGTGAACTCAGAGCAAGAGCTCATCTATCATCAAGGGGATGGCCCAAGTCATTCATGAGGGATCTGTCCTCATGATACAAACACTTCCCACCAGGCCCCACTTTTAACATTGGGGATTACATTTAAACATGGGACTTGGGTGGGGACAAATATCCGAAGTATATTAGATGGCTAAACCAAGTTCTCTAAACAGAAAGAAATGATAAAAGGAGGAAACTGGGAACATGAGAAAGGGAGAAAGAACAGTGGAAAGAATTTTAAAAATAGATAAATATAATACATTTTCTTTCTCCTATTGAGTTTTCTAAATTATGTTTGACAGCCAAAGCAAAAATTATAACACCCTCTATAACACTATCTTATGTGGTTTTAAATCTATTATAGAAAATATTTAAGACAACTATGTTATACACAGTAGAAGATAAAGGGACTAAAAGGAATGTGAGGCTTCTATATTTCACTCCAATTGGCACTCTGGTGGGTTATGTTAATAGTGGAGAAGGTTATATATAGATGGGCAGGGAGTATGTGGGAAACCTCTGTGTTTTCCCTTCAATTTTGCTTTGAAACTAAAATTGCTCTAAAGTCTAATAAAAAATGCATCTACCAGATCAAAAGCTGCATGCCACATACTAGAAACTACATTGAATACCCTTGTAAAGACAGCATATCCACCCAGCTGCAACTGGACCTACCACTGTGCCTTAAATCAGTAACTGGCTCACTTAAGTTTGTTATTTCCTCAACACATCCATAGCATCAACCAATTTTACATCCTTCTAGTGACTATTTCACCACATGTCCTACACACCAGAGTTATTGCACAAGCCACTGCATCTTTTTCTAATTGTACCTTGTCCCTATTTACCCCAGATAAACCACAACTATTCACATGCTCCTGTCATTGGTGATGAGCTCCCAGGACTACTTCCATACCAACTGTCTCAAGTTGCATTCCTCAGGAGCAGACTCTGAGGTGAAGATTTCTATGAGTTATTTGTGGTGGAAATGCCACCAGAAGAAACCAAGATGAGGAAGCAGGGCAAGGAATGAGAAGGGGCTGAACAGGGTAAAATTTCAAGCAAAGTCCCAGAATAAGTAGCCTCAGATTGATCTCAGAGTGTGACCTAACTCTAGCCAGGCTTCTTAAATTCTCTTCTCAACTAGGCTCTGACGTGTGTATGTCTGAGTCCATCTTTGCATTGTCCAGTGTTAGCAAGAATCCTTCTTAATTGGTTTAGCCAGAACATGCCACCGTCGATATCTGATCATCCTTGATATCTGATCAGGTTCTTCCTCTTCCACCATCCCTCAGGTGATGTCTGATCACCTTGGCCTGGCTTCAGCAAGAATCCTGTGAGGTCACTTTAGCAAAAAAACAAAACAAAACAAAAACAGCAATGACAACAACAACAACAAAAAACCTCCTTAGCCCTGATTACCTCTTAGTAATTTTCTACCCTCTGATCCCTACCATGCTCCCTGGCCATAAATTCCCCCGTTTCCTTTTGCATTCAGAGATAAGCCCCATCTCTCTCCCCTACTGCAAACCCCAATTGCAGTCATCCTTATGCCTGCCATGATATGCACCCCGTGGATAAAGTCTGGGTATAAATTATATCTCAGAAACATCCCATGTAGACTCCCTTTCAAGCTTCCTAAGCTGAGGGTTGTCATGGGGGATGTCCTCTGAATATAGGAGCAGAGTAGCCTGGGGAAAGTCATGTGAAGAAGCATCACAGGTTCCTGCTATCAGGGACAAAAGTAAGCTTTGGAGAGGCCCAGTGCTGACCAATGGGATTCCAAGGAGTCTGGGTGGGACAGCAACAGGGCTGGCCTCCTCCACGGTGTCTGTCCCACCCACAGGATCATGTGAGCTCTGCAGCTCCTCTGTTCAACACACTCCTTTTCTGATCCTATCCCAACTCCCTGAAGGCAGAACACATCTTCTTGTATCCTCCCTAATGCCTAGCAGTATGAATGATCCACACTGTGCTGAAAACACTAAAGACATCTCTCTGCAAAGCTTGGATCACTTACTTAGCACCCCTGACTGTGAGCAAGAAGGCTTGCCTCAACATTGGTCCTGAGGAAGGGCTCCAAGTGCATTCCACTGGCTGTCCTAGGGCAGAGCAGTGCATGGTGTGGCTGAGAGTGAGTGGACAAATTAAGTTTCACCAGAGAATTTTTAGAAAAATGTCCCAAAGTGGTCTAGTCATCCAGTCATCCCCCACACTCACAGATACTGTTGTCCCTACACAGTGTAAGGCAGGATTCTAAATTCATTTTCAACTTGCATGGCTTTTACTTTTTTATTGTTTGTCTTATAATCTGTTAAGTGCTTTTTTGTATGCCAGGAACAGAGATGACTTCTTGAAGTAAATTATCCCCATATGGGCTTAAAGAGGAGGTATTTCTACTGTCTGCTAGAGAAAACACCCGAGGCCTGCAGGTTAGGGGCTTACTCGTGATTGCTTTGAGGGGCATAAGCAGAATGGGATGAGCCTGCAGCTTCACCCCCATCTGCACCCTCCTGCACTTTCACGTTTCTGCTGTGATTCACCCTCCCCCAGAGCCTGGCTTTAGCCTTAGCTCTGCTACACTGGAGACCCAGCTGGATGTTGCCACCAGAGGCATTTCTATATTCCTTTAAATATATCTAGCTATCCCTGCAATGGTTAATCTGTCTCATCTCCCCTGTTATTGTTACAGGACCAACAGGTTTCTTAGTCCATTGTGCATGTGCAGACCAATACACTGAGACAGCAGGGTTTGCAGCAGAGAAAGAGCTTAATGATGATTGATAGGATAGCTGAGTGAGAAGATGGGAGGGACCCTCAAATCCATCTCCCCAAGGAGGTCTAGACAGGGATTTTTAAAAGAATCATTGTGGAGGGCAAGGGGCTGGAAAATTGGGTCACTGATTGGCCAGGTAAAGGGGATGAAATCATTAAGATGTGGGAAACTGCATTCTTTGGTGAGTCATCTTCTCATGGGGCCCTTTGGACAAGCTGAGTCAGTAGTTTCATTGGTTTGCAAGACCTGAAAGAATATCTCAGATGGAAAACTTAATGTTTCACAATGCCCAGGCTGTTATCTACAGAGCAGTTACAGGGACCTATAATCTAGAATCTACATGATTCTAGGGCAACAGACGGAAAACAGCTATGAGGAAGCAGGTCAGAGAACAAGCTGACCTAGTGATTAATGCTGAGCTGTTTCTCCCCCCTTTTTTCTTGATTAATTGTATAACATTTGTAAGGACTGTTTCACTAGTCACTACCAATTCAAGGGCAGAGCTCTTTGTGCATTTCATTTCTCCATTCCCTAGAATGCTGTGTGTGTAGTATATCTGCAGTGTGGATTCACTGTTGGGATAAACTGCTCATGCTCAGTGCTTGCATATTAACAGGCAGGCATGCTGATCCTCCAATTCAGAATGTTTTTGTGTGATTTGGAGCTGTGTTCTGTTGAAAGATTTTATTTTGAGGGCTGAATATATCTAAAAGCAAGAAGACACCTTTGATATCCCAAGTTGTGTCATTATTAAAAGTAAAAATAAATTAGCATCTCCATGGCTATAGTGTTTTATATTCATATTTTTGTCTCTTCATCAAGCCATCTGCTTGCATAATTTCATTTCTATTCTACAGACACCCACAGGCAGCCCGCCACTGGAATCACACTCCCAGCTTGTCCTGCCCTAATCCTCAGGAAAGATAAATGAGAAGTCTGCAGGTCTCTTTCATTTAATCTTCATGACCATCTTTGAGGTACATTTTATGATCTAAAGTGAGACCTTCAGGGATGACTTGTGACCTGCCTGTTGTTAAGGAGCTGGAAGAAGACTGGACCATAGCCCCTGACTGCTCAGCTCTGTGGCTGTTCCGAGAGCCCACCCACTCTGCCCTCCTGGCCTCACAGGGACCTCAGCACACACGGATCCTTTGCCCCCTACTCACACACCCTGAGCTTTCTTCCCTCACTGGGTTACTATGACAGAATCTGCAAGCCCTGGAAATTCCTCTCAGAAAGTTGCTATAGAAACTCCCAGTGGGGGTGTCTGGAGGATGTGGTGTGAATCCTCGCAGCTGATGCATGCAGCCGTGTGCAATGAGCATGGCAGCTCCCAATCAAGCCCCCAACATTTCTCACCCAACATGTGCCATCCCAGAGCGCGGAGGAGGAAGCCGCTCTACTCTTTTGCTGCTAACTCCAGCCTTGAAAAGAGAGCCTTCCCTCTTCTGATCTCAGGGAAAGTGCAGGGCTTATTGAACTCACCCACCTCAGTTCAGAGACAGTGAAACTGAGGCCCAGGGTTGCCATCCATTATGCAGGGATTGCCAATAGCCAAAGACAATGGGGCACCACTGCCCCATGGAGTGGCCACATGCCACACTCCCTCCCTTGGCAGGACAGGGGTCAGGGAGCCTTGCCCCCAGCTGGGGTTTGGGTGATAACCTCTTCCCTCCTGCATCTCCTCAAAGACCTCTGGTTCTTGCCCAAAAGCTATCTGGCTCCGTCAGCTCCAAACTCAATGAAATCTTGCAGATCACCAACTTGTTGTTTTGAGAGAAAGCCAGTGGCCCCTGCTGCTCACAGCAGCTCAGGCTAACGGACACAGCCTTGGATGTGGAGGCAAAGGGCCTCAGCTCAAAGTCCAGCTCCACTACATTCTAGCTGTGTGCTCTCAGTTTCCCTTTCTGTAGCAGGGTCATTTTGATCTCCTAAGGCAGCCTTGAGGATTCAATGAGGTCTCACGTGTACTCCTCAGCTGCACTGTTCAAGAGAACGGAGAACTCACCATGCCAGGAGCACTGGAGAGCAAGGAAACAGGAGGGGCCCTAAGATGCACCTTTGTGGCTAACTCAGACCCTTGCCTGGATGCTGCCTCCTTAGAGGGGCCCCCTGGTGGGCAGGGCCAGGACAGTTGGATGGGAACTCAGGGCACTTAATTCCACATGTTGACAAATGACTGCGTTTTCACAGGGTTGCCTATGAAAATTTCTCTTTTCACACAGTTCTTAAAATAAATCTTGTTGAAAGGAGGGATTCACAGAGGAGAAGTGACAGATATATCCTGTTCTACATAAGATGACTAATATCCCACAAATGTTCACAAGAAGCATAAGCCCGAGAATGTCACAGACACAAAGGGCCTTGGAGACAGGGGCTTCGTGGCCCATATAAGGAATGGGAAGCCAAGAGCGAGTGCTCCTTTTTCAGCCAGCTAAAATCCCACTTAACACCTTCTGAGTACCTACTATGTGTGAGACTTGGTGCAGGGTACAGGGCAAGCTTAGAGATGGAAGAAAGCGGCAGTCCTCTGCTCTAAGAGGTTTATAGTGCAAGTAGGTGATTAAGACACAGGGAAATATAATACTGGGAAGAATTGGGGAAGGGGTGCCAAAAACAGATATAAGCTATGAGCTCCTGAAAATTGAAGGATTGCATTCTCTACTTTGTGGACACAGGGGAGAGGAAGATAAGTCTAAAAGACTTTTATTGGAGTTGTGGGTTTCTAAGATTGACCACAATATATTGGTATTTTTGTATTATCAGTCTATTTATAAGAACCCAGCCTTTTAAAAAATGCAAATGTGAATAAACTTTTAAGAAAAAGAAAGTCCACTTGAACATGATTTAAAAGATTAAATATTGGTACAAATGAGATATTTTTAAAATAATATATTATGAAATATTACATATTATGTTTTCAAAGTATATTTATTGACATCCAGAAATGTACCAGACCAGACTGGAGAGGACCCTGGCTATGGTCTAAATGTATCCCCCAAAATGCATGTGTTAGAAACTTAATCTCCAAAGCAGTGAGGTTGGGAGGTGGGGCCTAACGGGAGGTGTTTAGGTCAAGGTTAGAGCTGCTGTATGAAGGGCTTGCAGGTGTGGATGTGGTCTCTTCTGCTCCTCCGTCATGTGATAACACAGGGTTCCACCCCTCAGGAGGATGCAGCATTCAAGGCACTATCTTTGAAGCAGAGACTAGACTTCCACCAGGTGCCAGCACTTTGATCTTAGACTTCCCAGTCAACAGAACTGTAAGAAATAAATTTCTGTTCCTTACAAATTGTTCAGTCTCAGGCATTCTACTATAGCAGCGCTACATGGAATAAGATGCCTCTCCTCTCTAACAGAATGTAATGCTCAAAGGAGAAACAGGAATAGCTGGCAGAAAGCAGAGACCAGAGAAAACCTACAAACTGCCTGAACATTCAGTGAATTTCCCACCTCGGACATGGAACCATTAGCCTTGTGGATCAAGACGTTTAAGCATAGACGCTGACCAGTAATTGGCTGATCACTACATGATGCTGACCAAGTGGCAACCCTAGGAATCCAGCCTTAAAAATTGAAAACAAGATTTTTTTTTAATGAGGAAAAACAACTTTGGATGCATACTTTGGAAGAAACCATTCTAAAGAATTGGTACGGAAGGGTCAGTAAGTAAATCAACAAAAAATTTACAAAAAGAAACAACAACCCTAGGGGAAGGGGAGAGTGGAATCGGAATCTAGAGTTGTTGTAATATATGATCTAAACTGGTTTTCAAGAAAAAATTAGGAGACAAGCAAAAAACCCAGGAAAGTGCTACCCATATACAGGAGAAAAAGCAGTCAATAGAAATTGTTTCTGAGGTACCCTACACCGATAATAAACCAACTATTATAAATATGTTCAAAGAACGGAAGAAACGGTGTTTAAGAATAAAACAAAAGTATGATGACCATGGCTTATCAAATTAAAACTATCAATAACTATATATAAATTATAAAACGTAACAAAATAAAAATTATTGTGTTGAAAAGTGCTGTCATTGAAGTGAAAATTTCACTGAAGAGTTTCAGTAGCAGACTTTAGCTGGCAGAAGAGATAAGCAAACTTGTGGACAGATCAATATAGACCATCCAATCTGAAGAACAGAGAGAATTTTTTTAAAAAATTGAACACAGCTCCCAGAGAAGGAGAGAGAAAAAGGCAGAAAAAATATTTGAAGAAACAGTGGCTGAAAATATCCCACACATGATTTTTTAAACTAATTTACACTTCCAAGAAGTTCAACAAACTCCAACTAAAATAAATTCAAAGAGATTCACACCTTAACAAATTATAATCAAATTGTTGAAAGAGAAAATTTTGAAAGCAGCAAAAGAAAAATGACTCATGAAGTACAAGGAACCACAATAAAATTAACATTTTATTGTGATGAGATTTTCCATCAGAAACAATCAGAAGCTAGAAAGCAAAGTGCTAAAAGAAAAAGAAAAGTCAACCAAGTATTAAGTATTCAACAAAACTATCCTTCAAAAAAAAAAGTAAAATAAAGACATTACCAGATAAACAAAGACGGAAGAGAAATGACACCAGTTACTTGAATCTGTATATATAAAAAAAACTGGTAAAAATAATTACACAGGTAAATATAAAATCTGCTTAAGTATATTATTTCTTATATTCTTCTCTTATTTTAAACACTTTGCAGAGAAAAATTAGAATTGTTGGATTTTAACCTATACTTATAGATTATAATAATAGGTAAATTTCATATAAACAGTAAAATAGAACAAAGAAGGGGAGAAATAGAGTTCTATTGGATATCTATATTTTACTGGAAAAATGTTAGTATTAATCTGAAGCAGATTGTGATAAATTAAGATACATATTGTAATTCACAAATTGTGATAAGATACGTATTGTAATCCACAAATAAACCATAAAAAATCCCTTAAAATGTAGTAAAAAAAAAAAAGAAAAGAATTAAACAGTACAATAGAAGTATCTAACACGAAAGACAGTTAAAAGCAATGTATGAATTAAAAAGATATGGAACATATAAAATTAAATAGCAAAACAAGATATACATTAAATCACATAAATAATTACACCAAATGTAAATAGATTGAACATTTCAATAATAGTTTTAGAGAATGTCAAATTGGGTAAAAATAATAAGACTTAAGAGACACCTTTTCTAAGAACATCTAAGAACACAAATAGGTTTAAAGTAATAGAATGGAAATAGATAAACAATACAAATAGTAACCCTAAGAAAACTGGAGTGTCTATATTAGTATCAAACAAAATGAAATTACAGTATATCAATATTTATGGGATACAGCAGTGCTTAGGGAAATTTTCGTGGTTTTTAAATGACTTTTTTAGAAAAGAAAAAAGTAAGGTTTCATCTTAATTTACTAGAAAAGGAAGAGTAAACTAAATCTTAAACAAGCAGGAGAAAAGAAATAATAAAGATTAGAGAGGAAATCCATTAAACAGACAAAACAAAAATAGTGAATGTGAATAAAATGAAATTTTTTAAAAATTGCTAAACCTTTGCACAGACTGGTAATGAAGCAGAGAAGACACAAGTTAGCAAAATTACGAGTGAAAGAGAAGACATCTCTTCTCTTTCAGATCTTGCAGAAATGAAAATAATTATCAAAGAATACTATCATCACCTTTATGCCAATAGATTACACAACTAGATGAACAATTGCTAGCGAAACACAAATTACTAAAACTGACTCAAAAGTAAGCGGAAAATGTGAATAGTTCTAAAATAAGACCTGTATCCATCTGATCTTCAACAAAGTCAATAAAAATAAGCAATGGGGAAAGGACTCTCTATTCAATAAATGGTGCTAGGATAACTGGCTAGCCATATGCAGAAGAATGAAATTGGACCCCTACCTTTCACCAACTACAAAAATTAACTCAAGATGGATTAAAGATTTAAATGTAAGACCTCAAATTATAAAAATCCTAGAAGGAAACCTAGGAAATGCCATTTTGGCAATGGCCTTGGCAAATAAATTTTGGCTAAGTCTTCAAAAGCAATTGCAACAAAAACATTGACAAGTGAGACTAAATTAAACTAAAGAGCTTCTGCACAGCAAAAGAAACTATCAACAAGTGAGCAGACAACCTACAGAATGGGAGAAAATATTCACAAACTATACATCAGACAAAGGTCTAATACCTAGAATCTATAAGGAACTTAAACAAACCAACAAGGAAAAAACAAATAACCTCATTAAAAGAGGGGCAAAGGATATGAACAGACATTTCTCAAAAGAAGACATACAGGCAGCCAACAAACATGAAAAAATGCTCAACATCACCAATCATCAGAGAAATGTCAGCAAGGCTGCAGAGAAAAGGAAACACTCATACACTGTTGGTGGGAATGTAAATTAGTTCAGCAACTACGGAAAGCAGTTTGGAGATTTCTCAAAGAATTTAGAACTACTATTCCACTCAGCAATCCCACTACTGGGTATATAACCAAAGAAAAAATAAATCATTCTACCAAAAAGACACATGCGCCAGTATGTTCATTACAGCACTATTCACAATAGCAAAGACATGGAATCAACCTAGATGCCCATCAATGGTAGACTGGATAAAGAAAATGTTGTGTGTGTGTATATATATATATATATAAAATGGAATACTACAGAGCTATAAAAAGAATGAAGTCAGGTCCTTTGCAGCAACACAGATGCAGCTGGAGGCTATTATCCTAAGCAAATTTGTGCAAGAATGGAAAACCAAATACCACATGTTCTCACTTATACATAGAAGCTAAACATGGGGTACACATGAACATGAAGTTGAGAACAAAAGACACTAGGGATACTAGAAGGGGGTGAGAAGAAGGGGACCAAGAGCTGAAAAACTACCTATTGGGCACTATGCTCACTACTTGGATGATGGGACTATTCATACGTCAAACCTCAGCATCAACACAATATACCCATGTAACAAAACCTGCACATGTACCCCCCTGAACCTAAAATAAAAGTTGAAATTATTTTAGAAATAAAATAGTAGGCCGGGCGCGGTGGCTCATGCCTGTAATCCCAGCACTTTGGGAGGCCAAGGTGGGCAGATCATGAGGTCAGGAGATCAAGACCATCCTGGCTAACACGGTGAAACCCCGTCTCTACTAAAAATACACACACACACAAAAATTACCTGGGTGTGGTGGCGGGCGCCTGTAGTCTCAGCTACTCTGGAGGCTGAGGCAGGAGAATGGCGTGAACCCAGGAGGCGGAGCTTGCAGTGAGCCAAGATCGCGCCACTGCACTCCAGGCCTGGGCGACGGAGCGAGACTCCGTCTCAAAAAAAAAAAAAAAAAAGTAATAAAATAGTAAAGAAATTAACCTGGTATTTAAAAATCTTTCCAAAGGATAAAGGTCATGCCCACATGGCTTGAAAGAAAGTTTCAGGGAGTATACAAGTCTAAGTTGCCAGTTATCTTCTCCCAGAACTTACTCTAACTTCTACTGGTTTCATACTGCTTCTATACTTTATTCCTTTGTAGGTAATCTGTCTCTTCTTTCAGTTAGTTCTAATAGATATATAGACATAGATATGCATTCTTATTTAATATATAGTTATGAAATTGCATGTAAATATCTTAAATACATGCATATACCAATATTATAAATATATGTTGCATAAGAATTATAATTACATATTTAAGGTACTTGTATTAATATTTAATATATATAGTCATCTCTCAGTATATGCAGGGGATTGGTTCCAGGGCCCAAGCACATGCCCAAATCTGCACATACTCAACTCCTGCAGTCACCCCTGCCACGGAACTCACGTATAAGAAAAGTCTGCTCTCCCTATACAAGGGTTTCACGTTCCACAAATGCTGTATTTCTGTTTGGTTGAAAAACATCCACGTGTAAGTGGACCTGTGCCAGTTCAAACCCATGTCGTTCAAGGGTCAACTATAAATTGGTGCAGTCTCTTATTTATTCTGAAGTTTTATCTTCCCTTTAAAAAAAATTTATCCATCATTTTTAGGAGATTTACAATGAGAGATTTTCCAGACAATCTAGTTTGCCCTATTGCTGAAAATATAACTTTCATTTAAATTTGTAATCCTTCTGGAATTGGTTTTTATTTATGGTGTGGCATGGTTATTATTATTATTTTATACCTAAAACCAATTGTCCTGGAACCATTTTGGGAATAGTCTATGTTTTCCCAAGGATCTGCCTTTCTGCTTTTTTTTGTACAATGCAACAATGTTGAATTTTCCTGAGTCCCATGATCCTGAAAAACAATGACGTTTAAGAAATCCTTCCTAATTATTTTTACCTTGCTTGTCTATCCTGAAACTTTACTGAAATCATTTGTCAAGTCTAGGAGTCTTTTGGAGAAGTCTTTAGGGTTTTCTAGATATAAGATCATGTCATCAACATGACTTTCTCTTTTCCAATTTGGATGCCTTTTATTTATCTTGCCTCGTCGTTCTGGTATGACTTCCAATGCTATGTTAAACAGGAGTGATGAGGGTGGACATCCTTGTCTTGTTCCAGTTCTTAGGGTGAATGCTTCCAACTTTTCCCCATTTAGTATGATGTTAGCTGTAGGTTTGTCATAGATGACTCTTATTATTTTGAAGCATGTTCCTTTGATGCCTAGTTTGCTGAGGATTTTAATCATGAAGAGATGTTGGATTTTTTTTTTTTTTTGAGATAAGGTCTTGCTTTGGAATCCAGGCTGTAGTGCAGTGGCACAATCATAGCTCACTGCAGCCTCAAACTCCTGGATTCAGGCAATCCTCCTGCCTCAGCCTCCTCAGTAGTTGGGACCACTAATGTGTGCCACCATGCCTGGTTATTTTTATTTTAGGTAGAACAGGGATCTTTCTATGTTGCTCAGGCTGGTATTAGGGTGTTGGATTTTATTGAATGCCTTTTCTGCATCTATTGAGATGATCATATGATTTTTGTTTTTAGTTCTGTTTATGCGAAGAATCACATTTTTCGATTTGCAAATGTTGATCCATCCTTGTATCCCTGGAATAAAACCCAATCGATTATAATGAATTATCTTTTTCATGTGCTATTGCATTTGGTTTGCTAGTATTTTGCTGAGAATTTTTGCATCTCTGTTCATCAGGGATATTGGCCTGTAGTTTTCTTTTTTAGTTTTGTCCTTGCCAGATTTTGGTATCAGGGTGATACAAGTTTAGTAGAAAGAGTTAGGAAGGATTCCTCCTCCTCTATTTTTTGGAATAGTTTCAGTAAGGTTGGTACTAGCTCTGCTTTGTGCATCTGGTAAAGTTTGGCTGTTAATTTATCTGGTACTGAGCTTTTGTTTTTTGGAAGTTTTTAAATTACTGATTCAATTTCACTACTTGTTATTAATCTGTTCAGGATTTCTATGTTCATAGAAGCACTATTCACAATAGCAAGTCATGGAACCAACCTAAATGTCTATCAGTGGTTGCCTGAAAAAGAAAATGTGGCATATACACACCAAGGAATACTATGCAACCATAAAAAAGAATACAGCTGTGTCCTTTGCAACAACATGGATGCAGCTGGAAGTCATTATCCTAAGTGAACTAACTCAGAAACAGAAAACCAAATACTACATATTCTCACTCGTAAGTAGAAGCTAAAAAATGGGTACACATGGACTTAAAGATGGAAATAATAGACACTGGGGACTCCAAAAAGGGGGAGGGTGGGGAAACAAGTGTTGAAAAATTACCTATTGGGCATAATGTTCACTATTTGGGTAATGGGTACACTAGAAGCCTAATCCCTACCGGTATGCAGTATTCCCATACAGAAAATAATCACATTTACCCCCGAATCTAAAATAAAATTTAATTTTTTAAAAAAAGAATCCCTCCAACCTTAGTGTTCTGTAAAAGGGCTTACTGCAAAGAACGACCCTTTCCCAAATGATTTTGATAAGACTCATAGATGTCCCCTTGTTTATCTATGAAAGGGTCAGAAATAGGCCTTTGAAATTCCTACTCTTTGCTTCATAAATGATTCACTGTACTGCTTGTCCACAAAGATCAGTCAGAACGAAATGCTTCTAATCAAACTTCTGTTAAGCATCTCTTCTTCCTCCAGGCCCCTGAATGAGCTCTGGCCCACTCTCAGCCTGAACCATATACAACCCCCTCCTGAGAATAGGCTGACTTCTGACAAAACATCCTCTGATCAAATTTCTAGAAAGACACAAATTACCAAAACTAACTCAAAAAGAAGTAGAAAATGTGAATACTTCTAGAGCAAGCAAAGAACTTGTTTGATGGAATCTTACTTGTTCGTTTTTGCTTGGGTTGCCTGTAGTTTTGAGGTCATATCCAAAAAATCGTTACCCAGATCAATCTCAAGAAGTTTTCCCCTAGGTTTTCTTCTAGTAGTTTTACAGTTTCAGGTCTTGCCTTTAAGTCTTTAATCAATTTTTAGTTGATTTGTGTATATGGTATGAGATAAGAATCCAATGATATTCTTCTGTATGTGATTATTCAGTTTTCTCAACATCTTTCATTGAAAACGCCATTCTTTCCAATTGTACATCCTTGGCACTTTTGTTGAAGATCAATTGATCATAAATGTATGAATTAATTTCTGGGATATCTGTTGTGCTTCATTGTTCTATATGTCTGTTTTTATGCCAGTACCATACTGCTTTAATTACTATAGTTTTGAAAGTATTTTGAAATTGAGTAGTGTGATGCCTCCAGCTTATTTTTCTCATCTTGGCTATATCAGGTCTTTTGTGATTCCATATGAATTTTAGAATTGTCTTTTTCTGTGAAAAATGTCATTGAAATTTCGATACGGATTGCACTGAATATGTACATAGTTTTGGGTGTTATGGATATTTTAACAATATTAAGCTTTCTAATCCATGAACATAGGATTTATTTTCATTTATTTGTGTCCTCTTCAATTTGTCTCATCAATGTTTTATAGTTTTCCATATAGAGATCTCTCACCTCCTTGAATAAATTCATCACGAAGTATTTTTTGATGCTATTGTAAATGGGATTATTTTCTTTATTTTCTTTTTCGTATTGTCTGTTGTTTGAGTAATACTACTGCTTTTTGTATGGTGATTTTGTATCTTGCAAATTTACTAAATTTTTATTAGTTTTAAGAGTTTTTCTAGTGGAGCCTTTAAGGTTTTCTATAAGCAAGACTATGTCATCTTCAAACACAGACAATTTAACTTCTTCCTTCCTAATTTGGATGCATTTTTTTCTTTGTCTTACCCAATTGCTCTAGGTAAGACTTCCAATACTATATTGAATAGAAGTAGCAAAAAACATCATTGTCTTGTTCCTGATCACCACTGAGTATGATACTAGCTGTGGGCCCGTCATATAAGGACTTCATTATGTTGAGGTATACATGAAGGGATGTTAAGTTTTGTCAAATGCTTTTTTCTGTATCTATTGAGATGATCATATGCATTTTGTTCTTTATTCTGTTAACGTAATGTATTACCTTTATTGATTTTCATATGTTGAAACATCCTTGCTTTCCTGGGATAAATCCCACTTGGCCGTGGCATTGGACTTTTTGGAATTTGGTTTGCTATTGTTTTGTTGAAAATATCTGCAACTATGTCCATCGGGGATATTGGTCTAATTTTCTTTTTTCTTCTTCTTTTTTTTTTTTTGTTGGTGGACTTGTCTGGCTTTAGTATTGGGGAAATGCTGGACTTAAAATAAGTTTGACAGTATTCTCTCCTCTTCAGCTTTTGGAAGAGTTTGAGGATTGGCATTAATTTTTTAAATGTTTGGAGAATTCACCAGTGGAGCCATCCAGTCCTATTCTTTCTGGGGAGGATTTTCATTGCAAATTGAATCTCCTTACTCATTATTTGTCTGCTCAGATTTTATATTTCCTCATAATTCAGTCTTGGTAAGGTTGTTTGTTTCTAGAAATTATCCATTTCTTCCAGCCTATTTAATTTGTTGGCATATAATTGTTCATAGCAGTCTCTTATGATCCTTTATATTTCTGTGGTATCAGTTCTAATGATTCCTCTTTATTTTATAATTTTATTTATTTGTTCCTTCCTCATTTTGTTCTTAGTTAATATAACTAAAGGTTTGTTGGTTCTGTTTGTTTTTTAAAAACAAGTCTTAGTTTCATTAATCCTTTCCATTAGATTTTACTCAATTTCATTTATTTCTGCTCTGAATTTTATTATTGTCTTCCTTCTGCTAACTTTTTGGGTTTAGTTTGTTCTCCTTTTTCTATTTCCTTGAAGTGTAGATTGTTTGTTACATATCTTTCTTTTTCATAATGTAGTTGTTTATCATTACATACTTCCCTTTCAGACTGCCTTTGGCACATCTTACACGTTTTGATTTGTTGTGTTTCCATTTTAGTTTGTCTCAAGATCTTTTTTTATTTCTTTTTAGATTTTTACCAGAAGTTTTGTTTAATTTTGTTCAGAAATGTTATTTCACTTTGATACAAATGTTAATTTTCCAATTTTCCTCCTGTTTTTGATTTCTAGTTTTATGCCATTGTGGTCAGAAAAGATACTTGCTATAATTACAGCCTTCTTATATTTGTTAAGACTTGTTTTGTGGCATAACATGTCAACTATCCTGGAAAATTTTCTAAGTGTGTTTGAAAACAATGTGTATTCTGCTGCTTTTAAATATACAAAATATTCTGTATATGTCTGTCAGGTAAATGTCGTCCATAATGTTGTTTTAAGTCTACTGTTTCCTGTCTTGATGATCATTGTTGTAAGCAGGGGTATTGTTCTCCCTATTGCTGTGTTGCTATCTATATTTCCCTTTAATTCTGTTAATATTTGTTTTACATATTTAGGTGCTCCAATGTTAGGTGTAGAGACGTTTACAATTACTATATCCTCTTTAGGAATTGACCACCTTATCATTATGTAATGACCTTTTTGGTCTTATATAAAAGTTTTTAACTTAGCTTACTTTTTCTGCTATAAATATAGCCACTCCTGCTCTCTTTTGATTACTCCTTGCATATAATATACTTTTCCAACCCTTCACTTTCAGCCCACGTATATCCTAAAAGCAAAAACCCTGGAGCAGAAACCAACACTACAGTGAGTACCAGGGTAGGAAAACTAAACTGTCATTGATGAGTTGCTAGACGACAATCTCAGAGTTAAAGTTGCTATGGACAAACTTGAGAGATAAAAACTCAAGGGATGCCCATTCTTGGGGGAAGAGAACTCATATTTTCATGAGTTTTACCTCCAGGGGTTCTGCTAGGTTCTGCGGCTATAGCATACTATAAACATAGCCTAACCCCTAACCAGATAAACATAAAGCCTCACACAAAGGCCTATTTACTTCAGTTCTTTTTACCTACCACATGATGTCTGGCTTTCAACGAAAAAAATTATGTGGCACATGAAAAGAGAAAGAAAATATAGTTTGAAAAGACAGAGGAAAGTATCAGAACCAGACTCAGATATGGCAGGGAATTTGGAATTATCAGACTAGAAATTTAAACAACTATGATTAAAATGTGATGGCTCTAATGGAAAAAGCAGCCACCATGCAAGAACAGATAACTGATGTAATCAGAAATATGGAAACTCCATGAATCAAAAATAAATCTAGGAGTTAGAAACTCTACAACAGAGATGAAGTATGTCTTTGACAGGCTTATCAACAGAGTGGAAATGGCCAAGAACAGAACCAGTGAATTGGAGGAAATTCCAAAAGAAGCTTCCAGAACTAAAATGCAAAGAGAACCACTGAAAAAGATAGAACAAAATATCCAAAAACCATTAAACGATTACAAAAGGAGAAACATCACCAGAGAGAGAAGAAAGAGAATATTTGAAGTAGTAATGACTGAGAATTTTCCAAAACTAAAAATGGACACTAAACCATAGATCCAAAAAGTTCAGAGAACACCAAGCAGGAGAAATACCAAAAAACTGATATGTAGGCGTATCATTTTCAAATGGCAGAAAACTAAAGACAAAGAGGAAATCTTGAAAAGAAGTCAAAGGACAAAACACAGCAACAAGCACCTATGGATCAACAAGGATAAGAATTACATCAGACGTCTCCTCAGAAAACATGCAAGTGAGAAGAGTCTGAAGTAAAATACTTAAAATGTTTAAAGGAAAAAAACCCCACCAACATAGAATTCTGTACCTAGTTTACTTATTATTTATAAATGAAGGCGAAATAAAGACTTTCTCAGACAAACAAAAATTGAGGGAATTTGTCACCAGTAGACCTGCCTTGCAAGAAATGTTAAAATATATTTTTCAGCAAGAAGAAAAATAACATAGATCAGAACTCTGATCACATAAAGAATGCAAGGTCATTAGAAAATGGATAAAGATTAAATTACTAATTGCTGGTGATGTGTTGAAACACCATTGATTTTTATATGTTGAGCTTGAATCCAGAAACTGATAACCCAAACTCAGTTAATAGTTCTAAATGTGTTGTCTTCAGATTATTTTGGGTTTTTATGTAAAATAATAATAATAATAAACTTGTCTATAAATAGCAAATGTTTTTTTTTTTATTTTTTATTATACTTTAAGTTTTAGGGTACATGTGCACAACGTGCAGGTTTGTTACATATGTATACATGTGCCATGTTGGTGTGCTGCACCCATTAACTCGTCATTTAACATTAGGTATATCTCCTAATGCTATCCCTCTCCCCTCCCCCCACCCCACAACAAGCCCCAGTATTCAGCAAAGTCTCAGGATACAAAATCGATGTGCAAAAGTCACAAGCATTCTTATACACCAATAACAGACAAACAGAGAGCCAAATCATGAGTGAACTCCCATTCACAATTGCTTCAAAGAAAATAAAATACCTAGGAATCCAACTTACAAGGGATGTGAAGGACCTCTTCAAGGAGAACTACAAACCACTGCTCAATGAAATAAAAGAGGATACAAACAAATGGAAGAACATTCCATGCTCATGGGTAGGAAGAATCAACATCATCCAAATGGCCATACTGCTGAAGGTAATTTATAGATTCAATGCCATCCCCATCAAGCTACCAATGACTTTCTTCACAGAATTGGAAAAAACTACTTTAAAGTTCATACGGAACCAAAAAAGAGCCTGCATCGCCAAGTCAATCCTAAGCCAAAAGAACAAAGCTGGAGGCATCACGTTACCTGACTTCAAACTATACTACAAGGCTACAGTAACCAAAACAGCATGGTACTGGTACCAAAACAGAGATACAGACCAATGGAACAGAACAGAGCCCTCAGAAATAATGCCGCATATCTACAATTATCTGATCTTTGACAAACCTGAGAAAAACAAGAAATGGGGAAAGGATTCCCTATTTAATAAATGGTGCTGGGAAAACTGGCTAGCCATATGTAGAAAGCTGAAAGTGGATCCCTTCCTTACACCTTATACAAAAATTAGTTCAAGATGGACTAAAGACTTAAATGTTAGACCTAAAACCATAAAAACCCTAGAAGGAAACCTAGGCAATACCATTCAGGACATAGGCATGGGCAAGGACTTCATGTCTAAAACACCAAAAGCAATGGCAACAAAAGCCAAAATTGACAAATGGGATCTAATTAAATTAAAGAGCTTCTGCACAGCAGAAGAAACTACCATCAGAGTGAACAGGCAACCTACAGAATGGGAGAAAATTTTTGCAATCTACTCATCTGACAAAGGGTTAATATCCAGAATCTACAATGAACTCAAACAAATTTACAAGAAAAAAACAAACAACCCCATCAAAAAGTGGGCCAAGGATATGAACAGACACTTTATTTTTTAATCTACCTTTTTCTTTTCTTATTGCATTTGGTAAGATCTCTAGGATATTGTTGAAGGAAAATCAACATAGCAGATATTCTTGTTTTGTCCTGAATATAAAGAAAACGCTTCTGAAATTTAACCATTAAGTATAATATTTGTTTTAATTTTTATTATATAATATTAATCTCAATACATAATATAATCATGATGAAAATCTACTATTATGATAAATATTTGATCATAAATGGCTTTTTATTGCACATTTTCAAGAACTTGAAATAATCACATATTTACTTGTCATATTTTAGTGCTGTAAGTTCCACTGGAAAATTTTCTCAATTCAACCATTTCTGAAGTGTATCCTGTATTAACATATTTGTGATTTTTTCCCCCACATTACTGTAATTAAAATTAGTATTCTGTCTGTCTCAGGTTTGGGCATGAAGCTTATGTTAGCCTCATGATTTAAGCTGATTACTTTTCCTTCTCTATGTATTCTATGTAGCAATGAAATTGAAGCCATTAGTATTTGTTATTTGAAAGTTTTCTAAAGCCCACTTGAAACACCATAAGCCTAGTACAATTTGAAGGAGAACATGAGAGGTTTTCAATTGTAATTTCTGTAATGCTAATGGGATTACTCATATGCCTTCTTTTTTTCATTTCAGTGGCAAGTTTGGTACTTTACATATACTCTAGAAAATTATATATTTCATTTAATTTTTCTAATGTAATGACAAACTGTTTTGTCAAGGTTTTCTTTTATAATTTTAAAATTATGACTGTATCTGATGATATAGTCCTTCTAATATTATTTACTGGTACTTTCTTTCTTTCACTTGTTTGGTCTTGCCAGACGTATAGTTACATCTGGCCCTTTTTGAGGAAATAGCTCATGGATTGACTATCATCATGGTTTCTTTGCTTCATCTTTCATTGATACATGTTTGTTTCTGCTTTATTTACTTTGCTCTGCTTTCATTGGGATTACTTCTTTTTACAGCATTTTGATTTGCAAACTTAGTTCAATAATGGCCAGTCTTTTTTCTTTTCTAATGGATGCCCCTGAAGTTCAAAATTTTCCTCTAATTACCATTTTAGCAGCATCACTCAGGTATTGATACACAGTCACTCTTTATCATTCACTTATAAATATTTCATGATTTCAATTGATTTATATACCCCTTGAATTATTTAGCAGAGTATGTTTAATTTCCAAAGGAATAAGGCTTTTTGGCTATATTTTGGCATTGATTTTCATCTTTGAATAGTTATTAGAGACTATCATCTTATGTGTACGAAATTGATTATTTGGTATTCATTGGGGTTGGCTTTGTGGCCTAGTACTTTCCAATGTCAGTAAAAAGTTTATATAATCCCTAATTGGGTACAAACTCCTACAACATATATTCATTAATTCAAGCTTGTTAATTATGCTATTCAAATGTTCTTTATCTTTACTAACTTTTGGTCTGATTGGCTTCTTTAATACTAAAATTTTCTTCATGGTTATGGGTATGTCCATTTTTATTGTAATTTTGTACATGTTTACTTCATTAAGTTTCAGTTTAAATATTTTAAATGATTTTGAACATCATTCCTATGTTTAAGACTCATTTAACTCTTCTCATCTGTGATCTGACTATTCAAGTCCTTTGCATGTTTTAATATTGGTTTGTTGGTCTTTTTCTTATTGATTTGAAATGATTAAGAAAACAAATTACTTGTCTGCTATATAAAGGCAAATACTTTTCCCCAGTGTGTCATTTCTCTTGCTTTGTTCATACACAACACATAAAGTATATAATCAGGTCATCAACTTTCACAAAATAAAGAAGTCTGCTGGAGTTTTGATTGGGATGGTATTGCAATATTGTCTCCAATCTATGAGCATGGTATATCTTTCCATTTTTTTCACATACGATGGAAAAAAGGGAAATTGTAAGTAAAAGAACAAATTAACCAAATAGAAACTAAACATGTAAACACAATTGGCTTGTACTTTGAGAAAATGAATAAAATTAATAAGTCCTTGATAAAACTGATTGCAAAAAAAGAAATAGTAGGAAAAAAAACAGAACTAAAAAAAAGAAAGTAAGAATTTGCTGTACCCTAAAAAGGCAAATTAAATAAAATGGACAACTTTCTAGAAAAATACAACCTACCATACTTGAAACAAGATAAACATGTGAAACACAACAAAAACTTACATGCAGATTTATTAACCTTCCAGTGAAAACAGTGCGGATCTGAATGGTTTCACCCAGAGTGTTACCATGATGGTGGATAAGACATTCCGTAAGTCCATGAGTGGTAGTGTTGGCAGAAGCATTGCATACAGGGAAGGCAAATTTATATCCAGAGAAAATATGCATTTCGGTGAGGACAAAATGCTATCCCTTTATTATGGTGCTGTAACCAAGTCAGCCTTGGTGAGAGTAGTTCATGTGGCTGAGCCCTTGGAAAACCTTCATCACTGACACCATAGCCAAATTATTCATGAGCCTACTGAAGGATGACAGGGGTGGCTGGGGAAAGAAGCTGAGTGGTATCCACAAAATGGGTCATCCTATTTTCTTGATTATTAAAGTCCTCCTCTGCTCACTTAAGCCTTTGCTGAGCATTCATATGGGACATAAATATATTCATATTCTTTCCCCATGCAGAGAGGTCTATGCTCATACTCCTTTCCCAGATACCTTCGTCACCAATAGTTCAATCTTATTCTAAGTCCCTGACCATCCAGCCAACCCACAGGCTACAGCCCAGGATCTGGTATACAATTGCACATCTGGCCATTTCTTCCCATTGAGAAGATTTCCCTTCACTACTGTCCTTAATGGCTGTCCCAGAAAGGGGCATGGTGCCACAGCTGCTCGCTTTCTGGTGATGCCTACATATCCTGCAGAAACATCTGTAAACAAGGTTCTAGTCTTTTCTAGTGTGATCTCTACTGATCATAGAGAACTTCCCACGAGGTCATAGATACAGGGAGAGAGAAAGCAGTGTAGCAGGAGTGGAGACCATGGGCATTTGGCCACTTCAGCATGTAACTTGCTTGTACCTTCAGGACATGCTCGGGCCCAGTCATGTATATTTTACTTCCATTTGATGATGGAGTGCTGCTGTGCATACCCAGCTATATGGCTTTTTGTGTCCAAAAACACCCAGTTCATGATAAGCTCAGGTGGCAGAGTAACTTTATGGCCCATGGTCAAGCATTCAGTTTCTACCAAGGCCCAATAGCAGGTCGAGAGCTGTCTCTCAAAAGGAGAATCATTATATGAAAATGATGGCAGAGTCTTTGTCCAAAATCCTAACGGCCTATACTGCAACTTACCTACACTGGCCTTCCAAAGGCTCCAGACAGCCTCAACATCTGCCACTGACACCTCAAGTACCATCGGATTCACTAGACCATGTGGTCCAAGTGGCAGAGCAGCTTGCGCAGCAGCCTGCGCCTGTTGCATAGCCTTCTCCTGCTCTGGGCCCCACTCAAAACTAGCAGCGTTTTTAGTCACTAGGTAGATGGGCAGTTGGTCCAGTGGGTCCTTGAATCCATCTTGTGGATATTTCCCTGTTCCAGATGCATAATCTGGAATAAACTGACTGCACCTAAATCTAAACAGATCCATTATTTTGCCTCCAAATCTAAATAGACCCACTATTTAAATAGACCCACTATAAGAAAAGGGCACTATGCCTTTTTCTCGGTTTTAGAAGGGCCAGATGCAACAATTTATGCTTTATTCTAGAAGGGACATCTAAACACGTCCCACACCACTGGATCCCTAGAAGTTTAGTAGAATGCCCCTGAATTGTAGTCAGATTTATTTATTACCCTCTGATATGCAAATGTCTTAATAAATCTAGGGTACTTGTACTTCTTATTCACTAGTTGCACTTCTTGCTGAGTGTTTTTATGCAGTCAGTTTATCATCGATATAATGGACCGGTGTGATGTCTTCTGGAAAAGTAACATAGCCAAGTTCCTTGCAAACTAAATTATAACATAGGGATGGCATATTGATACACTCCTGAGGTAGGACAATGAAGGTGTATTGCTGGAAAGCAAACTGCTTCTGATAGTCCTTGTGGACAGGTATGGAGAAAAGGCACCTGCCAGATGATCAGCTGCATAACTAGGTACCAAGATATGTGTTAATTTGCTCAAACAATGAAACCACATCTTGCACAGTAGCTGCAACTAGAGTACCACTTGGTTAAGCTTATGATAATCCACAGTCATTCTCTGGACTCCACCTGTCTTCTGCACAGGGCAAATAGGACAGTTGAATGGAAATGTGGTGGGAATCACCAGCCCTGCACCTTTCAAGTCCTTGATGGCAGCACTAATCTCTGTAATCCTTCCAGGGTAGCAGGATTGCTTTAAATCTACTACTTTCCTCTAATGGATTCCACTTGGCCTTTCCCACTATAATGGTCCTTACTCCACGGGTCAGGGAAACAATGTGGAGATTTTGCCAGCTGCTAAGTATGTCTATTCCAATTGGGAAATAACCGCAAGATGGGTTCAACAACTCATTGGACCCACTGTGAGTTGGACATGAGCTAAATATCTACTGATTACCTGACCTCCATAAGCCTCAACTCTACCTGGAGGGCCAGTGATATTTCAGGTCTCCTGGAATAAATGTCAGTTAAAGGACAGTATGCAGCAGTCCCTGAAAGTTCTGATTATTTCTTTATTGGAAATGCACAGTTACCCTGCCAGAAGGTCCCAGGACCCTTTGGGAAGGATAACAGAAAGATTAAAAGTATAAGTTGTCAGTAATGTGCCAGGCTTCTTCCTCAAGAGGATCTAGCTTCTCCTTCATTCAAGGGATTCTGAGTCTGAAAACTGCTCAAGTCTGGGAATTTATTGAGGGGCTGTGAATCTCTGTTTTTAGGATTTGAGTTAGACTTCCATTCATTTAACCTGGAAGTTTTTTGTTTATATATATGAAGGAAGAATGTAGTGGGCTTCCTATCTACTTTACTTCTAGGAACGCATGACTAATTACCCAATGCCATGAGTCTACATGAGTCAGACTATTCTCACTGTTGCTTTGTCTCTGCTATTCGTTACAGTAACTATGCCCACCTTGTTTTCTGCAGTTGAGTTCCACAACTTGGCCCCTGACATCCTGTAATCCGTTTATTCCCACTGCATTTAAGCTTTCCAGTTGAGTAACTATGGTTCCCACTGTAAGGTCCGGCCTGCAGAGAAGAGCGGTCAGGGAGCTCTTTAAGGATGTAGGAGTCCCCTCACAAACCTATTCCTCAAAGCATTGCTGAAAAGTGTGTCTTCTAGGGCTTCCCACACAGGACCCCTTTCCTTCCCCATCAATGTCCTCACTTTAACAGTAGACACCTTATGAGGCTGAGTTCAATATTACCATAATAAGAAAAATGCAAATTAAAACTACACTGGGATACCGTTTCTCACCTATCAGATTGGCAAGTCCCAAAAGCTTAAAAATATACATTAAAGCTGTGGAAAAACTGGCACTGGCACTCCCAGTCATATAATGTGGGGGTATGAAATGCCCCCATGCCAACAGAGGGGAATTTCACAAAATCAAGAAAAATGTTTTATCTTTTCCCTAGGAATCCCATTTCTAGGAATCTATCCATAAAACACACTGCAAATATATGAAGTGACATATGTGCAGGGTTATGTATCACAGCACTATTTATGACAGCAAAAGACAACCTTGAAAGTCCATCAGTAAGGACTGATGTGACTAATCCCAATGGTTTAGAAGTTGGTGGCAAAAACTTTCCAGGAAGATTTATTTCAAGTGACCCCAACCACAACACTTTAACTATACACCCTCAGTGAGATAGATGCACTGAACTAAAAGAACTATTGTTACTCAGTAGTGTACTTTTTATTATTAATATTAGTATTGTTTTAAAACAGTTACGTGTGTGCATATATAGTATAATGAAGCAAATAGTGGTTACTGTCATCAGAAACCAAGATTTCTAACATAAGTATGAAGAAGTTAAGTAAAACTCCTATAGACTTACATTTGAATTGGAAACATTAGTACAATCTCTTTTCTTGTCTCTCCTTTTGAAAAAGTAAATGCATTTCCCAGCTCTGCCCACTCAAAACTTAAAAGTAATGCCTATGACATAAAAGCGAACACCTCTGGGACACAAATTGTGGTATGTATCATTTGCCTTAAGAAAAGAACCAGGGACCCTTGGCGAAATAAACGATTACAGGTTTGGGATAAAAACTTTACATGAATCTGGGATTTTTGTGTGCCAGAAAGCAAGTTAGCTATCAAACACTAATAGGTTTGTGTCAAAAGAACACGGGAGTGGATAAGGGGGAACAACTGTACTGAATTCACCATATACGTAAAAATCAACTCCAAGTGGATTATAAATTTAAGGCAAAAAGCAAAGCAATAAAGTTTAAAAAGAGAGTATAGGAGATTTACTTTATAACCATAAAGTAGTAAAGATTTCTTCAATGACACAATGTAGTCAGAAATGAGAAAACACGAAGAGCTAGAGTTTGTCCTGAGGATATATTCTGGTCCCTGCTGATCTACAGCAGTGTTTTTCTAACTTTATATGTCTTTACCCAGTGCACATACCTTCAAATACACACACACACACACACACACACACACACACATGCATGAACATGCACCCACACGTTTATATCTAAAACTGAATTTCACAAAACAACCCTGTCTGTGAGGCAGCCAAACATTTTATTTTTCTGTTATATTATTCTTGTCTGTTTTTAAAATCCTGTTTGTAATCTATTAAAATAAGCATGAACTACTAAGAGTTTGCAACATTCTGTCTGAAAATCATTAGTCTAGCCAGGCGTGGTGGCTCAAGCCTGTAATCCTAGCTGCTTGGGAGGCTGAGTTGGGAACATCGCTTGAGTCCATGAGTTGGAGACAAGCTGTGCAATAAACAAAAAATCCTTAGTCTAAATCTAAAGCAAGAGTTATAGCATACAACTCAGGTGGAGAGGCATAGAGAGCCTGCACAGCAAGAGGAGAGAGGGGCTGAATGGAACCCAGCTCCTCAGTGGGTGCACCAGGTGACAACTCCTCTGCAGAGCGGGTTGCAGGTCTATATAGCTCTCTCAGGGGTGCTGCAGGATAGAGTACTGAAAAAAAGTTCTTCGAAAATCCTCTCCACAAAAACATGCTTTAAACTCAGGCCTAAAAGTTCCCACAAAATTCCAAAGAACACGAGCTCATCCAAATGACTGAATTTGTGAAGGAAAAAAAGCCATCACGAACACACGTCAGCAGAAACCACAAACTTCAGAAGCTGATACATAAAGCCTGAAGATATTGGAATTATGCCGCAGAGCATGAAATACACACATTTAATGTTTGAGGTCATAAAGAGGGGGTGAAAAGTATGCTGAAGAAAGACAAGACTGTAAAAACAGAGCACATTTGAAAGTAACCAAGGAGCATTCCTAAAAATGGGAACTCTCATCATAGAAATTAGATTTAGACAACAGATTAGGCCGGGCACTGTGGCTCATGCCTGTAATCCCAGCACTTTGGGAGGCTGAGGCAGGCAGATCACGAGGTCAGGAGATCGAGGCCATCCTGGCCAACATGGTGAAACCCTGGCTCTACCAAAAATACAAAAATTAGTTGGACATGGTGGCGCATGCTTGTATTCCTGGCTACTCAGGAAGCTGAGGCAGGAGAATCGCTCGAACCGGGGAGTTGGAGGTAGCAGTGTGCTGGGATCGCGCCACTGAACTCCAGCCTGGTGACAGAGAGAGACTCCATCTCAAAAAAAAAAAAAAAAAAAAAAGAAGGGAAATCAGTATCAAAGAAATATTTGCACTCCCATGTTTATTGTAATACTATCTATAATAGCCAAGATATGGAATCAAACTAAGTGTCCATCAACAGATGAATGGAAAATGAAAATGTGGTAGATAGACACAACGGAATACTATTCAGCCATAAAACAGCATGAAATCACGTGCAGCAATGCAGATGGAACTGGAGGGCATTACGTGAACTAAGTCAGAACAGAAAGACAAAAATACTGCAGGTTCCCACTCGTAGGTGGGACCTAAAAAAACTGATCTCATGGACACAGTGAATTGAATAGAATGGTGGTTACTAGAAGTTGTAAAGGGTGCTGAGGAGGCAGAGGGTGAAGAGGTGTTGCTTAACAGGTACAAAAATACAGCTCAATAGAAGACATACGTTCTATGTTTGATAACACAATAAGGTGGCTGGTGTTAATGACAATTTATTGTATATTTAAAAATAGCTAGAAGAAAAGATTTGAAATGTTCCCAACACAAAGAAATGATAGATGTTTGAGGTGATGGATATCCCCGTTATCCAGATTCAATCATTCTACATTGTATGCTTGTACCAAAATATCACATCAACTTCATAAATATGTACAGCTGTTATGTCCATAAAATTTAAAAACAAAAAACAAGGAAGAGGGGAAGGATAATATACCTCCCAATGTGAAACAGGCACTACAGTCAAATTTTGTAATATGAGACTTAGTAAAAGGGTTGTATAAAAGCTACGGGCAGTATTTGTAGGGAAACCACAAGGAATAGGGCAGCACCACAGGGTGGCGATGCCATGATCACCACGGCATTTAGGGGGCCATGATCTCATGCAGATCGGAGGAGCAAAAGAAGGAGTGGTTATCAAAACCCAGGTAAGAGAGGTCTGTGCAGAGACAGCTGTAATGGATGCAGCCCGCCGGGGCACAGCACAGGGAAGGAAACAGGGGAATAAACTCCATCCTCATTCTCCTTCCTCCCTTTGATCTCATTCCAGGACTCCCATGAGCTATACCCAAGCAGAATCCAGTGGGCAACAGAGCTTTTGATGCAGCCCATGAGGGCACAGACAAGGCTGAGCACATGGAGAGTGGGTGGGGGAATGCCACATGCACAATTCACCTCATTTGCCTTTTGACTCATAACTCACGGTAACCCAATAGCTGATGAGCATGCATTCCTTTACAGCTAATGAATTCAGAAGAAATGATCGAATTAGAATATTTGCTTTCTCAAACCCCTAATGAAGTAATGTATGCAGGCAATGGTCATCATTGGCAGCTGGAACTATTATTTGATAGGAAATTTTATAATGGATAGATCATCCTGATAACATCTGAACCCACAGATCAATATTAACATCAAAAAAGGAGATAGACAATAGGTATCTCCTGATGCAACATAATAGCAAGCAAATGCACTAAACATACAGCGTTCCTGCCACAAATATTGAGCCTGAATCTAATTAAGACCATGTTTTACTACCAGTTTATAGGAAATACAAGGGACAGAGGAACGTGTTCAACACTCCAGGGCTGCAATCAGCAATATCTAGACTGTGGGATGTTCCACAGGGCAAAGGATCCAGTTTTATTAACAGACACCTTGCAAGATATAAAAATAGGGAAGGGGAAACCTACAGATAGATTTGAGACATAACCAATCTATGTCTGGACCTTTTGTGAAACCTAATTCCAAAAAACCGGCTATAAAAACGTTTTTGATGCGAAATGAGCAGTTTGAATGCTGACTGGATAACTCGGTGATATTGAAGAATTGTAGACTTTCAGGTATAAGTAACAGTATTATGGTTATGTTTTTTAAATTTTTATTTTTTTAATTTAATTTTATTTTTTGAGATGGAGTTTTGCTCTTGTTGCCCAGGCTGGAGTGCAATGGCACGATCTCAGCTCACTGCAACCTCTGTCTCCCAGGTTCAACCGATTCTCCTGCCTCAGCCTCACCAGTAGCTGGGATTAAGGCGTTAGTCACCACGCCCAGCTAATTTCTGTATTTTTAGTAGAGGTGGGGTTTCACCATGTTGGTCAGGCTGCTCTTGAACTCCTGACCTCAGGTGATCCACCTGCCTCGGCCTCCCAAAGTGCTGGGATTATAGGCAAGAGCTACCATGCCCAGCGGTTATGTTTTCTTTTTTCTTTTCTTTTCTTTTTTTTTTTTTTGAGACAGAGTCTCCCTCTGTCGCCCAGGCTGGAGTGCAGTGGCACAATCTCGGCTCACTGCAAGCTCCGCCTCCCGGGTTCACACCATTCTTCTGCCTCAGCCTCCCGAGTAGCTGGGACTACAGGCGCCTGCCACCACGCCCAGCTAATTCTTTTTTGTATTTTTAGTAGAGATGGGGTTTCACTGTGTTAGCCAGGATGGTCTCGATCTCCTGACCTCGTGATCTGCCCACCTCGGCCTCCCAAAGTGCTGGGATTACAGGTTCGAGCCACCGCGCCCGGCCCCCGGCAGTTATGTTTTCTAAAAAAGAATCAATGTGTTTCGGAGACAAGTACTGTAGGATTTATGTATGATGTCTACTAATTGACTAAAAATAACGCAGTGGGGAGAGTGTGGAGTGGGTGAAGAAATGAATGAAACAAGATGGACCATGTGTTGGCAATTTTGAAGCTAGGTTATTAGTACACTAGATTACTAGTATACTAGTCTCTCTACTGTGTATATTTTATTTTTTCCCTAACAAAATATGTAGGAAAAAATTGCATGCAGAGGGTATGAACTGTCTGTTACATAATCTCATGACCCATAATCAGCATTCAGGGACAGAGGGAAAGCAGGGGTCCCTGGGAGTTGGAGATGTCTACTCTGGAAGAACAAAGGCCTCAAGTGTTTCCAACACTATGCTCATCACAGGTTCCCAGTCCTTGCAAAGCTGTTCTCATCTCAGAGGCCCCTCAAGGAAACAGAGAATCCCCAGTGAGAGAATGAGACTAACCGGGATTAAGCTTCTCTGTAAAATCGAGAGGTCATAGTTAGGGGACTGAATATGAAAATGCCCATTCAGTCACTGAATTTGGCAATAGGATAGGAAGCAGAGCAGGAGGGTATATTACTTCAATTGTGAAGCAAATGTATTATTCATTGGCACAAGAAAGGCATTTGGGAAGGTGATCAAATGCATATGCTTTATAAAGTCACATGTTCCAAAAACTTTGAAGAGCAGGTATTTTCCGCTTTTTGAAACTATTTTATAACAGTATAAACAGCTGAAAGGAATGAGCTCAGTCTAATGTGTACCCACTTTCATACACTAACTTAGCGAGAGAAGGTTGAATTCATTTATTTACTTATTTTGTAAAGTCAATAAATTTTTATTCAAGGAATTTCATGTTTTGATTTCTTCCACTGCCCATCAAGGTCACTTTAGATCCTCTGAAGAGCTGGAGTCAAAATTTATTTTCAAAAATTACCTTCAAGTTAGCCCTTTCAAATGAAACTGACATTTATTTTAATCCAGTTGTCCTGTCAACCCATAATTCTTTTATTTTGGCTTCTGTCATCTCCTTTTAATATGGATATACTGACGAAGACTTCAAAATTCACCAGTAGTCTTTGGGATCTGATTTCTTCCACCAATTTACTTTAGGGTCATTTTTAGTGTAGGTGGATCTGCCTGGTTCTCAATTTGACACCCTCTCTAAACATGAATGAGTTCCAATCATATTCGTTCCTAAGTGATCAAATTCAAGAATAGTACAGATGTGTGGAATATGCCAATACCTAAGGTAAAAAAGTAAATTATCAGGTCTTTACTAAGACAGTTACTGAACTAAAGACAGTTTAGTAACTGTCTTTTTCATACTTCAGCAACTGTCTTGTGGTTCCTTCCCACAGATGTAACAATAGTCCTGTAAGTAAAGTAAAATCACAGAGTTACTCTATGAGGCATTTCCAACAACGTGCAGGCTACAGGAAAAGACCTATCGGGATAGACCTCAACGGAATGTTGAATTTAAAAAGCAAGTCACCAAATATCACTTAAGTAAAATTTATAAATATACTAAACAGCAAACTACATCAATGTTTCTCTTTTTCGGTTTTAGGAATCTCTTACTCTCCTAAAATTATTGAAGTTCCAAAGAGATTTATTTCATTTGGGTTGCATTTATTAATTTTTTCTATATAAGAAATTAAAGCTAAAAAAGTTTTGAAACACAAGAATGCAAGTATTCATTTCCTTAGGCATCAGAGCATTTACACCTTTAGGTAGCTCCACTGTATCCTCATGAAAGAATGAGAGTAAAAAAATTTCATATAATGTCTTAGTATTATTATGTAAATATATTTTATCTTATTTCCCCCCAAAAGACTGAAACCATTTTATCTTGCTTTCACCCTTTTGTGATCCAGGGATCACACTTTGAGAACCAATTCACATATGGTTTAGAGATATATTTTATATAACACGTTTAGTAAAATCATAAAAACATGTCTTGGCAGGGCACCCTTTATAAGTAAAGGCTAAGTTATGCTGCAATAACAAATAATGCTCCACACCCCTGCCCCCTCGCTTTTTTTCCCATCCTATTATGTTACATATCCATCAGCCACACCATGGCACCAAATCCTCTTCACTCTGGAATCTGGTAGATAAAGCAGACACTCTCAGAGTTTGCCAGGCTCATGGCACACGGAAAAGAAAAAGTGAAACTACTTCTGCTGAAAGGGACAAGGATCATTTATGCCCACATTTCCCTGGCCAAAGCAATTCACACAGCCAATCCTAATGGCAGCAAGGTGGAGAAACTACTCCTCCCCCAGGAAAGGGAAGCAAATACTTTTCTTCTTTTTTTTTTTTTGAGACAGAGTTTCGCTGTCGCCCAGGCTAGAGTGCAGTGGTGCGATCTCGGCTCACTGCAAGCTCCACCTCCCAGGTTCATGCCATTCTCCTGCCTCAGCCTCCCAAGTAGCTGGGACTACAGGCACCCGCCACCACGCCCGGCTAATTTTTTGTATTTTCAGTAGAGACGAGGTTTCACCATGTCAGCCAGGATGGTCTCGATTTCCTGACCTCGTGATCCGCCCACCTCGGCCTCCCAAAGTGCTGGGATTACAGGCATGAGCCTCAAGAAGGGCAGCAAACACTTTTCACAAAAAGTTAAGTCTTCCCCACACCAATGTCAAGGTTAGCTTTGGGTAGATAAGGAGATAGGATGGGGTAATGACAATTTTTAAAGTAACAGTAATAAAATAATAGTAAGAGTAAAAGAAATCATTTTAAAAAACAGAATTCTGAACCAAAGCAAACAAATAAAAAAATGGTACAAACCAGAGGTGTTCTCTTTGTGACTGCAACTGACTTGACCATACTCCTCAAAATGATTAAATTAGGCATCATTGGCTCAGCCATAGACATTATGACCCAATGGTAATGAGGCACAGACTGTGCATGGCAATATAGCTTAGAGGAAAAGAAAAGATCATTGTCTTTTTGATTATTTTATTTTTCAGATGGCATATACTCTGTCGCCCAGGCTGGACTGCAGTGCAACTTCTGCCTCCCGGGTTCGAGCAATTCTCCTACCTCGGCACCCCAAGTAGCTGGGACTACAAGCATGCACCACCACACTCGGCTAATTTTTGTATTTTTAGTAGAGACGGGGTTTCACCATGTTGGCCAGGCTGGTCTCGAACTCCTGACCTCAGGTGATCCACCTACCTTGGCCTCCCAAAGTGCTGGGATTACAGGCATGAGCCACTGTGCTCGGCCAGATCATTGTCTTTGACTCTACACTTCCTGTCTTCGGTTTCTAACCATGGGTCGTTAGCCACATCACTCAAGGTATCTATGCATTGAAAGGGGGATTATAATGATACTTGCCTTATAAGGTTGTTGATAGGTAAGTCTTATAAAAGACTCGGTCTGTTGAAGTGCTCAGAATAGTGCTTAACTTAGAGGAAGTCCTACTTAGCCCAACTTCTGAAGCAAGACATAGCAGTTAAAGTTGTGACCTTATTCATGTATGGAGAGGTGAGAATTTAGGTAACACTTACATGAGGGTCTAATATTAATAGGTGTCCAATTCCAGCCTTGAATGAGAAAAGTAGAATTACTCAACCTGTTGGAATAACTAAGATTTCCCCGAATTTTTGTATCTGTGATATAGAGGTATCTTTTTCTGAGAGTAGCACTTTGGAAAAGACAGATACGATTTGTGACAAAATTATGGGGGAGGCATTATGACATTTTTTTCAAACATGTTGGAAACCAAACCATTAGCTCCCAAACTCCAAGGCCATGGGTGACAGATGAGGTTGCTGAGAGGTTTTGCTGGTTAAACAGAATAGTGGGAGCTCTGCTTCTTGTTAGAGTGTAAAAGGTTGTAAAAAGCTGTTGCTCGCAATATAACAATGAGGAAATCTTGATTTATTCCAATCATCACACGTGACAATCAGTAGAGACCTGAAAATGCATAGAAGTCTAAACGCACAACATTCAAGGGAGGGACGAGCCTGTCCAAAGCAATAAAAACCTGCAACTGCTTTTATCTCTGGGGTGTGGTGGGAAGAACAAGCCAGCCATAAGCAGGGAGGACTCGGCTCTTGGCTGAGACAAAAAGAAACCAAAGAAATCTAGAAGGACCCTGTAGGCCAGGCGTGATGGATTCAAACCCAGAAGCGCCCCCAAAGTACACTCATCTACGTGCCCCATAAATCTTTTCGTTCAGACATTTCATCTCAAATACAGAGTGATGGCTGGGCACCTGGGACAGGGTAGGATGGCAGACAGAAGGAGAGGTCCTGTGGAGTCGGAAGCCAGGGCAGGCTGCAACATGGATTTCTTCCAAGGTACGGGAAGCTGGAAATGAGCGAGAAAGCTTAGGGAGACCTCAGAGTCTTAGCTCTCTATTCCTAATGAAAGGAGGGCCCTGGCTGCTACCTTTGAAATATATGAAACCTGTGGTAAACTGAAATTAATTAAATCTACAACCCAGACCAAAACCAGCTCAACTCCAGATTGAGGGGAAAATAGAATTACACTGTTGTAAGTTTCTTACACTTTTTTAATGAAGTTTCACAATACTATTCACAAATAGATTGTGATAAGTTAAAAGTACATGACCTAGAGAGACAACAGAAAAAAATCTCTAGATACTCTGAAATTAAATAATACACCTTTAAATAGTCTATGGTCAAGAAGGAGATCCAAGGAAATTTCAAAAAGTACACATAGAATTGAATAAGAATAAAAAGACAATAGATCAAAATATGTGGGATGTAGCTAATGCAGAGCTGAGGGGGATCTTATAACCCTAAACGTTTATGTTAGAAAAGAAGAAAGGACCCAAAACAGTAAGTTTTTCCCCTCAAAAAACTAGAAAAAGATTAGCCAAAGAAACCCAAAGCAAGCAGAAGGAAATCATAAAGGTGAGAGCAGAAATCAACTAAACGGAAAACAGGAAAGTAGAAAAAATAAAACAAAAAGCTGCTTCTTCAAAAATATCAATGTCACTCTAGCAAGACTGGCAAAATTAAAACAGAAGAGACACAAATCAACAGTATCAGTAATGAAACTAACCACAAAGCCCACAGCCATTAAAATGGCAGAAAGGGAATATTATAATCAACTTTATGCTCATAAATTTGACAATGTAGAAAAAATGAATCAGTTGCTCAAAAACCAAAAATTACCAAAATGCAACCAACACGAAACAGATAATCTAAGTGGTTCTAGTAAAGAAAACTATTTAAAAATGGAATTCATAATTTAAAAGCTCCTAAAAAACAACTTGCAGCTCCACTTCATTTCCCTGGAGAATTCTACCAAATATTTAAAGAACTGACAGAAATTTTACACAATTTCTTCTAGAAAATAGAAGAGAAAGGAACACTTCATACTTCATTTTATAAGGCGGATACCAAAACAAGACAGAAACAGTACCAAAGAAGAAAAATATAGACAAACGTTTTTCATAAACTTTGACACAAAAGCCATCAACAAAATATTAGCAAATTAAATACAAAAATGTACAAAAACATTTTTAAATAGTGATCAAGTGTGATTCATTCCAGGAATGTAAGGTGGGTTTGACATTTGCAATCAATTAATGTAATCCACCATGCTAACAGGCTAAAGAAGGAAATGACACAAAAATGAATTTGACAAAATTTAGTACTGACACATGCTAGAAACTCCCTAAATTAGGAATACAGAAGAACTAAGTGACCTCGATAAAAAACACCTACAAAATCCTACAGCTGACATTGTACTTAATGGTGATAAACCGAATGTTTTCTTTCTAAGATCAGGAGCAAAACAAGGATTCCGCCTCTCAACACTTGTATTTAACATAATATTGGAAGTTTTATCTGCTGCAATAATGCAAGGAGAGAAAAGCAAAAACATGCAGAAGAGAAAGGAAAAGATAAGGCTACCTCCAATTGCAGATGACATGATCATCTTCATAGAATATTCCAAGGAATATACAAAAATAAAGGTCTAGAACTAAAAGTCACTTCAGCAAAGTAACAGAATACAACATCAACACAAAAAATATTAATCACATTGTGCCCAGAGTTGGTTCCTTCCGGATGGTTCTTTGTCTCGCTGACTTCAGGAATGAAGCCACGCCTACCTTCACAGTGAGTGTTACAGCTCTTAAAGATGTTATGTCCGAAGTTTGTTCCTTCAGATGTTTCTGCCTGACAGTGGGTTCGTGGTCTCACTAACTTCAAAAACGAAGCCGTGGACCTCCTCACGGAGTGTTACAGCTCTTAAAGGTGGTGCGGACCCAAAGCGTGAGCAGTAGCAAGATTTATCGTGAAGAGCGAAATAACAAACTACGCACGGGACAGAAGAGGACCCCAGCGCGTTGCTGCTGCTGGCTGGGGGTGGCCAGCTTTTATTCCCTTATTTGACCCCGCCCACGTCCTGCTGATTGGTCCATTTTACAGAGCGCTAATTGGTCCATTTTACAGAGTGCTGATTGGTCCATTTTACAGAGTGCTAATTGGTGTGTTTGCAATCCTTTAGCTAGACACAGAGCACTGATTGGTGCGTTTTTACAGAGTGCTGATTGGTGCATTTAAAATCCTTCAGCTAGACACAAAAAATCTCCAAGTCGCCACTCGACCCAGGAAGTCCAGCTGACTTCACCTCTCAATATTTCTATATACTAAAAATGAGTATGCAGAAACCAAAATTAAAAACACAATACCATTTACAACTACTCCAAAGAAAATGAAGTACTTAGATATAAACCCAACAAAAAGTGTACAGTATCTGAATGCTGAACATGACAAAATACTAATGAAAGAAATCAGAGACCTAAATAAGTGGAGAGAGGTACTATGTTCATTTAAAGACTCAACATGGTGAGTACACTTTCTCTCCAAATTGACCTATAGGTTTAATATAATTCCCTCCAAAATCTAAGCAAGTTTTTGTAGATGTTGACAAGTTTATTCTAAAGATTATATGGACAAGCAGGGACCCTAGAGTAGACAAAAAATAATCTTGGAAGATAAGAATAAAGTGACAGAAAACACTGTACCCAATACTAAGACTTACTACATAGCTACAGTAATGGAGAAAGTGTAGTATTGGTAAAGAAGCAAACATGTAAATCAGTGGTACAAAATAGTGAACTCATAAATAGACCCATATAAATATCCTGAAATGATTTTTGACATAAAGGCAAAAGCAACTCAATGGAAGAAGTAGATCTTTTGGAGCAATTGGAATCTCAACCAAAACCTCACACCTTATATATAAAAAGAAAAACCTCAAAATGGATCACAGACTTAAATTTATAACTGTATAACTTTTAGAAAAAAAAGCAGGAGGGGTGTTTGAGATCTAGGGCTAGGAAAGACTTTTTAGGCACAAAAAGCACGATCCTTTAAAGGAAAAAAAGATAAAAACTGGACCTCATCAAAATTAAAAACTTTTACTCTGCACAAGACCCTGTAAAAACAATGAAAATGCAGACTACATACTGTGAGAAAGTATTTACAAAACACATACTCAAAAAAGTATTACCCTGTAGACCATGTAAAGAATTCTCGAAACACAACAGTAAAAAAGCAAAAATCCAGTTAGAAATAAGCCAAATATATCAATAGACATTTCACTGAAAAGAATATACAGATGGCAAATAAGCACATAAAAATGTTTAGTTTCATTGTTTACCAGAGGAATGCAAATTAAAACCACAATGAGATATCACTGTATAGCTATCAGAATGGCTAAAACAAAAATGTAACAGCATAAAATGCTGGCAAGCATGCAGAAAAACTGAATCAGTTACTCATTGTTGGAAGGACTGTAAATTAGTACAGTCACTCTAGGAAACAGTTTGGCAGCTTCTTATACAATAACTATACAATTAGTATACGATCCAGCAATTGCACTCTTGGGCATTTATTCCAGGGAAACGATAACTGAGGTTCACATAAAAATCAGTACACAAGTGTTTTTAGCAACTTTATTCATAATAACAAGAAAAACAAAATCTAGGAAGCAATGTCCTTCAGTAGGTCTGTGGCTTTAAAAAAATGTGATATGTGAATACCATGGAATAATATTCAGCAATAAAAAAGAAGAAACTATTGATATATGTGACAATTTAGATAAATCTCCAGAGAGTTACAGTGAGTGAAGAAAAAAGCCAATTCAAAAATGTTACATACTGTATGATTCCATTTATATAGCATTATTGAGATTTTAAAAAAATAACTGAGGCAGAGAACAGATTAGTGATTGCCAGGATTAGAAATGGGATCAGTGTGGAAGGGAAGTGAGTATTGTAATAAAAGGGCAAAGTGAGGGATCCCTGTGGTGGCACTCTTCTGTATCTTGGCTGAAGTGGTGGATACATAAAACCACACATGTAATAGAATTGCATAGAGCTGAATACACACACCTGAACTCACCTAAGTGAGTACTATAAAACTGAAGAAACTGGAATAAGATCAGTGGATTGTATCAATGTCAATTTCCTGGCTGCCATGGTATAGTTTTGCAAGATTATTGTATTTGAGAGAACCTAGGTAAAGAGTACACAGGATCTTTCTGTATTATCTTTGACAAATATACATAAATCTATCTCAGTATTGAGCTGCATGGGAATTATCTCAAGACAAAATGTTTAATAAGAATATATGTTGTAATTGGCAGAATACAGAGCATTTTTAGTGGAGTGAAATCATTCCGTAGGATACTACAACAGTGGGCACATGTCATTATGCATTTTTCGCAACCTATAGAATATACAGCGCCAAGAGCGAACCCTAGTGTAAACTATGACTTGGAGTGGTGATGACGCATCAAGGTAGGGCCATCAATTATAACAACTATACCACTAAGGTGCAGGAGAATGATAAAGGGGGGAATTGTGCCTGTGGTGAAGATAGGGGAGGAGGGGTAGATAGGTACTCTGTATTTCCTGCTCAGTTTTGTTGTGAACCTAAAACTGGTCTAAAAAATAAGTTCTATTTCTTAAGTCATGTTGTAATTTCAAGAGAAATATTTAAAAATATAGATATAGCTAAAAACTCAATGAAAAAGACAGTAATAAAAATACACCATCCAGAAAAGTCAGAAAACTAACTAATGAAGGATAAAATGTCAGATGACACAAATCGTGACCAAATAGCAAGATGGTTGATGTACACTCATTTGCATCAAAAATTTCATTAAAAGGAAATAGATTAAGCACTTCTTGAAAAATACATCATAAAACAGGGTAAGCTGACCCAACGATATGGTGTTTTCAAGAGACCTGATTTAAATTCAAGGACACAGAAATGTTGAAAGAAAAAAAAAAATGAAAAAATACACTTTGCAAACACTAACCACAAGAAACCCAGTGTTTCTATGTTAATATCAGATAGGAAAGTTGTGTCATATGGCTTAATAGAAAGCCACAAAATATTGCTGAACAAAGTTGGTAAGAAAACATGATCTTCATACATTCCTATTTCCTTTCCTTCTTAAAAGTTTTCCTTGAGTTCTTTGAACATACATATGACAGTTTCTTTGGGGTCTTTGTCAAGTTTAACATAAAGAGGGAGAAATCCCAGGCTAACACACCCCAAATTTCCACTGCTATTACTTGAAAGCAGTCTTTCTTGAATAAACTCTTATAAATTTGTTGTACATCTCTGGCCAGTTTCAGAGTCCTGAAATGGATGTTTTTGACAAAAGTTTTGTTCAGTTTTATCATTGCTTTTTGGGAGAGAATTTGCCTTCCCCCTCACTCCACCATTCTGTAAGACTCTGGTCCAGGTTTGGGTGCACAGCCAACACTGTGACTTGCTCCAGGGCAGCTGATGCAAACGAATGGGAGAACTCAGCAGCCCCTGACCTGCATTCCAACAGGCACATTCACCAGCGCAGTTTGGGAACCAAGAGGACCCAAGCAGCCTATAAAAGTCCAACTCTCAAGGCAGTAATAATAAATGGTTTGACCCTAATGAGGATTGCAGGAACTTCTGTAGATGAGCTATACAACCTTCCCTGGATTTGAAATCTGTGCTTCATTTACCATTTTTGTGAAACCTAGTATATAAATATCCACAACCTTTCTTTACTTTGATGATGCAAGGAGGTGCTGCAGGAAAATGCAGTCTACTTTTTGAACAATGGTATTGACGGCCAGGTGTGGTGGCTCATACCTATAATCCTAGCAGTTCAGGAGGCCAAAGCAGGAGCATCACTTGAGGCCAGGAGTTCAAGAACAGCCTGGGCAACATAGCAAAATCTCGTCTCTACAAAAAGTTACATTAGCTGGGCATGGTGGTAAGTGCCTGTAGTCCTACATACTCAGGTCACTGAGGCAGGAGGCTCATTTGAGCCCAGGGATTGGAGGCTCCTGTGACCTATGATTGTGCCACTACACTCCAGCCTGGGTGACAGAAGGAGACTCTGTCTCTAAAAAATAAATAAATAAATAGTTATCGAGTATGTCATGTTATTTTAAGGGCATTTTTAGCAACATAAAGAAATGCTCAGCCAGGCGGGGTGGCTCACACCTGTAATCCCAGCATTTTGGGAGGCCAAGGCGAGTGGATCACTTGAGGCCAGGAGTTTGAGTCCTGTCTAGCTAACATGGTGAAACCCCATCTCTACTAAAAATACAAAAATTAGCCAGACATGGTGGTGCATGGTGGTGCATGGTGGCATGTGACTGCAATCCCAGCTACTTGGCTACTTGGGAGACTGAGGCATGAGAATCACTTGAACCCAGTGGGTGGAGAGCCGAGACACACCATGGCACTCCAGCCTGGGTGACAGAGTGAGACTCTGTCTCATTATAAAAAAGAAAAAGAAAACCTCAGTTTGAACTTCATGAGACCACTAAAGAGATTTAAGTTTTACAAATTATTTATTAGAAGTCTTTCTAAATTTTGAGAGAAATCATAGTTCATTAATATATTAGTTAATATATCTTATTAAATTCAGGTTTAATTGTGTTACAGTTCAGATTTCTACTGTTAACTCTGTGGTACATCATAGATCATTTTATATCCTTAATAATCTAGAATAAATTGAGTGGGTAATATATTTATGGCTACTTGGGATGGGGGATTGGAGCCTACTTTAGCCATTTCAAATGGTCAGAAAAATTTAAGGTTGAGTGGTTAGTGTATCATTATGATTGTGATTTATTTGATCCTAAATGATTACTTGGGTACTCAGCCTCAATTGTAGCATTCTTTCTAGGAATAAAATATGATTTACCATCCAATTTTAACAATGCAGTTTCTGAAAGAAATGCACAGTAAAAACAAAACAAAACTGGAGTGCCTTTAATTTTTTGATAAACTATATTTATTAATTTTTCTCCATATTAAACTGGATATGCTTATTCTACATAACAAATATAACATAAACAGAGATGGTGGTTTCTCTTAATACCCTATCTTGACTCTTTGGATGGATGCAAAGTTTCTGCATCATGGTAAGGACTGGAAAGGCAATATGCTTGCTTCCAGTTTCACCCCCAAGATATAGCAGCTGGAATCTCACACTCATCTTTACAACAACAACAAAAATGCTGAACAAACAACCAAGGAATGATTTCCTTAACCCATCAGAGAACTGAGAACTCAGGCCAAGCCACTAAACTAAAATGTACAGAGACACAGGCTACCAGGGGGAGAAACAGGACCCTCACATTTATTTACCAGGGGCAGACAATAACAGATACCATAAGAGTCATTAGGGTACTACTGTAGGCATGTGAGATGCCTGGGGGCTGCGGACACACGGTAGTTGCTACCCTCTGTTAGGTCCCCCCTCAACACCCAACAAGGAAGCCCACCAAGTACTCATGGGGATGACTGGGGAGGTTCCTGGGAAAGCTTTCCTCATCCTCATAATACTGACTAAGGAATGAGAGGGCTGCAACTGATAAAATTCTACCTAGAAATATCTCGTCTATCTCCCCTATGATACAAAAGCCAGTCTGCAAGGGAAACAGCAAGAAAAATTGTAGCTTGAGGCTCTCATAAAAATCCACCTCAGATGGGAGAGGGGAACAAGAAAATAAATAAAGCTCTACCCTAAATAGAGGAGCAGAAATACTGCTAGACATCACATTCCAAGTGGAGATGAGGCTGTAACAATTGTGCAAGGCATACTCCCAAGATCCAGATTCATGTGCCTGAAACTGAAGCTAGGGAGGTAGACACTGCCCTAACTGAAACGCAAAGAGTAAAAAATACTAAAGACAATCCAACAAAACAAGTGTTTCAAGAGCTGTGCAACAGTATCACTCTCACATACAGATGATTGGAATCCCAGAAGAGCTGAAAAATGGAGCAGGAAAGAAGACACATTTGAAGAAGTAAAAATTGGGCAATTGTGATTTTTCAAAATTAGTGGCAGACCCCAAACCACTGACCCGTGAAGCTCAGAAAATATCAAGCAGAATAAATACCCAAAAAAAGAGTCACACCGTATTCAAAGAACTGAAAACCAAAGACAAACGGAAATCATGAAGGCTCTACTTCAATTTTAGTTTCCGTCATTTTCACATAGTTTAAAAAAATATTATAGTGTTATGCACACAAGGAAGGTACCAATTCCAGGGCAGCTGAAAGGTCTGGATCTTGGACTTAAATAGACAATTTTCTATTTGGCAAACATTGTGCTCTGCGACCTTCATTCACCACACTTTTATAGACACAATTATGTTAACTTTTTGAACTTTTTCCTCCTTGATTTGTTCAAATTACTGATTTCACACACTCTCAATCTCTTCCAAAAGCTTTTTGTGTCACTGAATGATCAAAAATAAAGTCAATTTTTTAATGTTTTTGAGACACTAGCAAAAGTTTGTTAAACCATACTCTCAGTTTTTCTCAAGAGTATGCATTCCTGACAGTGATTTTCTCCATTTTAGCAGTGTTTGCTATTTGGATAGGCTGCCACTTCCCAAATCATTCACTCATGGTTCCTTTTTGCTTAACAGTTATTTTCTGAATGTATCTCTCTCTTCTCATGTTTTATTATAGGCAACAAGATGAGTCTGGGTTGTGCCTTCAACACTTAGTTTGGAAATGTCTTCAGCTAAATGACAAAGATTGTTGTGTATGTTATACATTTCATATAACTGCAGGGCACAATTTTACTAAGCTCTCTGCCAATACATGACATGGATCCCCTCTCTTTAGTTTTCAATAGCATTTCTTTTTATTTTGAGATGGAGTCTCGCTCTGTCGCCCAGGCTGGAGTGCAGGGGCGCGATCTTGGCTCACTGCAAGTATGTTTGTGGTGACATGGCTACTCTCTAAGAGAATTTATGGTTTCTCTACCAAGTCTTTTACTTCCTTCTGAGTTCTCACTACCAGAACCCTTAAAATATGCATCTTTACTGTCTGTGGAAGGCAATATAGGCCTTTTCTATCATGCTTCTCAAAAAGGTTTCAGCCTCTGCTCACTGCCCAATTCCAAATCTATGTTCACATTTTTAGGAATTTATTATAACGGGACACCACTTCCAAGTACTGAATTCTATATTCTTCTCCTTTTTTTTTTTTTCTTTTTGGAGACAAAGTCTCACTCTGTCACCCAGGCTGGAGTGCAGTGGTGCAGTCTTGTTTCACAGCAGCCTCTATCTCCCGGGCTCAGGCGATCTCCCACCTCAAGCCTCCTGAGCAAACGGGCCTACAGGCACATGACAACATGCCCTGCTAATTTTTGTATTTTTTGTAGCAACGAGGTCGCGCCATGTTGCTCAGGATAGTCTCGAACTCCTGGGCTCAAGTGATCTTCCTGTCTCAGCCTCCAAAAGTTCTGGGAATACAGGTGTGAGTCACCGCGCCCAGGCTGTATTCATTTTTTTCTGTTGCCATCTCGACATATTCACAGATGTATCACTAGATTGGAGGGTCAGAATCATGGGGAACCAACATTCCGCCTTCCATACTGTCACTCTTGCTAGGATCCAAGTCAGAGCTCTGAATATACCATTATAATTAGCCAAAGCCTAATCCTCAGCTGAAGTGATGCAGCATTTCAATATGGCAGGTAATGCTGGCGGAAGAGGAGCTCATGGAAACAGACTAGATCTACTCAACAGGATCTCAAACTGGAACACTAGAGGAAGGAGTGGAGAAACCCTCTCAGGGATTTTCCAAAGAGGGTGAATTACACTGTTTATTTGCTTTTTCGTTGTTCTGGTTAGGTCAATTTAATGATGCAAGATTGACTGTTATGGATAATTACATTTTATATTACAGACTACAATGTGCTAATTAAAGTATTAATTGTTAATTAATCAAAGCATTATAGAGCCTATGAAATTATATAGTGTTCTAAAATTTGCAGAGTGCTTATATAGGACAGATATGAGACTAGCATATGTAAGTATGGCTGGAACAGTATTTAAAATACTGAAATACGTTCTTTCTAAACATTTCGCTTCATTTCACAGAAGGGCACCTAAGGCAGGTAGAAGAATGAGGTAGTTCCTGCATTTTTCCACCTTGCTGCTCCCTCCAAAACCCACATGCATGCACACACACGCACACACACATGCACACAATTGCTGCAAACCACTGCATTTACAGGATTTTTTTACACCTCAGGTGGGCCTGTTAGTTTCTAATAAACCTACTTGCCATCTATTTTTGGATCTCATCACCCTAATGAAAGGATCACAGAATGCTTCACAGCCAATTACCTGGTGCAAGATAAATGCATGTATTTATTCATTCTCCATAATGATGATTAAGAGGGAGTTCATTTCACTGTAGTCTTGCAGGTGTTTAAAATATAAATGAACTGACTGCAATAAGAAGTACCCAAAACCTCATCTAAGGAAAATGCCATCCTAGATAATGCTCTCTTGTCCAATCCTATTAACATGAAATCACTTTTCTATTCCTTCAAATCTCACTAACAGGATGAAATAAAGCAGATGCCAGACAGATACCCCTCAAAGGAGACTGGCTCTCTCTTTTGCATCTGAAAAGCCCAAACCCCAAATCTATTCTCTGTCCTGGGTTTTCCTTTTCCTTAATGCTTTGTTTCCCTAATGCAGTTTCATTAGACTGTATTTGATATTTATTTCTCCAGAGCAGAAGTAGTGTATTCCCACAGAAAAGATTTGTCTAAATGCATCTACTATTGAGGCTCTCTACTGGGAGAAAAATTTTAAGCAGTGATGTGTGTTTATGGATATACATGTTTGTAATCTTATCTTCGTGGAGGCCTGTTGAGAATTCCTGAGGCACTTACTGAAAGACTTCCTTTCCTAACATCATTATTGCTTATTTGCTCCAGATGGATGTCCTGGGAATGAGCAGCTTGGAGACCCATGCACCATGTGTCACCCCCAGGTGACTGGTCTCCTTGTCCAGGCTATCAGACACGGGTGAACAGCATGCTCAGCTGGGCCTATCACATTCCACACGGCAGAGCCTTAACATAGCCAGGTGCAAAAACGTACATTTTAATGGAAATGGAAACCACACTTATGCTTAGCCTTGGTTGTTAGTGTTTTGAGGAGACAGGATTTAAGTCTTTCCCAGTAGGGACATGACAAGCACTGCCTTTGGGGGTTGGTGAGGCTTCAGCAGGGCTGCTCCCCACCTGTGCACCACTCTGGAAACATTCCTCACATCCAGCCCATAGACTCTGACTCTGGCCTGTTTGCACCCAGGTTCCAGAATGCATGAGGAAACTCTGAGAGAGGAACGTGATGGAAAAGTAATAAATTTAGCACTTACTTAAACTGTGATTTGATCTAGCAAAAATATTTCCCAAATGTTGGTGACCATGTTTTGGCCAAAGGAAGTGCTGTGGGAGGGTCTTATCTTCATTCTCTCCTCTCCGCAAAACATGGCAAATAATTGGCTTTGCAATCAAATGCACCAACGAGGAGAGAACACAGCAGGGGAATAGGGTCAAGGTGTAGGTGTAACTCGTGAATATTATATTTTTCACCTTTTATTTTATGACTATGTTACAAAATATTAACAAAATATAAGATATCTATTTTTGAATGCTTACAAATGTGTGTATATATTTCAGATATATAAATATATATGTATACACAATGTATGCTATTAAATATATATTTAATAGTATTATTTAAATTGTAATTGATCCTTGAGCAACATGGGGGTTGGAGCACTGACCCTCTGCTTAGTTGAAAATCCACATATACCTTCTAACTCTCCAAAAACTTTGCTAATAGCCTACTGTTGACCATAGCCTTACTGATAATGTAAATAATCAATTACCCCATATTTTGTATGTCATATGTATTATATGCAATATTTTTACAATAAAGTAAGTTAGAAAAAAATGTTATAAGATAATCTTAAGGAAGAAAAAATATATTTACTGTTCATTACAAGAAAGTGGATCATCATAAAGGTCTTCATCTTCATTGTATTCACGTTGAGTAGGCTAAGGAGGAGGAGGAAGAGGAGGGATTGGTCTTGCTGTCTCAGGAGTGGCAGAGGCAGAAGAAAATCCATGTAAAAGTGGAACTCTACTGAAAATCCGTGTAAAAGAATTTTTCTACCCATGAGAGAAAAGGAAGAATCAATATCGTGAAAACGGCCATACTGCCCAAGGTAATTTACAGATTCAATGCCATCCCCATCAAGCTACCAATGCCTTTCTTCACAGAATTGGAAAAAACTACTTTAAAGTTCATATGGAACCAAAAAAGAGCCCGCATCGCCAAGTCAATCCTAAGCCAAAAGAACAAAGCTGGAGGCATCACACTACCTGACTTCAAACTATACTACCAGGCTACAGTAACCAAAACAGCATGGTACTGGTACCAAAACAGAGATATAGATCAATGGAACAGAACAGAGCCCTCAGAAATAATGCCGCATATCTACAACTATCTGATCTTTGACAAACCTGAGAAAAACAAGCAATGGGGAAAGGATTCCCTATTTAATAAATGGTGCTGGGAAAACTGGCTAGCCATATGTAGAAAGCTGAAACTGGATCCCTTCCTTACACCTTATACAAAAATCAATTCAAGATGCATTAAAGACTTAAACGTTAGACCTAAACCCATAAAAACCCTAGAAGAAAACCTAGGCATTACCATTCAGGACATAGGCATGGGCAAGGACTTCATGTCTAAAACACCAAAAGCAATGGCAACAAAAGCCAAAATTGACAAATGGGATCTAATTAAACTAAAGAGCTTCTGCACAGCAAAAGAAACTACCATCAGAGTGAACAGGCAACCTACAAAATGGGAGAAAATTTTCGCAACCTACTCATCTGACAAAGGGCTAATATCCAGAATCTACAATGAACTCAAACAAATTTACAAGAAAAAAACAAACAACCCCATCCAAAAGTGGGCGAAGGACATGAACAGAGACTTCTCAAAAGAAGACATTTATGCAGCCAAAAAACACATGAAAAAATGCTCACCATCACTGGCCATCAGAGAAATGCAAATCAAAACCACAATGAGATACCATCTCACACCAGTTAGAATGGCAATCATTAAAAAGTCAGGAAACAACAGGTGCTGGAGAGGATGTGGAGAAATAGGAACACTTTTACACTGTTGGTGGGACTGTAAACCAGTTCAGCCATTGTGGAAGTCAGTGTGGTGATTCCTCAGAGATCTAGAACTAGAAATACCATTTGACCCAGCAATCCCATTACTGGGTATATACCCAAAGGACTATATATCATGCTGCTATAAAGACACATGCACACGTATGTTTATTGTGGCATTATTCACAATAGCAAAGACTTGGAACCAAGCCAAATGTCCAACAATGATAGACTGGATTAAGAAAATGTGGCACATATACACCATGGAATACTATGCAGCCATAAAAAATGATGAGTTCATGTCCTTTGTAGGGACATGGATGAAACTGGAAGTCATCATTCTCAGTAAACTATCGCAAGAACAAAAAACCAAACACCGCATATTCTCACTCATAGGTGGGAATTGAACAATGAGATCACATGGACACAGGAAGGGGAACATCACACTCTGGGGACTGTTGTGGGGTAGGGGGAGGGGGGAGGGATAGCACTGGGAGATATACCTAATGCTAGATGACGAGTTAGTGGGTGCAGCACACCAGCATGGCACATGTATATGTATGTAACTAACCTGCACAATGTGCACATGTACCCTAAAACTTAAAGTATAATAATATAAAAAAAAAAGAATTTTTGTTCATGGGTCATGTTGTTCAACGGTCAACTGTAGTTATTACATTTTTATTTAAACACAAAATAGTTTAACATTCAGTTAAATAATTCTAACACAAGTGAAAGTGATTAAGGGCAGTACCTGCAGAATTTTTTTTTTTTTTTATAATCTCAACGTTTACTTTACATTCAGGTGGTACATGCACAAGTTTGTTACTGGGTATATTTTGTGATGCTGAGGTTTGGGATATGAATGATCCCCTCCCCCAGGTACTGAGTATAGTCCCCAGTGCATAGTTTTTCAATCCTTGCTCCCTCCCTTCCCTCCTGCCTCTAGGAGTCCACAGTGTCTATCCTTCCAGTCTTTATGTCCATAAGTACCCAATGTTGGGCTCCCACTTATAAGTGAGAACATGTGGTATTTGGCTTTCTGTTCCTCCTGCAGACATTTTTGTTTTGTTTACACAACTGATTTGCACAACAGTTCTCTGTTCTTGGCAAGAAGAAGTCCCTGTGATCTGGCCAGCAGCATCCTCAGCCTTCTACATTGAATCATCGCTTCACCTCTACCTCAACATCACATGAATTCTCAACACTTGGTAATTCCCAAGCTTATCCAGGAACTTTCATGCTTACTGATCCTCTCACTGATAAGACCTTTTCCTCCTTGCCTAATATCAAATTGCCATTCTCCTTTCAAAGACCTGTTTGGGGGTCAGTTTCTCGCAACTTGATGCTCCAACAAGTCTCCTTCAGGGCTGCTCCCTGTTCTACCACATGTCCTGCAAACGTCTACTCCACTGAGCACAACGCATTTTGAATGTGTAGTCACTCATCTGTCTCTACCACCAGAAGTCTGGTTCAGAGCCTGGTACACAAAAAGTGCCCTGTGGATATTTGTGTCAATCAATCCATGGGCCCAGGGTGACTTACTTGTAGGACAAAGCAAGGAGCTCCTGCTTTGGGACCTGAATTTATCACCTCTGCCAAGTGGGGCCTTTGCTGCTGACTTTCTGGTTTCTTCTCATTTAGACCCAAGGCATTGTCTGGTCTTTTCCTAAAGCTAGTCACCTGAGGTGGCTGCAGGCGAGCCAGAGGCATCCCATAAGCTCTGTAACTCTACAGGCTCAAGTGTCTTGCTCCTATCTGGGCATTGCAATGTCAGGACTAGAAGCAGTGCATGAAACAGGCCTCATCACTGCTTGCCAAGTGCAGATCTCAACTATGAAGTAGTTATCAATATTAATATAATTAATTAACATATGGGCACCTCTTGAAAAATTGGCAGATCTGGGACTTCACACTGCTGGGAAGAAGGGACAGCTTAGAAGAGCGTGCTCTGTGATCCCTCCTCTGGATGCTGCTCCTGACTCTCCCCCTCCATCGTCCTCTGCCCACAGGCCCATGCTAGCCTCCGGCATCTTCCAGGTACAATGATGGATGTGCCTAGATGGATGTTGGAGCAAGAACACCAACACTCCCTCAGGCTTCGCCAAAGCCACCCTAAAACTTGAATGCCTTCTGCATTCTCAAGCCACTTCACACTTGTCCCAAAAAATCTATGTGGCTGCACCCAGAACCCACCCCCTGCCAGGATCCCCATGGGCCAGCATGCCTACCACTCCACCCACTGAGCAGCCCAGGCAAGTGGTCTGCTCTCCGGAGTGTACCTCAGTAGCTGCCACTCTCGGCCTGCTAGCTTGCCACTCTTCTTTCCATTGCCTTCCCTCCCCCTGCCTTCTGGGTACCCAGACTTCCTGAGCTCTGCCCCCACTCAGCTCATATCAGTCTCGCTGTTCATCTTTCCCCAGTCCTCATTCAAGTGGAACTGAGCATCTCATTCTAAGAACCCTTTTGATTTTAGTATCTCCATAGCTTCAAAAAAGACCTGAACACCAGAACACCGCTGAGCAGCAGGGATGCTTCCCAGGGTGCTATTATCATCCCCAGTTTGCACATGGGGAAACTGAGGCAGAGAACGCTAAATAACCTCCCCAAAGTCAAATAGCTGGCAGGTGGCCAAGCTAGCACCCAGGTGATTGGCTGCTGGTATGGCAAGAATGAGGAAATAGGAGGGCTTCTCCCTGGCTCTGCTGGAAATCCCAACTTCCCCAGGAGTGTGGAGCTGAGTGGTTCCATATCTCTAACATTCTTGTCTTTGTGCATAAGGGATTTTTAGCTTCCCAGTGAGTGATCAACAAGGGAAAGTTGTGGGATACTGCTTATTGACTTCTTCCTGAAGTCAAGGTACCAAGAGGGTGACAGAACAAAGCTGAGAGCCGAGAGTAGACATTTTTCCCAAGTTACTTAGAATCCATGTCAGCAAATGCGTGCAGACTATGGAGGGGTCCACAGAAGAGCTGAGCCTCCTCCTAGCAGCCAACACCAGCTTGCCGGCGATGTGAGCGGCTGCCTTGGAAGTGGACCCCCTGCCCCAGCCCAGCCTTCAGATGATGCAGTGCCAGCTGACAGCCCAACTACAACCCCATGGGAGACCCTGAGCTAGAGGGTTCCAGCCAAGCCACATGTGGATCCTGACCCAGAGGAAGTATGTAAGATAATAAATGGTTGTTTTAAGCTGCTGAATTTTGGGGTAATTTGTTACACCAAGATAGATAACTATACTATGTATTTGCATGTATTATCTCCTATATTATGGTTTAGTCTCTTTAAAATGATGACTCAAATATATGATGTTGCCTCTAGTACAGTGGCTGAAATCTGATAGATCTTCCAGAAATGTTAATTGCATCCATGAATAACTGAATGAATTTGTGATCAACTTCAGGGCTGATTTTATTCATCAAACACTTATTCAGAACCTAATTGAAGTCAGGCATTGACCTAGGTGCTGGGGACCTGTCTGAGTTGGGGACCGCTGGGAGCCCATTCTGGGACGAGGCTCTGAGCATGCTCATAGTCATCCTACCCAAGGCTGGGGAGGCTGAGTGCTCACCTACCCACTCCCCACCAGCTTCTCTGGCTGAGGGCTGCTTCTGGAACCTCACATTCTGGCTTGCCTTGTGTGTGGTTCAAGTATACACCCAACACCAGCACACAGCATTCAGGCAAACAACCTCAGGTGTGTGTGGGAAGCAGCCTTTGGACAGGCAGGGCACCAGCAGCATCTGCTGTGGCATGAAATGTAAAACCAGGGCTCACGATACAAAAGAATTATAATTATAATGAAATGTAAAAGAGAAAGAGCCAAAGTATGTTTCTATACCTGTGGATGTGGTCACTGCCTAGTGGACTGTGGAAGGTGTCACAGGAAGTTATATTTGAAATGGTGCTGCGGAGTGAGCAAAAATTTGCTGCTGGCCGGGCACAGTGGCTCACGCCTGTAATCCCAGCACTTTGGGAGGCCGAGGCGGGTGGATCACCTGAGGGCAGGAGTCCGAGACCAGCCTGGCCAACATGGTGAAACTCTGTCCCTACTAAAAATACAAAAAAACAGCTGGGCGTGGTGGCGGGCACCTGAAATCCCAGCTACTTGGAAGGCTGAGGCAGGAGAATCGCTTGAACCCGGGAGGTGGAGGTTGCAGTGAGCCGAGATCACACCATTGCACTCCAGCCTGGGCGACAAGAACTAAACTCTGTCTCCAAAAAAAAAAAAAAAAAAAAGAAAGAAAAGAAAATTTGCTGGGAAGGCAAATGGGGAAGATGTGCGAGGATGAAAGAGCTGCACATACCAAGGCATCCAAGTGTGAGCACTTGCAGTGTATCAGGAAACGGGAAATGTCCGCCTGTACCTGGGGCCTCAGTCACACAGGAGCCAGGAACACATGAAAAGCTTGCAGCCAATACCTCATTCGCTTTGTAGGTATTTCCTGGTAGCAGAACCACAGCCACTAGCAGGCAAGCTGGACCCTCTGTGAGGATTAGAGTCTGCGCTTTTGAGGCTCCCAACCTCCCAGCATTTGAATTATCCCTAACACTCCCAACCGTGCCAGGAAGCCGCATCTTGTACCACATGAGATCCTGGCCACTCAAGTAAATTCACCCACGGGCCCGCCCCTGCTGGAGAGAGGGAGAATCGGGGTCTTCACTGTTTGTTTGTGGCTGTTGCACAACTGACACCGTTTTCTATATTTGGAGCTGTTATGGACTAAATGTTTGTGTCCCCTCAAAGTTGACTTGTTGGAGCTCTAATCCCCAATGTTATCAGGAGGGAGGACCTTTGGGAAGTGATTAGGTGAATCACTAAAGTCCTGAGAGTGGGGCTGTCAGGATAGGATTAGTGCCTTTGTAGGGAGAGACTGCTCTTGCTCTCTCTCTCTCTGCCATGTAAGATTCAGTGAGAAGGCAGAGGTCTGCATCCAAGAAGGCCCACACCAGAAGTGGACCCTGGTCCGCCCCATTCCCAACCCCTAGCCTCTAGAACTGTGAGAAATACATGTCTATTCTTTAAGCCCTCTAGTCCATGGTGTTCTGTTATGGTAGTTTGAGCAGACTAAGACAGAGACTCTGCGGAAATTCTAGTCTCGGAGAGGCAGGGGTTTGCTTTCTATGGCAGAAACCAAGAGGGTTCAGACATTCCTGCATTTAGCCCCAGAAGCCAGGTCACAGGCCGTGAACTGGGCTAGGTCCATGAGATGTGAGTCTGCAGAGAACATTAATGTGCAGGGGCAGTTTTGAGGTGACACTGATGCCTGGGGACCTGAAGCATCATCCTGGCTCCCCTGCTAGAGTGAGGACGCCTGGGGAATTGCATAATAAATGCAGACCAAGCCCACTCACAGGGGCCTTTGCAGGAATTACACTGATAGGACATGTAAAGTATTCCTGGTAGCAGTCCTCATTCAACGCATGTCCATTCTCATGGTTTCTTTCTTTTTTTTTTTTTTTTTTGAGATGGAGTCTTGCTCTGTTGCCCAGGCTGGAGTGCGGTGGCGCAATCTCTACTCACTGCAAGCTCCTCCTTCCAGGTTCACGCCATTCTCCTGCCTCAGCCTCCGGAGTAGCTGGGACTACAGGCGCCCACTACCACACCCAGCTAATTTTTTGCATTTTTAGTAGAGACAGGGTTTCACCATGTTAGCCAAGATTGTTTCGATATCCTGACCTCATGATCCGCCTGCCTCGGCCTCCCAAAGTGCTGGGATTACAGGCGTGAGCCACCACGCCAGGCCATTCTCATGGTTTCATTGTCTGCTAGTGACTTGCGGGCTTCTCAAAAGAGATCCCTTCTCTTGCATAAGGGTGAGTGGCTTTGATCTAACCCAGTTCTTCTAAACTGAAGATTTGCTTTCTCTCCATGTTGACATCCACGAGCAAATGTCACATCCCCTGATAGCCCTTCTGCCAGTGGGCACAGAAATGTCTCTTTGAGCTTCCACATTCACTGTGGGCTTCACGCTAGGTGGAGTGAATTGTTATCGCCTTACATCTATAGATGAGATCGTTTCTTATTTGGGGTTTTATAGGTACAGCAGAAGAAAATCATTGTGGGCATTATTATTGTGATTTGAAAGTCTAATGGATTTATTTATTTTGTTGATGATTTTGCCTCAGGGATTTAAAAACATGGTAATTTTATGTGTCTTTGTTTTTTTTTAACAGTTGTTTTGTTTTTACAGATTTTTTACAGGTTTTTTTTGTTTTGTTTTGTTTTACAGTTCCCATAGCAGTAAAATATTCACTCCATAGTGAATTTTTTTTATAAGTTTTCAACTGCAGGTGGAAATAGATTACATCTATTTGTACTCTAAAGTGCTGGCAATAAAGTTTACTCTCAATAATATCTTTTTTTATGTGCCTAACATTAGCTGTAAAGCATAAATGAAAGAAACTAGTAGGACATGAATCCCAAAGTTTCCAAAAAATGTAGCTCTATGTGTATACAACAGAAGTTACTTTGTAAGCTCCCTTCCACCAATGGCGGAAAGGAAATTCCAAGGAACGTAGGTCTCCCTCGCACACACATGCACACATGCACGTATGTGTGTGTCTTGTCCCAGCTGCCACCAAGTGTGGCTATTTTGGATGGCTCCTTTGTGCCATGACCTAGGGGTGGCTGGGGTTGGGTGTCTGTCCCATCATCTCCTGTCTGTCATCCCTGAGGCTGCATTGTCAGGGTGAACGTCAGTGTGTGCAGGGCGAGGCTCAGTCACCCCTTGTTCCTGGGTGCAGGGCCCCTCCAGTACAGCATCCTCCCAGCTATTTCAGGCCACTCCTAGGGGTCTGGAAGGAGCCCTCTGCAGCCTGTGGCACTCTGCGGCCAGAGGGAACATGGGAGGACTCAGGTGCCTGACTCCTGACAAGGGGGAAGTAGTTTACTGCCTCCCAGGCGACGCTGGAGTGGGAAGGAACTCTGTGATACTGTGTGTGTCCGTCAGTCCAAGTGGCAGGATAGCCAGAGCCTTCTCCACACTGGGAGAAGGGAGGGCACTCAGAGGAAGTGGGGTTAGCTCCACCTTTCCGCCCCGCCTCTCCACTGTCTCCACCCTGTCCTCGCTGCTAGGGTTCAGGCACTGGGGAGAGCCCTGCACGTTTTCCTGGATCTCCTGACTCCACTTCTTGCTTTTTCCTCTGACATTCTTTCATCCCTTCCCCAGCCCAGGAAAACATCATCTGTTTTTCAGGGTGAAGAAAACAAACTCAGTATGAAGGCATATTGTTTCTCAGGGCCCAGCTTTTGAAATTCAAAATGCTTTCCTTTCAGACTATTGCTTCAAACTTGAATCTCGAAAGTGTAATGCTGATAAAATTTAAAGTAGACTCTGAAATGCCAAGTCTCTCTCTACGCTCTACCGTGCATGTTATTTGCAGGAGGTGCTGGCTGATGCCTCAGTGGGGCAAGGCGGGACAGTTTGGACACATTGTGAAAAAGAAATCTGTTGTTTCTGGGTATCAACAATCAACATACTACCAACTGCAGAGGTAAATATTGAAATGCCATTTGGAAGGGGCTTTTTGTCTCTCTCAGATTTATTGGTAGCACTAATAACAAATAGAGTTTTGAATTGCTGAAAATCACAGGCTGAATTACTTTGAGAGACCAGGTTTCATCCTGAAGTTTTGGAGCAGCTCTCCAGCGTGGCCGGTCCTGACTGTACAGTCATGTCGGTGGCTTTAGGGGGACTTTTTTAGAAGCATGAGGCTGGGTAGGCTGGTTGGAGGGAAATGGAAGGACCTGAAGAAGTTTAGTATGAGTGTTCTCTTTGTATGGTCTCTGTTCTCTTCCTGCTGCAGAGAGGCACAGTGGAGGGCAAAGGGCTTTGCCTGGGTCCCCCTTTCTCTGGGTACCCTCCACGCAGGGCTCCCAGAGACTACTGTGGACACTGGGGGAAGACAGTGGGTTCACCTGGACCCAGTTCTTCCTAACTTCCTCACACTGCCCACATACAGCCCTTCAGCCCTCCAACTCCCTTCAAATTTAGACATCAAGATTTATCTCTTTCTTCTATTCCTTAAGAGCTAAGCTGATACAACAGTTCAACCCGAAGCATTTCCACATTGTCTCACACTGCTCTGGGCTGGGGTTGCATCTTAATCGCGGAGTGAGTGGAGCCTCCTTGCTTCACCTATGGGATGAATTTCTGTGGCAGGCGAGGGTGGGGGATATTGTGGGCTCTGCCCTCAAGCCACACACCAGAGCTGTTCTGGGCTCTCAGGCTGGCTCTCAATGGTGAAAATCACCGAGCTTCTCCCTACGGCAAGGAAAGAAGTACTCAAAGTGTATGCTGATGAGCTGGGCTGGAAGGCGCCCGGGCTCACCAGTATTTGGAGGGAACATATAGGAAGAAGAAACATGTTGGTGAAGTTGTGAAATTTAAAGTGTATCTCAAGCATTTATAATATTAAAAACATAACAAACACACACCTGGGTCCATCATGTGAATTTTCGGGGGCAGAACATCACTACCTCTGTGGTGCACTGTACCTACCTATCTTTTTAATGAGGCAGCCTCACTCACCAATCTGGTTGTTATACAGCACTCCACCCCCAATTCAGTCTTGAGGGATTTCCCTTGGTTACTTGGGCCCCAGGGCTTTTGACATCGACCCAGGATATCCTTATGGACAGTCTCCATGCTCGTTCCTATGGCAGGAAATGCCACTTTCAGAAGACCTGCTGTGCGCCACCTACCCAGAGAACCCCAGGCCATTCTGCACAGCAAGGACCCTCTGCGGAAGGACAGACAAATGCAAATCCCCAAATACAGTGCCCAGAATGAGTGCTGGACACTTTTCCTGCAGTCTCAAGGGCTAGGTGAACCGCTAGGTTCTAAACAAGACGTTGGAATTAGGAGTTTTATGTAGTCCAGAGATCTAAGCAGATGAAAAGTTCAAACATTCTCGACTGACACAACGTTAGATTTTGGAAGGGACTGCAGAGATCTTTGACCCTGACTCTCTCTCTCAGTGTTGAGAACTGGCTGCCATAACAAAATATCATAGAGTAGGGGTCTTAAAAAACAGAAATCCAGGCCAGGCACAGTGGCTTACACCTGTAATCCCAGCACTTTGGGAGGCCAAAGCGGGTGGATCACCTGAGGTCAGGAGTTTGAGACCAGCCTGGCCATTATGGTGAAACCCCATCTCTACTGAAAATACAAAAATTACCTAGGCATGGTGGTGGGCGCCTGTAATCCAAGTACTCAGGAGGCTAAGGCAGGAGAATCACTTGAACCCAGGAGGCGGAGGCTGCAGTGAGCCAAGATCGTGCCATTGCACTCCAGCCTGGGTGACAAGAGCGAAACTCTATCTCAACAACAACAACAACAACAACAACAACAACAACAAAACAAACAAACAACACAGAAATCCAGGTGCTCAACCTGGAGGCTGAAAGTCCAAGATCAAGGGTTCAGTAGGGCTGTTTTCTCCTGAGGCCTCTCCTTGGCTTGTGATGATCGCATCCTTGCTGTGTCCTCTCGCGGCCTTCTCCCTGTGCATTTGCAGCCCTGTTGTCTTTTCCTTTTCTTATAAGGACATCAGTCCTATTGTGTTAGAGCCCCACCTTATGACCTCATATAACCTTAATTAACCTCTTTAAAGGCCCTATCTCCAAATACTGTCACACTGCAGGTTAGTACTTCAACATAAGAATGTGGGGAAGGGGGCACAACTCAGGCCATAACAACTCACTCCACTGCATCATGACTTAGAACAAGACATTATTACACCATCTGCTGGGTCCAAAATAATCAAGGTCTGAGTAGAATAGATTAGACTGTGCAGGGCAAAATATCCAGGATTGAAGTCAGACACATCAGGGCAGAGGCCTGACTGTGAAACCCACTGGCTGTGACCAAGCAAGTCACTTGACTTCTCTGAGCCTCTCTTTCTTCATTTGGAAAACAGGGAGAGTAACATATATCCTGCATGGATGGGAGTGTTGGAACTAGTGTTTGGAAAGTGACTACTCAAAACAGAATGGCTATTCTTATGAGTCACCATCATTCTGATATTCCATGGGATTCCAAGGTCTAGTGAAGCCCTTGGCCCCCTTCTGAGATGCATTTTTCTGGTGAGTTGCTGCACATTGTGCTATGGAACTGTGCAACCCTGGATACAACACTAGGCTTGACACCTGAGCCACCAGCCAGACACAGGGGCCTGATTCAAGGCCTACCACCCTCTGTGAGGACTTTCCATGGGCTCCTGAATAGGTATGTGACTTCCCCTGAAGACCAGATCCCCTGCTGATCACACACCCTGTGTTTCTCCATATGTACCAATATTTTCACATAAAACTTTTCACCTTATAGTCACTTGAACAAGGCTCATTCTGTGCCTTACAGCCTGGAAAAATAAATAAATAAGTAAATAAAAGCCTTCTATCACATAACAGGGCTACATGAGGGAATTGCTCAAAGTTATAAACTACAATGTAGTTACTGTGGAGACACTTTGAAATGCTGTATTAGTCCATTCTCATGCTACTATGAAGAAATACCCAAGACTGGGTAATTTATAAAGAAAGTGGTTTAATTGACTCACAGTTCCACATGGCTGGGGATGCCTCAGGAAACTTATAATCATGGCGGAAGGCGCCTCTTCACAGGGTGGCAAGAGAGAGAATGAGTCAGCACAGGAAAGACTAGCATTTCTAAAACCATCATATCTCCTGAGAATTCACTCACTATCATAAGAACAGCATGGGGGAACCGCCCCCATAATCCAATCACTTCCCACCAGGTCTCTCCCTAAATACCTGGGGATTACAATTCAAGATGAGGTTTGGGGGGGGACACGAAGTCTAACCATATCAAATGCCTATCCCTGGAGGAATGCTCTAGGATCTAGGGTCAGGCAAAGGAGGCCAAGTAGCATCAGATGGTGGGGCAAAGTGCTGAATATGTGAAAATGGTATTCTTGGCTTTGGACCAAGGTGCGCCACCTGTTCTGTCACTACATCATCACAGCTCATGAGATACAGTCATCACAGGCTAAGAAGAGGTTGGATGTGGATAGGACCTGAGCAGCCATGTTACTTGCTCCAAAACCCTCATAGAGGCCTAAAGAGGTACAATAATTGTTCCAAAGTTACACTCTTATTTACTGGCAGTGCCAAGGCTAAACTTTAAATCTTATGACCTCTAGCCCAATATTTTTTTCCACCTTTAATCATAGATTCTTAAAAATTGTATTTTGCATGTGAATATTCAGTTGTCCCAACAACATTTGTTGAAAAGACTATTCCTCCCCCGTGGGATAGTCTTAAGACCTTTGTTGAAAGTTAGTTGACCATAGATATCTGAGTTTATTTCTACTCTCAATTCCATTGCATTGATAAATATGTATATCGTTGTGCCAGTATCACATTGTCTTAGTTACTCTTGATTTGTAGTAAGTTTGGAAATCAGGAAGTGTGACTTCTCCTACTTTATTCTCCTTTTTCAAGATTGTTTTGACTGTTCTGGTTCCTTGCAGTTCCATATGAATTTAAGAATTAGCTTATTATTTCTGCAAAATAGGCTGTTGGGATTTTGATTGGGAATGAATTGAATCTGTAGATCAGTTTGGGGAGTACCACTATTATAATAGTCAATGGGTCAAAAAGTAAATAAAAAGAAAAATTAGGAAACACTTTGATATGAATGAAAAAGAAGGCAAAGCATATCAAAAGTTATATGACACAGTAAAAGCAGTATCATATAACACAGGGAAACTTAGAGCTGCAAATGTCTATATTAAGAAAAAAGTTATCAAATCAGTAACCTAAACTTACATTTTAAGACACTGAAAAAAGAGGAGCAAGCTAAACCTAAAGCAAGCATAAGGCAGTTGTGTTAATCCATTTTGCATTGCTCTACAGAATACCTGAGGATGGGTAATTTTTTAAGAAAATTACTTGACTCACAGTTCTGCAGGCTGTGAAGTAGGACACCAGCATGGCTTCTGGTGAGCGCCTCAGGAAGCTTATAATCATGGAGGAAGCAAAGAGGAAGTAGGCACATCCCATGATGAGAGAGAGCAAGAGAGAGGAGGGAGGTCCCAGACTCTTTTTAACAATCAGATCTCCTGGTAACTCATTACCACAGGGAGGGCATCAAGCCATTTATGAGGGATCTGACCCCATGGCCCAAACACCTCCCACTAGGTCCCACCTCCAACACTGGGGGTCATTTCACATGTGAAATGTCAATCACATTTCAACACGTGATTTGCAGGGGACAACTATCCAAACCATATCAGGAGGAAATAATAAGAATTAGAGTGGAAATTAATAAAATACAGAAAAGAAAAACAATAGAGAAAATAAATGAAACCAAACCCTAATTCTTTCAAAGTATCAACAAAATTGACAAAACTTTAGCTAGATTGATCAGAATTTTTAAAAAGAGAAGACTTAAATTGATAGAATCAGAAACAAAAAAGAGGACATTACTACTGACCTTATAGAAATAAAAATGAATTACAAAAGAATATCATGAAAAAATTGTATGCCAACAAATTAGATAACATTAGTGAAATAAACAAATTTCCTGAAAGACACAAACTGCAAAAACTGACTCAAGAAGAAGTTGACAATCTTAATAGACCTATAACAAGGGAAAATATTAAATTAGTAATTAAAAATCTTCCCACAAAGAAAGCCCAGGCCCAGATGGCTTTACACTGAGCTATACATTATTATTCTTTTAAATTATACTTTAAGTTCTTGGATACATGTGCAGAACGTGCAGGTTTGTTACATAGGTATACATGTGCCATGGTGGTTTCTTGCACCTATCAACCCGTTATCTACATTAGGTATTTGTCCTAACGCTATCCCTCCCCTTGCTCCCCACCCATCAACAGGCCCCGGTGTGTGATGTTCCCCTACCTGTGTTAATGTGTTCTCATTGTTCAATTCCCACTTATAAGTGAGAACATGCAGTGTTTGGTTTTCTGTTCCTGTGTTAGTTTGTTGAGAATGATGGTTTCCAGCTTCATCCATGTCCCTGCAAAGGACATGAACTCATTCTTTTTTATGGCTGCATAGTATTCCATGGTGTATATGTACCACATTTTCTTTATCCAGTCTATCACTGATGGGCATTTGGGTTGGTTCCAAGTCTTTGCTATTGTAAATGGTGCTGCAATAAACATACGTGTGCATGTGTCTTTATAGTAGCTATCCCATACTTTGTTCAGATATCCTTAATTTTCACATAATGTTCTTTTTATATTCCAAGATCCCATTCAGGATAGCACATTATGTGCAGCTGTCATGTTTTCTTAGGCTTCTCTTGGCTGTGATTGTTAATCAGAATTTTCTTAGTTTTAAAATTAGCAGGGTGTGGTGGCAGGTGCCTGTAATCCCAGCTTCTTGGGAGGCTGAGGCAGGAGAATTGCTTGAAACCAGGAGGTAGAGGTTGCAGTAAGCAGAGATGACACACTGCACTCCAGCCTGGGTGACAGAATGAGACTGCGTCTCTCTTAGTTTTGATGACTTTGATCATTTTGAGGAGTACAAGTCAGGTATTTAGTATAAATAATGTGCTTCAACTGAAATGATTATATTGTAGTTACATGAATTTGGGAGGAAAACCACGTAGGTAACAGGTCATTCTCATCACACCATATCATATCAATTCATCACATACTGTCAAAATGACTTATCACTGTTGATATCGATGTATATCACCTGAGGTAGTGTTTGTCAGATTAATCCAGAAGTTTGAAAAAAAATTTAAGAGCCGTAAAAAGGTTATATCATTTAATAGTTCTGCTTTTAGAATTCTAAGTAAATTTTGAATGTATGAAGATTTCTATGCAGTGATGAGCAACATCATGTTACCTCTACAAATATTAGTTTGAGGGATAAATCCATAAATATTTATATATCAGTGAGTGAGTAAATAAATCATGAGACATTAGAATATTGAACAGACACTAAAATTGTGGGACAACTGTTTTTATCATATGAGAAAATGCTTGAGAATTACATTAAATAAAAGTAAATACAGTAAATAATATACAAATTTTGACCCAATTACATGTCCAGATATGAATATATTTTAAATTATTTGTCCCAAGATCTGTTATGAATATTGAATCTAAAAATTCATATTTTCCATTATTTTTACAATTATCCCTTTGAATATTGTTTCTCTTTCATTTTTGCTATTCCCCTTTTCTTCAAGTAGACATGTTAGATTTATTCATTCTGTCCTTGGTGCTTCTTAATCTTTTGTTCACTTCTTTATCTTCTTATACTGCATTTGAGTAATTTCCTGTTCCCTATCCTCCAGTTTATTATTTCTCTCTTCAATTGTGTCAAATCTGCTTTTTAAATACTAATTGAGTTTTACAGTCTTTGTCAGTTCTAATATTCCTAGGGAACTCTAATGCTATATATTGTTTCTGCTGTCTTTCATTCACTGTGGATTATTTCCTCAAATGTGGTATAACTTTGACATGTAAATTTTTCTCCTGTAAGATCTACTACATAACTGTTCTATGATTTTCTCCTGCTTAGAGATTTTGGCTATAACTGGCATGGAATCTATTTTTATATTAGTTTTTTTAGATTATGAGCTTTGGAAAGACACAGTTATTGCAAATTTGATCTCCACAAATCCATGCAATGCAAGTTCTGGCTTTGAATATGTGTGTTGAACTTTTTCTCTTACCCAGAGTCCAAGCAGAGATAGGTAAGTTTTCTGGTTGATTTTCTAAGTTAATGACTATATTTCTTTACTAAGCCACTCTTTTCTAGAGGTACAGTTCTTTTTTGGTCTACCATTCATACAGAATTCTCAGTTCTAGTACTCAAACCTGCCTCCTGTGGGGCCTAGAATTTTCTGTAATCCCCCATGCTTGACAGCTGGGGTGGGGCATTCTGGCTGGCCAAGCAGACCCAGAACATGAGCTCTCTGCTGCGGGAAACCCACCTAAATCCTTATAAGTGGTCTACTCCCAGAAAAATGTGGTCTCAACATTAGAAGAAAAAATGTGAAACCTATCTACAGCATTCTATGCTTCCTTTTTGGTTTTTAAGCTGCCTTATTGATTCTATCACACAAGGATTTCTTCTTCCTTGTTGAAAGCTCACCTATGCATTTAAAACATGTCTGTTCTATTTTATACAGTATTTACAGAGCTTTGTAAGAATTTTTAAGTTGTACAGAGCAAAATATTACTGGAATCAGAAATATTTTCTGTACCATTTAGTATATTTAATTTTAAAACTGTCTTCTGGGATAGACATTGTTTATATGTCATAGTTAAGGACAGTGAAACATTTTGCCTTTTGTCATCCAAGCTAGCATACAGCAAAGGTAGAACTGAATTCAGATCTTCTCTTTAGACTGCAGGGTTACTTCTGCTGTATCACAGATCTATATCACAGTTCTATGAAATTAAGAGAATCTTAGCATTTTTTTCAGGCTAAATACATGAGATATAGGAGATCAAATCTCCATTTATTCAACAAATATTTTCTCTGTGTCTACTTAATGCAAATATAGAGATAGAGGGATAGATAGATAGATACACTTATAGGTGAGTATATGGATACATCTATCATGAGGTATCACTTGGGGGCCAAAGAAAGGGAAGGAGATGTGTTGCCAAGGACAAACCTTTTCAGAGAGTTAGAAAAGAAAGTTAACTCCCAAGTACGTTTTGTGTAACTCTAGGCCTGTGTAGGAGAAATAGCAAGTAGATTACCTAATATTCAGTCTTCCCTGCTGGTGAAGCCAATGTGCCCAGTTAAGTAAACAACTTACTTTTCCCAGCTTCCCTTGCAGGAATAACTTGGCGACTCTATTATGGCCAAGACATTTTACATGAAGCTTGTAGGGAAACTTTATTAGAAGAGGGCTGTGGCCATTGGAATAACAGCCACCCAACCCACATCCTAATGCCTAGAACCTGAGAATGTATTACTTCATATGGTAAAAATGACTTTGCAAATGTGATTAAGGGTAAAGACCTTGATATAGGGAGGTTTTCTTGAATTATGCAGGTGGCCCCAACTAGTTACATGTGTTCTTAAAAGTGGAGAACCTTTTCTGGCTCTGTTCAAAGAGAGAGATGTGATGATGGAAGCACTCAGAAAAATGTAGTGTGAGGACTCACCCTACTGCTGGCTATGATGATGAGAGATGGGAGCCATGAGCCAAGGAATGCAGGTGGCTCTAGAAGCTAGAAATGGCAAGGAAACAGATGTTCCCCCAGGACCTCTAGAAAGAAAGGCAGCCCCTTTGTTCTATTGATTTAGCTCAATGAGATCGGTGTCAGACTTCTGACATTAAGAACTCTCAAATAATAACTTTGCATTGTTCAAAGTGACTACATTTTTGGTAAGCTATTATGGCAATAGCAGAAATCTCATACTGGGGCAGACTTTGCTGGAACATCCATTTTTGGACTTTCCCCTTCCCTTTCTTTCTGTTTGGAATATGGACAGGATGTGGCCTCTAGCTTGTGTGTGTGAGGATGAGGATGAGGATTAGGATGGGAGAGGAGACAGTCAGAAGGTACCTTGGTTCCTGCTGACTTTCTAGAGTGTAGGCTGCCTATCTCCTGACCAACCCTATTTTGTTGGTATTCTGTCACATGCATTTTAACCCACTTCACGACTCACAGCAAACCTGACTTAGAGTAGAAGACCTAGGGCTGAGTCCTGGCTGTATCATTTAGAACTTTGACCTGCATGGCCTTGGGTAAGTCATATAATCTCTTTCGGCCTCAGTTTCCTCATCTATAAAATGGAGCATCCAAAATAGCCCCCAGGAAGCTTGTGAAGATGAGATGAAGTACCTTGAGAAAGCATCCAGCACAGGACATGGCACACAGCAGGGGTTCCTCAGATGTTTCTTCGTTTTCTCTCTAAATATAACCTACACAAATTTTATTGTCACGAATCCACATCTGTAAATATTTAAGAGAGTTGGCACAGATGAATGCCTAATCCCCAGGGCAGAAGATTTGCCTTTGTTCAGCCCCAGCTCAGTTCCACTGAGTACAATATTCCAACTCCATCCTGCAGCCAGAACTCTGCAGACCCAGCACCATCATCGCTGAGGCTCACAACAACACGGGTGAGCAAGCCCAGGCTGCTGTGATGACATCAGGGGCTCTGGGATGATTGCTGGGTCAAGTTGGAGGAACACTCCCCTCCACCTCTCATGAATGTTGGGATATCATCTGAAAATTGGTGTTAGGCAAGGTCTTCCTTCGTAAGGTGATTAATCACTCCTGGAACAGTTAGTGGAGAGGATATGGCTTCTCAGTAGAAAGCTAAAAACGAGTAAGCTAGAGAGATTAAGCTCAAATGAACACGAACAAAAGCTAGAAGTATTGGTTTCCAAAACTTGGATGTCCAGGAGCACAGCTGGGTCAAGACACCCAGTAACATCCCTGGGCTCTGACTCCTGCACTGCTCACAGGTTCTTTCCATGCTGTAGAAGCTCTAGCTCCATATACACCTTCCCAACCCTAGGAGAGGAGGGCTTTTGAATAGTTTTGGTAAAAAGATAAGTTTTGAGTGGATTCTGATCATCCTGATATGGATTACATGCATATTCCTGAACCATGCTCATCATCTGGGTTGGGGCACTCTGGCTTGCCAAGCAGACCCAGAACATGAGATATCTGCTTGGGAAACCCACCTAAATCCTTATAAGTGGTCTACTCCCAGAAAAGAATGATCCTAACATCAGAAGAAGGCAGGAAAAGGTGATGGGCAGATGGAAACAAGGCATGTTCACTGGAGGGTCCTGGGAATATGAAGAGAAGTGTTCATGTCCTTTACTCTCAGATATTCTCTCCTGAGCCTTGTTTTGAAAACCCAAGGTTTTTATGCACATATTCCCCAGAGGTGGAACTAAAATGATACCACTTACAGGAGGTCACTAAGGAACTGGGATGGGAGGGAGCCACCCTTTATTAAAGAGACTTCCTGGAAATGAGGTCTACTTGGGTAGGACTTTAAGGTAAGAACAGAAAGGGTTGAGAAAGCAGTGGGTTGTCTCCCACCAGAAAAGCCAACCTTACCACCAAGGCCCTGATGGAGGCACAGTTGTCCAAGGCTCTTCACCTTCCTGATGGGCTGTCTTACTTTCGGCAAAGCTGAGAGTTTAGTCTTAACCAATCTTCGGTCATCCTTCCATACACGGTGTCCCCAGTTTCCTCATACATCAGATGGAGATGGTAATAGTGCCCACCACTCTGGGGGATTCAGAACCAAATGAGATCATAGATGTCAAGCACAAGTGCTGAGTAGACACCAAGCAAATGTGTGACATCATCCTCGTCATTGCTTCTACTGCTCCTCAGTGAGTCATTTTCTTTGTCTTCGGGCTTGAAAAGATATGCAGCACAGTTAGCACTTTAAAATAATTTGATTTATACGGATTTGAAATTGATCAATATTTTGAATTTGGGACCTAAATTTGAGGCTGTTCATCCCACTGAACCAACAAACAAAAAAGGAGATACTGTGGTCACAAGTGTGATGGATCATAATTGCAAAGGAGGCCTCGCAATGGGCCAGGGAGGTAGTAATCTCTGCAAAAAAGAAACGCTAACTTCACCTTCCAGATAAAATGGAATAACAGGAAATACATTTACTCTCATGCCTGAGACAGCCAAGAAAAAAAAACAGAAAAAATATACAAAATAACAGTTTTTAAGTCCCCAGACATTAGGCAACAAAAGACAGTGATTCCTGAGAGAGAGAAAACGGTGAACTCCACAGTTGCCTTGACATTGTCTCCACGCTATGGCATAGAAAAGTGGAACTCAGGCAGAACCCTAAAGAGTCCCTGAGTTGAAGAGACAGCTGAGATTCCAGGACAACAAGGCAGATAGCGTGCACAGAACAGAGCTGCACAGGGAGAAAACTCCAGAGATCAGCATAGAGTCCTTGTTGAGTGTTCAGCAGTACTGATCAAGGCATGCATGTGCATAAACTACCGGAGGTTGGGTGTGATGTTTCATTATATGTGTCAACTTAAATGGGCCATGGGTACCCAGATGGAACATTGTCGTGGGCGTGTCTGTGAGGGTGTTTCTGGGTGAGATTAGCATTTGGATTGGTAGAGTCAGTGAAGTAGATTGCCCTCCTCAAGGTGGGGGTGCATTATCTAATCCACTGAGGGTCCAAAAGAATAAAAGGCAGAGGAAAGAATTTGTCCCATTTTTCTTGCCTTACTGCTTGAGCTGAGACATATCATTCTGACTTCTCCTGCCCTCCCACGGGTTTACACCACTGACTCCCCCCGGTTCTCAGGCCTTTGGACTTAGACTGAATTGCACCGTCTACTTTCCCATAGGGCTCCAGCTTGCAGACTGCAGATCCTGAAACTCTTCCACCTGCATAGTCACATGAGCCAATTCCTCATAATTAGCAAATAAATATATATATTTATCTATCATGATGATATATATATAACACATATGTTAATGTTAACATTTTATATAATATATTCATGTTAATATATTATATAATTATATTAATATAATTATATATTATATTATAATCATATATTAATGTTAATATATCAATATATTAATATAATATTTATTATAATATATAGAGAGAATATATCCTATATATATCTATTTTGGTTCTGTTTCTCTGGCGAACCTGACTAATACTCTAAGAAAAGAACTCCCCAAAATTAAACAGTGCCTAGCACTCATACCAGGCCAAAATTTGTGGCCAAACTGGTAGATAATTTATGAGACCTTGTGTAAATGCTATGACTTGAAAGTATGTGTCCCTCCAAAATTCATGTGTTGGAACTGAAACCCCAAGGTGATGATATTAAGAGACTGGGCCTTAAGGTGTTAAGTCATGATGGTGTCACCTGCATGAATGGATTAGTGCTCTTATAAACGAGGTTGAAGGGAGCACCCTAGTGCCTTTGGCCCTTCCATCCCTTCTGCCTTCTGCACCATGTGAAGACACTGTGAGAAGATACCCTCACCAAACACTAAGTCAGCCAGTGCCTTGATTTTGAACTTCCCAGACTTCAGAAAATAAATTTTGTGTGAATGTTCGTGTGAAAAATGAATTTCTATTCTCTATAAATTACCCACTCTCATGTATTGTGTTACGGCTGCACAAATGGACTGAGCCACTAGAATACTCAGAAGGGTCTTGCCTCAGTAGCAGAGAATAAGTAGCCATAGACTGAACATGAGGTCCTGTATAAAAATCTTAAAAGCACATGCAAAAGGATCAAATTGCTTCGATGTAACTTAGTGGCAAACAAAGCTCAAGAATATTTACAGCAAAACAAAAAAATCCATCACTCAACAAGATAAATTAACATTGTTGGGCAACCAATGAAAAATTATCAAGCATACAAAGAAGCAGAAAATATGAGGTAACACGAGAAGAAAAAGTAACCAATCACACCAACACAGAACTGATACAAATATTAGAATTAGCATACAAGAATATTAAAATTGTTATTGCAACTCTATTCCCCATGTTCAAAAGGTTAAATAGAAATGTGATCCAAATCAGACTTGAAAAATGAAAACTACAAGAATGAGATAAAAAATATAATGCACTGAATAGCATTAAGTAGACATTGCAGAGAAACAGACTTGCGAATTTGAAGACATAGCTGTAGAAACTACCCAAGAAGGAACACAGAGAGAATTAAAACAGACTCAATACATACATGAAAAGAGCATAGGTAATCTGTATAACAAAACATTCAGAGCCCTAACGTGTGTAATCAGTGTTAATAAAAGGGGCAGGGCAGATAAATATCTGAAGAAATAATAGCCAAAAACTTTCCAAATTTGATGAAAATTATAAACCCAATTATTGAAGATACTTAACAAACTTTGTGCACAAGAAGCATGAAAAAAATCACATGAAGGCACCATAATCACCATAACCAAATTGCTCAAAATTCCTGAGAAAGAGAAACATCCAGGGGGGAAGAAAAAGATTTATTATGCACACAGGAACACAAATAGGGATGACAGCAAGTTTCTCATAAAACAAAAACCAAGACCAGCAGGAAGACAGTGGAACAATATATTTAAAGCAGTGAAAGAAAACCTTAGAATCTTATACCCAGAAAAAAAAATACGTTTCAAAATGAGAAAAAATAAAGACATTTTTAGACATGCAAAGCCAAAATAATTCATCACCATGAGGCCCACATAACAAGAAATGCTCTAGAAAGTCCATCAGGCAGAAGGAAGTTAGTATGTATCTACACACAGGAGTGAAGGGAACCAAAAATGGTAACCACCTTGGATAAATGCACAAGGTTATTTCCTTGTATTTAAATCTCTTGAAAAGATGATTGATTTTTAAACAATATATATTGATTTTTTAAACAATAATAACAATGTAATGTGGAGTTTATAAAATATGTAAAATCACATGTATGATAAGGATAGCACAAAAGCTGAGACACCTAAAAATATACTGTCGTAAGGTACTTATGCTATATTTGAAGTGAAATAACATCATTTGAGGACTGCGATAAATTAGACGTGTATACTATAAACCTTAAAAAGACCACTAAGCAACAAAATGAGGAGTTATAGCAAATAAGCCAACAGGTATTAAAATCAAATTATAAGTGATACTCATCTTACCCCAAAGCAGGCAGAAAATAGGTGAAAAGGGAAACAACATACAGAAAAGACAAATAGAAATGAATAGCAATATTTAAAGCTAGCAAGTCAATAATTACAGCAATTTTAAAGAGTTTAAAAACTTTAATTAAAAGTCAGTATTATCAGATAATCCAAGCCTCAACTGTACGTTGTCTTCAAAAAGGATAATTTTAAATATAAATCAACAAAATACATAAAAGAAAAAAACAGAAAATTATATAATGTATTAAAATTAATCTAAAGAAAGCTACAGTTGCTAGATTAATAACAGAATAAGTCAATTTTGGACTGCAGAATATTCTGACCAAAAGTAACATTAATTCACAATGATAAAGGGTTCAATTTATCAAGAGAACATAAAAATTCTAAAAATGTATACATCCACTAACAGTGTTTCAAAATATTTGAAGCAAATACTGATAAAACTGTAAGGAGAAATAAACAAATTACTAATTATAGGCAAATATTTCAATAACCCTTTCTCAATAATTAATAAAACAGGTAGACAGGAAGTCAGCAAAGATAGAGAAGACTGACAAAAATGTCAACTCACTTGACCTAGTTGACATTTATGGAACACTCCAACACTCCAACCTCCAACAACAGAATATATATTTTTTCCACATGCGACAGGACATTTACAAAGGTCAATAATATTCAGGGCCCCAAAACAAATCTTATTAAATTTAAAAGAATTTAAGTCATACAAAATATGTTCTCTAACCACAAAGCAATTAAACTAAAAATCAATAATAGAAAGAGCTCTGGAAAAATCAATTCCCAAACATTTAGAAACTAAGTAGCACACTGCTAAAGAACACAAATCAAGGAAAAACTCTAAAGGGAAATGAGAAAGTATAAATTGAATGAAAAAATGAAAATACAGCAGGTCAAATTTGTGGGCTTCCACTACAGCTAAATTAGAAAAGGAAATTGTCTCAAATCAATGACCTTAGAGTGCATTTTAGGAAACCAGGGAAAAAAAGCAAATGAAATGGAAAGTACATGGAAGAACTGAAATTATCAAAAGATAAAGGTGTCACTCAGTGAAACAGAAAAACAAAGCAATAGAAATAAGTCAATAAAATTAAAAAGTTTGGGCCGGGCGCTGTGGCTCACGCCTGTAATCCCAGCACTTTGGGAGGCCAAGGCGGGCGGATCACGAGGTCAGGAGATCGAGACCATCCTGGCTAACAGTGAAACCCCGTCTAAAATATAATTTTTTGTACTAAAAATACAAAAAATTGGCAGGGCGTGGTGGCAGGCACCTGTAGTCCCAGCTACTTGGGAGGCTGAGGCAGGAGAATGGCGTAAGTAAACCCAGGAGGCGGAGCTTGCAGTGAACCGAGATCGTGCCACTGCACTCCAGCCTGGGCGACAGAGTGAGACTCCATCTCAAAAAAAAAAAAAATAAAATAAAATAAAATAAAAATAATAAAAATAAATAAATAAAAAGTTTGTTCTTTGAGAAGCTTAATAAAGCTGTAAACCACTAGCCAGACAAATCAGGAAAACAGGGAGAAGACATAAATTACAGTGTCAGGAATGAGAGATAGAATGTCACTACAGATCTATAGATATGCAAAATAATTATGAAATATTAGAATAATTTTATATTAATAAATTTGACAAGTTAGATGAAATGGATAATATTTTTAAAATATACAAACTAGAGTGTTAAGAGGAAATTGATAATATGAATTATCTATCTACTAAAGAAACTAATATTGTACTTGACGTCCTTAAAACAAACAAAATAAACAGAAAACATCTTCCAAGGTTAAATGCCTTCACAGAGGATGGTAAACAATTCTACACAAACTCTTACAGAAAATTGAAGAAGAGGGAATATTTCCCAATTGATTCTATGAGACTAGAAGTACTCTGATGCCAAAACCGGGTGAAGACATTACAAGAAAAGAAAACTACAGATCAAGTTATTTCATAAACACAGAAAAATCTTTGAGAAAATGTGAGCGAGCCAAACTTAGCACTATATAATAGAGATTATATCCCTGGCCAATTTGGATATATCCTAGCAATGCGAGGTTGATTTAACATCTGAAAATCACTTAATTAATATACCATGTATTTCAGTCTTTTCATTCCTATGAATTTATTCCCCAAGTTAAATAAAAGCATACATCCACATAAAGAAATGAGCAGATATGTTTATAGAAGCCATATTTTTAATACCTCAAACTCAGAAACATCCCAGATTCCCCTCAACAGATGAATAGATAAACAGTCTGTGCTGTATTCATACAATGCAATACTACTCAGCCACAAAAGCAATGAACAGACGATCCATGCAGCAGCACAGATGAATCTCAAATAATTACGACAGGTGAAGGAAGCAGAATTTTATTTAAGTTCTACAAAATGCAACCAATACATAGTTATAGCAGATCAGTGGCTACCTAGGTATAGGGGCAGTGGTATTGGAGTGATTCAAAGAGGACATAAAGAAATATTGGAGAATGTCATATATTCATTATCTTGATTGTGATGATAGCTTAATAGGTGTATACTATTGATACAGGAGCAGGGCAGGGAAGTTCTGGGTAGAGAAGGGGGGACAGTCCCTGGGGAGGCCACCACCCTCAGGCCTGTCCCCACGGACCTAAGTGAGGACAGGCACTCCTGTTTTTGCGCCCAAATGTTGCATTTTCCAAGACCACTGTGGCCGCCACACACCCCATCCTGTGTCTATAAAAACTCCGAGACCCTAGCGGGCACAGACACAAGCAGCTGGGCGTTGAGAGGAACACACTGGCAGAAGAACACACCGACAGATGCCGGCAGGCCATTAACAGCACAGCGACACGGTCACGGAGGGAAATTCAGCCCAGGGAGGTCAGAGGAAAGCCCGGCCATGGAGCGGCTGGACTCCAGGGAAAGACCACCTTCCCACTCCATCCCCCTTCTGTCTACTCATCCGTCTGCTGAGAGCTACCTTAACCACTCAATAAAACCTTGCACTCGTTCTTCAAGCCCACATGTGATCTGATTTTTCTGATACACTAGGGCAAGAACCTGGGATACAGAAAGCTCTCTATCTTGCGATAAGGCAGAGGGTCTAATTGATCTGATTAACACAAGCTGCCTGCGGACGACTAAGCTGAAAGAGCACATTGTAACACACATCAACTGGGGCTTCGGGAGCTGTGAACACTCAACCCCAGAGGCTGCTGTGGGATCAGAGCCCCAGCTCCCCGCGACCTGCCTGTCTGCATGCTCCCCCTAGGGGTTTGAGCTGCCCTGCGAGGGGGGATAAGGGAAAACTCCTACCGTTTCACTATATTAAAACTTACCAAACTGTACATATTAAATGTTGTGTACACTATTGCACTTCAACTATATTGCGATAAAGCTATTTTATAAAGAAAATAATAAAAACAAATTTTAAAAAGAAGCTATAAACCATTTGAATCAGAAGCTAAAAATAAACTATAGAAAAATGGCTTCTGCTTCTACTTAGGATATAGAAAGTCAGCACAGATATAAAAAGTACAAGGCGAGAAACCAAACAACCTACAAAACCATAGAGCGCTAAGAATGCGAAGAAACTTAAATAAATGAAAATCCAGATATTGGCAAGCCCCTCTTAAGAAACAGGAGACACAATATTGTTAAGGTTTAATATTGTTAATGTGTCAAATATCCCTAAATTGATATATAGATTAATGATTCCAGAAATCTTTTAAAAAGAAATTGACTAGATAATATTCAAATTTATATAAAAATGCAATGGCCTTTTATAAAAATAAACAAGAAAAATAACCAAAATGAAAAAAAATTGGAGGCCTTACTCCACCTGATGTCAAGACATCATATAATGCAACAGTAATCAAGACAGTGCAGTATTGGCATGGAGACAGACTAATAGATAAATGTACAGAACAGAGAGGCTAGATTTCATTTTGACAACAGTTTCAAGTCAGTTTCATTAAAGAGTGTTGAAACAATAGGAGAGCCATTTGCAATAAAACAAACATCAACCATTACTTCAAAACATAAACACAACTCCCAAATGAATAAAAAACCTAAGCTGAAACCTAAAACTATAAAATTTGTTAAAAAAAAAAAACAACAGTAGAAAAGCTATGTGACCTTCGGGGTACGAAATGATTTCTTAGATAGAACACAACAATGGTAAATTATTTTTAAAAATTGAATTTTATCAAAATAAAAAATTGCCATACAAAGGTAACCATTAAGAAACTTTAACAACAGAAAAAAAGCAAGCTATAACCTGAAAGAAAATATTTACAACAAACATATCAGACAAATGATTTGTATTCAGAAGAAAGAGTTCTTACAAAACAAAAACTAAAGACAAGCTAATATTAAGTGAGGAAAATATCTGAATAAGCATTCACACAAAAGAAATATAAATAGCCAACAAGTACATGAAAATATGCTCAACGGTATTAGTCTTCAGGGAAATCAAATTAAAATCACAATAAGATACCATCCATGCCCATTGTAATCACCAAAGTATTAAAAAATCTTTGACAGTACCAAGAGTTAGCAAGAATATAAACAAATTGGCATGCTCTTTGGAAAACAATCTGATAGTTTCCTAAAAATTAAACATACACTTACCATATAAGTCAATGTTCCGGTTATTTATCCAAAAGAAACGAAAACATATGGCCACACGAAGACTTGTAGACATGTACATAGCAGCTTTATTTATAACGGCCAACCGCTGGAATCAAGTCAAATGACTATCAACAAGTGAATGGATTTATAAATTGTGGTATATCTATACAATGGAATACTACTCAGCAACTCACACAACAACTGAATGAATCTCAGAACAATTATGCTGAGTGGAAAAGCAAGGTAAAAGTGCATATTGTGTGATTACATTTATATAACTTCTGGAAAATGCAAACTAACATGTAGTGACTGAATGAGATCATGGTTGCTTTGGGATAGCGGTGGAGAGAGAATTTTGGGTAAAATGGAAATGTTTGTTATCCTGTTTGTGGTAATGGCTTTATAGGCATATATGCAAGTCAAAACTGATCAAACAGATCCCTTCAGGTATGTTCACTTTAGTGTACTTCAATTATTCTTCAATAAAAAATTCTACTAATAAAAATAACACAGAAAGCCCCCAATGGTCAAGCCTAGAACAACTTGAGAAACAAAATAAACAAAGTAGTTTTAGATTATAACCCTAAGTTTAAAATAAATATCCATATATCCATACAGACATAGATAAATGATTAAATAAGTTAATGGGAAAGAAGAGAAATATATTATGTGCAGAAGAATTTCAAACAGCTTAGGTAGATACTTTACCCATTAGGAGGTAGAGTATAACGCCTTACTCCCTAAGTGTGGGCTGTGCATAGTAAATTTCTTCCAAAGAATAAAGTATGGAGAAGTTAAAAAAAAAAAGTAAATTTACAATGGACAGCCTGGGCACGGTGGCTCACGCCTGTAATCCCAGCACTTTGGGAGGCTGAGACGGGCAGATCACGAGGTCAGGAGATTGAGACCAACCTGGCTAACACGGTGACACCCCGTCTCTACTAAAAACACACAAAAAAATTAGCTGGGCATGGTGGCGGGCGCCTGTAGTCCCAGCTACTTGGGAGGCTGAGCAAGGAGAATGGTGTGAACCTGGAGGCAGAGCTTGCAGTGAGCTGAGATGGCGCCACTGCCCTCCAGCCTGGGTGATAGAGTGAGACTCCGTCTCAAAAAAAAAAAAAAAAAAAAAGTAAATTAACAATGGAGAAACCTATCAAACATTATCTCCAAGTGATTAAGGTCAACATCAACAGTGATAAATTGTGTTGAATGTACCCTTGATCTATCTAGCAAGATAGATCAAGAACAAAACAAAACAAAACAAAACAAAACAAAACAAAAATTTACAGCCTGGGCAACATGGTGAAGCCCTGTCTCTACAAAAGATTAAAAATATTAGCCAGACATGCTGGTATGTCCCTGCAGTCCCAGCTACTTGGGAGGCTGACATGGGAGAATTGCTTGAGAACAGGTGGTCGAGGTTGCAGTGAGCCAAGATCATACCACCACACTCCAGCCTGGGTGACAGAATGAGATTTTGCCTAAAAAAAAAAAAAATAAAAATTACTAATGCTAATATCACTAACAGAAAAAATGCAACATCACTACAGGTCCTATGGACATAAGATAATAAGAAAACATAATAAACTTTTTTTTGCAAATAAATTAAAAAACAAAGATGAAATTCTTTGTAAAGTACAGCTGAACAAAATGGACACAGCAATATATTAATATATAAAGTCTGCATGTATCTGTTAAAGAAATGGGATACTTAAATAAAGACGATGAAGTATTCACAAAGTCATTGAGAGAATAGATGAGGCTAGTATAACCCTGACATAAAACCAAGCAGGGACATTGCAAGAAATGAAAATTAGATACAAAATACAATGAAGAATGACAAAAAATCCTTAATAAAACCTTAAGAAATCAACCCTATCAAATATAAAAATACATCATGAACATGTGGGGTGTACCCAGGAATGCATTATTGGTTTATCTATTAAAAAATCAATGTATTTCACTACATTAACAGATTAAAGGAAGAAAACATCATAAATCATCATAATAGATACAGAGAAAGCATTTGACAGTAATTTGCACCTATTCATAGTATAATATTATCAGCAAAGTAAAAACAGAAGAAAAATTCCCCAATTTAATAAAGGATCTCTAGAAAAAACCTACAGCTAACATATGCAATGGTGAGAAAACAAATGGTGCCTTCATAAAAGCTGAAACCAGGCAAAATATATGCTTACCACTTCATCTTCATATTGTACTAGATGTCCTAGCCAGTACATTAAGACATGAAAAAGAAATAACAGCATAAATACTGGAAATAAGAAAAGTAAACATGCCTTGACTCACAGATGACATGATTACTTATGTATTAATAGAAAATCCTAAGAGATCCACAACAAGAAAAAAAAATCAATTAATGAGTAAATTTAGCAAGGTGGCAATACACAAAGTCAATATATGAAATTGAGTGTATTTTTTCATCCTACCAAAAATAATTTGAAAAATTAGCATTTATATACCACTTACAATAGTTAAGGATAGTTAAATACTTAAGGATAAATTTAATAAAATATGTGTAAGACCTGTAAACTGAAAACTATATAACACTTTTAGGGAAATTAAAGAAGACGTCAATACATGTATTATGTATATATCATGTTAATGGGTTGGAGGATTCAATATGTTTAGGATTACAATATATTTAGTATGTTCAAAGTGATCTATAGAATCAAAGATGGTGCCAATAAAAATCCCAGCAGATATTTTAGTAGAAATGAACAAGCTGATTCTAAAATGTACAGAAATACAAAGATTAAGGATGAGTAAAAATATATCTTGAATAAGAAAAAAGAATGTTCCATAGTGTTGAAAATGTTTTACATCTTGATAGGGGTACGGGTTATATGCATGTGTGCATTTGACAAAACTCATTGAATCATAAATTTATGATCTGTATTTGTACTGTAAACAAATGGCATCACAAAAAGAAATAACAAAAAATAAGTCCTCAGATAGTTTAATAAGCACATTACATAAAATGTTCAATAAGTATTAATTTCCATCTTGTTCACATTACCTCCCAAGGTAATATGAGCAAGGCCTCATCTCCAAATACCAGAGAAACAGAGGCCATTCTTCCTGGAGTAGACATGGATGCAATGCTAATATCTCCTTTCAGGCACAGGTGGACTGCAGGTTCGATTCCCTTGGAAATTAGGCCAAATTCAGCTAGCTCGCCAGCCAGTGGCCATCTCACAGATGGGGAGCAAAAGCAATATGCAACCCAACCTCACTCAGTTTCCTCTTTCTCATCTCTTGTCAAACCCAACTGGAAGCCAGAGAAGAAGGGAGGCTTTTGATGCAGATTGTCCTCCCACGGCCCAGAGCAGGGTGGAGAAAGGTAGAGAGACAGAGGAGTGAAGTGCAAAAAGGCAATTTGTCACTTCAGGCCACAGGTCTCTAGTCAAAGGAGAGCCACATCTGGACTTGATGAAAAGGTGTACTCTTCTGTGCATAGAAAGAAGACAGAACTGAGTATTTGGTGACAGAAGGGCAGATGGTGATAGTCATCAGGGAAGTTCGCCTGGTAAGAAGTCACAGCTGTCTGACTTGGTTTGGCCAATAGAATGTGAGTGGAAATGGCCTTGAGCCATTGCGAGGTTCATGATGCTCTCTTCTGCCTTCTGCAGCAGTGGTGGAGATGTGTAGAAAGGAACTCATGTGGGCCCTGAGTGCCTATGAGGAGCATAGATGCTCCTAGTGATCAGTGATGGATATGTAACAAGAGCCAGAAATATACGTTTGTTTTGTTTTGTTTTTAACTATCTGAGGTTTTCAGTCTCTTTTGTTGTGCCTTATAACCTAACCTATCCTGACCGATATCTTCCCTAACTCATTTTATGCATCTAGTATGACTTTGATACCAAAAGCAGAGAAGAAGATCATGAGAAAGAACCATAGGCCAATCTTATTTACAAATATAAATGCTATTATCCTAAGGAGAACATTAGTAAAGAAGGTATAAAATAGTATGCATTAGCATTAGAAAATAGTATGCAATAACATTATAAAAATTATTAAATATTAAAGGAGAAAAACTATTTCAGTGAATGCAGAGAAAGTATTTTTAAAATTGTCAACACCAGAAAACATATCAGTAGTGTTCTGGGGACAGGATGGGGGAAGAGTAGGGAGAAGCTGGAGGAAGGAATGACTTAGGGGTACAGGGAAACTTAGGGGGCGATGGAAATGTTCATTGCCTGGATTGTGGTGATGGTTTCTTGAGTGTACATGTATGTCAAAATCCATCAATCTGTACATTTTAAGTATGTTTGGTTTATCGCATGTCAATTATACAGTAAAACTTGTTTTTTTTGTTTGTTTGTTTTGTTTTGTTTTTTGAGACAGTCTTGCTCTGTCGCGCAGGCTGGAGTGCAGTGGCATGATCTCGGCTCACCGCAACCTCCACCTCCCAGGTTCAAGTGATTCTCCTGCCTAAGCCTCCTGAATAGCTGGGACTACAGGTGCCTGCCACCATCTCTGGTTAATTTTTGCATTTTTAGTGGAGGCAGGGATTCACCATGTTAGCCAGGCTGGTCTCAAACTCCTGACTTCAAGTGATCCACCCACCCCGGCCTCCCAAAGTGTCGGGATTACAGGTGTGAGCCACTGGCCCAGCCAGTAAAACTGTTTTTAAAGGTCAATGTGCATGCATGATACTCTTAGTAAGAAAGAAATGGAAGGGATTTACATCAAGCTGCAACCATCTTTATTTTTCCTTTTCTTCCTTTCACTTCTTCACATAGTTTCTGAAACCGCACTGGGCTATTCTTTCTTGATGGCTTGTCTCCATTCTTTCTGACATTGGTATTTGGGATACGATAAGTATATTTGGTTTATTTTATTAGTTGCTCTCTCTTTACCTGGGGATTTAGGGAGGTTCCAAATCGATACTGCTGGCTTCTTCTCAGACTCTTCTATTCAGCTGGTGATTTTCATCGGGGGCACAGTATCAGTATTATTTAATGTAGTTCATCACTGATGACTTCCTTAAAATACTGCTCCTTAACCATACTTTCTTTTTATCAAGGAGTCAAAGACAAACCTGTCAGTGTCATCTATGCATGACCTCTTTTGCTATGAAGACAACTGAAATGCAGTCATGTCTCCAGCCCTCCCAACACATTGAAGATGATGAGAAAATGTCTTGTCCTCTCACCCCTAGATTTCACCCCCATGAAACTATTTATTTCCATTCCATGTGTAGCAGGTTAAACTGTCCCTCCTCTCCTGCTAAGAGATATGTCCAAGTCCTACCCTTCAGTACCTGTGAATATCACCTTTTTGGGAGTAGGGTCTTTGCCCATAAAATTATGTTATAGTTTTTGAGATTAAAATCATCTGGATGACCTGGGATAGGTCCCTAATCTGATGGCCAGTGTTCTTGTAAGAGAAAGAAAAGGAAAGAACACAGAGAGAAAGGATGAAAGGGTGGGCACAGAGATTAGAATGATGCATCTAGATGCTAAGCATATTTAGTCCTCTCTGGCTGCCATAACAAAATATCACAGAATGGGTAGCTTAAACAACTGAAGTTTATTTTCTCAGAGTTCTGGAGGCTGGAAGTCCTAGATCACGGTGCCAACATAGGTTCTGCCGAGGGCTCTTTCTGGCTTCTACACAGCTGCCTTCTCACTGTGTGCTCACATGGCCTTTCCTTGGTGTGTGCAGAGACAGAGAGAGAGAGAGAGAGAGAGAGAGAGAGAGAGAGAGAGAGAGAGAGAGAGACAGAGAGAAAGATATCAAGTGTTCTGGAGGCTCTTGTTTCAGCAGCGTTAATCCCACCAGACCAAGGCCTCACTCTCATGACCTAATCGATTCCAAAGGTCTCATCTTCAAATACCATCACATTTGGGGCTAGGGTTCAACATATGCATTTTTTGGGAAAACAAACATTCCATCCATAACACCAAAGAATGCCCAAGACTGCCAGCAGCCACAAAAACCTAGGAGAGAGGCATGGAATGGATGCTCTCTTAGAATCTCCAGAAAAGGTCAACCTTCTTGATTCTGGACTTCTGGCCTCCAGAACTGAAAAAATAAATATCTGTTGTTTTAAGCCACCTAATATTTGGTACTTTATTATGGCAGTCTTAGAAAGCTAATACATTTTTCACAGTCTATTGCAATATGCTCGCCATAATTAATGAATTTCATTGAAAATGATCATAATTTTGCATATACTTGGAAAAGTTATAATTTTTTAAAGTCACAGTCCCCATTTCACTTATTCATTTCATGATGTAGTACACGTGATACATAAATACATTTTATGTAGTACACAAAATAATATTCCTTGACTATACTTCCTACCACTGCACAGATTTCATCATCATTATATCCCAAGGCTTGCTAGTAGATAGAAAATTGTATTTCAAAAGGGGAAGGGACATGTAAAAATATTTTCGCAAATAAGTACATTCAGCCTTCAACAAATGTTTTGTGGTTTTTCATTTTGTTATTTTTTTTTTATTTTTTAGAGTCAGAGTCTCACTCTGTCACCCAAGCTGGAATGCAATGGTGCAATCACAGCTCACCATAGCCTTGAACACCTGGGTTAAGCGATCCAACTGCTTCAGCCTCCCAGAACTAATAGGGATCTCCAACCTCAAATGGTATCTACAGAAGCCTTCAGCTAACCACATACTTAATGATGAAAGGTTGAATTTGTGCCCCTAAGGCCAGAAACAAGGCAAGAATGTCTACGCCCATCTCTTCTCTTCATTCTTTCATTAGAAGTTTTAGCCAGTGTAATTAAGCAAGAAAAATAAATAAATGGCATATGGATGGGTAAAAAGAAGAAAACAGCTTTCATTCACTGAACACAAGGTTATCTACACAGAAAAATCCAATGGAGTGTATGAAAAAGCTCCTAGAACTAATAAGGTTGCAGAATATAAGGTCAGCAGACAATAATCAATCATATTTATATATACTAGTAATGAATGGTAGAAATGGAAAAAAATTTTTAATTGACTACATCTACAAAGGAAATAGAAATAAATCTACCTAACCATGTACAGAATCTGAATGTTTAATTATAAAACATTAACGAGAAAAATCAAAGAAAACCTAAATAAATGGAGAGACCTATACCATGTATACTTGTTGGGAGACCCTATATAATTAAGATATTAATGGCTGGGCATGGTGGATCACACCTGTAATCCCACTATTTTGGGAGGCAGAGGCGGGCAGATCACCTGAGGTCAGGAATTCAAGACCAGCCTGGCCAACATGGTAAAACCCCATCTCTACTAAAAATACAAAAATTAGCCAGGTGTGGTGGTGCACACCTGTAATCTCAGCTACTCAGGAGGCTGAGGCAGGAGAATCGCTTGAACCCGGGAGGCAGAGGTTGCAGTGAGCCAAGATCCCACCACTACACTCCAGCCTGGAAGACAGAGTGAGCCTCCCTCTCAAAAAAAAAAAAAAGAAAAAAAAAAAGAAAAAAAAAAGTCTTCATTTTCCCCAAAGTGAGCCACAGATCTAAATCTATTTTCATCAAAACCCTGGAAAGAGTTTTTATAGGTACACATAGGCTTGATTCTAAGTTATTCAGAAAGGCAAAGGAACTAGCCCAGCCACATTTTTTTGAAAAGGAACAAACTGGAGTACTCACAATATCTGATTTAAAAAATCAATAAAAACCACAGTAGTCAAGACAGCATGCAGTTGCTGAAGGGATAGACAAATACATCAATACAACACAAAACAAAATCCAGCAACAAACCCAACAGACCCACATGATTGATTTTTGACAACTGAACAAAGTGCAAATATTACTAAATGCACAAAGGATAGCTTTTTCAACAAATGGTGCTAGAAATCTAGATATCTGCATGACCCCAAAAATGTTCCTGGACCCAATCCTCACACCTAATATAAAAATTAACTCAAAATGGGTTAGAGATATACATGTAAATTGCAAAACTATACAGTTTTTCAAAGAAAACACAGAAGATGTTTGTTGCCTGGAATTAAGCAAAGAGTACTTAGATGTGTCACCGAAAGCACAAGCCACATAATTTTTTTAAATTCTAAATTGGACTTCATAAAAATGCAAAATGTTTGCTGTGAAAGAAAACTTCTCTTAATATGATGAAAAGTCAAGCTAAAGAGCTGAAGAAAATGTTTGTAAATCACATATCTGATAACTGACTTATATAAAGAATATGTGTAAAGAACCCCAAAACTCAACAGTAAGAATATTTTAAAATCCCATCAAAATGGAAAAAAAATTACTTGAACAGAAAGTTAATGAAAAAGAATACAAGAATGGTGAATCCATCCATAAAAAGAGGCTCCATATCATAAGCTATTAGGAAATTGCATATTAAAACCACAAGAAAAGTGAGAATTATGGTTTGGGCTCTGACTGTAAAGAGCTTGGATGTTGTTGCAGCTGTCTTTACAATCAGAGAAACTGGAAAAATGGGAAAACAATGACTTTTTTTGGACCCATCAGAGAATTGAGTTGTAGGACAAATTGTCATCCAGAAATCTGAAGAGACAGGTGAAACCAGACAGTCACAGCTGAAATCTGCTTACCTGAAGAAGCTGCTAGGGCTATAAACTGATAGGAACACTTAAATGGTAATTTTGACAAATTACTGGAGTCTGGGCATGGACTAGCTTGAGAGTGAGAAACGCCTGGTGGCTCAGTCTCGGGAGGGCCCTCATACCTTCAGGAACATGACCTCCATCAACATCACCAGGTTTCACAGTGGCAAGCCAAAGAAGAGTCCCTCCTGGCTCTGGAAGAAAGAGGAAAAAAGCAATCCTTGTGAAGTGTATCCAGAGCATTCTCCATGTGACAGGGTTACTCTTAATGGGAAAAAACCTTTATCAGCATCTTTTCCCAGAGCTGTGGAAAAGGAAATTCCTCTCAACCCAGCCCCACAGCCTGGATGTCTCTGTCTCACCTAAGGGGGCAGCGGGAAGGAGGAATGCTGGGCCAGAAGAAACACTTATGAGAGTCACAGGCCCACTAACAGGCTGAGACAGGGACACAGGCTCACTAACAGATTGAGATTTCACTGGAAGATTATACAACACTTCCCCTTACCCATACCTTACCACCACACCAACAGGGCCCCACTGTAATCACAATGGCTTACAAATAAAGAACTATACAACACAGACTGTCTCTAAGGAGGAGTACACAGGGAGGCCCAAATTCAAGAGAGGAGACAGAAACAAGGACACTAGAGCAATGTGAAGCCTCTGATCCTTACAGCCACACCAGACCTTAAACATACATACCTATGTTTAAATATTAATATATGTGTGTATTATATATATATGTGTGTGTGTATGTGTATTTATGTATGTGTGTATTATATATACCTCTTTGGTGAACACTGGCTGATACAGGCTGTAATGGAAAAAAGTAGACAACCTGCAGCTGAGCACCATGGCTCATGCTTGTAATCTCAGCACTTTAGGAGGCTGAGGTGGGTAGATCACCTGAGGTCAGGAGTTTGAAACCAGCCTGGCCAACATGGCAAAATCCCATCTCTACTAAAAATACAAAAATTAACTGGGCTTAGTGGTGTGCACCTGTAATCCTAGCTACTCAGGAGGCTGACAGGAGAATGGCTTGAACCCAGGAGGCAGAGGTTGCAGTGAGCCGAGATCATGCCATCGCACTCCTGCCTGCATGACAGAGCAAGACTCCATCTCAAAAAAATAAAAAATAAAAAATAAATGAATAAATAAAAATAAATAAATTTTTTTAAAAAGTAGACAACCTGCAAGAATACATGGGTAATGTAAGCAGAAAGATGTAAATTCTAAGAAAAAAAATGCTAAAAATCAAAAGCACTGTGACAGACAATGAAGGATGCCTTTGATGGGCTTGTCACACAACTTGACATGGCTGAGGAAGAGAATCAGTGAGCTTGAATATAGGTCCACAGAAACTTCCCAAACTGAAATGGGAAAATAATAATAAATGGAAAAAGAAGTACAGACATCCAAGATCTGTGGATAACTTCAACAGTTTTAACATATGTGTAATTATTTGACCAAAATAGAAGAGAGAACATAGTAGAATAAATGTTTGAAGTAATAATAGCTGAGAACGTTCCAACATGAATGACAGACACCAAGCTGTAAAGCTGTGTAGGTCAGACAAAAACAAACAGGATTAAAGAAACAAAAAATGAAACTAGGCATATAATTTTCAAACTGCAGAATACCGAAGCAAAAACCAACAAAAAAAAGGACAGAAAAAGTGAAAATCTTGAAAAAAGCTGAATTGGGGGTATGAGTGCAGTGGCTTGCCTATAGAAAAATAGGACAAGAAACACAGGGAATTTCTCATCAGAAACCATCCAAGCAAGTAAAGAGTGGAGTGAGATATTTAAAGGTTTGAAAGACAAAAAATAACCAACTAAGAATCTATATCTAGAAAAATTATTCTTAAAAAATGAAGGAGAGGCCGGGCACGGGGGCTCACGCCTGTAATCCCAGCACTTTGGGAGGCCGAGGCAGGCGCATTTTGAGGTCAGGAGATTGAGACCATCCTGGCTGACACGGTGAAACCCCGTCTCTACTAAAAATACAAAAAATTAGCCGGGCGTGGTGGCGGGCGCCTGTAGTCCCAGCTACTTGGGAGGCTGAGGCAGGAGAATGACGTGAACCCGGGAGGCGGAGCTTGCAGTGAGCCGAGGTCGCGCCACTGCACTCCAGCCTGGGCGACAGAGCGAGACTCTGTCTCAAAAAAAAAAAAAAAAAAAAGAAGAAGAAAAATAGGGACTTACTTGCTGAGGTAATTCACCATCAGACCTGTCCTTCAAGAAATGTTAAAAGATTTTCTCCAGACAGAAGGAAGATGATGTAGGTCAGAAACTTGGATCTATATTAAGAAAGGAAGTGTTGGAGAAGCAATAAATGGAGGTAAAATGAAATCTTTTATTTTTATTTTCATTAATAATTTAAAGGATAACTTCTTATTTAAAGCAAAAATAGTAACAGGTCATTGTAGCATATGGATAAGAGAAAAGACTAACAGCAATGCTACGAGGAATGGGAGGGAGGATTGGGAACACACTCTTATAAGATATCTACGTTACATGTGAAACAATACCATGATTTGAAGGTGAACACACATTAGTAAAAGAAGAAAATCTATATTAGAAACTCTAGGCTGGACATGATGGCTCAGACCTGTAATCCCAGCACTTTGGGAGGCCAAGGCAGGCAGATTGCTTGAGCTAACGAGCTTGAGACCAGCCTGGACAACATGGTGAAATCCTGTCTCTACAAAAATTGCAAAGATTAGCTGGGCATGGTAAGCTACTCAGGGGGCTAAGCTGGGAGGATGGCTTGAACCCAGGAGGCAGAGGATGCAGTGAGCCGAGATGGCACCACCGCACTCCAGCCTAGGCGATAGAGCCAGACTTTGTCTTAAAAAAAAAGCAAAGCAAAGAAAAAAGAAACTCTAGAATGGCCACTAAAAAATTCTTTAAAAAGTATAATTGATACTCTTTAAGAGAAGATAAAATAGAACCACACAAAATGCTCAATTAAAATCAGAGAAGGCAGAAAAAGCCGCCACTGGCAACCAGTAGGAAACAGTTACAAATATGATTGATATTCATCCAAATAGATCAACAATTGTGTTAAATGTGAATGGTCTAAATACACCAATTAAAAGACACAGATTGCTAGAGTAGATAACAAAACAAGACCCCACTATATCTTGTTGACATTAAATATAAAGTATCTGTTTGGTTAAAAGTAAAGGGATGAAGAAAGATATACCATGTTAACCCTGATCAAAAGAAAACTGGAGTAGCTGCATTAATTTCAGATAAAAGGGACTTGAGAAAAAGGAAAATTATCAGGGATGTGAGGGGAGGGATAGGTAAGAAACTCATAATCATAAAGGGGCTAATTCTCCAAGAATACATAATAACCCTAAATATGCATGTGCCTAAGAATAAAATGTCAAAATAAGTGAGGAAAAAATGATAAACCTGAAAGAAAAAATGGTCCAATCCACTATCATAGGATACTTCAACATTTCTCTATCCATGATTGATAAGATCAGATAGGCAAAAAATCGGTGAGGATATAATTGACCTAAACAGCATTATCAACTTTATTTAATTGATATTTGTAGATCTAGCAATAGCACAATACACATTCTTCTCAAGCTGGCATGGAATAATCACCAACATTGGCCACATTCTGATCTATAAAACACACCTTATCAAATTAAAGAAAAATAGAAATTAAACAAAGTATGTCTTCATACCACAATGGAAGTAACCTAGAAATCAAGAACAGAATGATAGCTGGAAAGTCCCAAATTATTGGAAACTAAACAACACATTTTTAAAAAACATTTGGGTCAAAGAGGAATCTCAAGAATAACTAAAAACATTGATCTAAATAAAAATTAAAGTACAACTTTTCTAAATTTGTGGGATGCAGTAAAAGCGGGGATATTTATAGCAGTAAATGTATACATTTGAAAAGAAGAAAAATCTAAAATCAACAACCTAAATTGTCACCTTGGATAATAGAGAAAGAAGAGCAATTTAAGCCTAAAACAAGCAGAACAAAGAGGAATAATAAAAATTAGAGAATGAAATTGAAAATAGAAAACAATAGAAAAAAATCAACAAAACAAAGAAAAAGCTGAAAAGATGATTAAAATTAATAAACCTGTCCAGGTTAACCAAGAAAAAAAGACATTGGGCATAGTTTGCCAATATCAAAAAATGAAAGAGGCGTCATCTCTACTAATTTCATAGATGTTAAAAGAATAATAAAGGTTTATGATGAACAACTTTACACCCACAAGTTTGAATATTAGATAAAAAGGACCGATTCCTTGAATGATACAACTACATTTTACAGAAAAGCAAACAGATCACCTAATAGCTCTGTATCCACAAAGAATCAATAATTAATGAAGTCTCAAAAAAATCACCAGATTCAGATGGTTTCACCAGGGAATTTTACCAAACATTTATGGAAGAATTGATATAGGTTCTTTACAATTTCTTACAGAAAATACAAGTAAATATTACTTCTTAACTCATTTTATGAGGCCAGCATTACCGGCATACCAAAATAAATTAAAGACATTACAAAAAAGAAAACTATAGCCAAATATTTCTCATGAACATAGATGCAAAAGTCTTCAACAAAATATTAGCATATTGAATACAATGGTGTATAAAAACAATTATATACCATGCCCAAGTAGAATTTGACCCAAGTATGCAAGACCGGTTCCTTGAAAATCAATTGAAAATCAATGTAACCCATCATATCAACAAGCTAAAGAAAATAAAATCACATGACCGTATCAATAGATGCAGAAAACGAATTTGGCAAAATCCAACATTCATTCATGATAAAAACTCTGCAAACTAGGAATAGAGAGAACTTCCTAATCTTGATAAAGAAGAACTAAAAAAATCCTACTGCTAACATCATATTTAGTGGTAAGAAACTGGATACTTCCCCTAAATTCAGGACAGGACTGTTTAAGAGAATGAAAAGACAAGCTTCCACTGGAAGAAAATACCTGCAAAACACGTATCAGATAAAGTACTTCTATCCAAAATACACAAAGAACTCTTAAAACTCAACCATAAGAAAACAACCTTTTTTTTTTAATGGGCAAAAGATGTGAACAAACATCTCACCAAAGAAGATATACAGGTGCATATGAAAAGTTGCTCCACATAATTTTTCAGTAGAAAATTGAAAATTAACAACGATATAGCACTATATGCCTACTAGAATGTCTAAAATTATAGATGATAGACGGATGGATGGATGGATGGACAGATAGATAGATAAAGATAGCCAATATCAAGTGCTGGTGAGGATGAAGGAAAGGGATTCATATTTGCTGACAGTTATAAAAATGCTATAGCCACTCTAGAAAACTGTTTGGTTCTTATAAAGTTAAACAAATTTACCATAAGATCTAGCAATTGCACTCCTAGATATTTAGTCAACTAATTTAAAAAATTTGTCCGTACAAAACGCTGCATGCAAATGTTTATAGAATGTTTATTCACAGTCGCCAAAAACTGGAAACCACGCAAATATTCTCCAGTGGGTGACTAAACAAAATGTGGTACAAATAATGAGACTCCCCTCAACAATAAAAAGGACTATTACTATACACAATAACATGGATGAATCTCCAAGGTATAATGATGAGGGAATAAAGTCAGTTTCAAAATGTTACATATTGCGTAATTCCATGTATACGACACACTCACAAAGACAAAACCGTAGCAATGGAGAACCTATCAGTGGTTACCAAAAGTTAGGGTTGGCGGGGGCGCTGTTATAAAAGGGCAGAACTAGGGAGCTCTTTATTGCGCTAGTGGTTACATGAATCCAAACAAGGGTTCAAGATCACAGGATTATATATCAAATAACCAATTTTACTGAATATCAATTTTAAAAGTCAAATAAATTATTAAACACTATTAAACATATACAATGTTTAAAGTCAAGCAAAAAGTCCTAAACTAAAAGTAAAATAATGATTGTTTAGAAGTACACCAGGATGGTATGGGTCATCTGCAATATAACGTCCTGTTTGGGATAAGGAAGCGTGACTACATCTACAGGGTGACGTGAGAAGGGCCCAGAGCAGCGAGCAGGTCTTGCCATCAGGGAGGGGAACCATCTGAAGGGGTGGCGTGAAAAAGTCTTTAGAGGAAGGCAAAAAATGGGAAAAGGTCAGAGAACCTTTTTGGGAGGTAAAAGGACCAGCTTTGGATTAGGCGTGATGCACAGGCCCCAGCGCAGGGCGTAGAAACTGCAGCCTGGACAGCCTGGGTGGGAGAAAGTTTGGGATGTTTAGGAAGGAAGGGTGCGGCAGCCAGGGGGAAGAAACGAGACAGGTGGCCGCAGATGGCGCGAGTCAGGCAGCAGGAAAAGGCAGGCTGTTTAAGCAGCCTTTTCCTGCAGTCCAGGCGGAGAGTGCAGAAGGAGCACCCCGAGGGGCAAGCATGGGAGAGCCGGAGCGGGCTCGCGGGCGCGCGGGCGCTGTACGTCCCCTCCTCGGCTCGCGGCCGCGAGCACGCGCTCTCCGTGCCCGGCCCCGGAGGGGCGGGGGCGGGGCACAGGCGCGGCGCGCGCACGTCCGCGCGGGGCGGGGGCGGGGCGCGAACGCGACCGGTGACGTCAGAGGAGGGCGCGCGCCCGGAGGCAGCAGGCGGAGCCGGGAGGCGGGCGTTGTGCGCGGCCGCGGGCGGAAGCGGAGGGGCGCGAGGGGCGGAGCGGAGCGCGGGAGGAGGCGGGGGAGGAGAGCCCACCGGGACCGCGAGCGGCAGCTGGGGAGGGGGCCGCGGAGCCCGAGCGGGAGCAAAACAGCTGATCTGGTTTTCCTTTAAAGCGAGAGAAAATGGAAGTCGGGTAGCGGCGACTGCGGCGCTGCGGGCTGGCGGAGCGGAGCGGCGCGGCGCGGCAGGTAAGACGGCGCTGGCCGCGGTGCTGCCGGCGGGCGGCGGGGCCGGGCCCGCGGACCAGGCAGGTGCGCTCTCCGGGCGCGGGGCCGGCGCCGTCTCCTTCCCGAGCTCCGTGGCGAGGCAGGTGGGCGTTGAGGCCGGGCGACCGCGGGGCCGGGGCGCGGGGACGCGGGGGGCGCGGGCCCCGGCTGGGCTCGCCGGCGCGTCTGCATTGCGGGCTCCGCTCCGGACCCCGCGGGCTCCCGGGCCACCGGCTCCGGCCCGGCGTGGCGCGCCTCTCTCGGGCAGGGCGCGGCGCTACCGCTGGGTCGGGGCTGCTGCCTCCGCTCAGCCCTTTGGCTGTCCGCACTGGAACGTGATGCCAGGCGTGGGGCGACCGACCCCTCGGTCCGTGCGCGCGCGTCGGGGGTCCCGCGGCTCTTGCAGACGGCCGGGCAGGGCCCGGCCCCGAGCCGCGCGCGAGGCCGCTCGCCGGGCACCGGAGCTGTGACTGCGTGGGTCCCCGCGGCCCGGCGCACCGCCGTCCCGCTCGCTCTGCTGGGTCTCGCTGGACAGCAGGCAAACCATTAAGGCAATTTGGCTGTGAACCCAGAGGCCTTCCCTAGTATCTCCTCACTGGAGGGGAAAAAATTGCATCTGCGGTGCTTTAAGTGCTCCTTTAAATTTGGGAGATGTCAGTGATGTCATCATTAACTAAAACTTTCCTTCATTGGACACAACCGCTCAAGTGTACCCTCCTCCCTCCCGGTGAAGCTATTGCAGCCCTTTGAGAATCTCTGTAATAAAATGGATTTGCCTCTGCTCTGTAAACTCAGCTACCTCACACAAGTGCAAATGACTTTTATTTCTGTCTATTGGCTTGAGAATGTATAGATTTAAGAGTAGCTGAAGGGAAACTTGTGAGACCCCGATCAGGGAAACGCTTCATCCACAGCACAAGGATCCAGGGGAAAGTCATGTATGACATGCACATGGTTACCGCCAGGTGATACCTTTGTAAATGGAAGTGGGCTGTAAGAGGAACAATTTTTAAAAATATGATGAGGCAGATAATGTGTCCAGGAAAAGGTTGACAGCGGGGCCTAAATCTTTACAGGTCTTAATTGCTTCAGGAAAATCTGCAGGTGTCCTTCACCATCCTCCTCCTCCTCCTCCAGGGTGTGCCCGGAGAAGCCTGCCCTGGGCGAAGGCGGGGAGGCAGGTTCACTAGGGTCCTCCCAGCAGCCGTGTGTCCCACCAGCTTCAAAGGCCTCTTCAAGACCCAAAGAGGGTTCACGAGAACAGAGGTAGATCTGCACGGCACACTCAGTTCTGGATAAACATTCCCCACTAAATGGGATCAACACTCCATTATTTTATTGTGAGTGTGCCATTAGTACCAATTCTTATGGGAACAAAACTAAGCAAGTTCCCAAGGCAATCTGAGTATCTACTCAAGCCTATCATATCGAAAGGATATCCAATAAGGGACAAAAGTATTGACATTTTTGTATTTAATAATTAATGACACCTCCTAATTGGTTAAAATAAGCATGCCTTAAATTGTTAGTGTGATTTTATTGGATCTGTAAGGAATTTAATACCATATGCCACTCAAAAGTTGGGACCTGGTTAGGAACTTCAATCTCTTGAACCCTGTATTGGTGTGAAAAGAATGGGAAAACAGTGGTTACTTAGGCCTTTAGTGTTCAGGCTGATAATGGGTGGAAATCGCCGCTTTACGAAGTATTGCCACGTGCGGGTCTCACTTGGGCCTGGATCATAGATGGCAGGTTTTCCCTTAGAAAGTAACTCCTGAGGCCCCCAAGCTTGGTGGAGAAGGAGAGGGGACACCTTTCTCTGAGCAAGTGTGTGTAATTCTTGGCCTCTGACCTCCTGATGGTGCCGCATTTATTCCCAATGGTGTGCCTAAGTGAGATGAGAAACTGGCTCCAAGTGAGCTGCTTTTGGATGACACTGCTCCCGCTGTGTGTAGTTGCTGTAGAACTTAACTCTTGAGTTGTGGCAGAGATTCTTCTTTACAACATGTCCTCAATAGTATGAAGATTGGTTTTTCAGGGTCTGCATTGCAAACTCTTTGAAAATGGAGTCTGTGAAATCAATCTGGCCCCGTATCCATCTTTTTGTTTTCACCTGTAGACTCGTGAAAATATTCACCACGTTTATGGTTTAACTCGCTGTAGTACTAGTAAAACTTCAAACGGAAGTGTTTCCACTAAATCTTTAGGTGTGGGTCACTTATTTCCCCAAAACATTTTAAAACAACCGCTTTAAAGCCTCTTCATCCCGCTTGTATGTTTAGAGTGCTTAAATTTGGGAGTTGTCAGTGATTTCCCAAAAGAGATCACTGTCACATCTTCCGTTTCTAAGAAGTAAAAATTGCCCTGATTTTCTTTCTGTTCCCTTTGGGATATTAAGGTCATTTATTCATGCCTTAGGCCCACGGAAGAAAGGTTGAATTAGCTCTTGTGGGCCAGCAGGGGGCGTGCTAAACGCGGCTTGGCGGGCCTGTGTCAGAGCCACCTTGGGAGTGGATCTCCAAGTTGAGGTGGGTGCATGTGTGTGCGCCGGTGTGCTCCGCCCCCGCCCCCCGCCCCTCCCCCTCCGCTCCCGCATGCCTGTCTTCCAAGAGATGGAAACTTAAGGAAGGGTTGGGGGCACATACTTGAATGACCAGAGGTTGTGGAGTCTGGAATGTAGGCCTCCCTAGCAGAGATTGCTTCAGTGGCTCCATGTCTTTGGAAGGTGGCTCTTAGCACACTTTGAGTCTCAGGATTGAGTGCCTTCTCAGACTGCGGAAGTGAGTGTTAGTTTGGAGAGGAGAAAGTTGACTTCAGTGAACTACAGGCTGGTGTCCTGGTCATGGCGTGAATGTGCCAGCCAGGGCAACCCCGTGGAAATCCTCTCCTGCACACCCTTGATGTTTGCTCCTGGCTTTGACTCCCGATTGACTTAGGCCCTGGGACCCTGTGTGGTAGTACTTCCCAGAGGGGCCTATTTGACCCCTTGCACTGAATTATAGGTGGCGGATGTCCACTTAGGAAGTAATTCCTGTGGCCCCCAAGCCTGGTGGAGGAGGGAAGGGGCACTTTGCTCTGAGCAAGCTGTGTGCAAGTCATGGCCTCTGACCTTCTGATGGTGCCACATTTATTTCCATGACGTGCCTAAATGAGATGGGAAGGGCTCTTGGCCTCAAAATTTCTCTGATGAAAAACGTTTCGTTACTGTGCTTTTATTTTTCCCTATAAAATGAAAACAAGAAAAAGCAACTGTGCTTTTTCACTTAAAATGTGCTTTATCTGATTTTAAGTGTGTGCCAGGTTATTCAACCACATGTTCCCTGGGAGACTTTTCCTCGCAGGGACTGAACTCAGAGAGGCCAGCTTGTGCTCCAGGGCTATTTTGGTGAGTTGGGATGGGTGTTTCCCATGCTTAGATGGTCATTGCAGCATCTGGGTGTGTTACTGAAGACCAAAGACTCCTCTCTCCTACTGAGGTTCCTCATGGAGGCCCCATGCGAAAGGGAACATCACACTTTAAAAGGAAAGAAGTTTCACAGATGCCCTACTAGAGAACTAGCCCAGTGCTATGACTGGGCATTTCTTTATGCTTCTCATTCCATTTAAATTGTGTGGAAAACTGAACTACTGATTTCAAGGGGGCAAATGGGAATAACATGTTTTTCAGCTTTAGTGAATCAGGCTCTTCACCTTGATTGAACACTGTAAATGGTTAAAGGGGAAGCGCCACTACATGTAAAATAGGTGATGCCAAATCCCTTTAGAAGCTGTTCATCCTTGAGGACAAAATGGGAATAAGATATGCTGGTTCTTTTTTGTAACGTATTTAATGTGAAAATATTTTACCCTTGAACCTTGGAAAAAGAATTTTATTTGCCTATTGGTAGACTGCCATGTCTCCCAAAAAGTTTGTGTGTGAGACCAAGAATAAGATGGCCTTAACACAGATGCCACAAGGGGGGAACCGCCTTCATCACACTTTTGGAATGGTGTTCTTCATCATTCATAGTAACAGACGGGAGAAGTGGGTTAAAAATAAGTCTTTAAAAAGCTGAAATGGAGAGAAGGGCCGGACGCTGCCTTATTACTTGCCTGTGTTGTGGAGGCGTGTTTAGCTGGCTGGTTTGCACACAGCATTTCTGGACCAGGAAGTGGGGGAGTATAGACTAGGACTGGGAGGGAGTGGGCCATGCAGCAGCTACAGCTGGCCAAGGTCTGGCCTGTCGTGCTCTAGGTTCCTCTTGGCAAAGGGAAAGAGTTAGTCTCCCATGCATCTAAAGCCTTGTTTGGTAAAATTGCATGATTCCACAAAACCCCAGTCCTTGCTATTAGCAATTACTGCTCTACAGCATCTCACATTCTGAGAAGTCAAATACACATTAATGCTAATACAAGTTTTAAATACATCTCTCTTAGTTAAGTAGATAAGTCTAAAGTAAACTCATTTTGTAGGATTGAAGTATTTTGCGTTTCTCCTTCCAAGGAAATATTTTCTATTTGAGCATATTTTATTCTTAATCTCGTTTTCCTTATAAATATAATGGAAATTTGATGTCTGAATGAATACACATGAGTAAGATGCAGTATTGACTTTTATGAAATATAAAATTAGACCTTGGAAATTCATTTCCTTGTCTGTTCAGCGTTTCATTTGTTTTATTAGATTACTGTTAAGTTTCACATGGTGCTGGGGATTGGTGTGAACAGACCATACACCCATCCCTCTGTGAGATTAGATTAAGTTTCTCAGTTACTGAGACAAAGGTTTAGGAGCTCACTCAAGAGGAGGTGGCTGCCTGGAGTGAGAGCAGACGTCTGTCTGTGGTGCAGACAGGTTGAACCTTGCTACCTCTGAGAAGACCCCAGTTTTCATGCCCCCAGGGCTAACACACCCATCTTCAAATAATTTACCCAAATAATTTCTGCGCTCACATTTTAGGAACTTTCTATGAATTAAGTTCTCCGAGTTTTTACAGTAAGCTTAGGGTTAGCCTGTTAGCCTGTCATGTCTTCGTTGCAGAAGAGACCACACAATGCACAGTGTCCTGGGACTCAGCACGTCCTCCTTCCCCAGATCACCTTACATCATCCCTGAAGTCCATGCAATACCCTTTTATCTTGGGGGTCTAAAAACCATACCATGGTTGCAGCCCATTTCCTCACAATTCCTCTAATGATGATTTGAGGTTTCAAGACAACGTGTGTTATTGTAGTGTGGGCAACACATTTGCATGTATAATTTTTCATGCCTTTTACAAAAATTGTTTGACATCCAAGAGGTACATAGTTAACTTTTTCTTTTTAAAATGTATGAATTGGAGTATTTGTTTTGACTGTCTGTTAAATAATATACCATCTCTTGAAAGAATCATCACTGAACAGTAAAAATAAATGAGACATGCTTCCAGCTCACTTGGACTTGATGACCAGTTGTGTGACCTTGGGCACAACCCCAGGGGGGGGCCACAAGGGCAGAATATCTCTTGGGCCATCCTGTAGGCTTTAGGGTGGAGCAGATGAGTGAGTGTATGCCATGGGTTCTTAAGTTCTAGATTGATAAGTTGTTCAATAAAAGGAACTGGAGACAGTATTTGTCTCACTTACCATCAGCCCAGTTTCTATCCTTTGACAGTTGATGTAGTCATAGTTTGCACTTGTAACCAAGGCATTGCTTAGATGAACTTGCTTTGACTTGTGTGTGTGTGTGTGTGTGTGTGTGTGTGTGTAGGAAGAGGAGGTGTGGGTAAAAAGAATGGAGGGGCTTCTGTGGCTTGGGGATTCTTGGAGTTAAAAGTCATTAGCCATGATATAGTTTGGCTGTATCCCCACCCAAATCTCAACTTGAATTGTATCTCCCAGAACTTCCATGTGTTGTGGGAGGGACCCAGAGGGAGTTAACTGAATCATGGGGCTGGTCTTTCTCATGCTATTCTCGTGATAGTGAATAAGTCTCACAAGATCTGATGCATTTATCAGGGGTTTCTGCTTTTGCTCCCTCTTCATTTTTCTCTTGCCACCACCACGTAAAAAGTGCCTTTCGCTCCCTGCCGTAATTCTGAGGTCTCCCCAGCCGTGTGGAACTGTAAGTCCAATTAAACCTCTTTTTGTTCCCAGTTTCGCATATGTCTTTATCAGCAGGGTGAAAACAAACTAATACAGTAAATTGGTACCAGTAGAGTGGGGCATTGCTGAAAAGATACTCGAAAATGTGGAAGTGACTTTGGAACTGGGTAACAGGCAGAGGTTGGAACGGTTTGGAGGGCTCAGAATAAGACAGGAAAATGTGGGAAAGTTTGGAATCTCCTAGAGACTTGTTGAGTGGCTTTGACAAAAATGCTGACAGCAATATGGACAATAAGGTCCAGGCCAAGGTGGTCTCAGATGGAGATGAGGAACTTGTTGGGAACTGGAGCAAAGGTGACTCTTGTTATGTTTTAGCGAAGAGACTGGTGGCATTTTGCCTCTGCCCTAGAGATTTGTGGAACTTTGAACTTAAGAGAGATGATTTAGGGTATCTGGCAGAAGAAACTTCTAAGCAGCAAAACATTCAAAAGATGACTTAGGTGCTGTTAAAAGCATTCCATTTTAAAAGGGAAAGAGAGCATAAAAGTTCAGAAAATTTGCAGCCTGACAATGCAGTAGAAAAGAAAACCCCATTTTTTGAGGAGAAATTCAAGCCAGCTTCAGAAATGTGCATAAGTAGCAAGGATCCTAACGTTAAACACTAAGACCATGGGGAAAATGTCTCCAGGCCACATCAGAGACCTTCATGGCAGCCCCTCTGGAGAACAGGTCTGGAGGCCCAGGAGGAAAAAGTGGTTTCATGGACTGGGCCCAGGGTCCCCGAGCTGTGTGCAGCCTAGGGACTTGGTGCCCTGTGTCTCAGCCATTCCACCCGTGGCCAAAAGGGGCCTACATAGAGCTCAGGCTGTGACTTCAGAGGGTGGAAGCCTCAAACCTTAGCAGCTTCCAGGTGCTGTTGAGCCTGTGGGTACACAGAAGTCAAGAATTAAGGTTTGGGAACCTCCACCTAGATTTCAGAAGATGTATGGAAATGCCTGGATGCCCAGGTAAAAGTTTGCTGCAGGGGTGGGGCCCTCATGGAGAACTTCTGTTATGGCAGTGCAGAAGAGAAATGTGGGGTCAGAGCCCCCACACAAGTCCCTCCTGGGGCACTGCCTAGTGGAGCTATGAGAAGAGGGCCACCATCTTCCAGACCACAGAATGGAGATCCACCAACACTTTGCACCGTGCACCTGGAAAAGCCATAGACACTCAACACCAGCCCCTGAAAGCAGCCAGGAGGGAGGCTGTACCCTGCACAGCCACAGGGGTGAAGCTGCACAAGACCACGGGCATCCATCTCTAGCATCAGCGTGACCTGGATGTGAGACATGGAGTCAAAGGAGATCATTTTGGAGCTTTAAGATTTGACTGCCCTGCTGGATTTTGGACTTGCCTGGGCCTTGTAACCCCTTTATTTTGGCCAATTTCTCCCATTTGGAATGGCTGTATTACCAAATACCTGTACCCCCATTGTATCTAGAAAGTAAGTAGCTCGCTTTTGATTTTACAGGCTCATAGGCAGAAGGGAATTGCCTTGTCTCAGATGAGACTTTGGACTGTGGACTTTTAAGTTAATTCTGAAATGAGTTAAGACTTTCAGGGACTGTTGGGAAGGCACAATTGGTTTTGAAATGTGAAGACATGAAATTTGGAGGGGCCAGGGGCGTAATGATATGGTTTGGCTGTGTCCTCACCCAAATCTCAACTTGAATTGTGTCTCCCAGAATTTCCACATGTTATGGGAGGGACTCAGGGGGAGGTTATTGAATCACAGGGGATGGTCTTTCCTGTTCTATTCTCGTGATAATAAGTAAGTCTCACAAGATCTGATGGGTTTATCAGGGGTTTCCGCTTTTGCTTCTTCCTTATTTTTCTCTTGCCACTGCCATGTAAGAAGTGCCTTTCACCTCCCGCCATGATTCTGAGGCCTCACCAGCCATGTGGAACTGTAAGTCCAATTAAACCTCCTTTTGTTCCCAGTTTCGGGTATGTCTTTATCAGTGGTGTGAAAATGAACTAATACAAGCAAGCTCTGTTAAGCCATGCTAAGTGAAGTTCCTCTCACTCAGAGTAGATAGTGAACTCCCCAGGAAGCCGGTTATGTCTCCTGTATCTCAGGTGCTGCTGTGCATAAGAATAACAGGCATACAAGGGCTCATTGGGCAGGATCATTACAGAACGTACTTCCTTATCCTTGGGGATGATGAAAGATTAGTCCTTTACATGAAAAACTAGGGGGTGGGAGAGAGGAAAAGAATAGCATTCCAAAGGTAGAGTCCTGGGAGTAGATTTCAGGGAGGAGAGTGGGCAGTGACTGTGACCTGAGGTACTACCAGAGAGGGTGGTCTTGGCATTTTCCCCTGGGGGAGGCATGACACCAGGCTAGGGTCTGCACTGTCACCCCCACCCTAAGTATATTCCCTTGCAGAGCCTAGAGCTGCTCCCAGAGCATGTCCTTGGCTCTGAGACCACTGGCCATCTCTTGCCATTGGTGTTGACTGCCATGGTGAAGGACACAGGGGTGTCTGTGCCATCTGTGGGATGACATGGTCCCCCCAAGGAAGGATGTGGGTCCTTTGCAAGTACAGCATTAGATTATTAGATTGAGTGAAAACTCTCTGGTTGTCTGTTTAACTTGGCATTGTGGGTCTGCAGCTATTGGGTAGGCACATTGAAAGGCTGTACTTAATCCCTTGGAAATATGTCCTAGAATTGCCAGGATGGGTTGCAGTTCATCCCCAAATCTCTTGATTATTCTGTCTCTACCTTGTTGAGGTATTGAATGTGAACTCAGCTCTTGGGTCCACGTGGTTTTAAGTGCCCACTGACTCTGGGTTCTCAGACACGGCATGCAACCAGTTGGGACATCCCTCCAGGGTCCTCTGCCTGTTCTGGAAGAGGTAGACAAGGTTTCTTCTACCAAAGCTGACTTATCCCATTTACAATCTGGCAAGCAGTATGTTCAGAAATGCATCATCAGAAAAGGTGCTTCAGGGGCCTAGAAAAGGAGTGGATACAGGTGAGCCAGCCCACTGCTTAGCATGTATGGTTTATTAGAAGATCGGTGTGTGGTTGCATTCACATTAGACTCTTTCCATGCCCGTTGACTAGTGACTAGAGAACCTGGTCCAGGCTGGGGAAAGAAAGTGCCCCCAGCCTAGAGGAGGCCTCATTCTGGCTTGGGTCCCCACTCTGGGGATATTCTCTAGGTCTTAACTGAACATGTGAAATGAAGAACCGCAGCTGCCTACTCTGATACCCCTTTCAACTCCATGATTCTGTACAAAATTAGTTCCCTAGTTCTCCCAAAGTGCTGAGTGATCAAGGGGAAGGGAAGCCCTGCTCAATGCTGTGAGAGAACAGGTAGGAAAAATTAGGTGTCTTTTAAAAATATTTATCTCTGGCTGGGTGTGGTGGCTCATGCCTGTAATCCCAGCACTTTGGGAGGCTGAGGCAGGCAGATCACGAGGTCAGGAGATCGAGACCATCCTGCCTAACATGGTGAAACCCCGTCTCTACTAAAAATACAAAAAAAAAAAAAAAAAAATTAGCTGGGCATGGTGGCGGGCGCCTGTAGTCCCAGCTACTTGGAAGGCTGAGGCAAGAGAATGGCGTGAACCCAGGAGGCGTAGCTTGCAATGAGCCGAGATTGCACCACTGCACTCCAGCCTGGGCAACAGAGCGAAACTCCGTCCCAAAAAATATATATATATACATACATATATATATATATATATATATATGCACACATACATCTATATATACACACATACATACATATATATATATATATATATATATATATATATATATATATATATATATATATATGTATATTTATCTCCACTTCTGGGGTCGAGGAGAATACTGAGCATTTGAACAAGTATTTATAATTAGAAATGAGTTGTGTGGACATCGTTCCTCCCTTTGACTCTTAAGCCCTTGAGGAGAAGCTCATGCATTATTTTTTATTACATCTCTGAGGCACCTTGTTCAGAACAGTCTCTCCATTCATGTTTGTTAAATGCATTTAATAGCTCTATGGGAATTAAAATTAGAAATTTAATCATTTTTTCTCGAATTGCTTAGCTCCCATGAGTTCAAAAGCATCGCAGTTGAGAAAGTTGCTTATATAAAATTTGAAACATTTCATACTTAAGCTTGCAGTTCAGTGGCATGCAAAATTGTGTTTACTTGGGTTGCAAATAAACAAAAACCAGATAATTTACTGATTAGTTGTAATGGGACTTGCTTGTCATACAGCAGAGTGTGAGTTCAAAGAAGAATTATAGTTTCAGATTTTCCATTCCATAGATTTTTAAGAATGAAATAAATTAGTTGTACTACCTTGAAAATGTTAGTGATAGAAAAGAGAAAATGGAAGGTCACATGGATATGTCATATTTGAAACAATCCTTAAGGAAAAAAGAAAATTCATAATGGAAGAAAAGACATGTGATCGATTAAGATAATTGATTACAATACCTTCCTATGTTAAAAAATGGTGGCAAATCCTAAACCTCAAAATCTCTTAATATCTCCCCAGAAAGGAAGATACCACTGCCAGGCCTGTGTCACTGCTGGGTACGTGCTCAGAGTTGCGGCTGTCCTGGCTCTCTGAAGGGCCCGGGCCAGAGGTCCTCCACTTCCTATTGAAACGATAGGGGTACTTTAAAAATCTTAATGTCTGGGCACTTCCTCTAGAGGTTCTGATATCAGCAACCAAGCCGCAACCTTGGAACCCATTGGGACTTTTATAAAAGCCCCTATTGATTCTGGGTTTGAGAACCACTAGCTTCAAGGAAGTTCTTGTAACTTTATAAATGCAGGGAGACAGGTCCAGGAGAAACAGGGAGGACCATGAGTTCCTCTTCTCTTCTTATATATTATCCCACAAGGGGGAAAGAAAGTTGGTCTCCTTAAAGCAGAAAATTGAAAGACATCTGCAAGGTGAACTGGTAGAACCTTTACTATTTGATCAAATGATAATTTTATATCACTTAACTGAATATATAGCTGGCTTACAAATGTTTATGTTCATGAGATCTGTTGTATAATGTGGTGGCTAAATTAATAACAATGTATTATAGACTTGACAATTGCTAAAAGTAGAGTTGAAGTGTTTTTACCATAAAAAGTAATAAGCATGTGAGGTAAGGCATACATTGATTAGCTCTATTTAGCCCTTCCATGTACAACATGATGTGTTGTACACCAAAATATAAACAACAAAAACATACAGTTTTGTCAAGTTAAAAAATAAAATAACAACAAAAAAATACAATTTTGTTAGTAAAACAAACAATAGTAAGATGTACAGCCATGCAGAAGGAAATCAAACTGTTTGCCAGGTTTGTTAACTTGCATACAGCATATCATCATGTCTTTGCAGTTTTATAGTGCTTTGCAGTTTGCAAAATACTTTTGTGTAGATTATCTAATTTGATCTTCCCAATAACTCTGTTGTCAGGAGGGAAGTTGTTCCCATTCTACAGTTGAGGAGACTGAGGATGGCAGTTTGTGGTTTTCCACGGTGGTGAGAGTGACTGGCACACTTGGGATGCCCTGTCTTCAGGCCCCATGTGACTGCCCCTCACCTGGTGATAGTTGGTCTGGTGGGCTCCACCACTGCCTCCCTGACATTTTAGTGACGTCTGTGAGAGGCTGAAATGAAGACTGTGAGGCTGACTCTGCCGAGGCTAACACAGCGGCTAGCCCAGTGAATGGTGGGGCTGGCCGGGTTGGTGGTGTGCAGTGGGATGGGGATGTGAGGCAAGACGGGGAACCTGGCCGTTGTTCTTGTTATGTTTGCCTCATTCTCCTGTGTCTCTAGGCTTGCTGTCTTCTGTGGCAGCAGCATCTGTATAGCATTGTACATCCGTGAGAGCAAACACCTGCTTTCCCTCCTTAATAGTGTTTTCCTTGGACGAGTCTTTGTGCCCTTAACTATTCCTGCTGCCCTGTTCTGCAAGGTGGGTCCCATCCCCCTGCACTTGGGCATTTGGCAGATGTACATGGCTGAGCTGCTGCCTCTTCCTCTGGCCCCAATTTTCTCTGTCTGGAATTTCCCCTTTGTAGAGGGATCTTTGAACGAAGCCTTCCATGCTAGCCACACTGCACAGCAAGAGGCATTGGACCTCAGGGCTCAGGCATTCAGGCCTCCCAGAACATCTTGACTATGACTACTCTGGTCAGTGGCTGTGGTCTGCCTCAGTCTCCTTGCCACCCTTGCCCTCTGGCTACCTGCCACACCTGTCTTATAGGCTCTCTCCCTGCTCCAAGAGGTCCTCAGCGGGCTGCTCGGGCCTTTTGACCTCACCTTTCTGCCCCTGAACAATACTCCTTATCACCTGCCCCCTTGTTATTTTATCTTGGCAGGAGAATAAGTTCTGCCCTTTCCGGGAAGACAACAGTGCCACGACACAGTGATATACATACTTTTGTCCCCAAGGTGTTGAGTGGGAAACCATGCGTTCTTCGTAAAGTACTACTGGTTTTAAGTAATTAACCTTCCCTTGTTGATTTTCTTTTTCCCTTTCAATGTTCTTTCTCTTGGAAAAGTTGCCCAAGAAGGAACTGAACTACTGCACACATTATAATAGAGAGGGCTTGTGGTTCAGTGCTGCAGTCTCAGCAGAAAAGCCCTTTTTCAGAATTGAAAGTCCAAAGTAGACATTACTAAGAAAAAGTGAGCAATCAAGTGGTAATACCCTTCATGGTCCAGGAGATGCCCAGGATAGCAGAGCAAGGGAAAGCCAAGTGTTGAAGGACGTGGGGGGCAGTCTGGAGTCACATGTCATCCCCGCCCTGGAGCATGTGCTGTTTATGTCACAATTTTCCTAACATCGAGGGGCCCGGCTCAGGCTGCGCTGACTGCCCTGTGGCTTGCATTTACTCTATCTGTACACTCCTCCTGGGTCCCAGGCTTCTCCCAGGACAGCTTGCCATCCCTATGTGATTTCCTTTCCCGAGTGTGTAAGGGGGAGGGCGTGAGAACCCAAGTGCCAGCAGAGGGGACTACGAGTGCCCAGGCCAGGCCTGGGTGAGAGTGAGATACTCCCAGCCCCTGCCCCCACACTGGGTTTGCTTTCCATTTGTGCTGCCTCCTGCTGGGAGGCCCGGCTCCTGGCTAAGGCAGTTCAGCTACCAGCTCCAGTGTCCCTGTATGTGACATCTGCCTTACAGGTGACAGCAGGCCCTAGGTGCTACCGTGGGCTCTCGTTGGCTATTTTCCTAGCCCCTCTTCCTTCAGGACAGAGCACAGACTGTCCAGGTGCATTCATTTTTTCTTCAGGGCTGGGGCAAGTTTGGGCCAGGAGCTGGGTCTAAAATCAGCCTGGGAGCTGAGGCGTCTCAAGGAAGTGTCTCACTTCTTTAAGCCTCTATTTCCATGTTGTGGAATGAGGGTAAGACTAGGTACCTTTCAGGATTGTTCTTGTAGGATTATTTTTGTGAGGACAACAGAGGGATGGTTGGCGTTTGCCGGCCGTCAACTATTAGAGAAAGGTCACCTGGAAAAAGAGAGGGGCTCAGTGGGCAGGGGCTGGCCCAGTGACAGCGCTCTGTCCAACAAGCCCCTTCTCCACCAACTTCTGTGATGCTCCCGGCTGCGAAAGAGCTCAGAGCCAGAAATGACAATCTGGACCCGTTGGGCAGACGTCAGAATTTCCTTGTGTTCTTTCCTTTTTAGGGAGCATACCAAAGGATTGTTCAAACCTTTGTCCGCTGTGCGTCATCACTTTAATTTTTACATAGATTGTAGATGAGTTTAATTAACGTGTGGCGAGGAGGGGTTGAGAAGAAGCCGGTCCTGAGTGAGCTTCACTTTGCTTGTGGTGTTTTGAGTGTAACCATCTGTTTGGGGGAAACTTTGTGAAACATGTTCCATGAAAAACAGTGACATCTACAAAGATAAAACTAATACAGAGCTTCTCAAACCCCACACTCTCAGCATTTTGCTCCTCTCTGTGCATACAGCAAGGCAGTGGGAGTACATTGTTCTGTAAAAATCGAGTCATACTAGTTTTTACTCTTTCCTTTGCTTATTTATTTTTCATGAAAAAAAATCTAATATTTGCACAGGTTAAAAGAATAAGTTCAGCAAAACAGTAAAATGGGAGTCATTTTCTTCCCTCAATCCCCATGCCTTTCCCAGGAGGCATTACTACTAATTGCTCCTTGTGCATCTTTCTAGAAATGGTCTGTGGATATCCAAGACTATTAAACACATAGGAACATACATAGAATACTTGTTGGAGATTATTACATTTTTAGTCTACAATACATGCTATTTTAACTAAAAAAGTACTCAGTTAAATTATATTTTTATTTAGTGATTAAAGACTTGCTGAATTTAAGTTACATGTCTTATTTCTTAGAGCATAAAAGTTTCTAAAAGTTCCCTTTCTTGGTTTGGGTAGACCAGCCTGGAGTTACCATTGACGTGGCAGCCCCTCCCAGGCATGGCTCCTATAGCAGAGCCAACTGATGTGCAGGAAGTAATGTCCCCCGGCCACTCAATTTATAGTCCTGTGGGTTAGCTGAGTGCCCAGGAACAAGAGATGGATTTGGGGAGCAACTATAGCCTCCATTCAATCCCTGTAAAATTAGGGGAAACCTATGAAATACCTGTTTGCTTGTTGCTGTTTATTAATGTTGCATTTGCTGTTTGCAAACTACTGTGTATTTAGGGTTGGCATCTGCTCACTCAGGGGTTGAAAGGTTACTAAATTTGCATATTAGTGCTTCCTTTTCCTCCCACCCATTTCCCTATTTTGTTACTCACCCTATAACTTTTTACATTGTCAAGGAACATAACATGGGTCATCTCTTAGATAACTTGTTTCCACAGTTACTTATTCTTAGTGCTCTGTTTAAATAGATTCCAGGATCACACAGTATCAGTCTTTTTATCAGTAGTTCCAATGGATACATTCTTGAGGATTTTTTTTTCGATTTGTTTTTCGGTTGTCTGGAGTTCATTGTATAGTTTGTTTAATCCCTGGCTCTGTTTTCCTCCTTTCTTGTTCTCTTCTCACATGGCTCATGGCACACTCAAACTTGAAGAATTCTTGCAAGCTTGAAAATAACTCTTGCCTGATTATAAAGGTCTTGAGTTGCATAATTTCCTTTAAAACTATATAGAGATATTTCTCCTGTCTTTTAGCACAGAGTTATGAGAAATTTGAAGTCAGCCTGTTTTGCCTAGATGTTCATGTGATTCTTTTAATTCGGTTAATTTACTTGAATGTTTCTGGATGCTGGTATTGCTGTATCACTTTCTTTTAAACTAAGTAAAGTAAAACCCTTGTAATTGACAGAGATAAGTCAGTTTATTTCAGAAGTTTTCTTGTATTATATCTATGACCTTTTTTCTGTTAACAATTCAAGAATGTTAATTATATGCACATTGTTTCTTTTGTCTTATATTTGTCATCTCTTTGATAAAGTTGATATTTCATATTCTTCTCCATTTCATTTGCTTATCTCTGGGGTTGATTGCCTTTATTCTATTATTTAGTTGCATCTAATATGGTTTTCATCCCTATTCCATTTATTTTAATTTTTATTTCTTCATTTCTTTTCCATGCTCTGATTCTCTTTCTGTTGGTTTATGATCTCTTCTTTGTTGTTGTTGTTTTTTTTTTTCCTTTTTAGGAAAGTGTGGTAGGCAGGAAGACAACCCCTCAAAGATGTCAGTATCCTAATCCCCCAAACCTGTGAATATGTTACCATGCATGGCAGGAAATTGGAACTGAAAAATGAAATGAAGTTGAGCATGGAATTAAGGTTGCTAGTCAGCTGACTTTAAAATAGGGAGACTATTCCTGGATTGTCTGCATAGGCACAATATAATCAGTAGGGTCTTTCTTAAAAGTGGAAGGAGGGAGGCAGAAAGATGAGAACCAGAGTGATGGCAGCTTCAGGACTTTGCCTGACATCATTGGAGGTGGGGGACCAAGAGCTGAAGCATATGGGGGTTTCAGAAGCTGTAAAAGAAGAGGGAAACGTTTCTCTTTATGGTGGGCAGAATAATGACCCCCCAGAGATGTTCCTGTCCTAATTCTCAGAACCTCTGCATATGTCATCTTATGTGGCAAGAGGGAGTTTTCAGGTGTGATTAAGTGAAGGTCTTTGAGACAGGGAGATGATCCTGGACGACCCAGGTGGGCCCCAGGTCATCACAAGGGAAGCATAGGAGTTGTGGCAGTGAGAGCAGAGGTCAGAGTGATGTGTTTCCTGGAAGGGGTCCATAAGCCAAAGAATGAGGGCAGCCTCTAAAAAGCATAAAAGACAAGGAGCAGATCCTCCCTGGAGCATCCAGAAGGAATGCAGCCCTGCCAACAGCTAGATTTTAACCCGATTTTAGATTTCCGACTTTCAAAACTATAAGAAAATAAATTTATATTGCTTGAAACCACTCAGTTTGTGGTAATTTGTTACAGTAGTAATAAAAAACTAATAGAAAAAATGGGAAATATTTTTATAAAGTCACTTTATCTGTTTCTTTATGGGTATTTTCTCAGGCATCTGCATTTGCTCTTCTCCTTCCCTACCCTCTCTTCTGTGCCTGATTCCCATGCTGGTTGCTTTGTGATTTTAGTCACTTTTGAATGGGGTCAGGTCTTTGTTGAAGAAGAAGGATGAGGGTGAAGCCAGGGCGGGATGCACACTGGATTCAAGTTTGTGGTCTGAAATACATTTATTCCACATGAATTCCCTTTGTCTAAGGCAGGCTGTGTTCCCTAGATTTCAGGGTTTAAGTTGGGTGTTGTTCATAGCAGACCTCTTGTGTTTCTGTCATACATTTGCTGCCTTTCTCTCTGTACAAGGCCGAGTCCACAGGCTGAGGCCTGCTCAGTGGCCATGCTTCTGTATCCACACAGCCCTTTCATGACCAACCACATTGGGGCTAGGCCATTTCTCCTGGCGGGGCCCATGTGCCTCCCCAGGTTCAGGAGGTGGGTGCTGGCTCTCTGTGTCTGTTCCTGATTGCATTGGTTCTGGTACACTCAGTAGTTTGTGGCTTGTGGTTGTGTCTGTCTCCTTGATTTGTTGGGGGTGGAATATATTTCTCTTTCTAGTTTTCTCTCTCCCTTTCCTTTTTCATTGTTTCTGGGGCTTTCAAAGAAAGTGTGGAGGAGTAGATTGTTTGCTCGAAGCTGAGAAGCTGCTGTCTGCTGGATGATTGTGTGGATGCTGAGGGGTTTTGCTTGTAATCTTTGGGGACTTCTTGTGCTTTGAGAAATAGGTCACTGTTTTGCACGGATGCTGAGCATTGTGTAGTAACTTTAGGGCTCCTTTTCCAAGAAGAGTTTTTGTTTGACTCCAGAACAATTCTTCACAAAGGCTCTTTTATTAGATTAGACAAGCTATTGTATTAGAGATTTGGCATCCCAGCGAGGGCCACCCAGGCCCTTCCTTGCAGAGCAGCCTGGGGGGAAGGGAGGTGGCAGGTACCACCCTGGACGTCTGTCCCCACTCTTCCCCACCTCCTCAGCCTGTCCCTGTATACTGCCTGGTCCTGGTGGCCTTGGAGTGACCACCTGTCTTTTGGAAGTCTGTGACCTTTTGGGTATTCATCAGTATAACCTTGAATGAATTCTTACTGCTTTAGTAATTTAATTAAATCATTAATGTAATGAATATTAAATTAGCGCTGTAATTTCTAAGTGATAAGAGTAGCAATCATTGCCAAGTGCTTTGCCTATATTATCTAGTTTAGATTTCACAGCTACCCTGCCAGGCAGGTATCAGTGTTCAAGCCCACTTCACAGATGAGCCCATTGAGGAGCACAGAATTGGCCAGTTGGCCACTCACATGGCACAAGCTGTCTTCGTAAATGTCTGACTTGGTCCTTTGTATGGAGGAGGCATGTAGGTACTTTATCAGATCAAGTTGAAGGTTATGAACTTTGTGTATTATAAGCTATTTGTAGTTACAAATCTGTGAACCCAAACTGTATTTTGGAATAGTTTATTGCAATAATTTGAGATTTGTTTGTTTTAAATTCTCAGTTTAAAATAGTTATATGTTAACAACCCTTAGTTTTTTAGTTTCTCCATCTGCAAAACTTAGTTTCAAAGGCCATGGCGACTTAAAAGTGAGAAATCCTAAATTCCAAGGAACAAGAGTTGATGAAGATTTCCCCTCAGCCTGGCCTACTGTGGAATGTCCTGTGGGCACTTCCTTCAGTCTGTTGCCCCTGGGGCTCCTGCCAGCAAGTGGTGTGAAAGGGAGAGGGCACCCACACTTACTGTCTTCAATTGCTGGCAAAAAGTCTACCTTGCGTTAAAAGGCAGTCAGGGCTGGGCGCAGTGGCTCATGCCTGTAATCCCAGCACTTTGGGAGGCCAAGGAGGGCGGATCATGAGGTCAGGAGTTCAAGACCAGCCTGACCAACATGGTGAAACCCCGTCTCTACTAAAATTACAAAAATTAGCTGGGCATGGTGGTGCGCGCCTGTAATCTCAGCTACTAGGGAGGCTGAGGCAGGAGAATCTCTTGAACCTAGGAGGCGGAGGTTGCAGTGAGCTGAGATTGTGCCACTGCATTCCAGTCTGGGCGACAGAGCGACACCCTGTCTCAAAACAAAACAAAACAAAACAAAACAAACAACACAAAATGGCAATCAGTTGAAGTATCTAAATACTTTTCTTTCTCTGCCTGCCTCCAAGTTTGTAGAGTTCACATGGGATTGTCAATCATGGGGATGTGTAACTGGTGAACTCTGGCTTTAGAGAAGCCAGAAGGGCCAAGCCCTAGCATCCCTGTAAACAGGAGGTCAGCAGGACCCAAAGGATTAGTTCAAATGATCACCTCCATCCAACTCCATCATGGTATTATTGCAAATGTGGAGAAAAGACAAAATAAACTGGTGTTTGGAAAACACTACATCCTGGGGTCACCTGTACAACCAGAATGTGTGATATCTTGGAAAATTAGCCGTCTTGATCTTTTTGGGTTACTTGAGAAGATTAGAGAATGAACCATCAGTTTCTCTGGCCTTTCCTAAGTAGAGAATCCATGTATGACATTGATTCTATGACATTACTAGCCACTAACTCTTCATAGGTTGCCTGCTACCTCTTCTCTCTTTTCTTTCCATCTCCAATTAGTCATTTATTGATCCTTTTCATTACATCTTCTAATTTCTTAGCCATTCTCTCACATTACCTGTTCTTCCAGCTCTCTTTGGTACATTCTGGATAATTCCCTCAATGCATCCTTCCACTTCATGAATCTACCTTCTACCTAATCCATGTCAAATCCACTTTAAAAACCAGCCTCTTGGTCTTTGATTTTGTGATTATAGTACTCATTTACACACATTCTCTTCATTTCTCATCACCCTGGTCTTTTTAATATTGCCATACTGTTTACTTAGTGTTTTAATCATGTTTAAAAATGCTTGAATCAACCTTTAAAGCATTATTTTGGTCTCCAAGTAATCATTTATTACCTGAGCTTGGTGGTAGTGGTGTTGGTGGGGTGGGAGCTGTTGTCTGGTTCTGCTGTTTCTGTGTCTGTTGGCTCTTATTCTTGGGGAATTACTGCTGCTTTTGTTTTGTCACTGGATTGCAGCCTCATTTTTGGCTTGGCTTCAGGATGTGCCTGGCCAATGAGGTTGTATTTGCTTCTGTCAGGCCTCCAAGAGTACCATGGGCCGCTTTGCATGTTAACTCCTTGGGTTGTTGGTTTTGGAGCCTTAAGTGGCTCTCTGAGGTGAGAACCTTCTGAAGCTGTGCCCTTTATTGGTGCATTGTCCTGCCTGCAGCAAGGTTGTAAAAGTGCTTTGTATGCATCAGGGTTGTGGTGGGTGTGAGCAGAAGGATGGGGCCAGCCACAAACCAGAGAGCCTGCAGGCCTATTTCTTTTTCTTTCTTTATTATTATTATTATTATTATTATACTTTAAGTTTGAGGGTACATGTGCACAACGTGCAGGTTTGTTACATATGTATATGTGTGCCATGTTGGTGTGCTGCACCCATTAACTCATCATTTACATTAGATATTTCTCCTAATGCTATCCCTCCCCACTCCCCCCACCCCACAACAGGCCCCAGTGTGTGGTGTTCCCCACCCTGTGTCCAAGTGTTCTTATTGTTCAATTCCCACCTATGAGTGAGAATGTGCAGTGTTTGGTTTTCTGTCCTTGCAATAGTTTGCTCAGAATGATGGTTTCCAGCTTCATCTGTGTCCCTACAAAGAACATGAACTCATCCTTTTTTATGGCTGCATAGTATTCCATGATGTATATGTGCCACATTTTCTTAATCCAATCTATCATTGATGGACATTTGGGTTAGTTCCAAGTCTTCGCTATTGTGATTAGTGCTGCAGTAAACATACATGTGCATGTGTCTTTATGTAGCATGATTTATAATCCTTTGGGTTTATACGCAGTAATGGGATCGCTGGGTTGAATGGTATTTCTAGTTCTAGATCCTTGAGGAATTGCCACACTGTCTTCCACAATGGTTGAACTAGTTTACACTCCCACTAACAGTGTAAAAGTGTCTAAAAGTGTTCGTATTTCTCCACATCCTTTCCAGGACCTGTTGTTTCCTGACTTTTTAATGATCACCATTCTAACTGGTGTGAGATGGTATCTCATTGTGGTTTTGATTTGCATTTCTGTGATGGCCAGTGATGATGAGCATTTTTTCATGTGTCTGTTGGCTGCATAAATTTCTTCTTTTGAGAAGTGTCTGTTCATATCCTTTGCCCACTTTTTGATGGGGTCGATTGTTTTCTTGTAAATTTGTTTAAGTTCTTTGTAGCTTCTGAATATTAGCCTTTTATCAGATGGGTAGATTGCAAAAATTTTCTTCCACTCTGTAGGTTGCCTGTTCACTCTGATGGTAGTTTCTTCTGCTGTGCTGAAGCTCATTAGTTTAATTAGACCCCATTTGTCTATTTTGGCTTTTGTTGCCGTTGCTTTTGGTGTTTTAGTCATGAAGTCCTTGCCCATGCCTATGTCCTGAATGGTATTGCCTAGGTTTTCTTCTAGGGTATTTATGGTTTTAGGTCTAACATTTAAGTCTTTAATCCATCTTGAATTAATTATTGTACAAGGTGTAAGGAAGGTATCCAGTTTCAGCTTTCTACATATGGCTAGCCAGTTTTCCCAGCACCATTTATTAAATAGAGAATCCTTTCCCTATTTCTTGTTTTTGTCAGGTTTGTCAAAGATCAGATGGTTGTAGATGTGTGGTATTATTTCTGAGGGCTCTGTTCTGTTCCATTGGTCTATATCTCTGTTTTGGTACCAGTACCATGCTGTTTTGGTTACCGTAGCCTTGTAGTGTAGTTCAAAGTCAGGTAGCAGCCAGAGAGAAAGGTCGGGTTACCCACAAAGGGAAGCCCATCAGACTAACAGTGGATCTCTCAGCAGAAGCTCTACAAGCCAGAAGAGAGTGGGGGCCAATATTCAGCATTCTTAATTTCAACCCAGAATTTCATATCCAGCCAAACTAAGCTTCATAAGTGAAGGAGAAATAAAATCCTTACAGACAAGCAACTGCAGGCCTGTTTCTAACTCTGAAGTTGGAAATAGCTTGGGATGTGGATCCATAAAAGGACAGGGCAGCAACTGGTGCATTTGTATGCCAAGGCCTGAGAGTGCCCAGTGCGTGCTCTCTGACTTTGAGTGCTGAGCTACTGTTGGAGCAATGTGGGCCCCTCCAGGAACTCTCAGCTGGGCAGAGGCAAAGAACTCACCAGCCTTTCACAACTGAGCATACCATATTTTTCAGAACTCTATTTGTTTGCTATCAACGAGATTAAAAAATACAAAGCATTGGATATGGAAGAGCACATGATCTCAAGAGATGACTGCTGAGTCAGACCAGGGGAAGGCAGGGAAAGGCTTTGGGAAGGCCGGAGGGCAAAGAAAGGAGAGAGGCAGCTTAGAGGTTGATGGCTGGGATGTTCTGGAGCCTATTTGTGGACTTCTGACTGAAATTTCTTAAATTCTGCAAGCTCAGTGAGAGAAAACTGTTTTTTTTTAAAAATAAAAAGCACAGTTTTTTAGAGTATTACCTACAACTGGGGAACCATTACTTAAAGTTCAGGGTTTGATGCTTCCCCAGGCAGACTGGTCTGCACGTCCCCCTCATCTCAATCCCACAGCAGTCATGGCTGCCTTACCCCTGTTTTTGCTATTGCCCCTCCCTGCGTGCCCAGCAGGGCCTTCTCTTCAAGACCCTAGCCCCTGCCTCTCGTGTGACACCTTTGGTTTCCCTTCCCAAAGCCTTTCCCTGCCTTTCCTTGCTCAGCACCTGCAGGCAGTGAGGCCGCTCCTGTAAGCCATGAGCCTGCCTCACTGAATGTGTGTTCTTCGAGGGACTCTGCAGTTAGGGACCTCACTCCTGAAGGGCAAGTTGCAGGTTGATATGATCTAGCTCTGTGTCCCCTCCCCAATCTCATGTGGGAACTGTAATCTGCACATGTTGAAGGTGTGGGCTGCTGGGAGGTGACTGGATCATGGGGGTAGACTTCCCTCTTGCTGTTCTCATGATAGTGAGTGGGTTCTCACGAGATCTGATCATTTAAAAATGTGTGGCACTTCCTTCCCCCTTTGCTTTCTCTCCTGCTCCAATGTGGTAAGACGCGCTTGCTTATCCTTGGTCTTTCAGCATGATTGTAAGTTTCCTGAGTCCTCTCAGCCATGCTTCCTGTTAAGCCTGTGGAACTGTGAGTCAATTAAACCTCTTTTCTTCATAAGTTACCCAGTCTCAGGTATTTCTTTATACCAGTGCGTGAATGGACTAAGACACAGGTCCGCATGGCTTTGTGAATCTTATCCATGGTAATAGTGATTTTCATGGTCACGACATTATCAGAGCTCTTCAGATCTCCAAAGCAAGGTCTTCCCTGTGTTGCAAACCCTTATGCCTTCAGTGCCCCCACAGAGCCCTGCAGTAACCAACCCCAGTAGATGTGGGAGTCAGAGGCCATTTTACTGCTTCCCTGGAGTAAAGTATGTATTACCAAGTCACTGTGACCTGGGACCTTTACAAATAGCCTCCTTCTCGTAGTAAAGGAACGAGAAGGAACATCACTAGTCCTTAGTGGAGGAGAGCGGCTGTCTTGCTCTTTGACCATGATCACACCCTTTTTTCATTTCTATCATGTACTCACAACCAACTCAGTATCAGGCATGTGTGCACAGTGGCCTGGCTCTAGGCACTGCCCTCCTGCATGTTGGGAATGGGTGGAATTGTTTCAGAAGCATGCAGCATGTATGAACTGTATTTACACCTGGGACACATATTTATGGAAAGGGTCCACTGCAGCCCCATCACGCCCTCTGTGTGCCCTGACATACTGTGCTAGCCCTTTGCAGGCCCATTCACTCACAAGGATGCCCAGGCTACGGCAGGCCTGCGGGGTGCCCTGCCCTCTTGGCATAGCCTGGGAGAGGAGGAGGACTGTCCTTCCCTGCCCTGCCTAGCAGGGAACAACAAGGCGACCCTTGGCTTTTCATTGTCTCTATCTCTAAATTTAGTCTATCCTAAATCTTGCTGCCCTTGGCATTGTGTCATCTGCTTATTCTTTCAACAGACTTTTTGTCTAAACTCGTGAAAGTAGCAAGTACTCTTTAGAAAAATACCTACTCGTTGGAGAAGACATAAATAATCATATATGCGAAAAAAGTAAATAATCATATATGCTAAAAAATGTTTTATCTGGTTTGGTTTTTCTTGTCACGGACATCATTTCTTGAGCCTTTTCCGTGTTATAAATATTCTTCTTAAACCGAGGTTTCAGTGGCCATGTGACACTGTGTTGAATGTGCGGTGGTTGTTGAACTGGATATTGATGGGGGCTCACCGGGGGCTGGGCACCATGGCTTTGCTGCGGAGGTGCTCCAGGTTGAGTAGATGAATCTTGCCAGTGCAGCCTGGCAGGTCATTGGAGACGAGTGAGCCATACCAGTTCCTGCCCGTTCTTATTCCATTGTCAGAGTTCTCCCCTTTTTCCTGTTCTTTAGGGTTCTCAGTGGGCTCCCTTCACAATTTTACTCTGATATCTGCAATATGTGCTCCTTCCAGCTTTCTTAACTTAGTCCTTGGCAACATACCCAAAGAGTTTATATGTAATCCCATACCCTTCCTCCACAAACCTCTACCCAAAAAAGAAAAAGACAGTTTGGGCCACAGGCTCTAGACTGGCCAGTGGGCCAACTTACCCATCTGGTGGAAAGCGCTCAGGAAAGAGTCATGTTGATCATATCTGAAAGTGGGATTCCTTGGGGATCTGAATTGGGAAATATGGAAGAAATCAGACAACTGGAAATAAGAGCAGAGTCCCAGAAGACAGGAGGTAGAGAGAGTCTGAAGGACAAAGGTGAGCAGAGCAGGGCTGTGGAGTTGCAGGGGCTTGAAGCCCGAGAGCCTGTCCAGCAGAGGGGCAGAGCCAGCCAAGGGCAGGGGAGGAGCAGGTGGAGGCAGCCCCTGGAACAGCTGAGTCCCTGGCATCCCACACTGTGGGGCCGCCATCCTGAGAGATCCTCCTTATCAGACCCCAGGCCTGTGGGCTCTCTTGTGCATGGTGTCCCGTAGAGTCCCCAGACCTCCTCCTGCATGGGGGAGCCACCAACCCCCAACGGGTCTGTGGATTGTCTGTGGTTGCACTCCAAGCGCTTTGTGCTCCATGCTCACTCAGGCCCTCCCTGGCAAGTGCTTAGGCCAGGTTAGAATACCACTGGGTCCTGGCACGTCTGCCAGAGTGGGTAGAGGGTACAGGGTGGAAGATGGCATTGCAGAGGTGCTAGGAGGGGCCTAGTATGAAGAGCAGTGGGAGGTCGCAGAGTCCCCAGGCCAGCCCTTCCTGAGGGGGCCTCAACATGCTGGTTGGGGGCTGGGGATCTGTAAAACATGGCCAAGTGCTGAGCATGATTCCCCTGCCCAGAGCCGGATCCTCTGTGGCCCTGGGTGCATCGTGTGGTTGGAGCCGGCATGAGGCCAGCTTCACAGAGGACGAGAGAGATGGTGGGTGCATGTAAATATTGGCTACTCCTGTGGCTTACCCGCGTGGTTTCTGATGTGCACGAGTGTGCACCCTACCTACTTGAAACCTGGGGCAGAATCAGGACAGAAGTAGGGGCCAGAATCTGCACTGAGTGTGGCTCCGCAGCCTTTTCAATTCTCCTCCCCTTGAGATGGAGAGGTACAGGACATGGAACAAGGTGTGTTCAGAGCCATGAGGGAAACAGGTTTATGTCGCCTAGCGCAGGTGAGAGGATGCCCAGTGCCTGGGGAGGAGGGATGGCTGGCATGCTGAAGAATCCTGCTTTTTAATTATTATTTTAAACCAGCTGTAACATGGGAACCAGAAGGGGTTTGAATGGCAAGAAGGCAGCCTATTTCGGGGCTCTCTCAGGAGCCCACCATGGAGGGTGCCTCCTATCGACTGTGAAGGAGAGAAGAGCTCATACAGGAGGCTCTCTGTTTGCTGGGGGTAGCAGGGTCTTCCTTGTATCCCACATGAATTCTTATGGGAGCTCTGCCAGTGGTAGCCATGTCTCCAGCTCACAGATGGGGACACCAAGTCCTGGGAATGGTCCCCGAGGCAGTAAGCAGGGCCCTGAGTGACAGGAAGAAAGGATTTGCACTGTTCCTGGCAGGGCATTGCCTCTCGTGGCCTCCTGTGGGACCCATCCACCTATGTGGCATCAGGTCTTTTCCTTTACGGAAGGTTGGGAGTGTTGGTTTTGCTTTTGTAATTGATGTTTTCTGCTTAGTAAGGTGAACTGTGTAGAGGAACCTCCACCTTTTGAGGGACACGTTACTGGCTATGGAATCAGGAGTTCTGGGAGTTGTATATGAGGAACCAGGAGACACAGGCAGGTATCTTCACAGCAGGCTGTTAGGAGGCCAAGGACAAGAAGGCATCTCCAGTGTCATCAGGAAGGGGTCTCATGGAACCAGTGTGTGATTCTTATTTTATTTTATTTTATGAGACGGAGTCTCACTCTGTCACCCAGGCTGGAGTGCAGTGGTGCAATCTCGGCTTACTGCAACCTCCGCCTCCTGGGTTCAAGTGATTCTCCTGCCTCAGCCTCCTGAGTAGCTGGGATTACAGGCGTGCGCCTGGCTAATTTTTGTATTTTTAGTAGAGACGGGGTTTCACTATGCTGGTCAGGCTGGTCTCGAACCCCTGACCTCATGATCCACCTGCCTCAGCCTCCCAAAGAGCTGGGATTACAGGCATGAGCCACCGCACCCAGCGCAGTGTGCGATTCTTGATTCTCTTTTCTGTCATATCCTGTACTGTGTCAGTGTGGGTGCCTGGGATGCTAGAGGTCAAAAGGCACAGAGAAAAGGTGGAAAGTGTCTTTAAATGATAAGATGATTAAAGTTCACTCTTTCCCCCTGATTTTCAAATATTCCGTCGAAGTGAGTATGTCCTTAGAACTTTGGATGGGCTTTGCAGAGAGAATTAATGAGGTCTGATTGATTGGAAAACTTGAAGGTGTGGCCCTGCTCCCCTGAGGTCATGGCCCTCCTGCCTGGCTGGGTGGTCCTCACAGTGCGAACCGTGTAAACCGTGAACCTCACAATGTAAACCGTGTGGTTTAGCAGGGAGTAAACATGACTCCAGTGTATCGGGGACCATCAAAGAGTGCTTTGGTGCAGGGCTTGGAACCTGCCCACAGGGAACAGACATATGCTCCTGGACATCATATCATTATGTGATGCAGGTGGCCCTGCTAGTCCTTAACCTGTTAAGTTTGAGTTAGGCGTAGCAGAAAAAATGAAACAAAAAACAAAACAGGCCAAAAACAATGACTGTGACACAGCCAGGGTTTGTTTATTGTCACCCAGCTCAGCAGGGGTTCTGCCAAGCAAGGGCTCATCTGTGATGTTGTTACAGATGTTTGCAGAAGCTGTGGACATTGCCTTGCTTCTGTGCCAGGGCCTAGAAGGCTGCTGTAATTGTGTTAAATGGAAATTGTACAGATTGTCATTTCAAAATGATACATTTTTAAAGGAAGAGCTGGAAAAGTAGCATAGGTGTGGAAAAATCACTGTCAAAAGAAATAAGGATCACTGCCAGAACATGTTTTCAAGAAGACTGACTGTGTTAAGGCTTAATGGTTGGGGTTTTTTTTTTTTTTTTTTGGAGAAAAAATATTTTAAAAATTGTCTTGAGTTATAATGCTATGATCAGAAAAAAAAAATGTCTTGTCACTGGGAAGACTAAACCTTCTAAGAGAAATTCCCCCAGAAGTTGGGGAGGTAACTGTTCCCAGCGTCCAGGCCACCTTCCTAGGGAATTTTGCCCCTTGGACCTCAGGAAAGCAATCCAGTGGGATAGACTTCCCGACTCCTCACATATGCTGTGAGGACAGAGCACAAGGGCAGCCAGGCCTGGCTGTCCTCCTTCTCATTTCTATTGTGGGATGGGGACTAGGGTCTGCATAGCAGTGGTGTGAGCCTGGATGTGTGCAGGAAGGGAGCAGTGCTTCTAGGAGGCTTGTGCACAGCAGTTTCTCGTCCATTCCCTCAGCCCTTGGCTTCCTGGAACCGAGAGCATTAATTAGGATGCATGTCACACTGGCATTTGGGGTTTTTGGAGCAGGTAGCAAATATAAGCCCATCTTTTGGAATTCTGGGCCCAACAGTGGATTTGGGATTTTCTTCTGTTCTACTATGGCTTAAGTCATGAGAGACATGCTTTAAATAGGGAGGCAGCGATGTGATTTACAGGCACTTTCCCAGCCCTAAGTAGGTCAGGGTTTTGTCACAGTTTTGAGGAGATCACAGGTGAGTCACAGTAAATTTGGAGAGTCACGAATCTTGTCAGAATTCAGAGTGCGTTTGTGATAGTTAAATAGCATACCTTAATTACTGGCCTGTGCAGTGTCCTCTCTGTCCCCCACCAGCCCCCATTCCCTGGAGTAGATAGTACAGTCTCCATTGAAACCAGCCATCAGAGGGATTCAGCTTCACTTCCGGCTGTGAAAATCTGATCTCTTGCTGGCTTAACTGGTGGGAAAAAACAAGTTCTGGGAGCAGGGCATGAGAGGCACTCCCTCTTGCTAGCCTCTCTTTCCCTTAGTCCTTGGCTGCACCACTTTTTATGGCAGTAGAATCTCATGCACAAAGGCCACGTCAGAAGTTTGCAGCTTAATAAATGCAGCCAAGTAACTGAGCACACCTCATAATCCACACCTAGATCAGGACACAGAACACACCCACACTGCAGGAGCCCCTCATACCCCCCTGGGGTCACCACTGCTCTCACTTCTAACACCATAGATTTGCCTGTTTTGTGCTTTATGTATGTGGGACCATGCAGGATGCATGTTTTCCATTTTGCTCCTTTCACTCAATATTATGTGTGTGAGATTCATACAGGGCCTTGTGTGTAGTTGTAGCTCATTAATTCTCAGTGCAGTGCAAATATACAGCATTCACTGTTGATGGGCATGCAGGTGGTCGCCAGTTTGGGCTATTATGAACAGTATGGCTTTGGACATTCTAGAGCATGGGTGGAGATGGGAAGAGAGACATTCTAAAGCATATTCTGCCAAACATCTGGATGCATTTCTGTTGGGTGGACCTAGGAGTGGAATTGCTGGGTGGCAGGTATGCAGGTCTTCAGCATAGGACATATTCCATCTCTCCAAAAATACTCTTTCCAGCAGGTAGAAGCTAGAATAAGGTTTCCAGATAGAGTACATGAAGTTTTCTGATTGCCCTGGAGTATATTTTGGATTAATTTTGGGTCAAGCAGGAATACAGTGGCATTTTAGTAAGCAGTTACTCTTAGAAATCTGAGAGAGGAGTACTGGTCTTGACAGAGGCAGATTCTGTATTTAAATGAAGACGTTTTAGTTCAGTGTTTGTTCGTGCAACTCCATTAACTTTTTCTTGCTATGCTCAGCCAGTGTCATCCACCAGCGGAGCACATGCTGTCCCTGATACACTGACTCGGTGGGTAGTAAGGGAAGTGACTATGTAGAGGGGCAGAGGCAGCGTAGAGCCACCACATTGTCACTGACCACTTGTTGCATGTGTCCTCGAGGCTTCCTTGTGTCCTGCATCGTCAGGGCTGTGTTTCAGAGCGTGCCTTGGACGCTGAGGACATCCACCATTCAGCAGCCTCATTTCCGAGGCAGTTCATGGTTTGACCCAGGCTCTGTCTTCTGTCAGAATCACCTCTCACTCTCTCTGAGGCCAACAGTATCTTCTGGTCCTGGGTTGAAGTCCAAGTTGAGTGCCTTGCCAAGGGACTCTGTGACGAAGAAAAAGGGGCTGGAGCTTAGCCTGAGTCTTCTGACCACACACCCCAGGCAATTCTGCCACACCACAGCCCCCACCTCTGTGTACCAAGCAGATGTATTGGAGGTGGTGCTTTATTTTATAGTGATGATTAATAGGTCCACCTAGACCACAGGCTCTTCTGTTGCTTGGCAGAGGTTCAACTTTCTGTTCTCCACATTGCACAGGTGACGGCATTCCTCAGCAGCAGGGTGTTGTGGTCTGTCAGAAGCCCTCCCAGCGTGGTACTGTGACAAGCCTGTGACTTTGGGTATTCCTTTGCCATGGCACATAGTAGATTGTATCCTCAGTAGTAGATGGATAGTGATAGATAGTAGATTCTATTCCTTTTCCGTGGTAGATAGCAAATTCTATAAAGTTATTTTAGGAAACTCTCGTAATGGGATGTACTAGATTGAGTAATGTGAAATCTAAATCCTCAAGAGAAATATTTGGGCATTATTGTCCATTTTAATATTTCCTGTTCTTGTGTGGTATTTTCTGAAACCTGAGCATTTACCTTAAAAGCATGTTTTCCACCACTACCAGTGTCTATTAAAGGGGGAAAAAAAGACCGAAAAACAGTCCAGTTAACTTCATGCTATATGTAACATTAAAGGACGCTTGATAACCTCTAGAGTGTAATGTTACCTTTCATCATTCTAATAGAATAGACTACTATCATTTAGAGAGTGAGCTTTAAGCTTCAATTTTATTTTTTATTTTTATTTTTATTTTTTAATTTTTGAGACGAAGTCTTGCTGTATTGCCCAGGCTGGAGTGCAGTGGTGCGATCTCAGCTCAGTGCAACCTCCACCTCCCGGGTTCAAATGATTCTCGTGCCTCAGCCTCCTGAGTAGCTGAGATTACAGGCGTGCGCCACCATACCCAGCTAATTTATTTATTTATTTATTTATTTGTATTTTTAGTACAGATGGGGTTTCACCATGTTGCCCAGGCTGGTCTTGAACTCCTGACCTCAGGTGATCCACTCACCTTGGCCTCCCAAGGTGCTGAGATTACAGGTGTGAGCCACCATGCCTGGCCTAAGCTTCAATTTTATAATAGTCTATACAATTATTTCAGAAACTGCTGCCTGTGTCTTGAAATTTTAATGGGGATTGCTAGTCATTGTAGGTCATTTTTATTTTAAAAAGAGATTTTATTTTGTGTAGTTAGAGTCTGGTCAAGTTAAAGAGCTAGCAAGACAAAATAACATAAACAAAAAAAAAGTTTTTTTAAAGTAAATAATACAACTTCCAAAATATCATTTATATTTTGTATCTATTAAGTGAGTGCCCACAGTATCTCCCAGGGAAGTTATTACAAGATGTTTAATGTTGTTTTAAGAATCCCAGCCTTGATATAAGAGTTTATATCCCAACTTAGTCCCAAGAGGCTTTGCACATGGTGACCGATGCCCTTATTTATACCTGACCATGGTGCAGTGACACCCTTCTTAGAGCTTGTCCGAATCCCCTCACACACACAAGTTAGTTTCTCAACCCACTTTTTGGTTCAATGGAGCCGGGATGTCCCTGGAATATGGAGCCATAGAAGTTTATAGAAGAGGAGAGCAGGGCTCTCACACGTGCTTCTGTGCAGGTGCTGAGTGGATGCCAGGACAGGCTGCAGCAAGGGGTGTGTCTTTGGCAGGATATGCCTGGCTCTACTGTTTTACCACCTCAAATTAGGTTACATTTCCTTTAGAGTTTAAAATAAGATTGTTGTGAGCCCTCATCCTGTTGGTCACAGCCAGTCCACTCTTTTATTTGGTCCAAGGGCCCTCAAGGTGCTTACCTGGCCCCATGGATACCATCCTGCTGACGAGCAAACAGAAGAAGAAATGGGAATGTGAGCATGTGTCCTGTTCCCCAAAGTAGTCACTGCCTTGTGGCTTTGTCACTGAATAGTGGTGACATCCAGTATTGAGGCCAGCGCCTGCCCACTGTGGGAAGCAATCCAGTTGCTGGAGCCTGGGGCCACTGCTGGCCAGGACGAGGGTGCCCCTTTCCCCAGCATGGTGTTTCGAACGGTGCTCCAAGCCAGAGGAACCTGGCCCTGAGGCCAGGGCTCACCTGGCCAGCCACTCTGCTGGTTCTCCCACCAGCTGTCCCTATGGAGTGCCATGGAGCAGGGGCTGGGAGAGCAGCACACCAGTGTCATGAACTCCCCACCCCAACCCAGCTATCTGTCTGGGTCCTCCAGTCCATCGGATCTGTTATGGTATTTGTGGATCTCAAAGGAAAAGGGCTCAGTCATGACCCAACATGCATTTGGCAAAGGTCTCTCTGACTGTTGAGTGGATTATAAAGGAGGTGGGGTTCAAGATCAGTTAGGAGTAGTGGAGGACCCTCAAAATGAGTTCGGACTAGTAGGGGGCCTTCAAAATGAGTTAGTAGTAGGGGGCCCTCAAAATCAGGAGTAGTGGGGGCCCCTCAAGATCACTTAGGAGTAATGGGGGTCCCTCAGGATCACTTAGGAGTAATGGGGGTCCCTCAAGATCACTTAGGAGTAGTGGGGGGGGGTCTTTGAGATCAGTTAGGAATAGTGTAGCATCTTCAAAATCAGTGAGCAGTGGTGGGTGTCCTCAAGATTATTAGTGGGGGTAGCCTGAGATCAGTTGGGAGTGGTGGTTCTGCAGGCTTCCTGGAGAGAGATGTGGCAGCTTAGACCAGTGGGTGCAGATGGGAAGAGAGGCCTGGCTTGGAGACCTGGTCTTTGTGGGTTTGGGTGGATTGAATGTGGAGAGGTAGAGGGTGATGTGGAGGATAGGGCCATGGTCTCTGGCTTGGTCCCTGGATGATGGCAGTGCTAGTGGTTGAGGTAGAGATGACTAACCTTTAGCCTCTGCTAAATAAATTTTTGTAGACCAAAAGTTGTTATTGTTTGTTTTTAAATGTTGCTGAAGTCCAATTTATTACTTTTAACGTACTTTTAAAAAAAGTGACTAGCGTCACATCTAAGACCTTTTCATGTAGTGCTAGGTACAAAACATATTCTCCTACAATTTCTTCTAAACTTTTGTAGTTTTGCATTTTATGTAAAGCTGTGATCCATTTTTGATTATTTTTTATAAGACATGATATTTAGATCAAAGTTCACTTTTTTGCTTATGGATGTGCAATTGCTCCAGCACTGTTTTTGGAAAGGTGATTCTTCCATTGAATTGCTTTTTCTACTTTGTCAGGTATCAGTTGGCTGTACTTGTATGGATCTATTTATGTTGTTTAATTCTGTTCCATTGATCTATGTGTCTGTTCCTCTACCAATACTACACTGTCTTGATTACTATAGTTACTTAATAAGCCTTAAAATCAGGTATAATGATTTGTCTCATTTAATTCCTCTTTTTCAAAGTTATTTTAGCTATTCCAACTTCTTTGCCTTTCCATAAATATTTTAGATTAAGCTTGTCCATATTTACAAAAACACCTTGCTGGGATTTTGATAAGAATTTGGAAATAATTGACATCTTTATTATGTTGAGTCATCTAATCTATGAATATGGTATGTTTCTCCATTCATTTATTCTTCTATATCTTTCATCATTGCTTTGTGACTTTCAATATACAAGTCCAATACATGTTTTGTTCCATTTATACCTAAACATTGTATTTTATTTTATTTATTTTTTTTTGAGATGGAGTCTTGCTCTGTCACCCAGGCTGGAGTGCAGTGGCACAATCTTGCCCCACTGCAACCTCTGCCTCCTGGGTTCAAGCGATTCTCCTGCCTCAGCCTCCTGAGTAGCTGGGATTACAGGCACACACCACCACACCTGGCTAATTTTTTTTTTTTTTTTTTTTTTTGTATTTTTAGTAGAGATGGGGTTTCACCATGTTGGCCAGGCTGGTCTCGAACTCTTGACCTCATGATCCGCCCACCTCAGCCTCCCAAAGTGCTGAGATTACAGGTGTGAGCCACTGCACCTGGCCCAGCATTTTATTTTGAGTGATCATGAATCATATTGTTTTAATTTGTTTCATATGGGCATTGCTAGTATATAGAAACACAATTTATTTTGTATGTTTATGTTGTATCTTGTGACCTTGCTGAATTTGTCTAGTACTAGAAGATTTTCTGTAGATTCCTTATTATTTTCTATGTAGACTATGTTATCTGTAAATAGCGATAGCTTTATTTCTTCTTTATGAATCATTATGTGTTTCATTTCCTTCTTGGGCCTTATTGCATGGGCTAGAACTTCTAGTACTATGTGGAATAGCAATGGTGAGAATGGACATTCTTTTCTGTTTTCTGACCATAAGGAAAAAGCATCCAGTCTTTGTGCATTCATTATGATATAGCTATCTGTTTTTTATAGATGGCCTTGATCAGTTTGAGAAAGTTCTTTTCTAGTTTGCTGAGTGTTTTTATATCATGCACATATGTTGGATCTGCCAAATGCTTTTTCTGAGACAGTTGATATGATCTGGTGGTTTTTAGATTTAGCCTGTTAATATTGTGGATTATATGGCTTGATTTTTAAAAATATCAAACTAGCCTTGCATCCCTGGAATCAAGCCTACTTGGTCATGGTACGTAATTCTTTTTACATATTGCTAGATTCTAGTGGCTAATATTTTGTGGAGGTTTGTTGTGTCTGTCTTCATGAGGCATCTTGGTACTCTTTCTGTACTCTCTTTGGTATCTTAAAATGAGCCTCATACAATTAGTTGGGAAAATATTATCCTTAGCAAGGATTTCTGAGAAAGGAATTTTGAGTTAAATTCCATACTGTAAATTTTGTTTAGATCTTCTGAATCTAAAGTGATATAAGTTCATGAAAAGTGCAAAGAGAGTAAAAAAGGAGAGTACTTCAGAAGAACTGAAAAGTGATTAAGTTATACAAGTACCCTTTTTTTAGATTCTAAAATGGCCTGCCCTGGGGATAATTGTGAAAGACTACTTCTGCACCACAATTCTGCATTAGAGAGAGCATTTTAAAATGTTACCACCGAACATCACTTTTGGAGTTTGCTTGAAAATGTGTCTTGAATCAGAGGCGAATTATGAAACAGTGCTGTGTTTCGGAAAAAAAGTTTTGGTTTCTCGGTGGTGTTATCACAGGGGATATGCTTTAAATATTGAGTTAGTCTCCTCAACTTGTGTATATACAGGTTGAGCACCCCTAATCCAAAGATCTGAAATCTGAAATGTTCCAAAATCCAAAACTTTTTGAATGCTGACATGATACTCAAAGGAAATGCTCATTGGGGTATTTTGGATTTCAGATTTTCAGATTAGGGATCCTCATCTAGTAAGTATACTGCAAATATTCCCAAATCCCAGACACCTCTTGTCCCAAGCATTTTGCCATTTTGGATAAGGGATACTCAACCCATGTGTGTGTGTCTGTGTGTGTATGTTTACATATGTGTATGTGTGTATGCATACATGTGTATGTGTATACAGATATATGTATGTGTGTATGTATATATATGTGTGTACATGTATATACCTATGTATTTGTATGTGGGTATATATGTGTATGTGTGTTTGTATGTATGTGTATGTGTGTATATGTGTGTGTGCGTATGTGAAATATCTATATTTAGGTCCAAACAATAGGGCAGTTTGGAGAACAAAGTGGAATATATAATTTTGAAAGGGAATAAAACAGCATACTTGCATTTCTTGTCAATGAAGACCAACCCTGGCTGCCTTGTACTTATTATTTGCGGTGAAAAATCAGTGGGGATTTGCTGCACATGGCCTCACCATTCTCTATGGTGCCCAGCTGAAAGATGGTTTTTGGAAGGTCAAACAAGTTTGTGCTTCTTTTAGTTGCCAGCTGGAAGATGATAATAATACGGGATGCCTAGTTAAATTTGAATTTCAGATGAATAATGAATAATGGTTTAACATATGCTTGAGTCAAATATTACATGGGACATGGTTATACTAAAATATTCGTTGTTCATCTGAAGTTCAAGATGAATTGGACATCCTGTTTTATCTGGTAAACCTAGCTTTTCTCCATATTTTTTCTGTGTTTGAACCTTGTTCACTTTCATCCAAGGTAAAAGCAAAATAAGTTACAGGGAGAGCGTCAAAATCTGTAGCAATAGACTGAGACAGTCATCTTTTCCTGGCAGATGAACAGGCTGGCAGACCTTGTGTAATATGTATTTAATTTTTTCCACTGGTGCTTGTGGCAAGATGTTTAGCCCTGGGCTGGGGGATGGGGTGTTACACCCCTCCCCATAATAGTTTGTGTCCTGCACCATCGTTGCTCACTCACACTTACTCTTCACAGTGATCTCACTTCATTTGTCTTGCCAGCATCTAATTATTCAGAAAGATTCTTACTCATCCACACATCTGCACCTCAGTCCTATTTGCAATTACCCTTTTAGGATGCTGCCTGAATTAGTAGTGTTCATACACTGCAGATAACCACTTTTACATACTTCCTGGGTCAGATATAGAAGCAGACACAGCGTTTATCTATTGCATGCTTTACTTAAGTTGTCAACCATCATAAGCATTGTCTTGAGTCATGTATAGTGCTTGGATTCGACAATTGGCCTAAAGAATACATACATAATAGAACTTCTCTGTCAACACCTTGAGACACCAGATCCAGCAAGAGGCAGCTCCTGGAATATTTTACAAATTACATCTGAAATCTGTACCATCCATTAAACTGGCTTATGTGGCTAGAATAGGAGAGAAGAAATAAAATGTTCACTAATATTTTTACTCCCATTAAAAATGTCTAATGTTAAGAAAACTTTAAATAAACATGATTGATTAATTTAAAGACAAAACAAAACAAAACAAAACCATATACCAGCAAGATGAAGACTGACTGGGGAAAGAGCTGTTGGCGGTCATCCTGCCATCTCTCTTTACAGCAACACTGGTCCCTGGAGCTTCCTGTTCTGTTCCTTTCTGCTTTGTTCTGTTCCAGGCAGTTGGCAGAATTGCACCGTGAACTCCAACCTTGTTGCTATGAATGTATTCTTTTATCTGTTTGATTTGTTTCAACCCAGAGGAAGGAAATGCCTGTGACTCTTGTTAGCACTTTTGGCTGGTTTTAGGGCACCTGAGGCCATTCAAATTATGACTCTGCCCAAAGCAAAAGCTAAAGAATATTACTCTTTTCAGGACAGATGTCCTTAATGTAAAGTTAGAAAAAACATCATAGGAAGCTTTACAGCAGCTAAACTGAAGGCCCTCCACGGCCTCCCTGTTTCATTAGAAAGGCTCTGAAGAATGTGGGCTCTGCACAGAGATGAGTAGGGGAGGACCCCCCAAAAAGCAGAGCGGGGCCTCCAGGGCCATCTTCTCTATGGCTTGTGAAAACTGAGCCCAGTATTCCCAAGTTTATGATGGATTCTCAGATTTCTACCATTTTCAGCTAAATTCACTTACAAGAAAGTTTAAAATCTTGTTTGTAATGATCTATTCACTCAAAATACTGAAGTGAGGAATTCGATAACTGCTAATATCTGGAATTCTAAGATATTTAAATCTAGCCTGGTTCTAAAAGAGTGTCAATAAATAGTAACTACAACACTTTTATATTGACTTAAATACATTTTATTGGTTAAACTGCATAAATACATATTTGCTAAGCATTGGTCTTTCAGTGGTCAGAATGGATATTTTCCTACAATTTTGATGCAATAGGAAGCAAATAAATACCACTTGCTGCAAGGCTATTGCCATTCGTGAGAATGTTTCTGCAGCCCTCAAGCCTGGATACAGATTTTATAAATGGAAATGGTTTATTTGGTAAATATTCTCTGCTTCTTACCTTCTGCATTGGAGCATAAAGAAATCTGTTTAGTTTCTAATAACCAGAAATTATACACATGCTTGCATCAAATGTGTATTGGCCAAACCTCGTGGGCAAATGTGTAGGGAGATCACTTGAGTTGGGCATTTTGAGGAGAAAGAGCCTCCACTGCCATCCCTGGGCATTCTCTGCCTCAATTCTCAGCTGTGGAGCTCAGCCCTCTGCTGGGAAATCATCTTGGAAATAAAGGCCTCTTCATTTTTTCTCTGGGAAAGGAGCATAGGCTTGTATCCTCTTTTAAAAAGGATCAAGAACATCACTGCACACCCATTAGGATGGCCACTATCAAAAATAAAAACAGAAAATAAGTGCTGGTAAGGAATTGGGGAAGTTGGAGCCCTTGCTCACTGTTGATAGGAATGGTGGTTCCCCAAAATATTAAACATAAAATTACCGTAGGATCCAGCAGTCCCACTTTTGGGTGTATGTCCAAAAGAATTGAACATGAAGACTTGGACAGAAATCTGTACATCCGTGTTTATAGCAGCAGTAGCAAAAAGGTGGGAGCAACCCAAGTGACCCTCAATCTATGAATGGATAAGCAAAATCTGGCATATTCATACAATGGAATATTATTCAGCCTTTGTAAGAAAGCAAATTCTGACATATGCTACAACATGCATGAACCTCAAGGACATTATGCTAAGTGAAATAAGCCAGTCACAAAAAACACATACTAAATGATTCCACTTACATGAGGTACCTAGAGTCGTCAAATTCATAGAGACAGAAAGTACAATTGTGGGCGACGAGGGATGAGGGGGGTAATGTGGAGCTGTTGTTTAATGGGGACAGAGTTTCCGTTTTACAAGATGAAAACAGTTCTGTTGATGGTTGTACAACAGTGTGAATATACTTAATGCCTTAGAAGTGTACACTTAAAAATGTTGCAGATGGTAAATTTTATGTTATGTGTAATATACCACTATTTTTTTTTAAAGTATCAATGATTTGTGTCTGTCTGGAGATGGAAAGACCACTCATTCCTTCCTGTGCCCGTGTAAATGTTTCTGTATTGTGATGTAGTGTTGTGATGGGCCTGTGCTCTCCCTGTCACATGACACTCTTGAGCACATGAGGTTCCCTTTCAGGTTGCCATGCCAAGAACCCCTGTAGGTTTTCTCTGGCTCCCCATCATCTGACATAGGTTTGGCCAAGAGAGCCCCAGCGGAGGAGGCAGGATGCCTGAGATACCTCTGGGTCAAGCTTGGAGGTAAGGGCTCCCTGCAACACTGGCCCAGGTTCTCAACCTACCAGCCCAACTTTTTCTTTTTCTTTTGAGGTAAAATGAAATGCACAAATGAGATGAGCCGTGACAAATCCATACACCTGTGTAATCCAAGTCCATATCAAGATACAGAACACTCACATTCACATCATACCAGAAATCTCCCTCATGCCCTGCCCCAGCCCTTCCGCCAGGCAACCTGTCTGATTTCTCCATCACAGATTAATTTTGCCTATTCTAGAACTTCACATGAAAGGGATCCACAATGGGCAGTCATTGCTCGGCGGAATGCCCCTGTGATCCATCTGTGCCGCTGCTTTATCAGTGTCCTGCTCCTTTTCGTCACTGTCTGCATTCCATTGCCTCACCGTGCCAGGGGTTGCTTGGCTACTTTCCTGTGGCTAGAATCCTGGGCTCTTCCCAGTTTGGAGCTTGTTGGAATAAGGCTACTGTGAACGTTCTTGTACAAGGCTTTCTGTGAACGGATTCTTTAGTTTCTCTTGGGTTAATGCCTAGGAATGGTATCGGGTCACAGAGAAGTTTACAAAACTGTTTTCTTCTCCTGCCCACAAGGTCTGAGGGTTCTGGGCACTGGGCGTCCTCACCAGCATTTGGCACTGGCAGCCTGCTTTCTTAGGGCATTGGCGTGGGTGAGTAGTGGGTTTCATCGCAGTTCTCATTTGCATTTCCCTGTTATCTGACGATGCTGAAGACATTGATTGATCATTCACATACTCTTCATTTGCGAACTACCTATTCATCTCTTTTACTGATTTTTACTAGGTTTGTTGTACTTGTTGACTTGCAGCTAGTTTTTTGGGGAAGTAAAATTTTAAAATTTTTACGAAGTCTGATTTATTATTTTTTTATTTGTGGTTGTTGTTTCTGTGTCCTAAGAAACTTTTGCCTATGCTAAGGCATGAAGATATTCTGTTTTCTTTATTAAAGCTTTATAGTTTAGCTTTTACATTGAGCATTGTGATTCATCTCTAATTTTTGTGTATAGTGTGAGGTAGGGATTGAAGTTTCTTTTTTCTATGTGGATACCCAAATTTTTCAGCATCATTTGTTGAAAAGACCATCCTATCCATGACGAATTATAGTGGTGCCTTTGTCAAAAATCAAATGGTCATGTAAGTGAGGGTCTATTTCTGGGCCCTTTATTCTGTTCCATTGTTGGTCCTGCTATTACCACACTGCCTTGATTACCATGCCCTTGTACTAACATCCCAAACTTCTATCCCATGTTCTCAGCTGTGCTCCAATGTGATTGAGTTTGTAATATTAACCTGTTGGCTCACACTCACTTTCCTTGTGCATAACATGGCAACGATGTCACTGAGTGATGGTGATGACTAAGAAAATTCTGACAATGACATCAGGCACAGCATACACATAGGACATCTTCAGTAAATGTGTCTCTTCGTACTGGATTCTGGAAACTGAGCTCACATCTTTGTGTACTATCACCACATCATTGTGGTATAAGTGGGAGGTCAGTTCAGGAACAACAGGGTGAAACAATTTTAATTAAGATCTTTCATTCTGTAGCAGAGAAAAAAGATGTAGCTCCAATTGCTTAGTTCCAGTGTTGACCTTGGCCATTTTATTTTGCAGCATTCTCTAATCTTTCAAAATTGACCAGTCTGAGCCTCACTTCTGTCATATGTAAAATGAAGACAGTACCCCTCAAGGTCATTGTCAGACACAGATCCATTCAGGCATGTGAAAGCACTTTGTAGGACCTAAAACATTGTAACATCCTGAAATGCTGTCTTGACCTTTCTCTCTCCATTGGTATTGCAGATATTCAGAGGGAAGGACAGATGTTTCATTTCCATTTTTTGTGTCTGACTCAGATATGAGGTCTCACTTCATTGATTTGGTATTGATTTGGCATTGATGAACAGAACGTTTAAAATCATTGACTAAGAGTGTTTACAGACTTAAAGAGCCAGCTGTTGCCTTCTTGAAGGTTTTGATTTAAGGCATAAACCTGGGCAAGTTTGAACAAGAAACAGGAACTGTGGGACACAGATGCTTGGACTCGAGCAAGCAGCAGATGGTGGTGATGAGACTGTACAGCCACCAGCCTCATGCCTCTTGAGGTATGTTTGGAATGCCCCAAAGTCCCTTAACCCAGAGGAAGGGTGAATGCCCCAGACAAGGAACAGGTGGGCATGAGAAAGACGAAGAGAAGGGCAAGAAGAGGCTACCACGGCAGCAGAGATTGTCGTGTTCACTTTGAGCCCTGAGCAGTGGCTTTGAGGCTTGTTTGGAAGTGTTTCCAACTCTTAGGTTAAGTGTGTCTGGGTCTCAGGTAAAAGACTCAGGTGTAAGGAACAGCCTTTTCCTTCTCTGTGAGTCTGCTTAGATTCTGAGCTCCCATTCCACACAGCCTGTGCCAGAATCATTTTGGATGTTTTCTGTCTCCCTGGGTTGTGTTGGAGATAGGATCTTTCTTCAGAACTGAAAGGGGGAGGTCCCCAAGAGGGAATGGCCACCCTGAGGCTGGTGGGCATTGGTCCACACAGACAGGCTCTGCAGTGTCCATGCATTTACTTGCCTCGCATTACAGGTATCTGCACATGGTGAAGGTTGGGAATGTTTGACATCTTTATTGGAACAACCCAATGTCTAGTATCCTCATATCATGCCAAGATGGTCTCCACTTCCTGGAGCTTTCACCCAGTAGTGGGCAGAAGCCCATGGAACCAAGACGAAAGATGGCAGAAGCCTTCTTTCATCTTCACAGGGTGTGACTTCCAGAACAAAACCAGCATGGATGAAAGATCAAATGTGGGAGGCCTCCCTGTCTGGAACCTGTTCCTTACCATGTTGATGGTGCCAGGCCACGCTTGAGTCAGAGAATTTGTTGGAGCCACAGAAAATAATACAGTGCCTAAGCAGACCCTGTCCCAGGTCTAGTGCCACCCCTGTCCTCCAAGGAGAGGGAGGGTGTCTTCATGTCTCTAGTCTTGACCTGTGGGCGCTTCCGCTACTGCCCCATAGTTTGCTTTGCCTGCTGCCTGTGTTCACCTTTCTGTTGGTCTCTTTGGTTTTATCTGCTTCATTAGTTGACATGATCATGTACTCATTTAACAGATGTTTATGGAGCATGTACAATGGACCAGGGGCATCAAATGCAAAAGGAAATGAGCATGAGCACTTTTCTCTGCTTGGATAGAGCCAGTTCAATGCATGGACACTCAGAGGCACAGCAATGAAGAAGGGACCATGCCCTCCTCCAGTCATAGTGTACATCTTCTGGCCCCTGGCTTAGGGACCTGCCTGGGGTAAAGCGGGAGAGGGAGATGCGGGAGGCAGCTGTGACACATCCCTGCCCAGAGGACAGGGACAATAAATGCTTTGTATTAGCCAGTGCTACCCTTGAAGGCCAAAAGCTCAGGGAGATGGGTTCCCAGGACAGAAAAAAGTACAGATTGGTGATAAAATATTCCAGGCAAATTTGAATCAGAACCATACACTCTCTCACCTTACTTCACCCGTTTTCTCCATACTGTCCTTCCATGAGTAGCTGATCTCAAAGATGACTAAGGCCTGCAAAAGAACAAGCATGCAGAAAAACCTGAACATAAAAAAGAAAGAGTTTGTATAATTACTTGTCATTGACTATAGTTATCCTACTGTACAATATACTATGAGAAGAGAGGATCTTGTGTGTTCCCACCACAAAGAAATGGTAAATGTTTGATGCGTATGCTAATTACCCAATTTAAACATTACACGATGTAAACATCTATTGAAACATTACATTGCACTCCAGAAATAAACACAGTTATGTGTCCATTAAAAGTTTTTAAAAATTAAAAAAGAAAATACTAACAAAAATGTAAAAAAAAAGACATAAGCAAATGTCTGAGGAAGAATTGAATGATTCAGTGACCAGCTCAAGAGTTCAAAAAAATAAATTTCCATACTCAAAAAGAAACTGCTGATCTCTAAAGCAGAATTTAAGCATAGGAGGAAGACTCAGAGGAGCGAGTGAGATGGAGGAAAGTAGGGCCCAAGCTGACAGAATTCAGGATGGAAAGTGGAAAAGAAAAAACCAAAATGATGCCATCACAGAGATTAACCAGGAAGCCACAAAATAGGAAGCCTCCTTGACAATGCAAACACCATGGACAGGATAGGACCACACAAAAGGAACAAAGCCTCACCATAATTTGATTTTATGTGGTTTTTTTTTTGAGATGGAATCTTGTTCTGTCACCCAGGCTGGAGTGCAGTGGTGTGACCTCGGCTCACTGCAACCTCTAACCCCCGCCCCCTCCAAGTTCAAGCAATTCTCCTGCCACAGTCTCCTGAGTAGCTGGGATTATAGATTTACCCCACCATGCCCAGCCAATTTTTGTATTTTTAGTAGAGACAGGATTTTACCACGTTGGCCAGGCTGGTCCCAAACTCCTCGCCTCAAGTGATCCACCCATCTCAGCCTCCCAAAGTGCTGGGATTACAGGCATGAGCCGTCATACCTGGCCTGATTTTCTAACAAAGAGTTTTAGAAAAGAAGGAGAACATTAAAGTATACAATAAAAAGAAAACTGTGTAAATATACAGGCCAGACTTGGCTCTGTCATTCAAAAGGAACAATTGCATTTTGGTAAATGATACAGTTTAGCTCTGTGTCCCCACCCAAATCTCATCTTGAATCATACTCCCATAATTCCCACGTGTTGTGGGAGGGACCTGGTGGGAGATAATTGAATCATGGGGTGGTTTCCCTCATACTGTTCACATGGTAGTGAATACGTCTCACAAAATCTGATGGGTTTATCCAGGGTTTCTGCTTTTGCGTCTTCGTCATTCTCTCTTTGCCTCCTGCCATCCATGTAAGACCAGACTTGCTCCTCCCTGCCTTCTGCCATGATTGTGAGGCTTCCCCAGCCACATGGAACTGTAAGTCACATTAAACTTCTTTCTTTTGTAAACTGCCCAGTCTCAGTTATGTCTTTATCAGCAGTGTGAAAACGGACTAATACAGTAAATTGGTACCAGTAGAGTGGGATGTTGCTGAAAAGATACGTGAAAATGTGAAAGCAACTTTGGAACTGGGTAACAGGCAGGGGTTGGAACAGTTTGGAGGGCTCCGAAGAAGACAGGAAAATGTGGGGAAGTTTGGAACCTCCTAGAGACTTGTTGAATGGCTTTGCCCAAAACGCTGATAGTGATATGGACAATAAGGTCCAGGCTGAGGTTGTCTCAGATGGAGATAAGGAACTTGTTGAGAACTGAAGCAAAGATGACTTGTTATGTTTTAGCGTAGAGACCAGCAGCATTTTGCCCCAGCCCTAGAGATCTGTGGAACCTTGAATTTGAGAGAGATGATTTAGGGTACTTGGTGGAAGAAGTTTCTAAGCAGCAAAGCATTCAAGCGGTGAATTAGATGCTGTTAAAAGCATTCAGTTTTAAAAGGGAAACAGCTTAAAAGTTTGAAAAATTTGCAGCCTGACAGTGTGATAGAAAAGAAAATCCTATTTTCCTAGGAGAAATTCAAGCCAGCTGCAGAAATTTGCATAAGTAATGAGGAACCAAATGTTAATCCCCAAGACAATGGGGAAAATGTTTCCAGGGCATGTCAGATGTCTTCACATCAGCCCCTCCTATCACAGGCCTGGAGGCCAAGGGAAAAAAAGTGGTTTCGTGGGCTGGGCCCAGGGTGCCCAAGCTGTGTCCAGCCTAGCGACTTGGTGCCCTGTGTCCCAGCTGCTCCAGCCATGGTTGAAAGGGGCCAACGCAGAGCTCTGCTGTGGCTTCAGATGGTGCAAGCCCCAAGCTTTGGCAATATCCATGTGGTGCTGAGTCTGTGGGTACACAGAAATTATTAATTGAGGTTTGAGAACCTCCACCTAGATTTCAAAAGATGTATGGAAATGCCTGGATGCCCAGACAGAAGTTTGCTGCAGGGGCAGGGCTGTCATGGAGAACTTCTGCTAGGGCAGTGCATAGGGAAATGTGGGGTCGGAGCCCCACACAGAGTCCTTACTGGGGCACTGCCTAGTGGAGCTGTGAGAAGAGAGCCACCATCTTCCAGACCCCAGAATGGTAGATCCACTGACAGCTTGTACTATGGGCCTGGAGAAGCCACAGACACCAAATGCCAGCCCAAAAAGCAGCTGGGAGGGAGGCTGTACCCTGCAAAGCCACAGGGGCGGAGCTGCCCAAGACCATGGGAACCCCCCTCTAGCATCATCATAACCTGGATTTGAGACATGGAGTCAAAGGAGATCATTTTGGAGCTTTAAGATTTGACTGCCCCAATGGATTTTGGACTCGCATGGGGCCTGTAGCCCCTTTGTTTTGGCCAATGTCTCACCTTTGGAACAGTAGTATTTACCCAATGTCTGTACCCCCATTGTATCTAGGAAATAAGTAGCTTGCTTTTGATTTTACAGGCTAATAGGTGGAAGGGACTTGGCTTGTTTCAGATGAGACTTTGGATTGTGGACTTTTGAGTTAATGCTGAAATGAGTTAAGACTTTGGGGGACTGTTGGGAAGGCATGATTGGTTTTGAAATGTGAGGATATGAGATTTGGCAGGGCCCAGGGGTGGAATGATATGGTTTGGCTCTGTGTCCCCACCCAAATCTCATCTTGAATTGTACTCCCAGAATTCCTACATGTTGTGGGAGGGACCCAGTGGGAGATAACTGAATCCTGGGGGCAGTTTCCCCCATACTGTTCTCATGGTAGTGAATAAGTCTTATAAGATCTGATGGTTTTATCAGGGGTTTCCACTTTTGCATCTTTCTTATTCTTTCCTTGCCTGCTTCCATCCATGTAAGATGTGACTTGCTCCTCTTTGCCTTCTGCCATGATAATGGGGCTTCCCCAGCCACATGGAACTGCAAGTCCAATTAAACCTCTTTCTTTTGTAAATTGCGCAGTCTCAGGTATGTCTTTATCAGCAGTGTGAAAATGGACTAATAAAGTAAGCATTAAAAAGACTGAACAAGACTGACTGACATCCTGGTGAATTTCTCGATTTCCATGGTGATTCTTACCTGGCACAAAAGCAGAAAAGGTTAGGAACATAGGTAGGTAGAATCACACTGGGTCAGCGTCTGTCAAGCAACACTTTCTGAAAGATACTGGTTTCTGAGAAATTCTGAGTGGAACAATGGGGCCCTCAGTGATTTCCTATTTAGCCAAATTGTCCCAAGTATAAAGACAAAGATAATAGATTTTTTTCAAGCCTGCCATAAATCAGAGAGCTTAGCTGCTATGAGCTCTTTTGAATAAGGGTTTTGAATAAAACTATTGAATATCAAAATCCAGCCAAAATAGAAGTGAATAAAAGTACAGAGCTTAGTATAAATGGGTGGCAAACCTTGGATATGTATAAACATAAAAATAAGACAGGCCATCTGCATGAATTACAGTGAAAGTATGTGATGTAAATGATGTAAACCTTGCAAATAGTATTATAACTTAGGAGAGTCTTTGGCTGGGTGAAGGGAGCGGATGTGTGAATATCTAATGGCTTCATCTTTCTTAGCAAAACAGTTGACGATCACTATGTCGAAGAGGCTATTTTAAAAAATGAGGGTGATAACTTCAAGACTTTTCATAATGTTTTTGTTATCTTTAGAACAATCATTTAGGAAGACATTTCTTACAGTAAAGAGGCATTTCTCTGAAATTTAGCAGCTCTTTCTGTTTGGCTGTCTTGTCTTTCCTTTCCTTTCATTATCTTTGTAGTGAAAAATATGACTTGCCGAATGCTCAGTGTGTTGTGGGCATGGAGGATACCTGGTGAGCTGGCATTCATGCATGGAGCATCCTTGCAAAGCGGCAGGTGTTGCTATGGTAATAAAACAGGTGAAGTGATGGAGGGTCGGGGGTGAGATGTGGCTCAGGAAGGCCTCTCTGAGGAGTGCTTGGATAAGACCCAGATGCTGAGCTGGAGCCAGCCTGGCATAAGGAGCAGGCTTCAGTGTCCTGAGCATGAAGGAGTCTGTTCCAGAAACTGAACAAAGGCCTTGGTTCAGTGTCCCTGCTTTGCTGGTGCTCTAACAGGTGATCTGCCTAGTGGCTAGTGCTGCCCCTACTATGCTCTTCATGCCTTGGACTGTGTCTTCGTCTTTTTGCCTACCTAACCAGCCTGTAAGATTGTCTGGAAGATGTTCAATGAATGTATAAAGATGCATTATGAATGAAATAACCCATGAATGAATGGATTCTTTCAGGGTGTCAGGTTAATGACATATGACAGTTTATGCCATGAACTGTTTCTTATTTTTAAGTTTGACATTGTTGAAGTAGACCTCCTTTTGGAAACACAATGAAATCCAAATTTTCCAGCATGGGATTTAGGCTGCTGCTGAGGGCTCGTGACCAGGCAGTTCTAGTTTGATATTCTGGCGTCCTCCTGTGAACCACATGAATTTCTCTTCTGAGTTTTAGGTTCTAAGGTACACGTGCAATCAGAGAAATGAAGTTCACAGCCAAGATCCTTGTCTATATTTGCTTGAGAAGAAAATAATTTGAGATATTTTACGTCAGGTAGGTTCAGGAGGCGTGTCCTTTGAAAACCTTGAGTGTAATGATTTTGCTAACTTTACGCTTACCTATTCTTTGCTGTAAGGATATTTATGTAACAGATATGGCGACTCTCAAAAACAGGATAATGAGTAATTTTAGCTCTTTTAAAATAAATGTATCCTCTTTGTTGGCAGAGATTGCTTGGTGTGGGAGTCTGCATTTTGACAATCAAATACATAAGTTAGCTATTTTGTTTAAGCAGCTGTGATTTACTGGCTAACATGTGGAATGCTCCCTCTTAAGGCCACACCCCTGGGGATGGAGCAAAGACACTCATCCTCCTCCCTCGAAGCCCAGCTTAATAAGATTGGTGGGAGGTCGCTGATGCTCCTACCTGCCTGGTGAATTTCTCGATTTCTGCTGGGGGTGCAGGCCTGAGTTTGAATCACAGTCCCTCCACAGCACCGGCTTTGTGTGCGAAAGAGGTGTCCTGGGGAGACATCGAGGAGCAGAGCTTTATGTGTATGGTATTTTTTGTCTTTGAAACACAGGCTGCAGAGAGGCTGACAAAGTTTTCAGCATGTAGCTGGAACATCCTTTGAACATTGTTCTCCAACCCCTTGAAATGCATGCCCCACAGGCCAAATTTTTTTTGCCCCATTTTACTCTCTGTAGTTTTTACATGGAACCATACGTCTTGTAGGTTTTATTCTGAGAATTTATAAAATTAAGAGTGTCTTTTTAAGTAGTTATTGTCTATGGAGATCTTAGAGTCCTCCGTTAGGGTACGCAGCCTTCCCCTCCACTTTGAGGTCAAGTCTATACAAAGATATTTCCAGAAATGTGTGTTACAGTGCATTTCCCAAGTGATTTGCCCTCTTGGTCCTGAGGGGTCTGCCTGGATTAGAGATGAAGTCTCTTCAGGCTCTACAATTGCTGATCTCTCTTATGTAAGAAAGTCCCGGCAACTGACACTTGCAGTGTGCTATTTAAAGAAAGTTTTCTGTGAATCTCTTTGCAAGTGAAGAGAAGCTTGTCTGGTTATTTGTGATGTTTCTTCTCTGCCCACAAAGAGGCAGGGTGGCCAGGCTGGGGGTGCAGGCTGGGGAATCACAGTCCCTCCACAGCACCTGCTTTGTTGACTGGACCTTCTTGGAACCTGTTTTCTCATCTGTAAACTAGGTACGCTGGTCGAATTTCTTGTTTTCTTTGTTGCTTCTTTGTCTGTTTCCTAATAAATAACAGAAACTGGAGGGAGCTAGGGTGCGGGGTCCGTGATGCCCAAGGGTTCCCAGTCAGGTGCAGCTGGGTCTAGGGTATGCCTGCCCCCAGAGAGCAGCGCTTTGGGAAGCCCATGCCTGTGTCTGCCTACATGGCTCCGTTTCTCACTATGCCATTTTCTGTCTCCCTACTGAGTTCCTCATACACATGGGAGCAGATGACCACCAGTAGCTGCCTCACTTCAGAGAGCTACCACTGTACGATACCAAAAGACCAGGAACAAGAGAAGAAATAAATATATTAGATCACATCAAAAGTAAAAACTTCTATGCTGCAAATACTACCTTTAAGGAAGCAAAAAGACAGTCCATAGAATGGGAGAAAATATTTGTAAATCATGTCTGATAAGGAACTCATATCCAGAATATATAAAGAACTCTTAGAACCCAATAATAAAAAGACAGCTCAATAACGAATAGAAAAGACACTTGACCAGACCTTTCTCCAAAGTTGATATACAAATGGCCAGTAAACACATGAAAGGATAGTCAACATCATCAGTCATTACAACACAAAAACCAAAAGCAGAATGAGACAGCACTTTACATCCACTAGGATGTGTAGAATCAAAAACACAGACAAGTGTTGACAAGGAGGTAGAGAAATTGGAACTATCATATGTATGTTTCTGGTGGGAATATAAAATGATACAGCTCTTTGAGAAATAGTTTGGTAGTTGCTCAAAAAATTAAACATAGAATTTCCATATGACCCAGTAATTCCACTTCTAGGGAAGAGAAATGAAAACATGTTCACACAAAAACTTGTACATGAGTGTTTATTATCATTATTTATAATAACCAAAACTAGAACCAATCCAAGGCCCATCAACTGATGAATGGTTAAATAAAATGTAATATACAATGGCATATTGTATATTGTGTTATTATTCAGCAACATAAAGAAATGAAAAACTGGGCTGGGCTCAGTGGCTCACGCCTGTAATCTCAGCACTTTGGGAGGCCGAGGCAGACAGATCATGAGGTCAGGAGATTGAGACCATCATGGCCAACATGGTGAAACCGCATCTCTACTAAAAAAAAAAAAAAAAAAAAAAGGTACCTGGGCGTGGTGGCACACGCCTGTAGTCCCAGCTACTCGGGAGGCTGAAGCAGGAGAATCGCTTGAACCCGGGAGGTGGAGGTTGCAGTGAGCTGAGATTGCGCCACTGCACTCCAGCCTGGTGACAGAGCAAGACTCCGTCTCAAAAAAAAAAAAAAAAAAAAAAGAAATGAAAAACTGATTTATGCCACAACGATTGACCCTGGAAAATATGTTACGCAAAAGGAGCCAGTCACAAAAGACCCCATATTATATGATTGCATTTATATAATGCCCAGAATAGGCAAACCAATAGAGACAGAAAGTAGTCTCGTGGTTGCCTAGGGCTGGGGGCCTCGGAGGGAATGGTAAGTGACGGCTGGTGGGTGCAGGGTTTCTTTCAGGGTGATGAAAATGCTCTAGAATTAGATTGTGCCGATGGTTGCACAACTCTGTGAATATACTAAAAACCATTGAACTGTGCACATTAAATGGGTGAATTCTATGGTAAGTGAATTATATCTTAATAAAGCTGGTCAAAAAATGAAAATTTACAAATTGAAAAAATAAAAAGAATCTTTCAGCCCTGATTTCAAATTCCTGGAGAAGTACTCTGGTCTAGCTTGTGGGCAGCCAACCACTGGATCCAGTGTTGGGACCTGTTATAAGAGCACAGCTACCAGAAAATGGTGGGGCCAGTTTTCTATGAAGCAGGCAGGCAGAGAGAGCAATAGGTATCCATGCATGAGGATAGCAATAGTGTCTTGTTACTAGGATTAAAATAAATAAATGCATGGGAAGCATTTAGTACTGTGCCTGACACACTGTATATGTTGACCATAACGATTGCATCAGTGTCAGTTTACATGGGGAAGAATCGTGCGATATCTCGTAGAAAATATAGCTCAAAAAATAGTCAAGTGATGATCTCAACCTAAAGGAACCTGAAGAGAAGTGCCAGGATAAAACGGGATTTAACTCTGACTTTATTACTTGAAACTTTGAAGGCAAATGGTGTGTGGGTGATTGTTTAAGTGGGATACATCTATACCTTATATTTTTAAATGTATAGACTTGAAGTCATCTTATAGACAGTCTCAGTTACTTTTCAGTAGTAATTTATATGCTCCATTGCCTGCTTGCAAGATAATTTACTGATTTCTGTGTTTTGCTATTATTAGCTTTCCATTGTTGCTTCCTGTGATATGAAGTATTAAGTGGTTGCCAGCAGAAGCAAATAATAAGAATGTTTAAGGATGGAGTGGGGCAGGAGTGGACTTTCTTTAATCAGCCTTTGCATCTGACACTCAGCATGTGAGTTGTATTCAACTTCTTAGTTGCCATGTGAATGATAACCATTTCACAGTGTGGAGGTGAGGGACTAGATATTTAAAATGCCTGTATACCTACTCCATAATCACAAAACCATAAATACTGTCATTATAATTTTGATAATTACATATATCGAATATATTTGATATTACGTATAAAAATAACATATATACTGATACATTATATATGACATAATATATAACGACTTGTTACATGTTACTTATATGTTATATATAATGTAGTATATTTAGTTTATGTTACCTGTATAATATATAAGTATGTATATGTAAGTATATAAGCATATATGTTTGTATAAAAATGAAGTGGTTTTGAATTATACACATATGATTACGTTAGAAAAAAACAGACTACACAGATAGACAAAATAAAATACATTGGAATTTCAAAATTCCATATTCCCAAACAACCAATACTGGTATCTGTCCTTCCAGATTTTATTTATTTAGCTCTACAAATATATAGATCACACTAGTCATATTCTTTTCTCTCTGAATATTTACTAAACATCCATGTGCATTAATAAATGCAGGTCTACATTTTTTTACTTTTTGGTTTTTAGATAATTTTAGACTTACAGAAGAGTTGCAGAAAGCATGCTTACTTTCCTCTCTCTAGCACCCAACTTATTTGCAGCCTTCTTGAGCTCATCAGGCTTCCCCAAAAGTGTCATATTCTTAGTTTTTAGGTTATACTTTTCCCCCTAAGCCATTTATCCAACAAAAAGAAATTACTGGGCCTTTATTCCATTTGTGATTTATAACAGCAATTCAAGGGTTCTGCCCTTCATTAGCTCCTTGCTTTTAAAATGTGGTTTTCTAGCTCAGAGTCCATCCTTAATCTCTTATTATTTGGAGAAGAGAAGCTGTTTCATCTTCCAGCCTGATAAATCTCTACATGCATGGACCACTCCATTCATTTCTGCTTACAAACTGGCCAGTTCTTTTCTGAGCTCATCTCTTTCTTGTATCACCTTGCCAAACCCAGCCGTCAGTGTCCCTCTGTCCCACAGGACTGACCTTTTGTCCTCCACTTATTCTCATCAAGTAGAGGACCTGCCCTGAAAGATGCTTGTAGGAAGTAGTTTTACCAAACTCTCCACCCATCCCATGATACCAGGACTACATAAATTATTTTTAAATTTTTTACAGCAGCAGACCACTAGCAGATGCTCATTTCTGTATCAATCACCATGAGTTCTGTAATGCTTCAGTAATAAACAGCTTCAGAATCTCCGTGGTTTAGAAAAGCTTATGTCTTACTACCATCCGTTGTCCATCCCCAGTCAGCAGGGGCTGTCACACTGCAGGTCCAAAGAGCAGCCACTGCACAGTGGCTGATGGAGATAGGAGTGTGGGAGGTCAGGCCGTGGCTCTCAGGCTTCCACCTGGAAGAGGCACATCACCTCTCTGCCCACTCTTTATCAGTCAAAGCCAGGCCCATGGTCTCACCCCTCAAAGACAGGGAGGCCGCTGTCTCCCTTCACCTGGAAGCAGGGAAGCCAGACACACTTGGTTAGTAACACCTGTGACTACCATTATACCCTTTTGTTGAAAATGTTAGTGGTTTCTATTTTTTTCTCCCTATAAAGAGAGATGCAATGAACATCATCTTTTCTCTGTACCTCTTTGTTCCTGTCCTTTTATTTTTTAAAGATACAGTTAGAGACTTGGAAGGACTGTGTTAAAATGTTTGGCATCAAGGCTGTTGCTAGCATATGTGGTACCTGCCTAGTCCATCCTCACTGCTATAACAAAATCACTTAGACTGGGTAATTATAAATAATAGAAATGTATTTCTCACAGTTTGGGAGTCCGAGAAGTCCAGTTTCAAGGCACTGGCATATTCATTGTCTGATGCACCCTTGCTCTCTGCTCCATAGATGGTGCCTTGTTGCTGTTTCCTCAGTTGGGGGGAGATAGAAGGGCAAACGGGATGAACGTGACATCCTCACATGGCAGAAGAGATGGAAGAGGGAGCAGCTCTCTGACGGCTCTCTTCTAAGGGCATGAATCCCACTCAGGAGTGGGAGGCCCTCATGACTTAATCACCCACAGAGGCCTCAGCTTTTAATACCACCACCTTGAGGCTTAAGTTCTATCTACGAATGTTGGAAGGACACATACCATTAAGCTGCAGCAGTGCCTCTGTGTACAACTTGGAGAAAGGCAGGTGGGCAGCAGGTTGGTATGAATAAGGTGCTGCCCCTTTGCAGCCCAGGCCAAGGGCATGGGTGGTGGCTGGATTTCAGGCTCTGCTGGCCCTTGGCCTGAGAGGTGACACAGGACATCACCTTAGTTGTGGGCAGGACTTACCAAAAACCCAGGAAGCTTAGGTTCCCATGTAGAGTCAATCCATGCTTTCAGAAATTGCCAACATGTCCTGACTTTCGGAGCCCACAGGAGAACAAAAGCCTTGGGTTTTTCAAAGATCAGCAAAGGAAAGACCCAAAGGAGAGATACTTATTCTATAGAATTCATTCTAGTCCATAAATTATATTGAATTTCTGGATGGAGCACAACAAAACAGAAAAATGTCACTAAAAGGCACCTAATCTCCTGGTGTTTGATTTCTCGATTGCAGAAGGGCATCTCCTTCCTTAGAATGGAGTTATTTTTAATCAGTCCTGACCACAGGATGCTTCTCTAGACTTTCAGCAAGATCTCACTGATAAGCCATGAGTGATGGGGGGGGGCAAATGATCTAGGGTGGTGTAATACAAACAGGAGAAACTGGATGTGAATAACTGACTTAAATTGGATGAAAAGCATGGACAGCAATGGGAGCCACCCGGTTGAAATATTTGGACCTTTAAAACCTATCAAGCAGAGGACCCAGGGAAACGGTGCTCATAGACAGAAACTAGTTCACAGCCTCAGCATGATGGCGTGCCCAAGAGCTGCATCACTTCATTATTTTCTGCTTATTTGGGTTCTGAACATGTAATTCTGAAATTTTGTTGTAATTGTGAATTAAGTGAATTGAGGCAAGTTTTGGGGTTATTTGGTTTCTTTATTAGTTTGCCTTTCTTAATGTACCGTCACATGACAGACACCTTCTTGCGGTTCATATCCCCTCTCAAGTGCCCTTGCTGAGAACGCCCTTCCCATGGGACACGCAGGCATGAGTGCATATGAAAAACATAACACAGTTATAAATCTAATATACATAAATTAAATTCTGGCATTAATAATTTGTTTGCCAAAGGATTTACCCTAGGATTCTTTTAAGTAGTAAATGTCTCAGTGTATGTTTAACATGTGATTCTAATTTTTTTTTTTTTGAGACGGAGTCTCGCTCTGTCACCCAGGCTGGAGTGCACGATCTCAGCTCACTGCAAGCTCTGCCTCCCAGGTTCACGCCATTCTCCTGCCTCAGCCTCCTGAGTTGCTGGGACTACAGGTGCCCGCCACTGTGCCAGGCTTTTTTTTTTTTGTATTTTTAGTAGAGACGGGGTTTCACCGTGTTAGCCAGGATGGTCTCAATCTCCTGACCTCGTGATCTGCCCGCCTCAGCCTCCCAAAGTGCTGGGATTACAGGCATGAGCCACCGTGCCCAGCCATGTGATTCTAATTTTTAAAGTGATTTTTCTTAATATAGTGGGATTCGTTGTTAAGGGGAAGAAACTGACTAGTATTTTAGACAGCTTTTTCCTCCCTTTTCTGGTTTTGTGAAGAAGGAATCAAATATCTCCTTTGTTTAGTCCAGGAAGGACATGCTAGAATTGCATGTGTACCTGTGGGCCCTCTACCCAAGGTTTGATGTTACCACAGAGTGATTGGATGAAAAGCATTCCAGGGCACACTGCTTTTCATCTTCTGATATGGGCTGGAAAGAGGCCGGAGCCCTCAAAGCAGCATCCTCACCTGTGCCCAGAGCAGGCAATGCTTCACTCGTTCAGTGGTTTTTTTCCTGGAGGCCAGCAGAATCTCCTCATGCATCAGTGGCCCAAACTGGGGCATGTGCCTCCTCTGGTCGGTCACTGTTGGCTGAGGGAGGAGCATGGCGAATGGTGTAAGTCACCACCTGCTGTGCCGGCTGGGAACATGGTGGGGACCTTTCTCCCAGAACATCTGTCCTATGGGCAAAGAGAGAGAGCTGCCAATAAATGTCCTTGTGAGAGAGTGTTCCTCATCTCTGTAGAAGTTTTCTATTCATTATTGTTACTGAATGCGTACATTTATGTGTCACGACACAACTTTCAAAACAACCCCCGTGGGATTCCAATGCTATGCTTTGGGTAGGAAGATGGCCCGTGGTGGGAGAGGCCCCCCAGCCTGGCTCCATCCTGCCGCCACCACTTCATAGCCTAGCGCCCTGTTTCCGGAATGGACCCAACCATAGACCAGAGGATCTTTGCAAAGTGAACTCACACAGTTCCAGCCCCTCACGGGCTTTGGCAGAAGGCCAGTGGCAGAGAGGTCAGAAGCACTGGATGTTCAATGAACTCAGACACAAATTAGCTAAGTGACCTTGAGCTCGTTCCTTGCTGGGTAGATGTTTGTTCATCTGTAAGTCAGAATGATTGTACATCACCCCAGCCACCCTTGAGGGATGGCTGTGATGATCAGATGGGAGAACAGATGCGAATGGTCACTCACCTTTGGGACTGAGGAGTTGACAGTGGCTCTGGTTTCTGCAGCAGTGTCATTCTGCTGGGAGCCCTCTGATTCAGTGTCCACTTGGGCATGTTGCTTTCCTCTGCTAAAATCAGAGGTCTGTATGTAATTGCTGCTATGGCTACAGCAGCACAAACGTCCTGGCAGGGGGTGTTTGGAGGGGAGTTTCCACATTGCATAGATTTGTGCAATTGCAGATTTAGATACAGCACCCTAGAAGGCCCTGGAAGCAGCAGAAGGGCTGGGGAGTTCTGTGTGCCTCTGTTCAGAGACAGGGAACCAATGTTGAAGAAACCCAGTTGTCTCCTTTGCAGCAAGCCTGGGATTTGAGAGTCAGGGAACATGGCAGGGACAATGTGGGAGCTTCAGGACTCTGCCCTAGGAGTTCATTCCAGCCATGGCAAGGCAGGGTATTTACTCAGAGCTGTGGTATAATGAATAGATACTTGGCCCATATTGCATAGATTCATATCTATGCAAAAAAATAACTGCCCAGTAAACATGAATAGAACTTACGCATGATTTTTAGGCTGGGCCCAGTGGCTCACACCTGTAATCCCAGCACTTTGGGAGGCTTAGGCGGATATATCACTAGAGGTCAAGAGTTCAAGACCAGCCTGGCCAACATGGTGAAACCTCATCTCTACTAAAAGTACAAAAGTTAGCCGGGTGTGGTGGTGCATGCCTGTAGTCCCAGCTACTTGAGAGACTGAAGCAGGAGAATCACTTGAACCCAGGAGGCAGAGGTTGCAGTGAGCCAAGATTGCACTGCTGCACTCCAGCCTGGGCAACAAAGCGAGACTCTGTCTCAAAAAAAAAAAAAAGAACTTACGCAAGGTTTTTGAATTCCATTTTCTTAAATGTTAAGGCTCTTGTTTATGTCTTAGTATCCCTGAATTAGGACGTGTCACATGAACAGGGCTACAGCAGGCATAGCCCTCCATGGTCATCATCAGTGCTGTTGGTGGGATTCTCAGTTCTTCAGGGCACTCGGCTGGGCTGACTCCTAGGCCTCTTGCGGCAGGGCAGGCCTAGGGGATGATTCTGCCTGGTGAATTGTGAATGGGAGTGCTGTGTGTAATTTCCAGCTGGAGTAAGTTGTTGGCACATGATCCTTTAGAGCACCCTTGCATGGCCGATGCCAGTGGTTGGGTGGTCTGCTCCATCAGCCTGAAACCCAGAAAGAGGGTTTGTGGAGCACAGCCCTTGGCTGATTATAGTGCATAATTAGCATGCGTGAGAAATAAGCTGTTGTGGGTATGAGCTACTAGGGTTTCGGCTGGTCTATTTGTTACCCCATGGTGACCTAGTCTACATGGATTGATGCTCTCACCGTTTCTTTTTTTATTTTTTCTTGCCAATTTCTTATCAGGCTGATCATGTGTCTTAGAATTAAGGCATTACAGTAATTCCTCTGGTGGTTTTCCATAATTCCCAGTTAAGGAATCTTTTCAAGCATTCTCAGGTGAACGTAAGTAGAGCCTCCTGACTGTTGTCCAGGTGTCACTGCGGAGGCAGGAATTGGGCCTGGATATTCTAGGAGATTGATATTTACAGAAACATTTTGAAAACTAGAAAGCTTTGTGAAATGCTGAAACTGGAAGTTTCCCAAGTTATGTTTCATGATGTTAAAATATCTTCCATTACAAAATAAAGGTTCTTTGACTCAATAAGCTTGAATGTTATGTACTATTTTTTTCTTAAAGATGCACAATGTCCATTAGCATGTCAAAGGCTCTGAGAAGGCCTGCAACATAGAAATTGTTTATTTCAGTGGAATCCAGTATTCTTCAAACTTATTTGACCAAAGAATGTCCTCCTTTACCCCTGACCTCCCCCACACATTTATCAGACCCAGTGTTTATGGGGAGGGTAAGACACGAATGTGGCATTTGCTGAATCTTGGAGCAGTAGAATAGTTCTTCATGTCAGAAAGCTATATGGTGTGTCATGCAGTAAATCATCGTGACCTAAGACACTTTACATAATTACTTCCTTTTCTAGTCTTTTAACCAAAATTTATTGAGTTTCTACTGTACAGAAGCCTAACAATGCTGGATGGTAGTGAGTGGAACACTCTGTGCCTGATCCATGGACCCAGGTATCAGCATCTGCATCAGCAACGGCATTGGCATGGGGAGGGCATGCGTATACCTGCACGTGCTTGGCCTGGACCATTACCTGCTGAATGGAACTCTATTAACATGAGGCTGGAGGATCTCTATTGAGCACATGCTACCAGCAATTCCCGGGCTCCCCGGCGTTTGACAGCTGCCGCATCAGGTGTCTTGCTTCTACCTTCTCTGTGTTTTGGGTTGGGTTCCGAAAGTGGCCAGGGAAGGGCCTGGCCTTGAGAATCCATCCTGAGGGAGAATAGATGATGTGGCATGACCTCATACCTGTGTGTGTGTGTGGAGCTTAGTGCCCTTAGAAATGACAGCTAAACCCTTATATTTTAGAAGATGTTTATCACTTGCATGTTAAGATCAAGGGTCCTGAGGACCAAGGGGAGACTCAGCTTGGGGTGTGTGGCTTGGACTAGCAAAGCTCCTCACATGGTGGATGGATTGAAACTTCACACTTGGCAGTTATACCATGTACTCGGGGACATTCTGAAGGGTGACACTATTTGAGACTGCAGGGAGTGGGAGCAGGGGATAGGGACACTTTATGGTATAGTTGGAGTGTTCTGTCTCTTGAATGCATTTCATTGCAGCCATTAGTAGGTGGGTTCTTGAGGTCCAGAAATAGGCATTCCATGAGGCAGGTCTTCTGGAATTCGTTCAAGCACCAAAAAGGGAGATTTGGCTCTTTTTACTGGCCCATGAAATGGCTTCAGGGCGTGCATTTTCTTGGAAGCTGCTATTAACCATCACCTGAAATTTCTCCCAAGGCTCTTTCTTCTCTCCTCCAGCAAGGACAACTGTAAATGAGGCAGAGTAATTTAAATTCTGTCCTTTTCACATTCAAATTACCTCAGGGTGGCTAATGTGGCCACCCTTGGAAGGCGTAGCTGAAGGGCAGTTGATGCCGTAACTGCCTGATTCCTGCACGTCTGTGTGGTGAGCTGGGGGCCTGTGGAGGAGTGTGGAAGCCCTGGTTGGGCCTCCCTGAACAGGGTCAGCTGGGGCATTCTGGTTAGTATGGCAGTGGGTCCAGGACATGTTTGGGAGATGAGGCCCATGTGATGCACGGGTTGAGGCTCTGATACTGTCAGAAGCCGGGGTCCACTTGCAGAGCCCACTTGTTTGTTAATGCTCCCTCAACCCCTGCTGCTTCCACCAGTGCAGAAGGCCTTGCTCTGGTCACCACCTGCCCCATCCCTGGGAAGGCTGGGTGAAGCAAGGCAGCAGTGACCAGCATCCTCCCGCAGCCTCAGTCCTCTCTCAGGTCTCCTCAGGGGTGGGCTCCAGCGAGAGTGAAGCTGACCCCTCCCGCTGTGCAGAGTGAGCGAGTGAGTGAATGCTCACTGTTGCTCTGTGTACAGCTCTGAAAGGCTGATAGGAAAAAGCAGGTTGCCCTAGTCCAGGGAACATGGTGTTCTGGCCAGGCGGACTGCCCGCAGCAGGGCCTGGCCAGCTGGCGGCACTGGGCGGATGGCAGACCTCATTGTGCTCTGTATCCTCCCTACAGAGTGAGGATGGTGAGGCAGTTGTGAGGGCAAGAGGAAGGCACCTCTCTACTACCCTTTAACCAGCACCCGGAGCCCCGGGAGTGCGGTGGAGATCCTGCTCACTCCTGCGGCTTCTCACTGTCTCCTTTTCCAGCCACACATGCCAAATGCCCATAAACGCACACTCACATGCACATACGCACACACACCCCACAGATGTCATACACATACCCATGCACTTACATACACATCACGCTACACACATCTACAGACACTACACCATACATACATACAAAGCACACACTCACACATACCACACACACAGACACAGCCCACATCATACCCCCCCACACATGCAAGTATGGATACATATCACACACACCACACACACACGCACTTACACACATACCATGCACATACACACCATGCCACACACACACATCAAATCAACCAAAAGGTCTCAATAATTCATTTCCTAAACATCTCTCCCTCTGTCTACCTCTTTCCATTCCTGCTCTACTAGATGCAGCCATCACTGTCTCTCCCTAGCTAGAAGTATTATTATATTTTCCACCAAATGTGATTTAAATTGCCCTGGAAAGTGGGGACTGAGACAGAGGTTGAATCCGTGCACCTTCTCTGCATGCCTCACCTGTGTATAATGTTTGTTCTCACTGCAGCCCCTCCTGCTCCATAGGAGATCCTGGACCCTGCTTTGAGACTTTCAATGCAAGGCACACTCCTTCACAGGCACACAATACAGGCTGCAGTGGCTTGGCTTTGCACCTCATGGACTGGGGACTTTCTCATCAGAGAGTACCCTGTGTTGCCCTGCTGGGTGTCCTTTAGGGCTCAGAGCCTCCTGGGGATGGAGGCCTGAGCTGGCTGATACCACAGAGCTAGGAGAGACTGACTTTTGGACAGAATTCCAGAAGGGGCCAGCCTAGTCCTTGTAGTGCCTAGCCTCCAACAGTTAGTAGAGAACCATTACTAAAATGGCTCTTTGGAGCAGCAGACATAGAGGCCACTGGCATTAGTTGAGGTGGCTACCTTAGTCTGCTTGGACTGCCATACAAAATACCACAGACTGGGTGGCTTAAACAGCAGTCATTGATTTCCTCACAATTCTGGAGCCCGAAAATCCCAGATGAAGGTGCTGGCAGGGCTAGTTTCTGGTGAGGGCTCTCTCCTCAGCTTGCAGACAGCCGCCTTCTTGTTGTGCCCACACATGGCCTCTTTTCTACGCATGCATGAAGCTAGAACCAGTGATCTCTGGTGTCTCTTTTTCTTCTTATATGGACACAAACCCTATTGGTTTAGGGCCCCACCATTATGACCTCATTTATACTTAATTACCTCTTTAAATGCTCTATCTCCAAATGCAGTCATGTTGGTGGCTAGGACGTCAACATAGGAATTTTCAGGGACACAGTTCTGTTCATGACAGTGGTGAAATTTTCAGTGAGGCTCCACTGGTTCTTCAGGTAGGCCCTTGCCCACCTTAGCATCCCTGTTGTCCCACCTGCACCTTCTCTGTAAGTAGACCCAGCTCCGTAGAACTATGAGTGTGCCGGGCTGCTGTGTGGAGGGACCCCTCTGGCCTCCCGAAGCTGCCCTTCTCCAGCTGCCTGAAGAACTGCACCATCTGCACCACCTTGCAGGCTGAAGGTGGTTCCATAGAAGCCCTGGAGAAGATCTGGCTGTGAGTGCCTTGCACTTACCCCTTCACCTCTCCAAGTGTGTTTTCTTATCTCTGAAGTGGGGAAGACACACTCACCTGGTAACAAGATGTTACTGGGTCTAATTAGATACATTTTGTGGAAGTCTTTAACGGACTAAGAAATAGTTATACACAGGAAATGAATTGTTGTAGCTGTTATCACTGAATCACTGATGTGCATAAATAAAGTGCTTTTGTTTGTGTATTATTTAGGAATCTGTTCAGGTTTGAGTAACAGAAAACTGACCAATGAGTGTGGCTTGCTTTTCACTCACAAGGAAGAGTCTCAAGGTTACTGGCTTTGGTGTAAAGGGTTGACCCATCTAGGCTGACCTCTAATTCTCTGGACCACATGGCCACAAGGTGGCTGCTGAAGCACTAGCCATTGTGTCCTAGTTCAAGGGAAGAAAAGCTGGTCAGTACCAGCTGCTTCTGATACTATTTTATTAGGATTGCAAATACTTCCTGGAAATCTGCTGGGCAGGTTTATGCTTAAGTTTTTTTGGCTGGAACTGGGTTTCTGCTCAGGTTTTATTGCACTAGCACTAACTGCAATAGAGGCAGGGAAAGCAGGAAACAGTACTGTCACCATTGTCTTACAGTAGTCTATATCCATTGCCCAACGCTAGACGCAGTAACCCACCACTACCGCTCAAGCCAGATTCTGATGGGAAGGCAGAAGAAAGGGATTGGCATTGGGTAGACAGCAAAGGATGGTCATGTATCTCCCAGGATACACTTTACTTCCTAAGAGCTGGAATTCAGAATCGCCAGTGGTGAAAGGATACCAGATTCTATTACAGGAACGTTCCTCAGTGTTCCTTAAAAATAGTAGCACCAGGGATGCAAATCGAGAGCAGAGTTTCAGCTGGTTTGAAGTCAGTGTGTATCTCTCTAGTCAGAATGGAGGTGTTGGAAGCTGACCCTGCAGTCTACACTGTGCTTATGCCTGCTTCCTCTCCTGTCAGAGTCTGTCTCATGGTCCCCCAGGCACTTCTTGGTCCCTTGGCTTCTCAGTGATTTTGCTTTTCAGTCTCCACTTTGAGCAATTGCCCAGCAAGTTTAAAAAGGAAAGGCAGGAGCCACACACGATTAGACAATGTAAAAGGAAGCAAGCCCCAGCCTCGCCTAGCCTGTGTGGGGCCTGCGCAGCCTGAAGTTGGACTCCTTCGGTCCAGCTCTGTAGCTCCCTACTCCAGGCTTGTCTGCTAAATGAAGTCCACACTTTGGCTCTGCAGATGTGAGGCTCAGGGGAGGGAATATGCATCTTGTTTCATTCTTTTGTCCACTCTCACACTGATGTGAGTGCTGCTGTGGATGGAGCCTGGTGAGGCCTTGGATCATGCTGTCTGGAACAGTCAAGAATATGAAGCAGAACTGATGTCATGCTCTGGCATCCTTAAAAGGGAAGTGCATCAGGGTCTCTTACACTCAGACTTCTAAATATGTGAAACAAGGTCCTAGGTAAATGTGGAGAGTGACCCCGAGGCCAGGGCTGACCCAAAAGGAGGTGGTGTCAAGAACAACGGTACAACTCAAGCTCATGCTGGACCTCCGAGTCAGGCACCTTCTCCTCTTTCCAGAGCCTGTTTTCTGAGAAGCTTGTCGCGGCTCATGCTCTGAAAGTGCTCCTGTGAATGAGGTCTGTGCTGGGGAAATGCAGTGGGTATCACTTTTGAAGCTTAGTTGTGTTTCAAGAAGCCCAGCGCTCCATACAGGGGCTCCTGTAATGGAAAGGCAGTGCTGCTCAAGTAGGAAGATGGTTTTGCTGTTTTATTTCATTGCTTTGACAGTTCATCCTGGCACTTGCTGATGGAGTGTCAATTCTTGAGTTGTGTTTTAGTTGAAACCTTGTGAAGGAAAAACCTGGTGAGGATTTGTTTGTGTGTGTGTGTGTGTGTGTGTGTGTGTGTGTGTGTGTGTGTGTTTGGCATTTGTTAGCTCAATTATATAACAAAATATTATGTTTTGGGGTTTTCTCTCTTCTGGCCCCTCCTCTATGTAAAAGTGCTACGTGCTGTGAGTGTCGCTAACTTCAACTGACAGACGAAACTGGCACCTATCAGCAGCAGGGAAGCTTCCTCGAGGTTATTAAATACAAGAAACAGCATATTGGTAACAGCGGCTCTCTCAATTGGATGGTTTCCTCTAAATTCCTGGGAAAGGTTCAGGTCAACAGTCTGTGAGGCTTCAGTGTATTTGTGGGTTTTTTTGGGGGGTTGGGGGAGTGGAGGTGGTTGGTATATGATTTCCATTTTACTTCTTTAGGAATGAAAGCATCTTAATCAAATATAGCATACTAATTCCTGGAAGACCAGCTCCAGGGGGCTCTGCTGATGGTTTTAAACCATCTCAGGCAGACAAGTGTTACTGAGCATAGCCGTAGTGTTAGGCAGGGACCCTTAACCCACCAAATCCACGACAGGCACTTCCCAAACTCTCCCTCTATAATCCTGCCAAAACTGGAGCTGGGGATCTTAACTGCCAGCTCCCCAGGTAGGAGACTGGGAATTTTTCTGCCTTTCCTGTGGCATGTCTTGTGTGCAATTTGGGGGACAGTCAAAGAAAATAACATGTACGAGTTTAATAAAAGGAACTTAGAGTTAAGAATGTCATTGATCACGTTCATCAACTTTAATGACTTGTAACTCATGCACTCACCTGTGTGAGCCCTTTCACAGGTGTGAAACACATGCATGTCCCTGTGAGACTCTGTCTCTTGGGAGATGGCAGTGAAGAGCTTGGGGCTCAGCAATGGGGAGATCTAGTGTGAACCATAGCCAATGTGGGCAAGTTAGTTAGCTTCTCCGAGGCTCGATTTCACCTGCAAAATGGGAACGGTGTTATTGACTCTATTGAGCTTATAAGGGGATTCAATGAGGCCATGTTTATAAAAAGACTAGTACATTGCCAGGCACATAGGAACTGACAAATAAGGGAGAATTGAACAGATTGAATTGAAATAGCCCAGAGGCTTACAACATCTCCAGATGGGAGAGGGAAGAGTGGTAGAGTGGCACATGTGGCCAAGGCCACCCCACTTCTTGGAAAAGTGAATGAGTACACATCCCCAGGACGTCAGGTGATGGCTTAGGATGGGGACAGTGTCAGGGCACTATGTGTCTGCTGCCTTCATCCCCAGGGTTGCAGACCACATGTCCATAGTGGATGCCCCAGAGGCAGAGCACGGACGGCAGAATACCTTTCCTGTGAGATACTCAGTTCTCCTGCTTACCATTTATATTGGATTGTGAAATGCTCTGTGGTCACTTTTGTTGATAACATATTTTGATAAATTCTCTCTTTTTAGCTAGAGGGAACTGTTTTCTATACATAATCCTGGGACAAGAGACTTTGGCTGTGCTACTTGATGGAGGGACAGTGGCTGAAGGATGGGATGATCAGCCTTTGACCCCCAGGACCAGCAGTGGTCATTGGGGGTCCTTGTTGGCTTTGCAGCAACCCACTAGACCCTCCACGAGGGGTCTGCATGGAAGGATGGGGTTTAAGTAAAAATTGTAACAGGCCTTTTTAATGACAGAAGTCTTGAATGTCTGGTTCAATATATTAAACAGACTACATTCTGCTTTGACTCATTTTCCAGTGATTATAAGAGGCTGGCTTGGATGATCTCTTCTTAAATGTGTTGCCAATAACATTGGTAGCCCTACTGATTCATGAGGAATCTCTCATTAGTGCAAATGTACTTCTGAAAGGCACATAAATGACACTCCAGGGAAAAGTCCTGTCCAGAGATGCACCAATTATTGCAAGATGAGCCATGTGCTTTTTGCATTGAATGAGACCCAGAAAATGATATCAACTGAAGCAAAAATCTTACCCTAATGCTTAACAGTAGAAAATGATCTTAGTTCTCTGGACTGAATAAACTTCCAGAGGTTTCAGGATTGGAAGCTAACAAGAGTTTTGCATAAAACTCTTGAATTTTATTGCTAAGATTATGATAGATTAGTTGGAATGTAATTCCTAAACTTGTAGAAAATGTACAAATCTTTAAAATATATTTTGTTACAGTTCCATATAGAAACCCCCTTAAAATGTGTTTTAAATAATATGGCCTTGTGGATGTTTTGCAAAACCACAGTGCCTTAAAAACATTTATATTACTCTTGTCTCCTCCCTTGCTTGGTTGCTGAGAGTACATTTTAATTGGTTTGTGTTAATTGATTAAATGTAGATATTTGTAGTTCTTATTGTTGGGTTTTGGAGGAGGAAGATCTCCGGAGAACTCAGGCTGTCTCTTAGCTGTCTGCCTTGAAGCGGGAGTCAGGGACCTCAGGCAGCTCCCTGTGCAGAGAAGCACACCTTCTCCTCCTGCCCTGTAACTCTCTTCACATTCATCTGGATTGAAGTAAAGGCACTGAATGTGATGTCAGTGGGTCTTAGATTTTGCCAACTACAAATCTGTCAGTTCCAAATATGCCTCTCTCTAAAGACAGACACATTTTGATAAATCACAGGCCTCCCTTTAGTGGTGATGTGGTTATATTCTCTCTGGCCCTGTGCAGACAGGGAAGTTATCTTTTGGGGTGGATAGAAGAGAGGGTTCACGCGTCAGGCCCTTCCTGCATACAGGGCCCTGTGAGGTCGGCTGGCATCCCAGGCATTCAGTGGGCCCTGGGGAGGGTCAGGAGGAGCCCAGGCCTGTCCTTTGCCAAGGTGCATCTACAGGAGCCTGCCAGTGCAGGCCATTGCCAAATTGTCCAGCTCTCTAGGTTACCAGGTTGGTTACACCTGCCTTTTCTATTTCATTACAAATCAGGCTCACTACTCCTCCCTCAGCACTTGGCAGCCTCTGGGCTGATGGGCCTCTTTAGTGCTGTCTTCCAGCCTTCCAACAGATCCTAGACCCTACAGGGAAACTAACTCACCCGACCTGTTGCCTCTGCAGGGGCTGTGTGTATGTGGAGATCGGGCAAGAAAAGGCCAAGGATGGCTCCTGGCTGTTCTTTGTTCAAGATGCCTGGCCAGCCGAGGAGCTTCTGCACACAGCTGCTTTCTGATGCCTGTCTTCTTCCTTGCCTTTCAACACGGTGCCTGGGACAATTATGATGTTATTATGTGCTGTACCCATTATTTCTTTAGCAATTGCTTCTGCACATGTTGTGAACAGTTCTCCTAGAGCTTAACAGAAATAGCTCAGTGGCACTTAAACCAAAGTGGTCTATATAAACACAGGATTTAGCTTTGTGCCAGGTGGGTTGGTTTGAAACTTACCACTTGTCATGGGTGCATCAGCAGGTGATTTCCAGCCCAGGTGAGATGATGTTTATGGAACCCCCATGATGACAGCTCCTCTGGGGAAGGAGAGTTTCTTCGGTTCCATCTAGCATGGCTGGGATTGGCCATCCCTGCCCCACCCCTCCCCAGCACAAGAGAGGTGTCGGTTTCTGAAGTCTGCCATCATTCACTGCACCAGCCTTCAGACTTGTGAAGTCGAGGGGCAGTAGGAGAATGAGGCAGAAATTCTCAGACCCCTCACAGCACTACATCCTGAGGTCTCCATGGAGGAGAAAGGGGAGGAGGGGGCTTAGTCCCTCGGGAGGGGTTGGTCCAGAAAGGAGGAGGGACCCAGCCCTGAACTTCAGGGAGAGGTTCCTGGGTCCCTTTAAGGACATTCTAATTCAGGGAGTTGGGGGACCCGGGTGTTTCCAATGAACCATAAAAGTAGGCACTCCATCAGAGCTGTGGTTTTAAGGTTGCGTCCAAGAAGCTTTCCTGGACATACGTTGGTAGCAATGCCAGGGGGAGCTGCCTCTTCCTATTGTCCCACACATTTTCTCTTCAAGCTATTTTATATCTTGAAATTATGTTTGTGCAATTTCAGTTGAAGAAAGGGTCTGTTCCTTGAAGGTTTGGAAGCCATCCTGAAGAGTTAGGGGTGAATAGTAGGTAAAGGCTGAGGACTGTGTAATGATAAAATTGATTAACTTCAAGCAAGACCAAATATGTTTTGTTTCATCCCCCCTGTCATCCTCTGCTCCCCTGGAGTTAGGGAGGCATCTGATGTACCCACCAATAAGGGGATTAAGCTTGTCATCTGGTATCATCACCTTGATCTGAAACCATGGGGAAGGAAGCTTTGGGCTTTTTAGCAGATGTGCTCAGCTGGGATGAGAACTTATTGTGAATTCCATCTTGCATCCTGAAAGATGCACTTGTGGGTGGGGCCTCCACTGGCTTTTCACCTTGTCCCCTACCCCACCAGGGCTGTTTGTTTGCTCTGGAGGTCACTGCATTAAAGCGTTGCTCTCAGATGGTCACAGTGGAAGGCACTTATGTGACTCACTGCAGCGATGGAAACTTTCTGAGAACAGGGTGACACACCTCAGCCAGCCAGTCTTCCGAGTCATAATGAAAAGACTGTGACTTTAGCTGTGGGACTCAGCAGCACTTATGGAAAAGAAGTGGAGTCTCTGCTCCCTGTGGAGCTCCTGCTAGCTGAGGCCTTGAAAAGGGTGCTTCCCCCAGTGTTCTCAGCAAGACAAGGGCAGAGGCACCCCTGAGCCTTCCTGGACAGCTTGGTCACTGTGCACAGAGTGGTGTGTTGGTGGTGTATATGCTGGAGAATCAGAGCCATCAGTGTCTTGGGGACAATAAGAAGCAAGCTTAAAATATACAATCTTTAAGGAATGTTTTGTGAATAGGTAAGAAATGAAGGGAAAGATGATATTTTAGCAAATAACTTTTTTTTAAGGTTGTTGAAGTGATATAGATTGATACGGCAAGATGTTTTTATTCTAGTGCCCTGGGCAGCAGGCAATGTGTCCTGGAAATGTGAAAATGCTGTTCCTAGTCTGGAGTTTGCTGCTGAATGACCTGGTGACCTGGGCCACTCTGAGCTTCTGTCCCCTTCTCTGGGGCATGATTATTGGTTATGTGGATTTAGTGGTTTTCAACTGTGTTATTTTCATTTGTCTGGGAATGCTCTGCTCAAGTGAAGTCTTACCCACAAAAGTCGACAGACAGACCTGCCCCTTGATCCTTCTCTCCCTCAGCCAAAAGGTCACTTAGAGGCGCCTAGAGGCCTGGGAGAACCTCCTGACTGGGTGAATTCAGAGATTCCTCTCCTTCCACGTCACTGTGGAGCCTGACAAACCTCAGCAGTGTTTGCACCAACACTCAATTGGGGTTCAATTCAGGCCTGAAGAATTTGACCTGAAGTAGTCCTTGTAGTATTTTTATATCAAAGAGATGGTAATTGCCTTTCAAAGACTGAGTAAAAAAAGGAAGTGACTATGACTTTATTTAATTATTTTCTATAAAATAAGCCGGTCTATTAAAAAAGATGTGAGATGTTAAATGTACCTCAAAGCGTTCTTAATCCCACATCTCAAATGTGCTATTGCAGCACTGAATTTTAATAACATCAAATTGACTCCATAAGTAGTTACTTATAATCTGGATATCAGCATATAATGAAGTGTAATGTGAGAGTGAATATTATTATACTTTATGTGGTGGTTAATACTGAGTGTCAACTTGATTGGATTGAAGGATGCAAAGTGTTGATCGTTGGTGTGTCTGTGAGGGTGTTGCCAAAGGAGATTAACATTTGAGTCAGTGGGCTGGGAAAGGCAGACCTACCCTTAATCTGGGTGGGCACAATCTAATCAGCTGCCAGTGTGGCTAGAATATAAGCAGGCAGAAAAACGTGAAAAGGAGAGACTGGCCTAGCCTCCCAGCCTACATCTTTCTCCCATGCTGGATGCTTCCTGCCCTCGACCACTGGACTCCCAAGTTCTTCAGTTTTGGGACTCAGAATGGCTCTCCTTGCCCCACAGCCTGCAGACGGCCTATTGTGGGACCTTGTGATCATGTGAGCTAATATTTAATAAACTCCCCTTTACATATATATATATATATACACACACACACACACACACACACACACACACACACACACATATATACACACACATATATATTCCATTAGTTCTGTCCCTTTAGAGAACCCTAACTAATACACCTTATTTTTTTGTGATTTCATGTAAAACCCATAACAAAATGGGAGGTAACTGCACTCCTGGTACATGGAGCTTGCAGGATACTAAAGTAGTGTCACTTGAGTGTAATGTGTAGATGCGTACACCATGTGTGTCAATTATGCTGTGTGAATGATGGTTCTTTGGATCAGTCTATATAAAAATATATAAATAAAAAACATAATTTTACATTTATTTATCATGACAGTATTTTAATTTTATTTATTTATGTAAAAAATCAGTCACATATCATAGGTTTAGGATTTAAAGCCATCCTGATTTCTCTTGGCTGTTAGTGGTGGATTGAAAATAATTTAATAGTAAACCTCATATTTCTTGCATACACACATACACACAGCACAATGTAGAAATGTAGCAGAAATAAGCTACTTTAGCACCCACAAAGTAGATGATGTTTCTTTTCCTTTTTGTTTTGTTAATCGATACTTTAAAATGTTATTATTGCACCAAAAATGCAATTTTATGCATTTTGAGAAAATGCCTCTGTATCTGAGGTGATGTGCCCGCTGCTGGCCTAGATAGTGGCAGCTCAGAACCAGCCCAGAGTTTGCCCAGAGCCTCTGCAAACCAGAGCCTCTGCAAACCAGAAGGGCTGGGTTCTGGCAAATTGTTTTCTGAGGCAGTCAGAGCCCTGGCCACCTGCCATCAGGCTGGGAGAGTTGAGTTAGTGCAGTTCCTGGTGTTCCGCTAGACCCCAGGCCAGGCCATCTCCTGTGAGAGTAGTACACCTATCTCTGCCCTTGCACCTGGCCTCCCAGTTGCCTGGGGTTCGAGGCCGACTCAGCAATGCCCGCTGGCCCTGGCACACACCATCCTGCCTGTGTTGAGTGTGTTGAATGTGCTAGTGATTGTTCATTAGGAGGACTAGTTGCAGTGTGGAGTTTCTGGGAATATCTACTTTCCAGAATGATCTGTGGAAACCTGATTCTGCTTTTTTTTTTTTTTTTTTTTGAGGCTGCTGGATAATGCTCTACATTAAGCTGCGTGTGTATTTTCTGTAGGTTGTTGTTTCCTGCTTTGTTTGTTTGTTTCTGGCACAGCATGCAGAGACCCTGAGAGCATGCCTCTGAGACCCATGGAGGGATGCCCATGTGCACAGCAGGGGCTGCAGGAAATCCACAGCAAAGGGGGACCTGTTTGTAGACGCTGCCATGGCTGCTGTCAGCAAGAATCAGCAAAGCACACAGCCATCCACCTATGAGGGGTCTTAGAATAAATAAGAAAAAAACAAAAAAACGCTGGGGCTGCTTCTCCTCCACTGTGAACTAGGTGCAGTATCACCTTCCCTGCGTCTCCTTCTGCTCATTCTGGTGGTGAGAAGCTCTGTAACCCAGAGGGGCCTAAGAATGGGAGGCTGGATGAGACCCGGACCTGGCTCTGTGCAGCAGAGCATGGGAACTTGGGGCCTCCAGGAGTGACCAGGGGACACCCACCACAGTAACCAGCCACAGAGGCCATTGGGTAGGTCGGCTCTCCTGTCCCTCCTGGCTGCATCCTGATGGCCCCACAGCATCCTGGGGAGTCCCGACCTTCAGGAACACACAATGAGCTTGAAGCTCAGTGTCCTCGATTGGCTGCTGGCAGAGTGCATGGGGGTGGTGAGACCATGGGCCACCAGGACCCTGGGCATAGGTGCCTGGCCTCTCCTTGGCTGGACCAAGGTGCACATATCTGGCTGACCCTCAGGTACAAGAGTACAGGCCTCCCGGGCTTTTTGCCTGGGAGCAGAAACATGCTGCGCGTCTAGGTGAGGCCAGCCTGGGCTCATTTCCAGGCTCTAAAGCTCCTACTTGGTGAGCTGACGTTCATGGGAGGACTTCTGTGTTCATATTCCAGGGTGAGTTTTCAGTGCACACTGAGTACCTTGTGTTATTAATAATCATCTGGCCACAAATGGGATGTGTGCTCCTAATATCACTGCCAGATTTCTGCCTGAGTCACAACCTTATGCCAGCCTTCTCACTTTCTGCGGTTTCTGGTGTAATAAACAACCTTCTTGTTTTTGCGTCTGAAGTGTGGTTTCAGTGATTAGAGCATAATGTGTGGTTCCCCCCATTCACCTGAAGAAAAGTTTGGGTTGCATGTGAAGAGATCTTTAACTCAGTGGTGCTTCCCCCGTATCTTCAGCCTTCTGTCCCACCACAGCCTGTGAACCTTGACTGAAGGGAAGCCCCATGTCCTGGGTCAAGCAGCAGCCAGGCATTGAGAGCAACTAGGTGTGAGCCAGAAAGATCTGGATTCCAGCCTGTCTTAGTAAGCTCAGGCTGCCATAACAAAGTACTACAGAGTGAGTGGTATATGCAAGAGGCATTTATTTCTCACAGTCAGTTCTGGAAGCTGGGAAGTCCAAGGTCAAGGTGCTGGTAGATTCCATGTCTGATGAGGGCCCTCTTCTTGACCTGCAGGTGGATGCCTTCTCCCTGTGTCCTCACATGGCCTTTCTCCTAAGCATGCACGTGGAGAGAGAGGGGACAGAATCTCTTCTTATAAGAGCACTAATCCTATCATGGGGGCCCCACCCTCATGACCTCATCTAAACAATTATCTTCCAAAAGCCCCACCTCCACATGCAGGCACATTGGAGGTTATGTCTTCAACACAGGGATATGGGGTGGACAGAAACATTCAGCCCCCAACATAGCCCCAGATCCACCACTTAGGAACTGTGTAATGGAGAGACTTGCTTCCCTCTCTGAAAGTGTTTTCTCATCTGCAAACTGAGAATGAAACTGTGTTATTCTGGGGCTACCGTCTGGATTAAGGAGACGCAGCCATCTCCATGGCCTGCAGGCCCGCACAGCCCACTGTTCATGTCCAGGTGCCCTCCTCTCCCGTGTCTTTGCTGGATTCACCCCAGCCACTCCAGCCTTCTCTCTGTTCAAGGATCCACCCCAGACTCACTCCTGGCTTAGAACATGTACACTTGCTATTTGCTCTGCTCAGAAATCTCTGTCTCCAGATAATTGTGTGGCTGCCTCTTGGTTGTGGGGCCCTCTCCACCCTGGCCCCTCCTTGAAGGCCTGTGACCCCTCTTCCAGTAGGCTGTGTCTCAGAGTTCTTTTTGAAAGTGGTGATCTTGAGAGGTGAGATTGCAGCTCCCTGCAAAAAGAGGAGAGATCTGCTTTCTGCCCACTAGCAAAGCAATGGGTTCCCTAGGCACAGAGCTCCTCAGCCATGACAGGAGCCCCCCCCCAAGCTGAGCCTCCCCCTGGCTTCCTTCTGGCCTCTGGGGCCGTGGGGGCTGGGAACCAGAACAACGTAGCTGATGCCCTGCTGTTTGCTCTGTTATAAGGGTCAGCTGTCCTGCTGGGGTCCAGTGAGCCTCATTGTTTACTTTTGGCACTTAAGGTGTTGGAGCAAGTTGACTCCTGGTTATCCTCAGTGAGGTTTTGGTTCTTCCCTGGCAGGTTGGTGCAGCATGCAGGGGAAATTCACTGTCAGGCCCATGCACTCCACTTCCCTCCTTGATGCTGCCTGGTCATCTTCAGAATACTCGTCAGTGCCAGAGCTGCCTTGTTCATTTTATGTGCTTTTGCCTTTATGCCTCTGTCCATGAGCATGGGCATCTGCTCTGACTTGTCCATGGCCACACCTGGACACCTGGACAGCAAGCATGAGGGGGCATCGGGAGCACACCACAAACACTTGAGTGAAAGATTGAACTGTATGCAGGACAGCAGGCAGCTCACGGGCACAGCATTTATCTCAGTAACTTTGGCTTCAAATGGGGCCACCCTCTCTCAGAATTTTGGGGAAGATCACATTTGTTATGGACTAAATTGGGACCCCCACCCCCCCACAAAATGCCTGTGTTGATGTCCTAACGTTACCCAATACCTTAGCATGTGACTTTATTTGGAGATATGGTCTTTAAAGAGGTAATCATGTTTAAATGAGGCCCTGTGGGTGAGCTCTAATCCTATATGACTGATGTCTTTATAAGAAGATATCAGTCACTGGGGATGTCCACACACACAGCAATGCCCATGTGAAGACGCAGTGAAAAGGCGGGTGTCTCCCAACCAAGAAGAGAGGCCTCAGGAGAAATCAACCCTGCTGACACCCTGATCTTAAACTTCACACCTGCAGAACGGTGCGAAGTGAATGCCTGCTGTTTAAGCCCAGCTGTTTTTGGGCATTTTTTGTGGCAGCACTGGGACACTAATACAACGTTCCATAACTGATGTGCTGTGATACTTCCTCCCAGCACCGGAGAAGCAGCACACACAGGGACCACTCGTTGGGGCAGTGGCAATAGGAACACGTCTTTGCTTTTTGGAAGGGCACTTAAAATTCTGTAAGCATGCGTCCAGGCTTAGGATAGAGTTTGGGAGTGAAGGCGGGCGACTCCCTTTGGAGTACAAAGCATGCGATTTGCAGGTGTCACCTGAGGAATGGGGGCTGTTCCTTCAGGCAGCCTGCATGGTGGGGCCTGGGCCCTCAGTGAAGAAGGACAGGGCAAGGCCCTGGCCTCCTGGAGCTTGTCCTCTGGGGGAAAAGACAGGCTACAGGGAGAGGGTGCTGAGAGCAAAGCCAGAAACAGAGCAGCTGTGCTTAGACTCGGTATTAATGGAATAGGTACTCGTCGTTGAGAGGTGACCGCCAGTCTACATTCCCTTCACTGCCAATAAAAATTTGCTGCTTTATGGAACCTAAAGAAGGAAGGTCCCTATGAGTAGAGGGGTTTGTGTTCTGTTTTGTGACCAAGATACATAAAAAAAGATCACTCAGCCATCCTAAGCGAGAAAACACCTCCACCCGCCCAGCTTTTTGGGGAGGGTTGGCAGTTTAGAATCACGTCTCAGAGGCAGCGCGGGCTCCCATGCTCCTGAGTTCAAGGGGCATGACACCAGCGAGGTGCCATCATCCACTAGGGCAGCTCTGAATGAGGAGCTCCTGGAACATCTTAACTGATTTATTTTGCTTCCCCCCGCACCCCCATGCTTGTGCAAGTGCAAGAGTAATGTTTGAGGCCAGGTGCCGTGGCTCACGCCTGTAATCCCAGCACTTTGGGAGGCCAAGGCGGGTGAATCACCTGGGGTCAGGAGTTCGAAACCAGCCTGGCCAACATGGTGAAACCATGTCTCTACTAAAATATAAAAATCAGCCGGGTATGGTGGTGCATGCCTGTAATCCCAGCTACTCAGGAGGCTGAGGCAGGAAAATCACTTAAAACTGGGAGGCAGAGGTTGCAGTGAGCTGAGATTGCACCACTGTACTCCAGACTGGGCAACAGAGCAAGACTCTGTCTCAAAGAAAAGAGGAATGTTTGAAAGCTCTGTCTAAATATAAGTATGAAATAAAAACTGGAAGCAATAGAAGAGCATTGGGTCACCATTGACTTGGTGGCTACTTTTTTCCTTATGCTCTTTTACATTAATTGTGTAACAATCACGGTGATTAAATTTTGTTTCAATCTGGCTAGACCGTAATATCCAGAAATGTGGTCAAATACATCTGAATGTTGCTGTGAAGGTAATTTTTAGATGAGATTAATATTTGAATCAGAAGACTGAATAAAACTGATTGCCCTTCTTAATGTGGGTGAGCCTCATGCAATTATTTGAATGCCCAATGAAAAAAGACTGAGCTTCCCCAAAGAAGAAGGAAATCAGTCTTCAGACAGCCTTCAGACTCCAGCTGCAGTATCATTTCTTCCCTGGGGTTCCAACCTGCCCATCTGCCCTGCAGATTTTGGATGTGCTAATCCCCGCAATCATGTGAGCCAATTCCTTAAATCTCTCTAGAAAGATAGAAGACAGATAGATGATAGATAGATAGATAGATAGATAGATAGATAGATAGATAATGCATAGATACATACATAGATACACACACACACACACACACACACACACACGCACCCCTTACTGGTTCTGCTTCTCTGGAGAACCCCTAATGTTATAGAGACTCAAGTTCACTGCATATGGTGGTGATCCCTCCTGTGACTCTCTGCTTCTAGTGCATCTCTCCAAGCCTTAACTGAGCCTTCTATGAAACGAGGATGATGCAGGGTCCGCATGAACATTTCAGGAGATGAAGCAGTTAGAGTGTTTACCTAGGGGCCAGGCTCAGAGAAGCTTGAACACCATGCTTCCGGTAGGGCATGTGGTGTGTGTGACTACATTCCTGTGCTGTCTTTCTTTGCCCTACAGGGATACATATGGGCCTGTTCCTCACTTTACAAAGAGGAAACTGAGGCCCACAAAGGCCCAAGCATGCTTCCAGTCACCCAGCTGTGGAGTGGCAGCCTGCCTGTCTCAGGTGCTGTGCTCCTAGCACCAGTGTTCTTTAAAGAGAGAGCAAAATTTGCATTTCAGGAATGTGCAGGCCGGGGAGAGTGGCTGGGTGTGTAACTGTACTGTGCCTCATATTCCCATGCCCCACTCTCCATGGGGAGGTGTGCTTACTCCATGGCACCTGCCCTGGCACTCCAACCCACTGTTCTCACCTCCCAGAAAGATAGAAGAGATCAGCCAATCATACTGCTAGCTACACCTCTCCGATTTTCTCATCCCCCAACTCCAATTCTCTCTCAACTCAGACCTCTTTGGAGTTTCAGAAACCCACTCCTCCAGGTCAGCACTCCAATATTCACAATGGCTGAGACCCATGAAGAGGTCTGAACCAGGTTTTTAGGGGCTGCAGAATGAAAGTGCAGCCACTGATGGTGCTAGCGACTCTGTTCAACCTTCCCGAAGACAAGGGCCTAGTAGATGAAAGCCTCAATCATACCGTGATTCCCACTGACTGGGAGAGAGGCCAGCTGCAGAGAAATTTCCTGCATAAAAGTCTGTGCATTTCACCTGTGGGCCCCAAAGGAACTGAGTCTGTAACCCAGTAACCTTTTATCCTAGGATTCGAATGAGCAGGCAGATCTGAATTGTCTGGATTTCTTTAAGGCCCAAGTTACTTTCTTCAAAGGATAGTCTCATTTGTAATATTAAAAGCATAATGAGAATAACTAGATTTTATTATTTAAAAGATTTATAGCCGCAGTAATCTTATTTTCATTTTTATAGATCTCTATTCAAAATCAGACCAATGACTAAACTCTGGACAACAAAGGAAATGACCTGTTATTTTACTTAAGCTAAATACATTGACTTTTATTTTAAAATTAAATCTTGAGTAAATTAATTCATATATCTGGGTTGATTGTAAACCCCAGGAGAAACAATAACTGTATTTATTTGCAACTTAAGATTGGCTCTCTTCTTATGAATTGCTCACTGGAGGAGCCCAGGTGGGCCCAGTAGGGAAGGAGCATCCCCCAGACGGTGGGCTGGGGGGCGAGGTGGATGAAGCGATTCTCTGATTTCTGTCACTCAAATGTAAGTCCCATAAAGTTAGGATTTTTTTTTTTTTTTCACTATTCTATTCCCGGCCTTTAGAACAAGGCCAGCCAGCACTTGTAGGTGCTTCATTAATATTAGTTGAATGAATGAATCAATTAGACATTTACTAATTTGTGGCTTTCTCCCACCCTCCCTCCCCCATATTATACCTTTGATGCTTGGTACTTAACAAAAATAGGAAGTGACAAATTTATATTTGAATATTTGAATGTATCATTGAGATTGTCACATTGCTTTCTGCTTCATGTGATAGGAACATTAAATAATCTCTTTTGAGAAATAACCATCAATGTAAAGAGGAAAACTTTGACAGATATTAAGGCATACTGCATACTGCAAATCTATAGTGATTGAAAATGGTGGTCCTGATGTAAATACAGACAAATGGGCCAATAGCACAGAATAGGGAGCTTAGAGACAGATATTTGTGTGACTGAGGTTTAATACATGTTAAGGTAGAACCACATATCCACAGGGTAAGCTTCTATTAGGGAAAATTTTCCATATAGAGAAAAATGAACCTAGAGCCATACCAAACACTACATGAAGGTTAAAAATAGAGGTTTAAATGTGAAAGATAAAACTATAATGTTAATCAAAGAAGGCTTAGATGTAGAAGGGTTTTTAAAATTAAACTTCAAAGCACAAATTATAAGGCAAAAATAATTAATTTGATCACATCAAAATTAAGAATTTCTGATCAACATAGGCTTCCTTGGTAGCATCAATAGACAGATGACAGCTTGGGAGACCATCTCTGGAATACCAAGGCATGATGTACAAGGAACTCTTCAAATCAACAGCAACCAAGAAGAGCCTACATGGAAAAATGGCCAAAGTGTATAATCAGGCATTTTACAGAACAGGAAAGCCACAGGGCTAAAAAGCAAAAGAAACATGCTCCAAGTCATTTTTAATCAGAGAAGTGTGCAATGGAAGGCAATCAAATGGTCTTTTATGAATGACAGTACGATGGGACATCTCCTTCCATTAAGCCTTCCACTGGTGGCTCTAGCTACAAACCCAGGAGGACTTAAGAAAATGGCACCTTCGTACCCCTTCCAGTATTGTAATTTAAGGATGACGGAGAATGAGAAGGAAACATGTATTTTTGGTTTGTAGGAGGAGACATACAAAATAAGTAGAAGGAATGCCTTCTAAGAAGAAGATAACAATGGACCATAGAGGAGGGATGGGGGACTCAGTGAGGAGAGAGGACACAGGGAGACCAGGTTGGGGCAGGAAGTGCACCTCTGGCCCAGTGGGAAGCCATGGAGGCTGCAGGAAAAAGCCTTGTGTGATGCTCTTGGACACAGTGTGGGGTTCTCCTTCACCTGGGGTCAGATAACCCAGGAGGGCATCAGTTACTACCAGGCCAGAATCAGCCCAGAGGGTAGGAACTGAAGAGGCCAGAGACTCCTGATGCTGATGCAGGCAGGGGCAGGAAGAGCAAGTTCTGCCGCATTATCAGAAAGGACATTCCTGCTGCTTCCGGGGAAGGTGCATGGGGGGTTGGGAAGCTGGAGGCAGAAGCACAGCCGCACAGTCTCCTGAGTGCTGTGTGTGCAGTGGTGTCATGGGTCGAATCAGTTTGGGGCTCATTTCCTGTGCCCACACGCCATCTGTCAATTGGTGTGTGGTGTGAGGCACGTGGTGTCTCCCGTGGCCGGCGGTGAGGAGGATGAGCATCTGCATGGCAGTGTGGCAGGACTGCTTAGAATCCCCAGGCATGCCAGGCAGGGGGGCAGCCTGCCACTAGTCTGTATCCCTCCCACCCTGGGGTCTGCACAGAAGAGCTCCCTGAGGACAGCCCCTCAACCCAGCCCTTGTGTCCCACTGGGGCCAGTCACTGTTCCCTGAGGCATAGAGGTGAACACACAATGGAGGACTGTGCTCAGAAGCCAGTGGGGGATGGCAGAACACACATACACATAAAGAAGAATTTTATCTGGTGGTGGTCACTATTGTGCAGAGAATGAAACAGTCTGCTGTGAGAGAGAGAGACTGAGGACTGCCTCAGACTGAGGAGTCAGCAAGGGTCCCAGAGGAGAAGAAAGTCAAGGTGCAACCTGAATAAAGGTGGGGGCCAGACAGAGGGAATACAGGACAAAAGAAGCTCCAGCTTAGGACTGAGTGTGTCTCAGTGCAGGATGAACAAGCTGGCCCAAGTCAGGGAATATGGGGAGAGGGGAGGGCAAGGGATGCTATGGAGAGGGCGGCAGGACTGGAGCAGGTGGAGGTCCTGTGAGCCTGGCCATGGAGTATGGGTTTTGGCCCAAATGTGATGGGAAGTCATTGGGAGGTTTTAAACTGGAGGTGATGGCATCCGGTTTCTGTGTTAAAAAATGACCCTTCCTGCTGTGTGGAGAATCGAATGTAGTCAGGGGTGTCAGTCAGGAGACACATTCAGGCAGCCAGACAAGAGGTTTTATGAAGTAAATAAAGTGGCAGAGAGATGACAAGAGGTGGAGGGATTTGAGATGTGTTCTGGATCTGCCTGCTGATTGCACATAGTTGCTGAGGAGCGGACGAGAAATGCGGAGGGCTTTGATTTTTGGCTTAAGAAACTTGGTGGGTGCTGAGAAGAAGGAAGTGGGAGAGGGAGTGGTGGTAGGAAGTCAAGAGTCCTGGTTGGGCAGTACTTGGTTTGCAGTGAGTAGGCATGTGAAGTGGGGAGCTCGGTTAGGACTGAGTATCTTCTCTACATCATCCAGGTGCTATTTAGAGCCTTCATGGGAGTGCATTTGGGGAGGGCATAAATGGAGATGAGATGCAATCCAGGCTGAGCCCTGCATTCCATGACATTTGTCAACAGGGTCTGAGGAGCAGCCAGTGATGAAGGAGGAGGACCAGGAGAGGGTGGGGTGTCAAGACAGCCAAAGGAAGGCCATGTTTCAGAAGGAGGGAGGGGGCCAGCTGGATGGAATTCTCTTGAAGGCTAATTAATATAAAATACACTTCATGAATGATCCTAGAAACCCACATCAGCACAAAGGCCAGCCAGCACAAAGCTGAATAGAAAGCCTCTTAGATGCTGGGGTTGGTCCGGGACGTGTTGTACCTTACTCATCCATCATGTGTCTGTGTCGCATGCGTCCCTTTAGTTGAGCTTTCCCTATTCTACAACTAGAAGCAGAGATGTGGGCATTTCATTGACCCTCCTACTCAAAAGAGGGACACAGCAAGAGAACCAAAATAGAAGGTGGGATGATGGAATACAAAATTTGAAGAATCCCAGAGGAGTCATCAACCCACTTCTTATATTTAACAAAAAAATTTCCTAGGAACCAAGCAACTCCCTTAAGATGACTATTAGTAGGGCTGGGCGCGTTAGCTTATGCCTGTAATCCCAGCACTTTGGGAGGCTGAGGCGGGCAGATCATGAGGTCAAGAGATCAAGACCATCCTGGCCAACATGGTGAAACCCCGTCTCTACTAAAAATACAAAAATTAGCTGGGAATGGTGGCATGTACCTGTAGTCCCAGCTACTCGGGAGGCTGAGGCAGGAGAATCGCTTGAACCCAGGATGCGGAGGTTGCAGTGAGCCGAGATCGAGCCACTGCACTCCAGCCTGGCGACAGAACAAGACTCCGTCTCAAAAGAACAAAACAAAACAAACAAAAAAAGATGACCATTAGTTGTAGGTCAGGACTAAAACTCAAGACTTGCACCTCCCAGTCCACTATTTCTACCATGAATACTGTGGAAAAATGTCACTTCCATAGGTGTCTCCATTGTCAAGTTCTCATCCTAACCTGAAAAGGGGACCTCAGCCTGTGACTCTGTCTCTCAGGCAGTTCCATAAAGGGGGCAGCCTCTCCTGCATGCTCTGGGGCCCATCATGAGGCAGCATCTATAGCTCCCAGGGCTGTCATTCATGGATTGAGGGCCAGAGGCCCCAGAGGAGGTCTTCAGGGCACAAGAGATGGCTGCATTTTCTGAGTTGTTTCCATGATATTGGCTGGTGGGAGGCAGCTCATTAATGGGTGCAGAACCAGGTCACAGGCCAGGTTCACACCCAGAAATTCCACCCCAGGTTGGACTTGTGCCCTGCCCACACACTGCAGTCTTCAGGGAGCTGTTTTGTTTTCTCTGTCAAGGGCATCTATTTAATCTCTTTCTCTTTTTATCCTTCCTTCCTCTTCTTTTTTATTTATCCTGTCTCTTGATAAAGCAATTCTAGTTTTTGAATCAAAACACCTGGGTTCCAGACATGGCCTCTCCTTTTAGGGCCTCACTGTTCTCATAACATGAAGGTTTTTAGCTACATCAGGGCAGACGTTCTCAAAGTGTGGCCCCTAGGCCTGCAGCATCAGCATCAGCTGAGAACTTGTTAGAAGTGCATGTTGTTGGCTCTTGGGGCCTCCCCAGCCCCACTGAATCAGAGTCTCTGGGGGTGGCCCTGCCGCCTAGTTTTTACAGGCCCTGCAGGGATCCTGACGCCATGTAGGAGCCATGATGTCAGAGGGCTCTGGTTGCTGTTGTTCCTGACACATCTAGGAAGTGTGATGTACTCCCGTCAATGTGACTTTATAGGGCGGTGGTGGCTCCACATGGTAGAATCTGGAGATGGACTTGGCCTTGTGGAGTTTAAATTGTATCCTCTTCCCTCTCCCAGTTGTTGAGGATCCTGAGGCTTGCTAGGCATTAGTCAGCCAGTCTCCCCGCTCTGGCACCCTGTACCTCTAACTGCATAACAGTGGCAGTGATGGGCAGGTAGGGCCAGGCTGGTGGGTTAAAATGCAGCATTGGCTACTTTTGTATTTTTAGTAGAGATAGGGTTTCTCCATGTTGGTCAGGCTGGTCTTGAACTCCCAACCTCAGCAGGAGAATCGCTTGAACCTGGGAGGTGGAGGTTGCAGTGAGCAGAGATCGCGACATTGCACTCTAGCCTGGACGAGAGTGAAACTCGGTCTCAAAAAAAAAAAAAAAAAAGGGCAGCATTGGATTTCCACAGTTCTACCTCTGCCCCTCCCAGTAACTGCAATTTTTCTTGCAGAGACAGATATGTTTCTATTGAATGTGCCACCCTGCTGAGATCAGAATTAAGCCATGAGTGAAGATGCCCAGACTGTATGAGTGGCACGATGTTGAGCCTCAACAGCACTGAACTGGACAGGAAGCATTTCAGTTTTGGGAAACATAATTGTGGAGGAGTGAAATGTGTTGCCCTTTTCATGTCAGAACATTCATATGAAAATCATCTGGCTTCAATTTTTATTTCTAAAATTAACCTTTAGTATTAGAAACATTTACAGTGTTAAAATTTGGGGGATTACTTTCAGACATCTTGGATTACTTTCAGATGATTGCATTTCTTGGGGAACACCACAGTGGGAGAGGAACCAGAAATATTCCCATCTGATTGAACAGAGGCTGGATGTGACAGGCCCAGCAGTTTCTCCTGGTTTCTACCCTGCATGAGGAAGGTGTGGGCTTGGAGGAGATGCTCAGTCAGTGTTGCTTAGAGTGGCTGCTAGAAGACATTCTGTGTCTATTACATAGTACTTACAATGGTATATCTCCCCTCAGAGTATAAAAAAAATGAAATTTATTTCCAACTTCTTCAAGACTTTAGTGATGCCAGAGATCTAACTGGGTGTAAGATTATGGTAATGGCTGTAGGACAACAATCCAGAGAGACTGAAGATAGAATGGAATCTAGGGTTTGGGTCCTGGCATTTAGGAATCCTATGGCCTTGGAAAAGTCACTGCACCTCCTTGAGCCTCAGCCTGTTCATATGCAAAATGAACATTAAAAATAAAGCCTTACCATGAAGGATGGAGCAGTTAAGATTATATGAGTAAGCTCTTTCTAAACTACAAAGAGCTCTGAAGTATCTACTGTATGCTGTGGATAGCTTTGGGGTACCTTTCTCAATGTCTCTGTTCTAAGGGTACCTTTTCTCTCCTCCATTCACATTGCTGCAATGTTTATAAAAAGGGGCCTGGCCCTTCCACCTCCTGCAGCTGCCACCCAGTGATGGGTACCCTACCCACTCTGGGGCCAACACAATCCCCACCTGCAACTATGGATGATTGGCCAAGATGGGCTACTTGACGGTTAGGGCATTCTTTCATGGGAATGTGAAAATAGCTTCTCAGAAGAGTCCTGTATCCTTGAGTAGGTTAACCTGTATCATCGAAACTAGGTTGTTCTCTTTGCCCATCAATAGCCATTTTGGAGTGAAAACAAGAAAAGAGATGAGAAGGAGGAAAGGACCATCCATCTGAAGACATGGCAAACATGGCCATGGTTCCCGCCCAGTCATGAAGCCCAGATCTATTCTGATCCTTGGAGTGTCTGGCCTTCCCTTGTTTGCTTATGCTAACTTGTGGGTTCCTGTGGTTTGTAGCCCAAAGAGTCCTTTGGCATGATGACACCATATCAGGCACATTAGTGCAAAGTCTTACGCATATTTCTTAGTGTCTACAAGGCTGATTTAAGGCATTCATAAACAGAAGGGAAAAAAGATGTAAATATTGGAAAGACAAAAACAAAACTTATTCCTAGAATCAATATAATTTACCTAGAAATGCAAGAGAACCCATCTGTTAATCCAGTTACTCAAAAATTAATTATTGAGTGCCATGTGGGGTCTGGCACTGTGGAATGACTTAGAATTATGAGAGTGTACAGTAAAGTGGCCAACTACAAGATAATTGTATAGCAGTAAGCTTTCCATGTTAAATAAAGCATGTTACAAATTCTTTGATGTTAAACAAAGCTTGGACCATTACTGGAGGATTTCCTATGTTAGATATATTCCTAGGGTCTTATGCCAGTGTGAGCTCCCTCCCTGATTTCTCTAAAAGACTGAACTGTTGCCTAAAGAACTTCCTGTGTTCTATTCATTGAAAGGAGTTTGCACTGCTATGAATTCTATGATACATATGATATTGCCTGCCATTTCCAATGCCTCCTGTATTGTTTTTATTCAAAGGGTTTCTCACCATTATGAATTCTATCATGTACTTTGAGGCTTAAGTCAAAAGAACTTTCCACACTTATCACATTCAAAGTCTTTCTCAGTAGCCTAAGTACTTTGATGTTGAGAAAGTTGTTGATGTGCACTGAAGGCCTTCCCACACTAGTCATGTTCATAGGGTACCTCTCCACTATGAACTCTCTGATGTATTTTAAGGCTGCCACCTAGGCTTAGCATTCCTTGAGGTCACTGAATTTCCCTCCATCTTTAACTCTTTGATGGAGAGTAGGAGATGTATATTTTTATAAGTGAACATTTTTCGTAGCTGATTAGCTCCTATCTTGGTTCCAAATTTGGAAAATTTATAATTCGTATTAGAAAACCAAATGCTTTCTTGCTGTTTCATTTAAGAATTAAATTCCAAGGTAACCAATTAGCCCTACTTGGTGAGGCAACCAATAACTGTACAGTCTTCATGCTTCTTATAACCATCAAGTGCCCTTTTCCTTGCTCCAATAAGGCCATCACATCTGGTTCAGAAAAACAGTGTCTAGCATTGAGATCAAATTGCCAGTTCTCCATCATCACATCCTGGTACAACATTTCTGGAGCAGGTTCAAACAGCCTCGTCTGTGGCCACATCTCTGGCCATGTATGCCATGTTGTTTGATGAGAAAAAGCTGACTAGTCCCCTTTCAGTGTCTCCACTAAGAAAGCCCAAAACATACCTAGAGCTAAACATTGACTTTTATATGTAAAGCAACATTTTCCCCTCCTCCTTAGGGTCTTTGTTTTGTAGAACGACAGGCCTCACACACATTTCATAATGAGATGGAATGAAGGGGGGCGGTTACAGTCTGTCTGTGATATCACTGCGGGGTCCTGGGTCAGAACTCTGGGATGCTTCGACTCTGAGCCACATAGCTGCCTTCTCAGAGCTCCTGAGGGGGAGACCTGCTTACACCTCCCTTTCCCAGATCAAGGCAACTATACCTGCTTGCTGGAAGCCTCCATTCTAGGACTCACTACCTGGCTTCCTTCTTAGGGACACCTCTCTGCAGGCATCTCACGTAACAATGAAGTGAAAGGGTGGAGGGGCAGCAGGGCATGAGGGCCACAGAACCCAGTGACACATCCCACAGCACCACACGCCCACAAAGCCACACACCCCTCACCTGTCACCAAGCCTCACCCACAGCTTCCACATCCACACCCTGTCCAGGCACACACCCTGTCTCACACACAGACGTGCCACACACACAAAAGGAGGTTCCAGTAATGAGACACTCTGTCCACATTCCTGGCCTCTTTGCCTTAAGTGCATAGGCAAATTTGGCAATAAGACTTGTCGGAGGATAGAGAATTTGTTCTACTGGATAATAACATTTATTATAAATAATAATAGTAGCTAATATTTAGTGCTTATCATATGCCCAGCTGTATTAGTTTGTTTTCTGTTGCCTAGGATACATGAAAGTAGGTAGTTTATAAAGAAAGGAATTTATTTTTTACAGTTATGGAGGCTGAGAAGTCCAAGGTTGAAGAGCTGCATCTGGTGAGGCCCTTCTTGCTGGTGGGGACTCTGCAGAGTCCCCAGGTGGCGCACGGCATCATATGGCGAGAGGGCTGAGCGTGCTGGCTCAGGTCTCTCTTCCTCTTCTTATAAAGCTATGATTTCCCCTCCCATGATAACCCATTAATCCATGAATGGATTTGAATGGATTAATCCATTCCTGAGGGCTCTGCCTCTTAAAGACCCCACTTTTTAATACTGCCACATTGAGAATTAGGTTTCAACATGAGTTTTGGAGAGGACATTCAAACCATAGCACCATACCTGCTTTGTGTGTTTACGTGTACTATTTAATTCTCTGGCCAAGGAAGGTGCTGCTCTCCTCACTTTGTGGATGAGGAAACTGAGGCAAAGTATGTTTATCTCACTTGTCCAAAGCCACACAGCTAATCTATGGCTTAAATAGGGCAGGCTCTCACTGCTTTGCAAACAGACCCAAGTCACATGCCTGCTGCACTGGTTGGGGTACAGCAGGAATGTTACAGTCTGGAGTGGTTGCTTGGGGGCCAGAGTCAGAATCATGGAAGGCATCAAGTTTTGGGGGGCACTGCCATCTTCACCAGTAGCTTCCAAGTTGGTCAGGATAATAGGTGTTGCCCTTGTACTACAGTAATGAGAGAAGGTTGTGGAAGGTGTGGGGAGCTCCAGAGGCCAGGTCTGGAAATGGGACACACCTTTTTGCTGTTCCTCTTTCATTTAAAAAAGAAAGAAAAGCTAGTATAATCTTGGAGTGAGAGAAGCAGTTTCTAAACAGAAAAATATGAGACATGTTTCAAATAAAAATATCTACAGATTAGAATTTATTTTTAAAAATTCAAATGTACCGAAAGCTTACCCAAAATTCTGAAAGGACCAGCTGAGAAAATGTATCAATGCATACTTACAGGGTTTACATGCGTCAGTGTGTAGTTACAGGGTTTAGATGCATGAAAGTGTACTTGCATGGTCTGGTTCCATCAAAGTGTACTTGCATGGTCTAGATCCATCAAAGTGTACTTGCAGGATTTAGATCCATCAAAGTGTACTTAGGGTTTAGATGCATCAGTGTGTACTTGCAGGGTCTAGATGCATCAGTATGTACTTGCAGGATTTACATGCATCAGTGCCATACTTGCAGGGTATAGATCATGTGTTCGTGTTATCTGTATGCCCGCGTTTAAGAGATAAGCACAGGTGGGCAGTGCCGCTCCCTTCTGAACTGACCCTACTTTAACTCCAGCCTCCCCATTCTGCCTCCACACCTTCCCCTACTCTTTCTCAATAAAACACTCAGGAGAATCATCTACCTTCACTGTGCCATTCCTCACCTTCTATTCATTCTTTTTGAAAAAGTAATAAATTTTAATTGTGAAACATTTCAAGCACTCAGACAATACAAAGCCCGCTGCTTTTGGAATGCCCTCCTTCTCTTTGGGTTTAACTTCCTTCTTCCTGAAGCAAATGCTTTAGGATGCTGGTTCTCAAAATTTTTGATGTCAGGTTCCCTTACATTCTTAAAAATTATCGTGGTGCCTAAAGAGCTTTTCTTTGTGGGGTATGTCTGTTAATATTTACTGCATGGGAAATTAATACTGAGAATTTATAAAATACCTATCAATTTTAAAATTACAATTATAAACCTGTTACATGTAAACATAGATAAGCTTTTATGAAAAATTTTTCAAAAACAAAAAATATCACGAAAAGGATGGCATTGTTTTGTTTTAGTAAATTTCGACTGGCTTAATAGAAGACAGCTGGATTTTCATATCTGCTCCACAATCCATGTATTGGGGTGTGTTGTTTTAGTTGTAGTGTGAGAAGCAAGTCTAACCTCATACTGCTATGTAGTTGGAAAGGGGAGGAGTATTTCAGTTGACTTTTCAGGTAATTGTGGATATCTTTGACACTACATCTGAATTCAACAACAAGTAGTTTCTTAAAATTAGTTGCCACATGGAATCTGAAGCCACATTGGTAAACTTTTCATACTCCATTATATTACAGTTCTTTGCCCTGTCTTGCACTTATCTACATATGATCTGTAACATGATACACTGATCGCTTGGAAAATAGTGGTCCATTGAGTTAGGTGGCTCTTCTAAGCATTGTCACATTTCATTACACACTCTCAGAAAATCACATTCATTAATATCACCACTAGTCTCATCAGAAAAGTCTCTGAGTATTGGGAGCAGTCAGATTCACAGTAGTAGATACAAGAAGTTTCATGGGGAAGCTCAGATTTTATCATCGATAATAAAATACTATTGGGATTCTCTTTAAAGTGACAGGCTCACTACATTCATTTTCAAGAGGATGCTTGCCAGACACCAGTGTCTGAAAAATGATCGTTTTCAGTTATTCTTTCAAACCCTGCAAGTATGCTTTGATGAATAGAAGGTGAGGAAAATGATGTTCCATGGAAATACAGCTAGTTCAGGGTGCAACTCAGGCAGTCATACAGGTGCTCTGCCTCAGGACCTCCATCGCTCTTTGGCATACAGCAGAGATACTTAGAATATCAGGAACACTTACACACAAGGGTTGCTAGTTAATACAATTAATACTTTTCACTGCTTCATCAAAGATATTCTTAAACTGTTTTCGGTTTCTGTTTGGGTTTTGTTCTTTGGCTTTTGTAAGTTTGAGTGTTTGATGGTGAAGAATATGAAGACTACTGGCACAGTGGTTGCTATTGCCTTAATTTGTGCGGCTTCTTCCATTGCTTCGATACCATGAATGTCAACACAGCGAAAAGCAAATCTCTCCTTAGAATGATCATTGAATGATCATGAAAATAGTCTTGACCTTTTGGAACCTCTGCTTTGGGATTCCTGCATGACATTAAAAGGTAAGCCCCTAGACGGGGGAGAGATTGTCCCCTCCACACTCCTTCAGCAGCAAGTATTGGTGTTAAGCTCTGATTTTCCATTTCTTCTGGTTTCTAACAGCTGAGAAATTCTTTCCTTTGTTGCCAGTCTTCTTTAAGCATTCTTTTCCCTTGATCTCCAGAATGCCACTGCTTTTTGGTTTCTTCCCGGCTCAGTGGCTGTTCCCTTCCCTTCTCCTTGCTGGTTTGTGGTATTTCCTTTTCTATCTGACCTTTAAATGCAGGACTTCACAAAGGCCCAGCCCTGAGTTGTGTTCTTTTAACTCAGCTCTTGTTGGGTGGTCTCAAGTTCCACGGCTTTAAATACCAGTTTTGTGCAGGTTCCCCAAGCTACACCTCCAGCTCAGAACTTTCTGCTGAACTCCAGTTCAGTTTACTAGTTGCCCAGTTGATGTCTCCATGGTTTCCACAGGGACCTCTGATCCTGCTGTCAGCCAAGCTCTTGCTCCAGGCCTCCTCTTTTTAGAAGTGGCATCTTTAATACTGAGATAATCAGAAAATTTGAAGTCATGTTTGACACCTTACTCTCTCTCTGTACCCCCAAGCCAATCAGTCATGAAGTCACGAGAAGTTATTCACCAAATTACTTTCTTTCCATCATCATTACTGATCTGCTGCTTCCTCTCCTGGGTCCCAGCGCCTCTGGCCAGTACTGCTGCCGCCACCCTTCACCAGGCCTGCAGGGTCACCCACATCATCTCCCGTGCCCCTGGGTGTGGCTGTCCCTGCTCACTACCCCTCAGGGCCTCCCACTGTGGTTCCTGTGAATCCTAGCATCTGCCTGTGGCTACAGGCTCCTGCCTAGTTTGGCTTGTCCTTGGCTTTCTGACCTCAGTTTGTGTCTCAGATCCAAGCACACTGACCTTTGCCGTATTCAGGGAACATACCTAGTCTTTTGCCACCTCTGGGCTTTCCAGGACTGGTTATGCTCTTCTGTGATATTCCTTTGGGTCCAGTTTAGAGACCGGGATTTGCTCCTCCCAGCTGCTCCTGCACACCCTCTGTTGATGGCTGTCTCACATTACTCTTGGCACCTCCCTCAGTACCACAGGCCCTTTGCATTATCAGCTACCCTGCCAGGTTCCCCTGCAGTGTGAGCCCATGCCAGCAGTGCCTGCCTGTTCACAGCAGCATAGAGGGGTTGTGTCACTGTGCGTCACGTCTGAGGACACCCCTACAGAGCACCTACCAGTCTGTTAGAAAAACCCATTCCCTTACGTGACTGAAGTACTGGGATAAACAGTTCATAAAAGAAAAATAAAAGTGAGCAACAAGCTTTATAACTGTGTTCAATTCTCACTAGCAATTGATTTCAGGAAAACCACTTGGCAGTATCACCAAGATCCTGAAATCTAATACTCAGTCTCCCACGATTCCACGTTTAAGAATCTTTCTGATGGAAATGGCTGAAGATAGGATACAGATGTATATGTGAGGGTATTTATCTGATAGTAGATAAAGTCAGCCATTTTCATTGGAAGCAGTGAAAGTGTCCCTGAATAGGATGATGGTGAAATCAGTCAATGATGGGTGAGATTAGTGGCTTTGTGTGGCTCGAGCAGAGATGGCATCCCTGAGGCTGCAATCACTATGTCATGTCCAGCCATAGGGGGCACTGGATGCCAGGTGAACAGTCAGAAGAAGTGTGACTGACGGAATTTAAGGAGAGGTGCTATCTGAGCCTGGGGTGTGCATTACCTTTGAAGATGTATACATTGGTGCAGTCAGGTTTCAAAATATGTTTGCATGAATGAGATTGCAAAACTTAATGGTTAATACAACCTTGGATTCAGACAGGGTGCAGTGGGATGGCTCCTGTGTGGTCCATGATGTCTGGGACCCCAGCTGAGAAGCCTTGAAGACTGGGGCTGGGCTCATGCAGAGGCTTATTCTGGAGCTGGGTCTGGATGACTCAAAGATGGGGACTGCTAACTGGAGTGCTCACATGTGGCCTCTACACGTGGCTTGGCCTCCTCACAGCATGCTGACCTTGGGGTCATTCTTAAATGGAGCTTCAGGACTCCAAGTGTACATGTTCTAGTGAACGAGGCTGCATCACCCATCCTTAGCAGTCACACTGCATCCTGTCTGCTGTATTCTATTGATCCTAGCAGTCCTGAGCCCACTGAGAAGCAAGGGCATAGGTCACAGAACCCCTCCTCTCACTGGAAGGGCTGAAAAGGTCACATTGTGGAAGAGACACATTGCTGGGACCATCTTTAGAAAACACAGCTTGCCACAAGGGCCATTATTTAACTGACTAAACAAGAGGCCGATGTATAAACCCACTTTCTAAATTTGCCATACAAAATATAACTGCTCAGTACATCAAGAATATTTGTACCTACAGTCACTGTATTCCTTCCCCTGTGGAAAGTTGACAGAAGCTGTTGACTTTTTAGAACATGAACATGCAAGACATTGAATGGCAGTGGCTAGCGTCTCCAGCCATCAGATCCAATGACAGCCCTCTTTTCTATAGAGATGTACTTGGCAAGCAAAGTTGATGGAATACTCAGAGGCTCCCTTTGCCCTTTCTCCAATACAGAAGGCAATTTGAGAAGCTCTTTCTTGCTTCTTGATCTTATTAAAGAAGATCTCTTTCAATAACTCACTTTAGCTCATCTTTTCTCCCCATATGCTGTACTTCGGTGGTTTTCTGTGAGAAATCCCTCGTTAGTGTCTTTCCCAGGTGGTGGTGTCTTCAAGAACCACTGAGTGCTGGGGCTGCGGAGCCCACAGATCTGGAGTCAGGTAGCCACCTTCCCACAGCTCCCGCCGGCTCCTGCCAGCGCTTCTAAGTATTGAGTAGAGGGCCTGCCTACCTGCCAGGGAGGCTTGATTTAGGTTTTTTATACTTTTTTTATTTTAAATCAGAAATTTAATCTATAGTAAAGTTGATTTTCTCCTCTTAATTTCCAAAAGACAGCCATTTCTTAACTTTGTAGAAGAAGCCCCATTTTAAAAATGCATATATACATGTAAATAAAATACGAGCTAGTTTGAACGTTAAATGTTTATTGTGTGTGTTACTGGAAGTGAAGAAAACAGTGGGAAATCTCTTGATGTGAGTGAAATTGATGCATGGCTGCTTTATTTTTAAGTGATTCTGTAAACCAGAGGGGCAGATACTACAGAAAGAGTCATTTCCTGACAGCTGTCGCGGCTGGCCTGTCTGCTTCTGCCATCCTTGTTGGTTAATCACCCCAGGCACTCTCTTCTTGGTTTGAGGATGACATGCTCCCTCCTTGGAGGGAGCAGATCCCAGCACTTTGTCCTGGACTGGGTTGTGAAGGCTTCTGGGGTGCACTGAGAAGACTCCAAAAGCCCTTACCAGAAGCAGTCAGAGTGTGTGATTGCAAATCACAGGTTGAGGTCGGCAAGAACCTTGGAGAGAATGAGTTCCAAACCCCCATCTTACCGACAACAGATCCAGGAGGACCAAGGCCTTCCTTGGTGCATGGTACCCTCTGCACCCACCTCCTCCATTTCTCTCTCATCCACCCCTAGGGCTCCAAAGTGGCCCGGAAAGAAGACTCTGGTGTCCAGATCCTAACAGTGACAACCTAGGCCGATGTTCAGGAAGTTGCACTAGGAGCCAGAAGCTGTGTTGTACAAGGAAAACAGTACATTGAGATCCTTTCCCAGGCTCTGAGATCCAGACTTTTTTCAACACACAAAGGCCACGGAAAGGAGATTTCTTCTTCTACCTGCTTCTTTACCGTCAATTACCTTGTACACAGGAATGGTGCATTGTTTTTTATTGTAAAGCAAATGCTGTTTATATGAAATAATTTGCTCCATTACACCAAGATAGTTCTAATGTAACAGGTTGGCAGTGTGAGAAACAGAGGTGTCTCCTGTAGCCTCTAAAAATGTGGATAAAAAGCACATGTTGCCTGGATGCCTTCCAGTGAAAGTTTATATCAGTGAAGCGTACTTTTCAGATTGCATTAGTGCCAGCGTGACGATTCCTGAGGAGAGCTGTTTTTCAGAGTTCTGAGCCCAGTTTTTGTTTTGGGTGATAGTGCCATAAAGGAAATGGAACCCAGGGACTCCAGGAGGTGCCCTTGGCCTTTTGGTTAAATAGGGCACCTGGGTGAGGAATGGACAGTCTTAACTCTGGAGGGGAATTCTGGAAGAGTGTTACAGAGGGAAGACAATCTTCTAAAATGTGACCCAAGCTCTGCTGTGGAAATGGAGTATTTAGATATATTAAAAATTCCTAAAATAATGTTTCACATTCATCAAGTAGAATTTATTCATTCAAGATGTAGCTGTTTCCCCAAGCTTCCATTTCTGTTTAGTTTTTCTTCCACAGTGCTGAAATACTGCATTTTTACCCCAAGAATTCATGTCTGCATTGATCTGCATTCCACTAATCATGTTTAAATCATTAAACGGAATAGTGAAGACATTATACTTGATGATGGGGCTGGGAGCGGGGAAAGGAAGAGCAGAGAAATAAATGAATCCCCCACTCGGTGTGTGTGTGTGTATGTGCGTGTCTGTGTGTGTGTGTGTGAGAGAGAGAGACACACACATCTTGTTTACTTTTTCAACGAATTAATTTCACTTTTTCCTAATGTCCCTTGGCTAAGGAGAGGCTTTTCTGCCCAGGCAGGCACTCCACGAATCCACACACTCAAACACTCTGTAGCCTGCAGACCAGCACCTGCAGCATTGGAGTGGGCATCCTAAACACTAGGGCTGCCTCCCGAGGGACAGAGCCCCACTCCGTGCCACTGTGTGCATTGTATGTAGTTCAGGGCATTGGTCAACTAGAGCATGTGCTATTTCGTTAGGTAAATGGAAATTTTTTTCCATCTCTCTTTCCTTTGGATATACAATTTGCAGTGAGTGAGTTTGCTATTCCTGGTCCTTCCCATCACTTTGAGGGATCCAGATGGAATCCCCCAGCTGCACCCCATGGTATATTTCTCTTCACCTGTTGTCTCTCTCCATGGTTTTACCTGTGAAGATTATTGCTACAAAGTGACCAGTCAGAGCCATCCCTGCTGACCCCCGGAATTCCTGCAGAACAGCCTTGTAGACAAGGTATGGGCTATTGAGTTCCTTGGGTATGGTACTTGTACCCCTCTCTCTATGCGTATTCTTGGGCTCTTGTCCTTAGAATTACTCTCTGCACATTCGGCCATTCCCATGGTGCTGATGACTGGGCAGATCAATCCCCCAGCCCAGGCCTCTTCTGGAGACTGATGATACCCCTAGATCCTGCTGTCCTACCCATGGCCGGCCACCAGAACCGTGTCTAAGAGCCGCTCCATTTCCTCCCATCAGCCCATCATTTCCACCTGTGTCACCCGCTGTGCTCATCCTCTCCCTCACTGCCCTCTGCCACTGCCTTGGGTGCTTGCAAATGCAGCCGCTTGTGTTCTTTGCTCTCAATTCTGCAGCTGCCCCCTTGCCAGGCTCTGCCTTCAGCCTCTTTGCACACAGCTTTCAGAGTTTGTGGGCTGCCCCCAGAACTCCCTCACTCAGCCCCCTTTAGGCAGAACCCACGCACCCACCTACTCCAGGGGCTGCCATGAGATCTCTTCCATGTGCATCCAACATGGAAGCCCCTGCCTGGCTGCCTGGGGGCCTGGGCTGAGGGTGGGGGATGGGGGGCCTGCAGTAGCACCCCAGCCTCTACACTGCACTCCACACACACTGCCTGCTCTGTGCTGGTGCCCGCAGCCCAGCTGCCTTCATAGGGTGAAGAAGGAGGACCTCCCTCCATTTTCTGTCCATCCTGAGTGCCAGCGCTGACCCAAGATCCTGGCAACCCCACAGTTCATCCAGGGTCCACATGAAGGTCCTAATGCCCACTGGGTAAGGATTGCATTTAATTATGGTTCAGCGTTGACCATTTGGATAACCTTGAACCAGGAAGTACAAGTCATTGGGGTACTATAGACTGAATATTTATGTCCCTCTCAACCTAACCCCCAAGGTGATGGGATTGGGAAGTGAGCCCTTAGGGAGGTGATAAGGTCATGTGGAATGAGATTAGCGCCCTTGTAAGAGAGGCCTGAGAGAGACCCCTTGCCAAAAGGCTGTCATGTGAGGATGCAGGGAGAAGTCACCGTGTATGAACCAGGAGCAGGGCCCTGTTCAGACTTACTCTGCCAGCACCTGATCTGGGACTCCCCAGCCTCCAGAACCATGAGAAATGAATGCCTGTTTATGAGCGACCCAGTTTATGGTATCACATTACAGCTGTCCAAATGCACTGAGCTAGGGGGCAGGTGGCCTTGTAACAAAATGCTCCATTTTTTTTTTTTAGAGTTAGATTACTTTTTAGCATTTTTTAATTATTATTATACTTTAAGTTTTAGGGTACAGGTGCACAATGTGCAGGTTAGTTACATATGTATACATGTGCCATGCTGGGGATTAATGTTAGGAACCTATTAGATAGCAAGCCTCCCTAGTATGCGTTTAAAGCCCAATTTCACTTACTAGCAAATGCCCACTTTCAGGGACAAACTAACATGAACAGTTCAGCTCACACCCCTGAGGAGTAAGGACCCCCGGTTCCTTCAGACCCTGGCAGTCACAGTACACTGCAAAGCTGTTGACACACAGGCATGCATTGTTTTCCTCAGTATTCCTAAGTCTTGGGGTCTTTGCCTTTAATTGGGTTGTAGCTTTAGTAGAGGAAGGCAGGTCTCCACTGAATTGGGATGCCCCTGTCCCCACATACCTGAGGCTGAATGCAAGGAAAGGTGAACCTTATTAGGACAGGGCAGCTGCCACTTCTTACCAAGGAAGGAGAGAGTCGGGAGGGGCCATGTGCTGTCAGATCTCCAGTCACACCACAGGCTGCAGGCTGCCCCTGTGCCTTGCTCCCACTCTCCCCACAGATTCTGGCAGCCACCATCCAGGAAATACACTGAGCAAGAAGACCCAACCAGAAAGTCACACCAAGGGCTTGGCCCTTTGGAGCATTCCCGCAAAGCCCGAGTGGTTAGGAAGTACATGTGTCGCTATCTGGAAGTCCCACACTGGAAGTATTATGTGGAATAAGCTTAAGACACAGCCAGGCCATTTGCCAGGCCCTACTGGGAGCGGTACCAGGCGGTAAGGGGACCTGGCCTGGGGCAGCTGTCAGGGGCAGCCCGAAGCATAGGCCCAGAATGCACCTCCCCTCTCCCTGCACAATGATGGGGCGCCTCTGCAGTGTGTGGACAGGTGCAGGTGGCTGCGTGGCAGTGGCACTCTGTCCTTGTACTCTTCCCTGTGTGTCTTTCCCTGGAAATGTTCATCAGTTCTGTGTCTGTGTGTGTATGTGTATGTGCGTTTTAACCTCAGATATTAATTTGGTGACTTCTGGACTGAAATTAAGCTTTGAATGCACTGCTGCTGGAAATCAAACATGAATTTGAGAAATCAAGGCTCTCCCCTGGATGTGGCTTGGCTTTTCCAGCCCCAGGTTCAGCTGATTCAGAACCTGTCCTGAGGGATACACTCACATTCTTCCCTTTCTCGCCTCCTGCCCCTGCTGCCATGCCCATGTCTACACTCATTCCTTCAGGCGTCTAGGAGCAAATCTTTTCCCCTTAAACTACAAGCCCATTTAGTAGAACGGGGTTAGGAGAGTAGTATCCTCTGTGGGGAAAACAGATCACGTTTTGTTACTTAAAAAATTCAGCTTCAAAGAGTATTTTCCTCCTAGATATCTGCACAGTTGATCTTCAAGCTTTTGCACAAATGTCATCTCAATGAGTCTCTTCAATTTTACAACCCACTCTTCAGACACCCTGTCCTGCCCAGCAAGCCAGGTCTTCTGTTGTAGTCACAGCACTTACAGACTCATAACCTATTGTTTAATTTATTTATTTTTTTCTCTGTTCTTATTGGAGTATAAACTCCACAAAGGCAGAGGTTTTCATCCACTGATGTGTGCTGAGCACCTAAAATAATCCTCATTACATAATTATTTGTTGAATGAATGAATATGTGGCTTTTGTTATTTTTAAATGAATCTACAGTGTTGGTCTTAAAACTGCCTTGGGTCCATATATTTTGGCATTTTATTTTCTTGAGCAGCTGAGTCTTTCAGAAAGTGAATAAAGATGATTAGCGTAGTCAAAGTGAAACTCCATAAAACTTTGGAATGGGTAAGTGTTGAAGAGGGGAGGGGTGTGTGTGTGTGTGTGTGTGTGTGTGTAAATGCATGGACATGTGAGCGTACACACGTGCATGCATAGGTCAGAGGAGAGGATAATGTGTTTGGATGTGATGTTGTGTCTCTTTTTACAGCAGTATCACTTTTTTTTTTTTTTAACTATCTTTTCAATCAAAACTGTTCCACCGAGAAGGCATTGGGTCGTCCTTGCCTGATGAGATGGCCTGACCCCCACGAGAAGGCCAGGACAACGTCACAATCCGCTTGGGTGGTCTGTGGATCCCCCTGGGTTGTTGACTCTTAATTCTAAAAGACAAGTGTTATAAGCTTTTGCTGTTACGGTGAAAATACATCTTCCTTTCCTAAATTAAGGGGAAACTTAAGTGGCTGATAGTATTTCCCAGACAACTGGGATCATGTTTGAAGCCTTGATAAAAAGTGTGCAGAAAAATCTCTGGATGTGGCACAGAAACTGATGTTGCTGTAATCAGCAACTAGCAGTAAGTATCTGAGATCCCCCTCTGGAGATGCACCTGACTGTGTTTATGTGCCTGATACTAACATGTCCTCATTAACAGAGTGTGCTGGAGCTGGAGCTTTATTTCAGAGTGGCAAGTTCAAGCCAGAATGTTTCATGGCAGGCAGATAGTCATTCACTTTCCTTCTGGGCTGGTCTTTCAAAGTTCTCTTTTTCTCCTCCATAGAGGACAGTATTTTCCAAGGTGTTCAAATGTTTTGGTGATAAGACATTTTAAAGCAGTCTAAAGCGTCATGAAGAGCCGGCAGGAGGCCCCTAGGTGCAAGGCACAGGGTGATCGCAGGGCTGGTTATGGAGCTGTCCCTGGGCTGACTGACTCAGCTGGCAGCCTGCTTCAGCCTGTTCCTGGGCTGCAGAGAGCACCTTGCTCGTCAGAATTTGCTGCTGTCCCATGGCTTTTTGTATGGCCCAGGAAACCACTGAGCAGCTGTCAACTCCAGAATGCATTTCCATGGAGCTCAACTGGGAGGACTTTATTTGGGGAAGAAAAGAAGCCTCTCAGACTATTCTCTCATAGTGCATGGCTGTGTGGCTGCTCTGGGCATGTCTTCAGATAGCCTTGTTTTTACTTTTTACCCACTGTGCCATTAGCTTCATTTCAATGACTGATAAAGTGTTCTTCTTGACAATTAAACAGTGCATTTGCTGATAATTATTTCTTTTTGTTGTCAATTTTAAAGGTGCTGGTCAACAGATTGTGAGTCGATTATAAATTGCCTCTCCCAGCCTCCCACCATCTCATTCACTATTTGTATGGCATGTTAAAATGTTTTGAGGAGTGGAGCATTTACATAAGCATCTGTTGGTCGACTGCAAATGTGTGTGTGTATTTCATATATTTAAACCCATCAAAAACTCCAGCATCCAGTTTGCTGTTCTCACATTTCAGATGAAAAACTGAAACACAAAGATTAACAAAGTCCCCTAAATTTATATAGATGGTTAATAGTGGAAGCTGGGATTAAACTGGTATTACAGATTACATGTTTGTATCCCCTCCCCCAAATTCATATGTTGAAATCCTAACTCCCAAGGTGATGATATTAGAAGGTGATGCCTTTGGGAAGTGATTAGGTCATTAGGGTGTATCCCTCATGAATGAGATTAGTGCCCTCATAACGGGGACCCCAGACATTCCATTGCCCCTTCTACCATGTGAGGATGGGGAGAAGGCACCATCTATAAATGGGTAGCAGGCCCTTATCAGACATGGAATCTGCAGGTGCCTTGATGTTGGACTTCTTCCCTCCAGAACTGTGAGAAATTGTCGATAAGCTACATATTCAATGGTATTTTTGTTATAGCAGCCTGAACTAACTAGACTGAGTGTGGAAGATGTTGCTTCACCAGATAATGAATTCTGTCAAAGGACATATCACTCATCTTAGCAAATGTCAATATGTAAATGTTTTATATAAACAAAACTCCATCTTCAGTTTCCTGCATTTTGTCATTTAAATGGAGTACATGCTAAATAATAATCGTTCATTAAATGTTTATAGAATTTATATTCATATATACAGATACATAGATAGGTTTAGATCTACATATTAAAATATACATATCTGTAATTATATTAGCCAGGTAGTATCGAGTAACCAGTAAAATCAGCTAAAAATTGAAAATAGTACAGAAAAACACCACTTTCAACATTGTTAATATTGAAACAAAGTGTTCCTGTAGCATTACTTGACATTATATACAAACTTCTTTAATACATTGCAAATTAACAGGTAAAAATGGTTGTGCATATTAACCACAGTTAGAATTTAAGATAGCACGTCTAGATATATTTGGGCTTATAAAGTATATTGTAGGTGCTATTTGAACTTCATATATGTTTAATATACATAAAAGGAATATATTTTTCTTTTTAAGAGTTTGTTTTTATATGCTTTTATTTCAAAAAGTAAATGTCAGCAGTTCCCCAACTTTGCTGCACATTGAAATCAGCTGGGGGGCTTTCAAATGTCCTAGTGTATGGCTGTCAGTCCCAGCCATTCTGATTGAATAGGGTTTAATCTGTGTATTGGGATTTTACCAAGCTACCTAAGTAATTCTAATGTGCAGCAAACTTTGGGAATCCCTGGTGTATGCAGTGCATGGAGAATCGTCAGATTTAGTGTCTGTGTATGCCCCACAACTCATCATTTTTTTTCGTTTATTCCTTTACTCACTGTACCCTTGCCAACTATCTGTCAGGGATTATGCAAATGCTGGGCACATAAAGGTGAATGAAAAAGGCATAGCATTGCCCTCCTGCAGTTTTAGTCTATCAGAGGGATATAAACAGTTTACAGGTAAATAAATCAACACTCTAAAATATTTTTTTTTTTTTTTTTTTTGAGACGGAGTCTCGCTCTGTCGCCCAGGCTGGAGTGCAGTGGCGGGATCTCGGCTCACTGCAAGCTCCGCCTCCCGGGTTCACGCCATTCTCCTGCCTCAGCCTCCCAAGTAGCCTGGGACTACAGGCGCCCGCCACTACGCCCGGCTAATTTTTTGTATTTTTAGTAGAGACGGGGTTTCACCGTTTTAGCCGGGATGGTCTCGATCTCCTGACCTCGTGATCCGCCCGCCTCGGCCTCCCAAAGTGCTGGGATTACAGGTGTGAGCCACCGCGCCCGGCCCCCACTCTAAAATATTTTTTAAACATTGTGGAAAGTGAGAAGGAGGTCATGAACAAGAGGCTGTTAGGGAGAATAAATATAGGTCCAGGCATCAAGACAACATGGATGAACACTACAAGTCAGGAAGGAGTTTGGCAGGCTCTAAGGCCAAACAGAAGGCTGAAGTGTCCCATGGGAGAGGCTGAAGAGGTTGGAGAGGGGGGTCTGGTGCAGGGGCTTTGAAGCCATGCTAGTGACTTTGGACTTAGACTTCAAACATTGTGATGCTGTTGGTTATTTTAGGCCAGGAGGCTGGGGTCAGGGTGGAGGTGGAGATGGAGATAAGGTTCTAGTTAACCATTTTAAAAGTTCTTTGTGGTGGCTGTTGCATTCATTCAAGTAAGGGATGATAGTAGCCTGGAGAAGAGTGGTGTAGTAGACGTGCATTCATGATGTATTTGGAGGAACCCACTGGCATCACTGGTGAATTGCATACGTGATGCAAGGAAGAGAAAGGAATCAAGGACAATTCCAAGCGTTTGACCTAAGCAATCACGTAAATGTTGATGTCATTTGGTGGGAAGGGAGATGGTTCATGGGCCGTTGCCAGTGGATGTGGATTTGAAAGTAAAGTCGGTATTTCTATCTGGCATATTAAGTTTGAGATGCCAGATAGACATCTAAATGGAGCTGACAAATAGATAGTCCAATAAACCGGTACCCAGACCAAGAAACAGAACATAAGCAGCTGAACAGAAACATTCTTCTTCCTCTTTCAGTATCTACCCTTCTATGACCTTGTTAAACTCAAGTGTTAGTTCTAGTAATTTTTCTGTACATTTTTTATAATTTTCTAAAAAACTCATCTGTGAGTAAAGTCAGTTGAGATTTATTTCTTTCCAATATGTATGCCTTTAATTTGTTGTTCTTATTTCATTGGCCAGAGCCTCTGGTACAATGTGGACCATGAGGGGCAAGCGCAGGGAATCCTTGCCTTGCTCTTGATCGTAGGTGCAGAGCATGCACACTTGCACCGTCAAGTCTGATATAGGCTGTGTGTTTTCAAAGATGCCCTTTGTCAGGTTGCGGGAGTCCTTTTATATTCTTAATCTGTTGAGAATTTTTTATCATGAATAGATGGTAGATTTTGTCAAAGGCTTTCCTGTATGTTCTGTATCTAGTGAGATTATTATTTGGCATTTTCATTTATTCTGTTAACATAATATCATTATTTTCTAATGATAAACCAACCTTCTATTACTGGAATAAATTCAAATTGGTCATGGTGTATCTTTTTAAATATGTTGCTGAATTTGGTTTGCTCATATTTTGTTAAGACCATTTATGTCTGTGTTCATGAAGGATATTGGCCTATAGTTTCTTTTCTTTGTCTGGCTTTGATATCAGACTAAAGCTAACTTCATAGAATAAGTTGAGCAGTGTTCCCTCCTCCAGTATTTTATGAAAGCATTTGTGAAGGATTAATATTATACTTTCTTTAAGTCCTTGGTAGTATACACCAGTGACACCATTTCAGGGTGGACTTTACTTTGTGGGAAGAGTATTGTTACCAGCTTAATTCCTTTGCTTGTTATTGATTTATTCAGATTTTCTACTTTCTTTTTGTATAATCTTTGGTAATTTGTATATTTCTAAGAATTTGTCCACTTAATATGAGTTTTCTGACTTTTTTACATAAAGTAGTTCATATTCCCATGTAATTAATACTTTTGGTGTCTGTAGTTTTGATAGCAGTGTCCCCTCTTTCATTCATGATTTTTGTGATTTCTGTACTCTCTTGAATTATTGGTAATCTGACTAAGGGTTTGTCAGTTTTGTTAATATTTCCAAAGAGCCACCATTTGATATTTTATTTTTCTGTTTTCTGTTCTGGTCTTCGTTGTTTTCATTGTTCTGCTTTTGTGTTTAGCTTGCTTTTTTTCTAGTTTCTTAAGGTGGATGCTTAGCTTATTAATTTCATACCTGTCTTTTCTAATATAGTTACATTTTTAATTTTACTTTTTGAATTGGCATACCGCAAAATTGACTTTTTGTTGTATAGTTCTGAGTTTAACACACATATAGATTTTATTTAACCACTATCACAATCAGTGTGCAGAACAATTTCATCACCTGGCAAAACTCCCCCAAGCTGCCCGTTTGTAGTGAGCCCTTCCTTTACTCCTAACTAACCCCTGGCAACCACTAATCTGCTCTCTGCCCCTATAGTTTTGCTATGTTCAGGGTGTCATAAAAATGGAATCATATGCTATGTATTATGTTTGGACTGGCTTCCTTCACTCAGCATAGCAGATTTGAGATTTATCCTTGTTGTGTGAAATCAATAGTTAATTCCTTTTTATTGCTGAAAAGTATGTCATTGTGTGGATGCACCACCGTTTGTTTATTCATTCACACTGTGAAGGATATTTGGGAGGTTCTAGTTTGGGATTATCACAAATAAAGTGGCTATGAACATTCGTGAACAGGCATTTGGGAAAACTAAGTTTTCATTTCCCTAGAATAAGTATCTATGAATGAGATTGCTGTGTCATGCGTAAGTATATGTTTAATTTTATTTAAAAACTGCCCAACTGTATTCCAGGTATTTTTTGCTTCATGTAATTTGAAGCTCTGTTGTTAGGTGCATACACATTTGGGATTGTTTTTTCTTTTTGGTGAATTGAACCTTTTATCATTACATATTATCTCTCTTAATCCTTGGAATTTCCCTTGTTCTAGTCTACTGTATCTGGTGACAATATATCTGATGTTAATAGAACTACTGTAGCTTTGATTCCATTAATGTTTTCATGACATATCTTTGGCCATCATTTACTTTTGACCTATGTATTTTGTTGAACTTAAAGTGGATTTCATAGAGAAAGCATATTGTTGAGTCTTATTTTTAAATTCATTCCAATAATCGATGTCTATTAGTTGGCATATTTCAGCCCTTTGCATTTAATTATTGATTTGTTTGTACTTAGATGGACAGTTTTTTGTTATTTGTTTACTGTTTGTTCTTTCTTTTTTGTACCTGTTTCCCCTTTCCTATCTTTGGGATGCTTGAATTTTTTTAGTATTCTATTTTAACTTTTCTGTTTTTATATTCTCTTTGTATGCTTTTTGGTGATTGCTCTAGAGATTACAATATTCATACTTATTTTTTCACAGTCTGTGTAGAACAACATTTAACTATTCAATATGGAATGTAGAAACCTTACCACCATATAGGTCCCTTTACTTCACCCCCTTTATGTTGTAGGTGTCTTATGTATTACATCTGCAGACGCCGAAAGTGCCACCAGTGTTATCACTTTTTTTTTTTTTCTTTGTGATGGGGTCTCTGTCACCTAGGCTGGAGTGCAGTGGCACGATCTCGGTTCATTGCAACCTCTGCCTCCCAGACTCAAGTGAGCCTCCCACCTCAGCCTCCCGAGTAGCTAGGACCACAGGCATGTGCCACCATGCCCAGCTAATTTTTGTATTTTTGGTAGAGACAGGGTTTCGTCAAGTTGCCCAGGCTGGTCTCAAACTCCTGAGCTCAAGCGATCCACCTGGCTTGGCCTCCCCAAGTGCTAGGATTACAGGCATAAGCCACCATGCCTGGCATCACTTTTACTTTATAGATATTGTATAGAAATTGTGAGGCCAATCCACGCAGCCCTCTATGCTATACAAGTTGGCGGCAGGGCCAATGGTTGTGCCGAGACTCGCCGCTGCCCGGGCTGCTGGGTCTTGAGTGTCACCTACACTGCCATGGATGCCACCGGACGCTGACAGACCTGTGGAGAGTCGGGTTGTGCCTCCCGGGCCTTATCGGGCCACCAAGCTGTGGAATGAAGTTACCACATCTTTTCGAGCAGGAATGCCTCTAAGAAAACACAGACAACACTTTAAAAAATATGGCAATTGTTTCACAGCAGGAGAAGCAGGGGATTGGCTTTATGACCTATTAAGAAATAATAGCAATTTTGGTCCTGAAGTTACAAGGCAACAACTGTTGAGGAAATTTCTTAAGAATCGTATAATTGAAGATATCAAAGGGAGGTGGGGATCAGAAAATGTTGATGATAACAACCAGCTCTTCAGATTTCCTGCAACGTTGCCACTTAAAACTCTACCACGAAGGCATCCAGAATTGAGAAAAAACAGCATAGAGAACTTTTCCAAAGATAAAGATAGTATTTTTAAATTACAAAACTTATCTCGTAGAACTGCTGAAAAGCATGGATTACATTTATCTCAGGAAAATGCCGAGAAAATAAAACATGAAATAATAAATGAAGATCAAGAAAATGCAGTTGATGATAGAGAACTAAGCCAGGAAGACGTTGAAGAAGTTTGGAGATATTTTATTCTGATCTACCTGCAAACTATTTTAGGTGTGCCATCCCTAGAAGAAGTCATAAATCCAAAACAAGTAATTCCCCAATATATAATGGGGCCAATACAAGTAAACATGGAGTAGTTATACTACAAAACAAATCAGATGACCTCCCTCACTGGGTATTATCTGCCATGAAGTGCCTAGCAAATTGGCCAAGAAGCAATGATATGAATAATCCAACTTATGTTGGATTTGAATGACATGTATTCAGAACAATCACAGATTATTTTCTAGATCTCCCTGAACCTCTACTTACTTTTGAATATTACGAATTACTTGTGAACATTTTGGTTGCATCTTCATTTTTGTTTCATTTCGTGGTAGTTGTTTGTGGCTACATAACAGTTTCAGATAGATCCAGTGGGATACATAAAATCCAAGATGATCCCCAGTCTTCAAAATTCCTTCACTTAAACAATTTGAGTTCCTTCAAATCAACTGAGTGCCGCCTTCTCAGTCTGCTTCGTAGAGAAAAAAAAATAAAGAAGAATCAGATTCTACTGAGAGACTACAGATAAGCAATCCAGGATTTCAAGAAAGATGTGCTAAGAAAATGCAGCTAGTTAATTTAAGAAACAGAAGAGTGAGTGCTAATGACATAATGGGAGGAAGTTGTCATAATTTAATAGGGTTAAGTAGTATGCGTGATCTATCCTCTAACAGCAAACCAAGGTGCTATTCTTTGGAAGGAATTGTAGATGTGTCAGGGAATTCAAGTAAAGAGGCATCCAGTGTCTTCCATCAATCTTTTCCGAACATAGAAGGACAAAATAATAAACTGTTTTTAGAGTCTAAGCCCAAACAGGAATTCCTGTTGAATCTTCATTCAGAGGAAAATATTCAAAAGCCATTCAGTGCTGGTTTTAAGAGAACCTCTACTTTGATTGTTCAAGACCAAGAGGAGTTGTGTAATGGGAAATGCAAGTCAGAACAGCTTTGAAGGTCTCAGAGTTTGCTTTTAACAAGTAGTACAAGAAGGAATAGTTATTATCAATACACCAGTGGCTGAAATTACCATGAAACCAAATGTTGGACAAGGCAGCACAAGTGTGCAAACAGCTATGGAAAGTGAACTTGGAGAGTCTAGTGCCACAATCAATAAAAGACTCTGCAAAAGTACAATAGAACTTTCAGAAGACTCTTTACTTCCAGCTTCTTCTGTGTTGACTGGCACACAAAGTTTGCTGCAACCTCATTTAGAGAGGGTTGCCATCGATGCTCTACAGTTATGTTGTTTGTTATTTCCCCCACCAAATCATAGAAAGCTTCAACTTTTAATGCGTATGATTTCCCGAATGAGTCAAAATGTTGATATGCCCAAACTTCATGATGCAATGGGTGCGAGATCACTGTTGATACATACCGTTTCTCAATGTGTGTTATGCTGTGCTGAAGAAGTGGACCTTGATGAGCTTCTTGCTGGAAGATTAGTTTCTTTCTTAATGGATCATGATCAGGAAATTCTTCAAGTACCCTCTTACTTGCAGACTGCAGTGGAAAAACATCTTGACTACTTAAAAAGGGGACATATTGAAAGTCCTGGAGATGGACTATTTGCTCCTTTGCCAACTTACTCATACGGTAAGCAGATTAGTGCTCAGGAGTTTGATGAGCAAAAAATTTCTACCTCTCAAGCTGCAATTGCAGAACTTTTAGAAAATATTGTTAAAAACAGGACTTTACCTCTAAAGGAGAAAAGAAAAAAACTAAAATAGTTTCAGAAGGAATATCCTTTGATATATCAGAAAAGATTTCCAACCATGGAGAGTGAAGCAGCACTTTTTGGTGACAAACCTACAATCAAGCAACCAATGCTGATTTTAAGAAAACCAAAGTTCTGTAGTCTAAGATACTAGCTGAATTAAAAAGTATGTAATACTTGTGGAACTTTGATAAATGAAGCCATATCTGAGAATGTAGCTACTCAAAAGGAAGTCTGTCATTAATAAGGTATTTCTAAATAAACACATTATGTAAGGTAGTGCCAAAATAGATGTTTATCAATGTGAGACTCCTAGGAAACTAACTAGATCTCAATTGAGAGCACATAACATATACTTTTTGTTTTTAACACAGCTATCCAGTAAGGCTATCATGATGTGTGCTAAAATTTTATTTACTTGAATTTTGAAAACTGAGCTGTGTTAGGGATTAAACTGTAATTCTGTTTTTTAAAAAAAATTTATCTGCACATGTGCAAGTTCTGAGATATTAGCTAATGAATTAGTTGTTTGGGGTTACTTCTTTGTTTCTAAGTATAAGAATGTGAAGAATATTTGAAAACTCAATGAAATAATTCTCAGCTGCCAAATGTTGCACTCTTCTATATATTCTTTTTCCACTTTTGATCTATTTATATATATATGTATGTGTTTTTAAAATATGTATATATTTTATCAGATTTGGTTTTGCCTTAAATATTATCCCCAACTGCTTCAGTCATTCATTTGTTCAATATATATATTTTGAATTCTAATTTTCATAATCTATTAGAAGATGAGGATGTAAAAGAAGTATAAGGCAATCATATATTCATTCAAAAGATATTTATTTAGCAACTGCTATGTGCCTTTCATTATTCCAGATATGCGGAGACAATGATAAATAAAACATATAATCTCTTCCATAAGGTATTTATTTTTTAATCAAGGGAGATACACCTATCAGATGCTTAAAATAACAACATTACCCACTGAAATCAGGGCATATAGAATCATTCAGCTAAAGACTGACTTCTATGATGATGGAACAGGTCTCTAAGCTAGTGGTTTTCAAACTGGTGCACGTTAGACTCACCCGAGGAGTTTTAAAACAGCCTATATGCCCAGGGCCTAATTTATACTAATTGAATCTGAATTTTGGGGATGTTGTATAGGGATTAGTATTTTTTTTTAATCTAGGTGATTCCAATATTCATCCAACTGTGAGAATCAATGGCCTAAATGCTTTTTATAAACATTTTTATAAGTGTCAAGATAATGGCACATTGACTTTATTTTTACATTGGAAGAAAACGCTTGCCAAGTATAAATGACTCTCATCTTAAAACAAGGTTCTTCAGTTTCTGCTTGATTGACTTGGTACAAACTTGAAGCAAGTTGCCTTCTATTTTTTACTTCAAGATTGTTTCATATCTATTCCTTAAGTGTAAAGAAATATATAATGCCTGGGTTGTAATAAAATCTTAATGTTTAATGACTATTCTCATTTCTCAATGTAATTTCATACTATTCCTCTATAAAATGATAGTGTTCCATTTAACATTACTGATTTTTATTAAAAACCTTGACAGAAAATTATGAATTATAAATATGACTTTATCCTGGCTATAAAATTATTGGACCAAATTGAATTCTTTCTAAGGCATTTGTATACTAAAACTTCTATTGCTTATAGATATGTAAAATGTGGATTATGTTGCAAATTGAGATTAAAATTATTTGGGGTTTTGTAACAAAAAAATTATGAGAAGAATCTATTATATTATCCATATATGTACCATTTCTGTTGCTTTTTATTTCTGAAGTTTCAAGTTTCCCTCCCGTGTCACTCTTGTCTGAGAAACTTCCATTAACATATCTTTCAGAGCAGCTCCATTGACTAATTCTCTTCATTTTCTTTCATCTGAGAATATCTTTGTTTCCTCCCCATTCTTGAAGATTATTTGTACTTAGTATAGAATTCTGGGTTAACAGTTCTTGTCTTTCATTCCTTTAAAAATGTTGTGCCTCTGTGGTTTCTGATGAGAACTCTGCAGTCATTCAGAGGGTTGTTCTCCTATTTATAATGCGGTGATTTTTCCTTGCTGTATTCAGGCTTTTTGTCAAAAATCTTGTCTTTGGTTTTTCAGCCACATGATTATGATTTGTCTGGGCCTGGATTTCTTTTATTTTCTTTTGCTTGGGGTTCCCTGAGTGTCTTAAATCTATAAATTTGTCTTTCACTAAATTTGGGAAGATTTCAGCCACCGTTTGTCAAATTTTCTTTTCCACACCAGACTCTTACTCCTTTCTTGGGACTTTGGTGACACAAATGTTCAACCTTTTGAATTCTTTCCCTCAGTTTCCTGAGTCTCTTAATTTTTTTCATTTTTTTCTCTCCGATGTTCCAATTAGATAATTTCTATTGATTTCTCTTCAAGTCCAGTGACTTTCCTCTGCTATCTCCATTCTGCCATTTAACCCATCTAAAGAACATTTTTTACATGTCAGCTATTGTATTTTTCATCTCTAAAATTTCCACTTGATTCTTCTTTATATCTTTTTTCTTTACTGAGACTTCTGTCTTTTGTTGTTGTTGTTGTTGTTGTTGTTGTTGAGATGGAGTCTCGCTCTGTTGCCCAGGCTGGAGTGCAGTGGCACGATCTCTGCTCACTGAAACCTCCATCTCCTGGGTTCAAGTGATTCTCCTGCCTCAGCCTCCCCAGTAGCTGGGATTATAGGTACATGCTACCAGGCCCAGTTGATTCTTGTACTTTTAGTAGAGATGGGGTTTCACCATGTTGGCCAACCTGGTCTTGAACTCCTGACCTCAGGTGATCCGCCTGCCTCAGCCTCACAAAGTGTTGGGATTACAGGCGTGAGCCACCGCACCTGGCTGACTTCTGTCTTTACATTTGTTTATTCTTACGTCTTGGAGCATGGTTATTATAGCTGCTTTTGTCTGCTTTTGCCAATATTTTTGTCGTCTCGGAGTAGCATATGTTGTTTTTCTCTTTTCTTGTAGTAAAGATTTTCCTGGTCATTTGTGTACCAAGTAATTTGGATTGAATCCTGGACATTTGGAATATTACGTTATCAGACTCTATGTCTTATCATAAGGAGAATATTGATTTTGTTTGTTTTATCAGGCAATCTACATAGCTAGGTTCAGGCTTCAAGTTCTGACCCTTTCAGGGATGTGGTTCCAAAGTTGAGTCTGTTTTCAGAGCTTTCGCAATGCTATTTGGATCCTTCTATAGCTTACGCACCACTCAGTGGCAAGCCTGGGACCTGGATGATAGCTAGTCCTATAGTTCTATAATCAAAGCCTTTGGTGTACTGTTTAGGGTTAGATTCGTGCATGCACAGCTCAGAGGTGAGCCAGAAGATCACACCTCCCTTTACAGGGTTACTTTCTTGAGCTCCTCCTCTTCACAGTCTTTCTGGTTCTTTATGCTCCTTTCAGTGTCCTTTGATCAGATAGCCAGGGCTTTAGTGTCCCTGCTTTGTCTTGTACTTTATGACTTTATCTGTGTGGAGGTTAAATGGTGGGAGGACAGAGAAAAAAAGCAATGAGGATTTGCTCCAAGCCCTTGAGACCACAGCTCCTGTGGGCAGAGAGGAGAATTCCCCTCCCTCAGAGTTTTAGGAACATGCCTGGAAGCTGTGGCCACCACTCCTGCCACTGCAGAATTGCTACCACATCATTGATTTTACTGTTAGTTTTGAAAAACCAATTTGGTTGAGATATAATTCACATACCATAATTCACCCACTAAAAGTACAGTTTATTGATTTTTAGTATATTCACAGATATATGAAACTATTCGCACAATTTAATTTTGGAACACTTCATTACCCCAAAAAGAAATTCTTACCCATTACCAGTGACTTACACACATGCCCCCCTCTGTAGGCAACCATTAATCTATCTTCTGTCTTTACAGATTTATCAGGGCATTTTATACAAATGGCATCATATAATATATTATCTTTTGTGTTTGGCTTCTTTCACTTAATGTTTTCAAGGTTCATCCATGTTGTAGTAAGTACCAGTACTTCCTTCCTTTTCATTGCTGATTGATATTCAATTGTATGGATATATCACATTGCATGTATCTGTTAATCAGTTGATGGATATTTGGGTTTTTCTACTTTTGGCTAATATGAGTAATGCTGTTATGACAATTCATATACAGATATGTTTTCATTTCTCTTTGGTATATACCTAGGAGTAGAATGTCTGGGTCATATGGGAATTCTATGCTTAACTTTTGAGTAACTGCTGAACTATTTTTTGAAGTAGCTGTATCATTTTATGTTCCTACCAGCAGAGTATAAGATTTCCAGTTTCTCCACATCTTTGTCAACACTTATTATTGTTTGTCTTTCTTATTATACCCATCCTAGTGGGTGTGAAGTTATATTTCGTTGTGATTTTGATTTGCTTTTCCTTAATGACTAGTGATGTTGAGTATCTTTTCATGTGATTATTGACTGGTTTTATGTATTCTTTTGAGAAATATCTATTCAAATCCTTTGTCCATTTTTATTGGTTATTTGTGTTTTTATTATTGAGTTGTATATATCCTGTATACAAGTCCCTTATCAGATGTACATTGTGCAAATATTTTCTCCCATTCTGTAGGTTGCCTTTCCATATTCTTGATAGTGTTCTTTGAGAAAAAACTATAAATTTTTGTAATTTTGATGAAGTTCAATTTATCTGTTCTTTTGTTGATTGTACTTTTGTTATTGTACCTACAAAATTATTGCCTAACTCAAGATTACAAAGATTTACTGCTATGTTTTCTTCTAAGTGTTGTTATGCTATTGTCTCTTAGGTTTAGGAGGCTCATGATCAATCTTGTCTTAATTTTTGTGTACAGTGTGAAGTAAGGATAGAACTTTATTCATTCACTTGTGGATACTAAGTTGCCCGACCATTATTTGTTAAAAAAACAAAAAAACAAAAAAACCCAAAAAAACCTGTTCTTTCCCCACAAAATTATCTTGCTGCTCTTGTAAAGAATCAACCAGACATAAATGCAAGGGTTTATGCCAATACCATACTATCTTAATTATTGTGGATTTATCATAAATTTTAAAGTCAGAAAATGTGAGTCCTCCTTTGTTTTTCGAGATTATCCTGGCTATTCTCAATCCCTTGAATTTCCATATGAATTTTAGGGTCAGCTTGTCAATTTCTGAAAAAAAAGCCAGCTGGAATTTTGAAAGGGATTGGGTTGAATCTGTACATTAATCTAAGGAGTATTGCCATCTTAGCAACATTGCATTTTCTGGCCCATGAATATGGGATATCTTTTAACAGCAACACTGGGAACTGGAAGACAACGGAAGATAACTTCAATGTGTTCAATACAAAACCCTGCAAAACTAAAATTCTAATTCCAGTGAAAGTATCTTTATAAAATGAAGGGAGAAGAAGTGAGCATTTGGTGACAGAGAGTATAGATAAATCTTCAAAGATTGTTGCTATAAAGGACAGCATAAAAAGGATTGGTAGCTGGAGGGAGATATGAAGTTGATTTTTAAGATGAGCAACTTAAAAACATCTCATATAGAGAAGAAGGAAGTGATGAAACAGTGGAAATCAGGGCTAATTGGAAGGATGATGTCCCTTAGTAACTTTTAGCAGGTGAGGAGGGTAGCATCCAAAGGGAGGTAAGGTGAGAGAAGGATGAAGGATGAGGGTACAGAAGCTGAAGAATAATGATAGGGAAGATCAAGAGTTCTCCATTAGACCACTGTGTGGAGTAGGTAGCAAAGTTATAAGGGAGACTGAAGGGAAAGAGTTTGTTGGAAATTTGAGAAAAACAGAAAAGTATGAAATTGTCATCTTGGGGAATAACAAAGTGAAATTTCCATGAAAATAAAACAATTTAGCAGTTTTCAGTGCCTATATGATATAAATTTGAAGACAGCCTAGTCATCAGAGTTCTAAGATTTTTTTCCAGTGATGTTCAGGTTTGGTACAAGTCCAGAGTAAGTGATGCAGAGTAGAGGGAAGCATGGACAAAGCGTGAATATTATGTGTAAAAGCATGACTCTGGCCGGGTGTGGTGGCTCATGCCTGTAATCCAGCACTTTGGGAGGCTGAGGCAGCAGGATCACTTGAGGTCAGGAGTTTGAGACCAGCCTGGCCAACATGGCAAAACCCTGCACTACTATACAAAAGATAGCCAGGCATGGTGGTGCACGCCTGTATCCCAGCTACTCGGGAGGCTGAGGTAGGAGAATTGCTTGAACCCGGGAGGCAGAGGTGGCAGTGAGCTGAGATCACACCACTGCACTCCATCCTGGGTGACAGAGCAAGACTCCATCTCAAAAACGAAAAGGCAAAAATGCATGCCAATGTGGTAAGCCACGATCTATTAGGTGAGGCAGTTAAAGAAGCAGGACTCAGAAGGAGGAAAGTGTGAGAAGTGACAGGATTAGCAGAATGTAGGCCCTGAGAAGGGCAGACTCATGCACACATGGCCATTGGATACCTTGCAGAAATTAGTAGTTCTCTTTGGGGTAGGTGCCAAATAAGTGGTAATTGACTCTGGCCACATATTATGGTCACCTGGGGACCTTTAAAAAATTTATCAGTGGGATTCAAGCCCATTGGTTCAGGATCTCTGAGCATTAGTGTCTTTTAAAAGATGCACAAGTGATTCTAATACAGAGACAGAGCTGATGGCTGCTACAAGAGAGCGTGGAGTGCTGGAGACCTCGAGGCCTGGAAATACAGAGCTGCTGCCTTGCATAGCTCCCAATGGCACATTGATATGGACTGCAGTGTCCCTGGGTGGAGGGTTATAGCAATCTTAGAGCATTTTAAGATTGACAACCCACGAGAGGAGGTGTAGACCCATTAAATTATTAGGGATTTAAAATATCTAGAGCAGTGATTCTAAACCCTGGAGGGGGCAGGTCAGAAAAACACTTCAATGCCTAGATAGCATCCCAGACATCAAAATCAAAATTACATCAAAATCACTGTGGTTGAAGCCCAGGCTAAATCAGGACATTAAAAAAGCTCCCCAGTTTTTTTTGTATGGTAAATACTGGGTGGGGTGCAGCGTTGAGTGGAGATTTGATGATTTCTGATGGAGTCGTGTTGAGTTTGAGGAAGTTGTGCTTCATCCAGTTGGAGATGTCAAAGAAGCCATTAGCTCCAGGTCTGGAGCTTGGCAAAGTCTTGAGCTGAAGCAAAATAATCCTCCCCACTATGGGTGAATTGTTGATTGCTATATATTTTTAGAACATATTAGTTTTGTGATGTTCCAATGCAAGTCATAGTCTTTATAAATGACCATGTCTGCTCTCTGGTTCGAGCAGTATTCCCATAGCTAGAGAGGAGAATACAGTTCTGGCACTGATGTGGGATGCTTGTAAAATGCAGTTAGAAGAGCGTCGGGGAAGGGAGGTTTCTGCAGAGTTTGTGTGATCGTACCTGCTAATTTTAGAGTCAAAGGCCCAGATTGGAGAAAGACTCAGTAGAATGAGACCAGCTGAAGCTCCTGACTTACACAGCAGGGCCGTTCTTGGCTGTGTGCCCAGAGGGCGATGACCACATGCTTAGCAGGAAGGCACTATTGTTTCCTGTTTTGCTTGTTTGTGTGTTTGATTTTGTGTGTGTGTGTGTGTGACAGACATGTTGGTATTTCCCTTTATCTAAATGATACTATCCATTTCTACAGTTTTATATGTGTTTAAGAGGAGGTAGCTATCTTGAGGCAGTTTTTGAACTTTGACTACATGACTTTTAAGGTCCCTCAGTCCATTTTGATAATTTGTCAACATTAAAAGTAAATGAAAACCTACGTTTTAGGATTCATATGAAATAAAAATCGAAGACATTTATTTTTGTGAGTTCCCTTAAAATATGTCAAACTACCTAGCATTGAATATTGTTATGCTTGTTCAAGTGAGAATCTGGCCGTTGTTTTGGGGTGACACAGTTCTTGCCACATCTGTTCTAACGATCATCAGTGGGTCAACCTCATTTGTGAAAGCCTCTTCACATCCTCCTATTAATTTTTGTGGAATATTTGTTTACTCAAGGCACTGACAATGCTCAAAGAATTCTATAGAATTATTTTAAAGGGCTTCCTTATTAAATTCTAATTTACCATATAAACTGCTTTGTCCACATGAAAGTGACCCACAATTACACTTTGAAATGTAATTGACATTTCATTAGTGACTGTGGGTTTGTGTCTTGGAAGAGAGATTTTGTCTCCTTAGGGCCAGGGTTGCCCATGGTACAATACATGGGAATACGTTGCGGCTGGCTGGTAATGTCCAGGGGCTGGCTCCCAAATCTCCTTGTTACATTGATTTATGTATTTATGTATTTCTGGGGTTATTGGAAATAATATTGCAGTTGTCCTCTTGACCATTGTGTTTAAGTGGTAGCAGTAGCAGTGGTACTAGGAGTGGTATAGTGAGATCTAACCTCTAGCAAGTCCTTTCTCTGTGCCAAGAACCCTTTATATATATAAACGTATATATATATATAATATATATATTATTTCATTTCATCCCTGCAGTAACCCTATGAGGAAGGCGCCATTTCCATCCACATTGTATAAAAGAAGAGATGAAGTAACTTCCCCAAACTTTGGGGTTAGAATTAGATCCCTGGCTGTCTGGGCTCCAACTTAAGATCCCTGGAGATTCAGCACCAGGAGGTGCAGGATTAATGAGATCTGCCTCTGCCTTAGAGAAAAGCAGGAGCTGGGGTATGGGAGTGGATATGACAGCACAGTGAAGTTGGGTTCATCTGGACAGGGACAGAGGTTAAAGAGCCTCCATGTGATGTGTGCCTGTGCCATCTAACCCTGCTCAGTCCAGTGGCATTCCAGTGGCTCCGAGGAGACAGGAGAGATCTCCTGCTTTGAGGAAGAGGATGGTTTCCTGCCATCATTTCTATGTCATGGAGCAACTTCGGTGGCCCCCACATACCCAGTATACAATCTTTACTGCTTTCTTGTGCGTACTGTTCCTTAGAAGCAAGAGGGATGCTGAGTAGTTGTTAGGTCCGCAGTAGCTGGTGTGAGGCCAGAAGTTTTGTCAAAATTCCAAATAATGGTAAATTGTAAGCTGATTTCATCTAATTTATTTATCTTGCATAGGCTATCCCCATATTCTTATTTAACTTGAGCTGGTTCAGAGTTACTAAAAGCAGTGTGTGTGTGTGTGTGTGTGTGTGTGTGTGTGTGTGTTGGGTACACTGGGTTTTTATGCATTCCTGTCCTCAGAAAGGACCCAGTGAATGGATGAGAGGGCAGCCCTGTCTCTGTCACCCTGGCCATGTTAGCTTTGGGGGATGGAGCATTGAGGCCATAGTTGATTACATCACGAGGACAGTGACTTTGTGCGTCAGCACTGACTTTATGGCCTTCTCTGGGACCACAGTGGCAAGACTGTCTTATAGACATTTCCAGGGCCCTGAAAAGTACCTTGAGAGGAGAAACAAAAAGGTTTTCTTTAATGTCTACATTATTCTCACAATTATTGTTTGCAGGAGAAATCCCTGTTCCAATTTAATAAGTAAAGAGAAGTTAAAATAATGATGAATGGTAATAATGTAAAACTCAAACTACAAAATAAAAAGAAAGATACACTGTAAAAGAGTTATTCTGTGTTTAGAAAGAAAAAGCAACAGAGGACCCACAGGCCCTTAGTCAGAGGTGTGGAAGTTGAAAGCAGGTGTCCACAGGCGCTGAAGTGTTACTGGGCACAGCTAACTCCATGGCCAGTGGGGCAAGACTGGGCAAGGGGCAGCAGCTGGGCTCATCTTCAGCGGAGTCCCCACTGGAGGTGAGGCTGGAGTCCTCAGCTCTGCTCCCTTGCTCTGTGACTCATGATGCGCCTTTGCAGAAGGCTTAAGCCCATAACCCCTTTCTAGCGGACACCAGGTAGACAACACCAGCCACTGCACACCCCTGTTTGCCTTGCTGCCTGCCTGGCTGCCAGTCTGTTAACAGACCTAGGCCGCCACTGGGTGGAAAACAAGCAAACAGGCAAGGCCAAAGCTCGAAGGTAGATTGAGAAGCATTTCAGTGAAAACACCATTCTTACTTGAAAATTTCTTTGACGTTGAAGACCAGTACTTTTTTTTTTTTTGAGACAGAGTCTCGCTCTGTCTCCCAGGCTGAAGTGCAGTGGCGCAATCTCTGCTCACTGCAAGCTCCACCTCCTGGGTTCACACCATTCTCCTGCCTCAGCCTCCCAAGTAGCTGGGACTACAGGCGCCCGCCAGCACGCCTGGCTAATTTTTTTGTATTTTTAGTAGAGACGGGGTTTCACCGTGTTAGCCAGAATGGTCTCGATCTCCTGACCTCGTGATCCACCCACCTCGGCCTCCCAAAGTGCTGGTATTACAGGCGTGAGCTGCCGTGCCCAGCCAAAGACTAGCACTTTTGTTTAAGGACTGCACAGTTTAGGTTTTCCTTACATGATGCTTCCTATCTGATACTAATGGACAGGAAAGGCCCCATTGAGAGTTCTCACCCTGTAGCATTCTAGCTCGCCCTCAGATATATGAAGAAGTTCTCTTGTGTTTTCAAATGCTTCTGGCACCATCAGGCTAAAAAACCATGTACGCCACATATTATTAATACTTCCTCACTTTCCCCCTCCTTCCATTCCTCCTCCTTCCCTCTCTCCTATCTTCCCTTATTCTCTCTCCCACCTTCACTTCCCCTCTTCCCACCTTCCCTTCATCTCTCTCCTCCTTAAATAGAATTATCTCTCTTCTCTCTTTCACACACACACACACACACACGAACACAGAGGAACACACACATAATCACACACACACACCATCTCTCTCTCTCTCTCTGTCTCTCTCACTCTCTTCGTCTTCCTTCTGTGCCAGCCAACTAGACTAATAAGGAGACCAACCAGTTATTCCAGGAGAACCTCCTTCATACCCCTACTCCAGCAGTTCTCAAACTGTGGTCTGTGGACCCCTGGGGTCCCTGAGAAGCTTTCAGGAGGTTCACAATGTCAAAATGATTTTCATAATAATATTAAAAGTGCAAATCTGGAAGCATCACATTACATGATTCAAACTATACTATAAGCCCATAGTCACCAAAACAGCATGGTACTGTTATAAAAACAGGCACATAGACCAATGGAACAGAATAGAGAACCCAGAAATAAACCGAAATACTTACAGCCAACTGATCTTCAACAAAGCAAACAAAAACGAAGTGGGGAAAGTACACCCTTTTCAACAATGGTGCTGGGATAATTGGCTGGCCACATGTAGGAGAATGAAAATGGATTCTTGTCTGTCACCTTATACAAAAATCAACTTAAGATGGATTAAAGACTTAAATCTAAGACATGAAACTATAAAAATTCTAAAAGATAACATTGGAAAAACCCTTCTAGACCTTGGCTTAGGCAAGGATTTCATGACCAAGAGCCCAAAAGCAAATGCAATAAAAACAAAGATAAATTGCTGGGACTTAATTAAACCAAAGAGCTTTTGCATGGCAAAAGGAACAGCCAGCAGAGTAAACAGACAACCCACAGAGTGGGAGAAAATCTTCACAATCTATATGTCTGACAAAGGACTAATATCCAAAATCTACAATGAACTCAAATCAACAAGAAAAAAAAATCCCATTAAAAAGTAGGCTAAGGACATGTATAGACAATTCTCAAAAGAAGATATACAAATGGCCAACAATCATATGAAAAAATGCTCAACATCACTAATGAGCAGAAAAATGCAAATCAAAACCATAATGCAATACCACCTTACTCCTGCAAGAATGGCCATAATCAAAAAAATCAAAAAATAGTAGATGTTGGCATGGATGCAGTGAACAGGGAACACTTCTACACTGCTGGTGGGAATGTAAACTAATACAACCACTATGGAAAACAGTGTGGAGATTCCTTAAAGAACTAAAAGTAGAACTACCACTTGATCCAGCAGTCCCACTGCTTGGTATCTACCCAGAGAAAAGTCATTATACAAAAAAAGATAACTGCACATGTGTGTTTATAGCAGCACAATTCTCAATTGCAAAAATGTGGAACTGATCCAAATGCCTATCAATCAAGGAATGGATAAAGAAACTGTGAGATATATATATATATATATAATATATATATATATATATATCACAGGTTATATATATATATATGATGGAATACTACTCAGTCATAAAAAGGAATGAATTAATGGCATTTGCAGCAACCTGGATGAGATTGGAGACCATTATTCTAAGTGAAGTAACTCAGGAATGGACAACCAAACATTGTATGTTATCATGCATAAGTGGGAGCTAAGCTATGAGGATGCAAAGGCATAAGAATGACACAGTGGACTTTGGGGACTTGGGGAAAGAGTGGGAAGGGGGTGAAGGATAAAAGACTAGAAATAGGGTACAGTGTATACTGCCTGGGTGATGGGTGCACCAAAATCTCACACGTCACCACTAAGGAACTTACTCGTGTAACCAAACACCACCTGTCTCCCAATAACCTATGGAAATATAAATAAATATTTGGTAGAATTCTTCAGTGACACTGCCTGGATCTGGAGATTTCTTTTTTTGGGAGTTTGCTTAAAAAAAAAAAGTCATTTGCCTTTTTCACTATGTGAACATTTGGGCCATGGTACAAGAAGTAATGGTGGTAAAACTGCTGGCACCTTAGCTTGAATCAAGCTTGTGGCATCAAACTGCGCCATTAGTCATTGTATTCCTCACTGTTTTGCACAATGTAAAAGTAAATGCTAATTTCCCTTAGTAATGTCCCTGATGAAACAGTAAAAATGATTCATTTTATTAAATATTGACCCTTGACTACAAGTCGTTTTAATATTCTGAGCACTTCTGCTGCATATGATGATGGTGGTCTTAAAACGAAATCACCATCTGTGCAGTTGTTTCAGTTGCAAGCTGAACTGGCCCCCTTTTCCATGAAACACCACTTTTACCTGAAAGAATGACTGACAAACTATGTTTACTCAGACTTTGTTATATGGCAAAGATTTTTTTTTTCAAAAATGATGAGGGTAAGTCTCTCAGTTAAAACAATTAATACCATTTGTTGCTTTCCAGTCAACATTCATATTCTTTAAAACATGACCTAAATAGCTTACCAGCACTTAAATTCTGCATTAATATTGGCGGTAATATTAGTGAATGTGATTTTTGATATTGCATAATATATAGTATGTCAACATTTGAAAAAGTTTCATAACTCAGCAAGCTAATGTTTTCCAGATGACTAATGCATGATGTAGCAAAATTATGCATGAATGAAAGATTCATTTGAAGTGTAAGCTAGACCAATGGATTTTAGAGTAACAGAGTACAAAATGTTCATTGATGTCATGTTAGATTCCACAGTGCCACTAGCTTTTAAGCAACTATCACTTGTCAAGTTTCAGAGTGATATCAAAGAATATCCTACAATTATTTGAAAAACCTACTAAAATACTCCTCACTTTTACAACTACATTTCTCTATGAGGATAGATTTTCCTCATATACGTCATCCAAAACAACATAGTTTTGCTTTGTAGTTGTACTGTATTTGTATGTATCCATACACATCATACTTTAGCATTGCATGTTTTCAACTTTACATAAATGGAATCATACTGTATACATTTTGTGTTTTTCTTTCTTGTTTGATTCAACATATACATTGAATCAAAGCATCACTGTAGGTACCTGGAGTTCTTTCATATTCAGTGTTTTATTTGTATATGAATATGCCACATTCATTTATAAATTATTTTAAAATTTTAATTTTAGATTCAGTAGCTATGTGTGCAGGTTTGTTACAAGGGTATATTGTGTGATGCTGGGGTTTGGGCTTCTGTTGATCCCATCATGTACATAGTGAACATAGTACCCAACAGGTAGTTTTTCAGCCCTTGCCCCCCTCTCTCCTTCTCTTCCTTTGGAGTTTCTGGCATCTGTTATTCCTGTCTTTATGTCTGTGCATACCCAATATTTAGCTCTCACATACAATATTTGGTTTTCTGTGTTAATTGCACTAGGATAATGGCCTCCAGCTCCACTTATGTTGTTTGAAAAGGACATTATTTCATCCTTTTTTTGGCTGCAGAGTATTCCATGGTGTATATGAAACACATTTTCTTTTTTCAGTCCATCACTGATGGGCATCTAGGTTGATTCCATGTCTTTGTTGCTGTGAATAGTGCTACAATGAATATACGTATGCTTGTATCTTTTGGGTAGTACAATTTATTTTCTTTTGGGTAGATACCCAGTAATGGGATTGTTGGATTGAATGGTAGTTCTCTTTTTAGTTCTTTGAGACATCTCCAAACTGCTTTCTGCAGTGGCTGAACTAATCTACTTTCCCACATGCAGTGTGTAAGTGTTCCCTTTTCTCTGTAGCCTCACTGTCTGTTATTGTTTGGATTTTTAATAATGGCCATTCTGACTGGTATGAGATGGTGTCTTTTTGTGGTTTCGGCATGCATTTCTCTGATGATTAGTGATGTTGAGCAGTTTTTCATATGTTTGTTGGCCACTCATATGTCTCTTTTTGAGAAGTGTCTCTTTATGTCCTTTACCCACTGTTTAATGAGGTTGTTCCTTGCTTATTGATTTGTTTGCATTCCTTATAGATTATGGATATTAGTCCTTTGTCAGAGGCATAGTTTGTGAATATTTTCTGCCATTTCTCTAGGTGGTATATTTACTGTGTTATTTTGCTGTGCAGAAGCTCTGTAGTTTAATTTTGTCCCACTTGTCAATTTTAGTTTTTGTTGCAATTGCTTTTGAGGACTTAGTCGTAAGTTCTTTGCCTAGGCTGATGTCCAGAAGGGTATTTTCTAGGTTTTCTTCTAGGATTTTTATAGTTTGAGGTCTTACATTTAAGATTTTAATCCATCTTGAGTTAATTTTTTATATGGCGATAGGGAGGGGTCCAGTTTCATTCTTCTGCATATGGCTAACCAGTTTTCCCAGCACCATTTGTTGAATAAGGGAGTCCTTTCCCCATTGCCTATTTTTGTCAACTTTGTTTCTATTCAACAATGACTAGTTCAACTTATCCTGACACAAATAATAATTATACATAGTATTAAAGGGTGGGAAGATTAGTTGGTTGTAGATGTGTGGCTTTACTTCTGGGCTCTCTGTTTTGTTCCATTGATCTATGTGTCCACTTTTGTGTCAGTACCATACTGTTTTGGTTACTGTGGTCTTGTAGTATAGTTTGAAGTTGGGTAATGAGATGCCTCCAGCTTTGTTCTTTTTGCTCAGGATTTCTTTGGCTATTCAGGCTCTTTTTGATGTCATGTAAATTTTGGATTTTTTTTTCTAATTCTGCAAAAAATGACATTAGTGATTTGATAGCAATAGTGTTAAATCTGTAAATTGCTTTGGGCACTATGACTTTTTTTTTTTTTTTTTTTTTTGAGTCAGATTCTCTGTTGCCCGGGCTAGAAAGCAGTGGCATGATCTTGGCACACTGCAACCTCTGCATCCCAAGTTCAGGCTATTCTCAAGCCTCAGTCTCCTGAGTAGCTGGGACTATAGGTGCCTGCCACCACACCCAGCTAATTTTTGTATTTTTTGTAGAGACAGGCTTTCACCATGTTGGCCAGGCTGGTCTCGAACTCCTGACCTCAAGTGATCCACCCGCCTCAGCCTCCCAAAGTGCTGGGATTACAGGCGCGAGCCACCATGCCCGGTCGAACATTTTAACAATATTGATTCATCCAATTCATGAGCATGGAATGCATTTCCATTTGTGTCATCCGTAATTTCTTTTATCAGCGTTTTTGAGTTCTGCTTTAGAGATGTTTCACCCTCTTGGTTAAGTATTCCTAAGTATTGTATTTTTTTGTGTGGCCATTGTAAATGGCATTGTGTTCTTGATTTGACTCCCAGCTTGAATGTTATTGGTGTATAGAAATGCTACTGATTTTTGCACGTTGATTTTGTATCCTGAAACTTTACTTACTATGTTTATCAGATCTAGTGCCCTTTTCATGGCATCTTTAGGGTTTTACAAGGTATGGAATTATGTCATTCACGAAGAGAGATAGTTCGACTTCCTTTTTTTAAAAAAAAAAATTGTACACCTTTTATTTCTTCCTCTTGCCTGATCGTTCTGGTTAGGACTTCCAGCACTATGTTGAATACGAGTGGTGAAAGTGGGCATCCTCATGTTGTTCTAGTTTTTAAGGGGAATGCTTCCAGCTTTTGCCCATTCAGTGTGATGTTTGAATATGCCACTTTTAAAATGCACTCTACTGGGTAAGCATTTGGATTCTTTGCAGTTTGGAACTATTATAACACTGCCATTAGCCTTCTCAGACTTGTACTCTGGTGTCTATGTGCGTAGGTTAGTCTAGGGGTATATAATGATGTGGCGTTGTTGGCTCATGGGGGATATCTGTCTCAAATTCACACACTGAATACCAAACTGTTTTCCAAAGTGGATGTGCCAATGTATACTTCTACCAGCAGTGTACGAGAGCTCACTTTACTCCACATCCTCACCAAAATTTGTTTTTTGTTTTATTTTTTATTATACTTTAAGTTTTAGGGTACATGTGCACAACGTGCAGGTTAGTTACATATGTATACATGTGCCATGTTGGTGTGCTGCACCCATTAACTCGTCATTTAACGTTAGGTATATCTCCTAATGCTATCCTTTCCCCCTCCCCCCACCCCACAACAGGCCCCGGTGTGATGTTCCCCTTCCTGTGTCCATGTGTTCTCATTGTTCAATTCCCACCTATGAGTGAGAACATGCGGTATTTGGTTTTTTGTCCTTGCGATAGTTTGCGGAGAATGATGGTTTCCAGCTTCATCCATGTTCCTACAAAGGACAGACTTTAAAATGTGTGCTCACATGGTGAATGTTTGAGTATCTTTTTTTCACTGGTAACTAATAAAGTTCAGCACCTTTCCATGCTGTTTGTAAGAGCCCTACACTGGAAGCAACCTAAATGTCTATTAAGGGTATAATGCAAAAATAAATTGTGATATATTGACGCAAAGGAATGCTATGCTATTATAACATTGCTATGAATATTCTTGTGCATGTTTTTAATGGCCATATCTATGTATTTCCATTGAGTAATACCTAGGAATGAAATTGCTGGTTCATAGGGTATTTGTACGTTTAGCTTTGGTAGATACTGCCTAATGGTTTTCAATGGGTAGTTGTCCCAATTTACAGTCCCATCATTATAATAAACCTTCTCGTGTATTTTATTTTGATCTACTTCCACATGTATAGAAAAGTTGCAAAAATGACACAAAGGACCCCATATATATTTTACTCAAATCAACCAATTGCAACTGTATACCTTTTAACTCATTTGCTCTATCTATATATATTTTATATATATGGTATGTCATATTTTATATATATGGTGTGTCATATATATAAAATATATATAATAGTTATGTGTGTTTGTGTATATATAGGCACATGTGCATATTTATGAATATATATTTATATGTGTGTGTGTGTATATCATCGTGGAGTTTTTTTTCTGAACCATTTGAGACTGGTAGAGACATCATGCCCCTTTACCACAGAAAATTTCAGTGCATATTTTCTTTTATAAAAAGGACACTCTCTTTCATAACTATAGTGCAATTATTAAAATCAGAAAATTTAACACATACAATTCTAGTATCTAATCTACACTCCATATTCAATTTTATCAATTCTCTCAATAATGTCTTTTATAGCCATTATTTTCCTGGTCCAGGGTTCAATCCAGGATCTTAGGTTGCACTTAATTGTCATGTCTTCTTAGTCTCTTTTAATCTGGAGCAGATCCTAAGCCTTTCTCTTTCTTGATTTGGTGTTTTCCAAGAGCATGGACAAGTTAATTTGTAGGATGTCTGCCAATTTGATTTTTCCGAGGTTTCTTAAAGTCCTGTTATGGATTTTTGCCAGCAGTGCCACGGAAGTGATGTTATGTCCCTCAGTGCATTGCATCAAAAAGGCGTATGGTGTTGATTTGTCCCATTACTGGTTATGTTAATTTTGGTCACTTGGTTAAGGTAGTGGAAGTTTCTCCCCTGTAAAATTATTTCCCTTTGTAATTAATAGGATTTTGCTCATTAAACTTTTATCTAGTGGTTATCTACTAGCTTTAGCACTCATTGATGAATTTCTAACTATTATTCCTCCTACACTGGCATTCTTCTGTATGTAAGAGGTTTTTCTTCTCCATTTACTTAATCATCTATTTATATGGACTTATGGATCTTATTTTACCCAGTAGATTATATTCTGTTACTACCATTATTTATTGTGATGCTCAGGTTGCCCCAGATTTGATGGGTGGGGAATCCCTTCAAACTAGCTCTCTGTCCTTTGGATTTGTGTCCACTGTTCTCTCAACACCTCCTTCCTTTCTGGTGCAAGGAGGTTGTCTAGGATTTCCTTTTACAGTCTTTGCTCCAGCACTGAAATCAGCCTTTTCCTAGGAAGTTCTGCTTTCTTTTATTTAGGGAATGTTATTTAGAAATAAAAATTTGGGTGCTGGATGTGCTCATTGCTTCTAGGCGTTGTCATAATTAAGAAATGTGGGTATGTATCAAAAATGAGAACTTATATTGATACTTTCAGCCCCGATCTGCACAACCCTTCCCATCTTGGTAACTCCTTTTACCAGTAGTAAGACACTTTGCTTTCAATAATCTTAATATATTTACTCATTTGTTCAAATCTAGAATACACAGAAAGTGGTATCAGAATTGCCATCAAATACTAAAGAAAAAAAATCAACCAAGTATAGTTCAACATTTGTGTGGTAGTATTTTTAGGTATAATTTACATCAGTAAAAAGCACATTTTAAGTGTGCAATTGAACAGATTCTGACAAACGCATCTACCAATATAAATGACACCCCTACCAAGATACAGAAATTTTCTCTCACCCCAGAAAGCTTCACTGTGCCCTGTTCCAGTTAATACCCTCCAAAAGCAACAAGTTTTCTAAAAATTATTTAGACTGTATTTGTTTTGCCAATTTTAAAACTTCAGGTAGGCCGGGCCTGGTGGCTCATGCCTGTAATCCCAGCACTTTGGGAGGCAGAGGCAGGTGAATCACCTGAGGTCAGGAGTTCGAGACAAGCCTGACTAACATGGAGAAACCCTGTCTCTACTAAAAATACAAAATTAGCCTGGTGTGGTGGCGCATGCTTGTAATCCCAGCTACTCAGGAGGCTGAGGCAGGAGAATCACTTGAACCTGGGAGGTGGAGGTTGCAGGGAGCCGAGATCGCACTCCAGCCTGGATGAGAGTGAAACTCTGTCTCAAAAAAAAAAAAAAATATGTAAAAACTACTATGGAGTTTGATTTACCTTGTTTCCAGCTTCTATGAGATTTACCCATATGGCCGAGTATATCCATATGTCGTTCTTTTTTTATCATTGAATAGTAAGTATTCTATTGTAAAGAACATATGTATACATATGTGTGTGTATGTGGTGTGTGTATGTACATAAATACACACCACAGTCATTACCCATTCTCTTCTTGATGGACATTTGGGTTGTTTTCAGTGTTGTGTCACTATTAATAAAGCTGTTTTAATCATTCTTGTACAAGTCTTTGTGTGTGTAGACACATGTTTTCATTTCTCTTGCATAAATACCTAGTGGGGAAACCCCAGGATAATAGGGTTGATGTTTGCTTAGTTTTATAGAAAGCTATCATATCTTTTTCCAAATGAGTGGCATCATTTCTATGTTCCCTCCAGTAATGTAAGCAAGTTCCAGATGCTCCCCATCCTTGTCAACACTTGATGTTGTAAGATGTTAATTTTAGCCATTCTAGTGGGTATCAAGTGGTATCTGTTTGAGGTCTAAATTTTCATTTTCCTGATAACTAATGATGTTGAGCACTTTTTCATCTACTGTTGACCATTTGTATATCTTCCTTTTAAGTTCCTCTTCCAAATTTTTGGCAATTTTTTTAAAAAAATTGGATAATCTGCCTTTTCATTGTTGCCATAGGACTTTTATCATAGAGGTTAGAATTAAATCATTTGTCAAGTCTGTCTTGTGAATATTTTTTTCTCATTTGGGGATTTGTCTATTTTCTAAATGATGCTTTTCAGTGAGTTGAAGTTTTTATGTTTTGATAAAGTCTAACATGTTCATTTTTTTCTTTTATGATCACTGCTTTCTGTGTTCTGAGAAATCTGTAGCTACCCCCAATTGTGAAGATAGAAGACTGTGTTTACTTCTGAAAAAGGTTATAGTTGTAGGTTTAATGTTTAGTTTTGTGACCCATCTTGAATTAATCTTTGTTTGTGGCATTAGGTAGGAATTGAAGTACATTATTTTCCCACATGAAAATGCAGCTATTCCCAGCAACCTCTGCTGAGGCCTTCTACCTCTGAATTACCTTGTCATGGTTGTGGGTTTCTTTCTAGCTCTCCTGTATTTTGTACTATTGAGCTATATCTTCATCTTTGTCCCATTGATTTATATATTTGCCTTCATGCCCATATCATATTGTCTTGATTACTGTAGCTTTATAGTAACTCTTTAAGTTCTGGAATGCTTCCAGCTTTATATTTTTCTAGATAATTTTGGCTATTCTAGATCAATTGTATTTTTATTTAAAATTTTGAATAATTTTGTCAGTTTCTACAAAAAGGCCTACTGGGATTTTTAGAAATAGAATTGTCTTGAATCTGTAGATTAATTTTGGGAGAACTGACCCTAATATTGATGTTTTGAATCTATGAATGTAATATATTTTTCTATTTTGTAAGGTCTTCTTTAATGTCTCTCAACAGAGGTTTTTGTTTTAGTGTAGAAAGCCATGGCACCTTTTGCTAAATTTATTCTGGATTATTTTATGTTTTTTCAAAGCCATTATAAATTGATTTCTTTTAATTTCATTTTCCAACTTTTTGCTACTAGTATATAATCATTTTCCAACTTTTTGCTACTAGTATATAAAAATATAATTGATGTTTTTGGCATATTGACCTTGTAACTTGCAGCCTTACTAAATGCATTTATTAATTATAGAGCTTTTAGAATTTGCTACACTGACATTCATATCATCTACAAATAGCAAAACTTTTCATTTTTCCTTTTTAACCTTTATCCCTCTTTTCTACTTTATTGCACTGGCTACAATCTTTTGTACAAGTATTAAGACTAAATATGCCTAACTTCTTTTTAATCATAAGGGAAAATAATTCAACGTTTCATCATAAAGTAAGATTCAAGGATAGAATTTTTAAAAATGCCCTGTATTGCAGGAGGAATTCTTTCTTATTTCAAGGTTGCAGGATTTTTTTTAAATGAATAGGTATTAAATTTAGCAAATGTTTTACTCTTTTTTAGTTAATATAGTAAATAATTTTTATTGGTTTTTGAATGTTTGCCCTATCTTATGTTCTTGGGATACACTCTACTTGGTCTTGATTATTTTTCATTTATTACAGGACTCAACTAATACAGTATGAGTGATTATGGCAATGTTCATGTTGGTTGTTGATCTGTTCTTTTCTTTTCACATTCTTCTTTTAGTGTCAGAGGTATGCTAGCCTCATGCCAAACTTGGGAAATGAGTTTTTCTTTCTCTTATCTTCTTAAAGTTGTATAAAATTACTATTATTTCTTCCTTAAATATTTGATAGAATTCACCAGTGAAGTCATCTATGTCTTTTTTAAGGGAAGAATTTTCATAATAAATACGATTTTCTTAGCAGATACAGATTCAGAATAAAATATGCAGTTCAGATTTTCTGTTTCCTTTTATGTCACATTTAGTAAGTTGTGTTTTAAAAGAAATTTGTCTAATTAATCTAAATGTCTAATTTATGAACATATTTCTTCACAGTATTTTCTTATTCTTTTTATATGTGTAGAATCTGAGGTGCTGTTCCCTCCTTCATCTGTGATGCTGATGATATAAGCGAGCTCCTGCTTTCCCTCTTTCCCTCCCTCACCTTCTCATTTCTCTCTTTCATCAGTCTTGCTAGGTGTTTGTTTACCGGTCTTATGAATCTTTCAATGAATCAAATTTTAGATTGTTTAATTTTCTCTTCTTTTCTTTTCTTTTCTTTTTTTTTTGAGATGGGGTTTCAACATGTTGGCCAGGCTGGTCTCAAACTCCTGGCCTCAAGTGATGTGCCTGCCTTGGCCTCCCAAAGTGCTGGGATTACAGGCATGAGCTACCATCCCCAGCTGTTGATTTTATTTATTTTCTATTTCGCTGATTTCACCTTTCTTTTTTCCTTCTTTCTACTTACTTTGGTCTTGATTTGCTTATCTTTCATATATACTTAAGGTGAAAACTTAGATCACTAATTTTAAGCCATTCCTCATTTATGTGTTTAGTACTATAACTTTCACTGGAAGCACAGTTTAGCTGCATTACCAAAATTATATGTTTTTATTATCTTCAAGTTTAAAATTATTTTCTAACCTCCCTTGTGTTTTTCCTTTCTCTCATGAGTTATTTACATGCATGTTATTTAGTATCCAAATATTTGGGACTTTTTTACATATCTCATTTTTCATGATTGCCAGATTAATTCCTTTTTTGTCTTAGGACATATTCTGTGTTATCTCAGCATTTTGAATTTTATTGAGACATGTTTGGTGGATCAGCATATGGCTTTTTCACCAAGATATGAAGGCTCTTTTTGCACTTGAAAAAAATTATATTTTACAGTTTTGAATTAGAGTATTCTGTAAATGACAATTAGGTTATATTTGTTGATGATGTTCTGGTCTTCTATATCCGTGCCTTTTCTGTCTAGTTGTTCTAGCAGTTCCTTTAGAAATAGACATCAAAATCATCCACTATGGTTATGGATTTGTCTATATTTCCTTTTAGTCTTGTCATATTTTGCTTTATATATTTTGAAGTCGTGTATTTATATATATTTATTGTCTTCCTGGTGAATTAATATTTTCATTATAGTGAGGTGTTTATCTCTGGTAATACTTTTTTCTTGAAGTCTCTTTTGTTTGATTTTAATACATCCATTCCAACTTTCTTATGCTCACAGTTTGCATGTCATATATATTTTTAACCCCTTTTCATTCGCGCTACCTATGTCTTTATATTTAAAGTGAGTATCTGTAAATAAAGTCTATTCGGGTTTTGCTTTTCTATCTCTGACTTAATTAAAATAAATGCTCTGTATGCAACTTGGAAATAATATTCTGCAGTTTGTCCATTAGCATTTAATTCAATTATGTATATGTTTAGGTTTAGTTCTATTTTTCTGTGGTAGGAAAAGCTTTTGACATGTTACAAATATGAACAATGTTGTGCCAGATTTTTTCTAAGGAGCCGTATATCAGATAGAAGAAATTTCCTTCCATTTCTAGCTTAGATTTATAAAATCTCAGTGGTTCAGTTTTTAAAAAGCCTTATCTACATGCATGTGTTGTAACACAATTTTTTTTCCCTTAATCTGTTGATGTGGCAAATATTGTAGTGTTAAACCATCCTTGCATTCCTGTAATAAACAGAAGTTTGCCATGATTGTAATAAATGTATATAACCAATCGTTGTGGATGAGATTGCCCTGTTATTTTTTTTCTTTTTTCTTACTACTTCTTGTCACATTTCCATTCCAAGATTATGTGCTAGTCTCATAACCTGAGTTTAGGATTGTACCCTCTTGTTCTTTATTGTGGATTAGATTGTAAGACTGAATTATTTCTTTATTTGTTGAGAAAACCATCTGCACCTAGAGATCCTTTTATAAAGAAAAACAAAAGTATGTATCTGTTGATTTAACTTGTTTAGTGGTTATAGGGCTATCCAAGTTTTCTGTTATTTTAATCAGCCTTGGTAAGTTTTATTTTTCTAGGACTGTGTCCGTTATGTTCATATTTGCCAATTTATTTGCATAGAATTATTTTTAGAGGTTCTCAATATTATTATTCTTTTCATAAGCCTAATGGTTGATTTTCTTGGTCCTGTCTACCATATATTTGTTTTCTGGGGTTTTTAAAAAATTTCTGATCTTCATCATTGTCTTTCTTCTAATTTTTTTTGTGTTTATTTTGCTATTTTTCCTATCTTATTGAAATGGACATTTGGCTCCTAAATTTTTGGTATTTTTTATTTTCTTGTATATGCATCTAAAGCAATAAAACTTTCTCTGTCTATGGCTTTTATTGTCTCTTACTACGTTTTTGTGAAATATTTTATGATTTAGTTCAAAATATTTTATTATTTCAGTTGTGATTCTTCTTTCATTGTTGGGTTATTGTATTTTTATAATTTTTCATGCAGATTGTATTCATTTTACTTACGTTTCTAACATTTAACTCTTGAAAATATTAAATATCTATGTGTATATGGAACAATAAAGTGAATATCCATGTATTCATCACCCAACTTTTATAATTATGAAGTTCTGGGGTGCAGCAAACCAACATGGCACATGTATGCCTATGTATCAAACCTGCACATTGTGCACATGTACGCTAGAACTTAAAGTGTAATAAAAAATTTTTTTAAAAAATTATGAAGTTGTGGCCAATCTTACTTTTTCTATATCCTTGTTCCCACCACAACCTCCTATATTATTTTGAAGCAAATCCTATGGGTTATTTGGAAGTATGTGTTAAATCTCCTAACCATATGGGGATTTGCTAGTTATCTTTTTAAGTTAATTGTAGTATGGTCAGAAAACTTGGTCTGTATGATCTCTTCTTTTTAAATTTTTTATGATGCATTTTATGGCTCAGAGTATGATAAATATTTTGTAAATGTTTCATTTGTACTAAGAGCATTTTGTATTCTGCAGCTCTTGAGAGTATAATTCTATATGACCCTTAAGTAAAGTTTGTCAATAGTACATTCACATCTGTGTCCTACTTTTGTCATTCTGAAGTAATTCTTTTTATCACTAGCAAATGCTTTTTACCTAAAAGTCTATTCTGTCTGTTATTAATGTCGCTACACCAGTTTTCTGTTGGTTACAATTCACATGATGTATTTCTTACCCATCCTTTTAATTTTGTCCTTTCTGTGTATGCTTTAGATGTCTTCTATAAACAGCATATAGTTGAATCTTGCGTTCAGTCTGCCAATTTATTACTTTGAACTGGAGCATCTGGTCTCTTTACATTTAATTTAATTAGTGGCACATTTGGGTTCACCTCTACCCAGCTCCTCTTGTACTTTCTATTTGTTTCACATCTTCTGTTTTTTTTCCCCCTCTCACTTATGCCTTCTTTTGGATTCTTTTTTAAACCAATTTTTCAAAATACATTGAGAATTCACCACTTTGTCTCACCCCCACGGCAGCCGTCCTCGCCAGACCATTCTCCTCCTTCCTCTGGGAAGGCAGTGGCCTCCTGACTCATCTCCTCCTTGCTTCTCTCCTTCCTCCCACCTCCCACCCTCCCCCCACCATCTGCTCACTGAGCAGCAGCCAGAGTGAGCCCCATCACATGTGAGCTCTAGCATGAGGCAGCTGGGCTCCAAAGCCTGCAGCGACTCCTGGTTTCACACAGAGGGAAAGCGGAGAGTCTCATGGGGCTTCCGGCAACCCGAGAGGCCTCAGCTGCGACCCCACCTCTGCTCCAGGCACTCAGACGCACCTGCCCACCAGAAGCTGTTCCAGCCTCTGGGGCTGTTGCCCTGCCAGGCACTCAAGTCACCAGCTCACCTCCTCCACATCCTTGTTCCAGAATCACCTTCTCAGTGAGGCCTGCTCCGGCCACCCCACTCATGTCCTCACACTCCGCTAGGCCTTCCTCTCGCCTGCCCTTTTCTGTTGTCTTTTCACCGTGGTAGTAGTCTGTCACCTGTAAAATCCTGTTTGGAGCACCAAGTGTAGCATCATTCAAAGACGGGTCTGCCCCTTTTAGAAAAGAAGCCACATGAGGGATTTCTGCCTCTTCTGTTCACTGATACATTGCAGTGCCTCAGAAGGGCCTGGCCCAGTGTAGGCATTCAAGACATGGTGAGGCCAGGCGCAGTGGTTCAGCCTTTAATCCCAGCACTTTGGGAAGCTGAGGTGGGTGGATCACTTGTGGCCAGGAGTTCAAGACCAGCCTGTCCAACATGGCAAAAACCCATCTCTACTACATGGTGGTGCATGCCTGTAATCCCAGCTACTCTGGTGGCTGAGGCACAAGAATCACTTGATTCTGGGTGGTGGAGGTTGCAGTAAGCTGAGATGGTGCCACTGCACTCCAGCCTGGGCAACAGAGTGACACTCTGTCTCCAAAAAAAAAAGATATGGTGAGCAAATGTGGGCATTGCATTTTAAAAACCTTAGTAGTTATTTGAAAGTTTTATGTCTCTTTTGTCTATTATGTTAACATTACCATAGAAATGGCAACGTGCATATTTATCTAATTAAGTCTAAAGTTAGCCAAACTGTTATTTTCCTCCTGGATTTTGCAATGACTTGTGACTACTTTTAAGATATTATTTCATTTCATTTTATTTCATTAATTTTTTGAGAAAGGGTACAACCAAGAGTGAATATCCAGTTGTTTTTGATATACTGAATCCAATACTTTTAGCATTGGACTGGATGACATCAGGCGACTAGTAGACATGGAACCTCAAATTGCATTCATTATAGAAAGCCAATCCACAGGTGTTTGTTGGGTCCCTACACTGGCTCCAAGCACTCAGTACTATGAGAGTTTTGAGTGGTTTCCAAAGTCTTTTGATCCAAGATGAGTGGCATAACAATACCTGGGGTGTTTGTAAATCAGTCCCAGACCCACATCCAGAAATTTCTCTGTGACAAGTCTGGGCTGCTCCCCAGAAATTGTGCTTTCATAAGACCGTGGCCTTTCTGAAGCCCCCAGCGAGTGGACAGCCCCTTCCCCAGCAGGTCCAGTGTCCTCAGAGACCTCTGTACTTGGTATCTGATCTGATGCCATGTGGCATTTACAGGAATCCTGGCATGGTGTGGGAATCCCTTGCTTTAAGGATACTTAATAGGTGTAAATGAAAGTTTAAAATCGTCCGCTGAAGAGTAATTTGAGTCATCTTAAAATCAGGAAGGCTGCTTCTAAGCTTTTTGGCATCCACGCTGTCAGATCAGCAGTGTGCCTTTGCGTACTATCCCAAGAAACAATCATTTTGGGGCCACTGTGATTGTAAGGCTGGATTTCAGGAGTCAACAGGCTGCACTTGCGGAGAGAGCTGCAGAGGAGCAGCGTGTGCATGTACAGGGGGTAACAGCCCTATCAGCGGAGGCAGCATAGGTGCTGGTCCTTTCCTCCACAGAAAACTGTCACGGCAGATAATCCTCCTGGGTTGTCAAATTAGGGATCACTGTCATGCTCTATCAGAATGCCTCTGGGACCCTTGGAAACTATGGGATTGCTCCAAGGAGGATGCAGGCAACTGATCTCCCTCCCTGGACCTCTTTTGTAGATTCAGCGCTGATGGTGGTGGCTGGAGTTCCTTCTTCTCTTCCATTCTGACTTATTGCATGCTCAGGTCTCCATCCTCAGCCAAATTCTTCACCTCTCCTCTTTACACTTAGGATGCCAGTTATAAAGATGGGAGATAAGGGATCCACAGAGGTCCTCATCTGGCCCCATGGAATCCTCATCATTAGCTCCAGGCCCCCTGCCATTCTCCCTCCTCCCTCTCTCCCCATCCCCCCATGCCCAAGTTCTTCTGTCTTTGCTGTCTCCTATTTAACTAATTATTCCCTCCTGGAAATTCTCTGCCTTGTTTTCTCTGGCAAACTGTTAACCTTTTACAAAAATGCTCTCAATTAATTTTTTCGCAAAAATAGTGACATTTTTACAGCCAGTGAAACAATGAAAAGAAGCTAAAAAATGTTAATAATACCACCCAATTTATACTTCCTTGAGCTAACAGATACTATGTACAAACTACCAGCTACACCTATACATTTATGAACATAAATATGCACTTTTATAAATAGATACTTTTTTACAACCAGTGACTGTCCATGATTCCCTACAATACATATGATTCTGAAGCTTCCCTTCCTCAGGAAACTGTACAGCATGGATGTCCTTCCAGATGAGCAAATCCAGTCTAATTTCTTTCTCGAATGCTGTGTGATAGTCCCGTATGAACACATTCAGTCTATCCAGTTATTTCCTGCTGAGAAGCATGCTGACTTTCTCCAGTTTCTGCCACTTCAAAAATTCTTTATATCATTGAACACTTTCTAATATACTCCTGCTCTTATTTCTGTAAGATATATTTCCAAAAATGGGACCACTGAGTCAACAAGTTCTTAGATATTGAACTTGAATCGCCGTTTCCAGATTACTTTCCAAAAAGGGCATAGAAGTTCACATCTTCCCCCAAAATGCAAGTGCATGCAGTGCTCAATAAATCCCTCTGACCCTGGATGTCATCCCCAGGGTTTTTCCAGTTTGTGTGAAAATGATATGGCATTGGCAGTTTGCGTCGTTTTTTCATGACTACCTTTTTTGATGCATTACTGGCCATCTTGATTCCATTTCTGTAAACCGCTTGTTCGTGTCTTTTGCTGGAGTTTTTGTGGGGTTGTCTGTCTCTATTTCAATAGTGGATAGCAGTTCTTTGTTTAGAGGGCTGTTAGTCCCTTGCCTGTGTATGTGTTTCAACGATTTTTCTAAGTATATTAATGTCTTTTTATATTGTTTATTTTGCCATATTAAGAAACATTATCTGGTTAAATATTTCTATTATTTTTATTTATGATTTCTACCTATCCTACATTGCTTAAGAAGGTCTTCATGCCATCTGTAATTCCAGCACTTTGGGAGGCAGAGGCAGGCATGTTGCCTGAGCCCAGGAGTTCAAGACCAGCCTGGGCAACACAGTGAAACCCTGCCTCTACTAAAAATACAAAAATTAGCTGGGCATGGTGGTGTGTGCTTGTAGTCCTAGCTACTTGGGAGGCTGAGGCAGGAGAATCACTTGAACCTGGGAGGTGGAGGTTGTAGTGAGCCAAGATTGTGCCACTATACTCCAGCCTGGCAACAGAGCGAGACTCCGTCCCCCCGCCCCCCCAAAAAAAAGAAGGTCTTAAGCCAAAGTCATACAAATACAAAGTCATACAAATATTTGAATATATTTTCTTTTAATATTTTTACGGTTATTTTATTTTACATTTATATTTTAAATTTATCCAAAACTTATTTGTGTTGAGGGTGGGAGGATATAGATTTGTTTTCTGCCAGCTCTGTCTGTTAAATAAACTACTCTTCCCTGGGGACGGAAATGGCACCTGGAACATACATTGATCTCATAGTGCATTGGTCGGCACAGCTTCAGTGTGAGGCGTACACTCCCTCCCTGTCATTCTTTTCTACAGTTTTCTTGTTTGAGTTTGGATGTATGTTAATATATCTGAAGAGCTTAAGACAGCACCTCTTTTTTGTTTTCTGCTAAATTTATTTTGTTTTACTTACATCTTTAAACATTCAACTATGGAAAATATTAAACATCTATAAATATATACAGAGTAATATGCTGAGTCCCATGTACCCATCACCCAGCTTCTGTAATTATCAAGCTGTGGCTAATCTTTTTTTTGGGGGGGTGGAGTTACCCTCACCCATTGCTAGTGCAACTACAAGTGTAAACGTGTTCACTGCTTTTATCATTATTACTACTAATCTTATTTTTATAACTTTTAAGTTCAGGGGCACATGTTTGTTACAAAGGTAAACTTGTGTTGTGGGGGTTTGTTGTACAGATTATTTCATCTCCCAGGTATTAAGCCTAGTACCCATTAGTTATTTTTCCTGATCCTCTCCCTCCTCCCACCCTCTGCCCTCCAGTAGGCCCCAGTGTGTGTTGTTCCCCTCTATGTGTCCATGTATTCTCATCATTTAGCTCCCACTTATAAGTGAGAACATGTGGTATTTGATTTTCTTTTCCTGCGTTAGTTTGTTAAGGATAATGGCCTCCAGCTCCATCCATGTCCCTGCAAAAGACATGATCTCATTCTTTTTTATGGTTGCATAGTATTCCATGATGTTTATGTACCACATTTTGTTTATCCAGCCTGTTATTGATGAGCATTTAGGTTGATTCCATGTCTTTGCTGTTGTAAATAGTGCTTTAATGAACATATAGGTGCATGTGCCTTTACAATAGAATGATTTATAGTGCTTTGGGTATATACCCAGTAATGGGGTTGCTGGGTTGAATGATATTTCTATGTTTAGGTCTTTGAGAAATCACCACACTATCTTCCACAATGGTTGAACTAATTCACACTCCTACCAGCAATGTATAAATGTTCCTTTTTCTCCACAACCTTGCCAACATCTGTTATTTTTTGACTTTTTTTTTTTTTTTTGAGACAGAGTTTCACTCTGTTGCCCAGGCTGTAGTACAGTGGCGCAATCTCAATCTTGGCTCACTGCAACCTCTGCCTCCCAGGTTCTAGCAATTCCCCTGCATCAGCCTCCCGAGTAGCTGGGATTACAGGCGTGTGCCACCACACCCAACTAATTTTTTTGTATTTTTAGTAGAGATGGGGTTTCCCCATGTTGGCCAGGCTGGTCTTGAACCCCTGACCTCAGGTGATCCACCCCCGCCTTGGCCTCCCCAAGTGCTAGGATTACAGGCATGAGCCACCATGCCCTGCCATTTTTTGACTTTTTAATAAAAGCCATTCTGACTGGTGTGAGATGGTATCTCATTGTGGTTTTGATTTGCATGTCTTTAATGATCAGTGATATTGAACTTTTATTCATATGATTGTTGACTACATGTATGTCTTCTTTTGAGAAGTGTCTGTTCATGTCCTTTGCCCACTTTTTAGTGGGGTTGTTTTTTTCTTGTAAATTTGTTTGAGTTCCTTATAGATACTGGATATTACGCCTTTGTTAGATGCACAGTTTGCCGAAATTTTCTCCCATCCTGTAGGTTGTCTGTTTACTCTGTTGGTGTTTCTTTTGCTGTGCAGAAGCTCTTTAATTAGATCCCATTTGTCAATTTTTGCTTTTGTTGCAATTGCTTTTGGCATCTTCATCATGAAATCTCTGCCTGTACCTATGTCCAGGATGGTATTGCCTAGGTTATCTTCCAGAGCTTTTATAGTTTTGGGTTTTACATTTAAGTCTTTAATCCATCTTGAGTTGATTTTTGTATATGGTGGAAGGAAGGGGTTCAGTTTCAATCTTCCATACATGGCTAGCCAGTTATCCCAGCACCACTTATTAAATAGAGAGTCTTTTACACGTTCCTTGTTTTTGTCAGGTTTGTCAAAGATTAAATGGTTGAAGGTGTGCGGTCTTATTTCTGGTCTCTCTATTGTGTACCATTGGTCTACGTATCTGTTTTTGTACCAGTACCATGCTGTTTTGGCTACCGTAGCCCTGTAATATAGTTTGAAGTTAGGTAGCATGATGCCTCCAGCTTTGTTCTTTTTGCTTATGATTATCTTGGCTATTCAGGCTCTTTTTTGGTTCCATATGAAATTTAAGATACTTTTTTCTAGTTCTATGAAGAATCTCAATGGTAGTTTAATAGGAATAGCATTGAATTTATAAATTGCTTTGGGCAGTATGGCCACTTCAATCATATTGATTCTTCCTATCCATGAGCATGAAATGTTTCTCCATTTGTTTGTGTCACTTCTGATTTCTTTAAGCAGTGTTTTGTATTTTTCCTTGTAGAGATTTTTAACCTCCCTGGTTAGCTGTATTCCTTGGTATTTTATTCTTTTTGTGACAGTTGTGAATGGGAGTACATTCCTGATTTAGCTCTTGGCTTGACTGTTGTTGGTGTGTTACTACTATTATTATCAGTTCTTTTGTTCATACTTCAAAATAATTGTATCCAATTCCCCGAAATGCAGTATTAGAACTCTGCTTGACAGTGTATTCCAGCTTTGGGTTAATTTTGAAAAAATTGACATTTTTTATATTAACGTGTTTCACCTGCCCCTGCTGAAACATGATCAGCTTCTCTAGCTTGTCCTGTCTCCGTACCTGTAGCTTTCAGGCATCCTCTGAACACTCTTGTTTTGGATGGCTGGTTGGGTCTCCTCTTTCTCTTGACTGCTGATTGTATTTCCCCATTATGTGGCTAAGACTTGAGTCTTGAATTCTTTTTCTGACAAACTTGCCATTTGAGAGCACTCAGATAGCATCCTGTCTATAGCTGACCCCATGGTGACAGTTCCAGCCATGACTTCATTTATTCAGCAGATATTTGTCGGGTATTATGGCCCTGTGCCATGCTAGACACTGAAGAGACAATGGTGAACAAGACAGATGTAATCTCTGTTCCCTGATAGAGCCACGGGCATGCTCGGGATAGAGAGCCAGAGGGCTGACCTGGTCTGGGCAGCCAGGGGGTGCTTCCTAGAGGAAAAAGCGTTTAAGTTGAACTCTGAAGGACCAATAGGAATTAGTCAGGCTGAGCAGCAGGATGTGAATGTTGGAGTAGAGGAGGTAGAGGGTGGAAAGAACACCCAGGCAGAAGAAACAGCTTATTCACAAATCCTACAGTTGCTCAGATAGTGAGTGGGGCCCACGGTGAGTCTGGTAAAGGAGGGGGTGTTGGTGGAGGGTCGGAAAGAGCCAGAGTTGACCAAACTCAGGGGAGGTAATGGTGACAGATGTCAGTGTCATCTGGTTAGATTTGCTCTGAGCTGGGCTCTGTTCTCAGCCCTTTGTGTTTGTCTCAGTTCACCCTCACAGCAATCCATTGAGTTAAGATGTAAGGAAATGGAGTGCTGATACATCACCAACTTGGCCAGGTTTGCACGTCCCCAGGATCATGAGTCAGGACTGAAACTCGGGCTCCAGAGCCCACTGTGGCAAACTAAGATGCTGTTAAAGAGCTTTTTTTCAGGAGACTGGCTGAGTTTTAATTCTTATGTTTTGTCTGCTGTGTGAAGGAGCAATTAGAGATTGAACCAGTAGTTGAGGGGAGGACGTCAAGATTGTGGTTTGGGTAAGATTTTTTGCAACCCTAGCAAAACATGGAGACTGATATCCAAAGGAATGCACAACTAGGAAAGTGGGGAGTAACACAGAAACCAAACAAGTAAGCAAGTATTCTGTGTGAAGAAGCCCTGGAAGAAGGACTTGGAGGTGGAAAGAATTCTTTGTCACTCTTTGTCTTCTTTGTCATTCTTTCCACTTAGGGTGAATTATTTCCACAGTGTGAATCTGTCTTCACTAATACAATATTTTCTGGAGTGCGATGCAATTGATAGAGCCACCTGTACATAGGAAACTTGGGAAGTGCATGCTTGTTACGTATGCCCCAGTTGAAATCCACGCTGTGGCGTTTCCAAGTGACTAGAGTAGACTTCTCCAAGAACCAACTTTTTAGTTGTTTTAGCCGTGTGTTATGAACAGCTTTCTAACATGAATTGTATGTTTCAATAGCCTGTTAAGCTGTAGTCATGCAACTACAAATATCCTCTCCTTGATATAAATATGAAGCATGGCACAATCAAATCACAACTAGGAGGCCACATGTACCCTTTTAACCCCAGCTTCCCCTTGGGGGAGATCAGGCATCTCTCAGAGCCTCATTTTCCTCAAAGTTATCCACAGCAGAGCCAGGGACAGAGGAGACACCAGCTCTGCGCATGTGTACCAGTCAGGAATAACTTCTCTTATGACAGTAGAATGCATCTACATGGTTTCTGCTGTTTAATGAGTTCCACTGACTCCAGGTGTTCTGTTTGCATGACTAAGTAAAGAAAAATAGTTGTAGGAAAAGGCCATGAAGTGTAGGAGAGACTGAGGGGATGATTAGTCTGTTTTTAGACATGATTTTAATATGAAAGTAGAAATTCCAGGGAAGACAGAGGAGAGAGCTTAGCCCACCTTTAGCTCTCAGGATCCTGTATCTCCCTCCTCCTGGTTGGCATTGTTCCCCCCAAAGCACTAGGACAGTTTCAAAAAGTGTTACTGAAAGGGAAATGTCTGTTTATGTGATTATATATTTTTTCATTGAGGATAATTTCCTATCTTACCCTTTTTTTAATACACTTTACTTTTAGTGCAGTTTTAGGTTCACAGCAAAATTGAGAGGAAGGTGTAAAGAGTCCCTGTTCACCCCCAACCCCACACATGCATAGACTCCTCCATTGTCTCAGCCTCCCCCACCAGAGTGGTCCAGTTGTTACAACTGATGAACCTACATTGAGACATCATTATTGCCCAGAGTCCATGATTTACATCTGGGTTCACTCTTGCTGTTGTACACTCCACGGGTTTAGACAAATGTATAATGACATGCATCTACCATTATGGTATCATACAGAGTAGTTTCACTGCCCTAAAATCCTCTGTGCTCCACCTGTTCATCCTTTCCTCCCTCTAGCCCCTGGTAACCACTGATCATTTTACTGTCCCTGTGATTTTGCCTCTTCCAACATGTCAGTCATAAAGTATGCAGCCTTTTCAGATTGGCTTCTTTCACTTAGCAACATGCACTTAAGTTTTCTCCGTGGCCTTATACCCCATTTCTTTTTAGTGCTGAATAATATTCTATTGTCTGTATGTACCACAGTTTATTTATCCATTCACCTACTGAAGGACATCTTGGTTGCTTCTGAGTTTTGGCAATTATGAATAAATCTGCTGTAAACATCTGCGTTCTTATCTTACTCTTTTAGAATGCAAAATCAGAAAATACTCCCAATTCCTGAATGTGGAAAACTCCATAGGGATGTAAAAAGAGATCACCCTTTAGAGAAGGAGAAAATGCACATGATTCACCAGCATTTGACTGAAACATCAAACAGTTATAACAAAACAGATTACGCCACAAATGCATTATCCCAGGAGTCTGGTGCTGCACATCCCCTGAGACCCAAGAGATCATTTCAACTATTAGGGAGAAGAGAGGACCTTGGATTTAGTCCTAAGGATATTTTGTACGTATATTTTGTAGTTTTTCCTTTGACACTTCAGCAACTTGACCAAGGTGCTACTAAACTCTTCTCCAGGGAGAAAGCATGCAGTACCTGAGTTTGAACTATCAATGGTCCTCCATCCCTCCATCATGTCCATCACTGACCTCCTGTAGACCATGTGGGGCTCACTCTGTATTGGCCGTGGGCTCAGTGCTCTGGGGGATGACAGCAATCCTGCCACCGCCCCCATGTTGGAGATGAGAACAAGAAGTTGTAGGAAGCCTGAGTATCCTGCCCAAGGTCACACAGTTGAGAAATAGTAGCATTGGGATTTAACCTAGGTCATCTCCACCCAACTGCATTCTTACTACACCTTGGCAGCAGCTGAATCTGACCTCTCATCATCTGGTGTGGTCACTTCAGTGTATACGCCAGGAAATAAAATTCTGCAGCAGACAACTGGAGACTGAACTGAGTTTGAATTGAGAGGCTGGCCAGAAGGTTGACATTTCAGAGCCAAACTCATAGAGGGAATTTGATGCCTTTGACAGGGATGGATGAACTCTCTCAAGCAAGGCCCATTCAGAACAAGGCAGTTAGAGAAGGGAGAGAGCCAGCATTAAAGGTAGTTATGGAGAAGGGGAAACAAAGTAAAATCTCATAATGGGAGGTAAGAGCTTTAAATGCAGAGGGTTGTCTCTCAGGCACCGTGGGCTGCTATCACAGAATACTGTAGCCTGGGTGGCTTAAACAACAGACATTTATTTCTCACAGTTCTGGAGGCTGGGAAGTCCAAGAATAGAGTGCCAACATGGTTGGTTCTGGTGGGGCTCTCTTCCTGGTTGCTGACAACCACCTTCTTGCTGTGTCCTCACATGGCAGAGAGAGAGGAAGCAGATGTCTCTTCTTAACAGGGCACGAATTCCATTCATGAGGCTGCACCCTCATGACCTAATCACCTGCCAAAGGCCTCACCTCCTAATAACATTACCCTGGGGGGCTAGGGTTTCAATATATGAATTTGGTGGGGACACAGACATTCAGTTCATAACAGGAATCATTAGTATCATAGGAGAGAGAAGGAAAAATAAAGCACACATGAGACCCAGTGGGAGGAATAAGAGTGGAGGACAAAGGGCAGAGGGCTGGGAAGCATGTAGAGAGAAGGAACTGATAGAGCAGATGTGGATAGGAAGGTTAAGAAATCTGACAACGAGCAGGAGGCTACAGCTGCAACCATCGTTTGGAGGAGCCTTGCCCTCCAAGGAGAGTGTGAGGTGTGCTTATGGAAAGGTGCATTGACCTCAGGGCATGCATGTGGGTGAGGTGGGATTAATCACACAGAAAGCAGAGGGTTAAATCTAAAAGTGAAAATGAAAATAATACCCAATTTTAGCTATATTATTTCCCAGGTACCACATGGAATGCCCGTGAAGGTAAACTAGATATCAGATCTAAGTGCCAGTTTTAACTTTAAAAGGAAAACCAAAAAAGGGCCACACTCAGTAGCCATGTTCTTTACTACTTTAAATGCAAGCTTCCGTATTAATGTGACTGTGGCCATAACCCATTGCCTGCCATATGCTAGGCATTGAAGTCACCATGCTGTTATTTCTTCTTTGTCATGACAGTCAGTGTCAGAGTTATTATTACAGACCAGGACTAACAGCCCATGCTTTTTTTGCTCATCCACAGGGTATCATGGTTATAAACTTTAGTTATTTATTTCTTCAATAAACAGATACAGTAACCCCTTAACACCCCCATACGTGGAGAATACATTCCGAAACCCCAGTGGATACCTGAAACTGCAGCTAGTACCAAACCCTATATATACTAACTTTTTTTCTGCATACCTACCTATGATAAAGTTTAATTTATAAATTAGGTATAGTAAGAGATTAACAACAATAATTTAGAAATAATTATCACAACATACTATAATAAAATTTATGTGAATATGGTTTCTGTCGCCCTCTCAAAATATTTTATTGTACTGTACTCACCTATTTTCAGACCCTGGTTGACCATGGGTAAGAAAAACCACAGATAAGGCAGGACTACTGTATACACATCTGTTTTTAGCTGGTGCTCTCTAGGTATCTCTGCACTGGGCATCAGGCCAACTGCTGGATCTCCAGGGGAGAATGACAGACATAGTCCATCCCTACCTGGACGTCACAGTATAATAAAAGATAAGCTAGTAACACACACATGCACATAGTTGCAATGAATGTGAAGCATAGTAAAGGAAAAAAGTGGGTTCGTGAGAAAATAAAGGTGGGACTTCGTTGAGATAATTTAACCAAGGAAAGCATTTGAGCAGGTGACATAGCACCTGAGACCTAAAGGATATGTGTGAGTCCTTACAGGAAAGATTCTGGGCCAAGGAGGAACGATCCTGAGAGTGTTGAGGGAAGAAAGCTCACAAAGCAGGAGGATGAGGAATAAAGAAAGGTCATGCGTAGAGAGGTGGAGAGTTAGGCAGGGGCTGCCCAGGTCACAGAAAGGGTCTTCTGTTTAATTCTCTCTGTAATTCTCTGTAACTGTAGAATTAAGGTGAAGGAAAAGTATGAACCCATTGAAAAGATCATACAGATCACTAAACGGAAAATGGATTGAGGTGGGGACAGAGAGGAGGAATGAGGGGCCATCTCAGCTGCTCTGTGCTGGGGCAGATGGTAGAAGTGAAAATGGGGAGAATCCAGTAGCCTCAATGCTATTTTGAAGGTGGAAATCCTGCCATGAAATTACTGATGCATCGTGAAAGAAGGCAGTTTAAGAATGGCTCCCGGGATACTGGTTTGATCAACTGAGTAGATGGAAGAACTTTTACTAAACTCAGGAAAATTGGAGGAGAAGCCAATTCAAAGAAGACAGCCACATGTGCTTTTTGCCTCATTATGTTTGCAATAACTGTGAGGTATCCAAGTGGAGACTAAGTGGTCAGATGTACAAAACCAAGGTAAAGTTCAGAAGAGAGTTGGGGGCTTGAAATATAAACCTGGAAAGTGTTGGCGTTTGGGTGATATTTAAAGACGTGGCTACTGACAGCTTCATCTGTGGAGAAAGCATAAGTGAGCATAAAGGAGCTCAGAGTGGAGCCCTGGGGTGTCATTTACATGTCAGATAGCCACAGAAAGTCCAGCCAAGAAGAGTCAGAAGGGGCGGCTGAGAAGTACTCAGATGAAACAGGAGAGCCAGGTGTTATTGCAGCAACAGAGGAGAATGTTCAAGGAAGAAGTCATCAAAGACAACAAACACAAGGAGGCAAATACAACAGGGAATGACACACCCACAGTATTGGTAACAGGGCCATCCCGTGGATCTTAGCAAGAATAGTCTTGGAGGAAAGGCCAAAGCTGAGGCCAGCTGGCACCAGGTTGAAGAATGAATGAAGGATATTCATTGGAATTTCATTCTAGATCAAAAGACTCAGTGTGGTGAGATGACAGTTCCTCATGAATTGGTCTCAAAATACAGTCCAAATGCTCAACATTTCAACATGGATTTTTGTGGAATTTGACAAAATAATTCTAAAATACCTATTGAATACTAAAGGTCTGAGACAGCAGTGGGGAAAAAAAAGGAGGGTGGATGGAGAGATCAATGTTTTAAATGAACAGTAACTACAATATGTGGTATTCCTGCCTGGGCTGGTACTGTGGGAGAAACTGGAAAGCCTAGAACAGGCCTTGGACTATGTAGGAACTTGTACAAAATAGAGGCAGCCTTATAAATCAGCACAAGCTCTGCTGTGGGAAGGTTGGGAAAGGTGGGGATATGAGGTGAGGTTGAGAGATGAGCCACTTGGAGTATGGGATACCAGGCTGAGAATGGATGCATGGCCAAGTTCTTGTGCTGGACATGATGGGGTGATGGATTTGAGACCTGGTAGGGGAGAGAGTCTCTTAGGGGAGAATGAGCGCTTGGACCTAGCACCTGCTCCCACATGGCCCATGGCCCTGGTCCACAGCCTCCTGTCTCCCTCTCAGTCAGCCTCACCTCTCTGATGAGGAGTCAAAATAGGGAGATGTAAGTGAAGATTTCAGACGTTTCCATGTATCGTAATAGGACATAGTGAAGCAGGCCGCATGTGTTTTTCTGTTACTATTTTTGCTGTTTTCCATCGCTAATTCAAGTGGATTTTCCTAGAAATTGACCCATGCAGGAACAATCTTCCCATTGAACACTGTTGACAAAAAGAACCGTGGCAATGCCATCGTCACTTCTAACATTGAGAAATCCTCTAGAATATGCTCTTGGCTGGTAGGTACAGTGGATCATTGCAGCCATTGGAGCCCACATGAAGTTACTGATGACTGAAGTGTCCTGTGAGAGCAATGTTCTCAAGGGCATATTTCTTAAGGAATATACGTCTTGGGAAAGGGGCTAGTTTAGGTTCTGATTCTTGCTTTGCAAAATGATTTGTTGAAGCCAGGTTGCTAATGGGGTACAATAACATTCTGTCCGTAGTGTTTACATTTTCTGTTTGATGTGATCAAGCTTAGATCTCCCTTTCCTTTTCTCCTTCCTTCCTTTCTTCTTAGCTACACTGTTCAAGGGATTTTTTTTTAATTATGAAATTTGCTCCAGTCTTACTACTTAAGTGGGAAAAATGCAAACACTATTTCACAAAGTGTGTGTGTGTGTGTGTGCGTGTGTGTGTGTGTGTAATTCGAGAGACAGAGACAATGCTTAAATTCAGTTTCAAGAGTCCAGAGTCATGTAGGAACTATCCAGGAATTAAGCGATGTGTACTAGAGAGGTATTAGTCAGGGCTAGAGATTTAAATTTGGAAGACACTGGTGCTTAAATATTTAAGGCCCGATAGGGAATAAGATTACAAGGGAGGAAAGTGTAGACAGAGAAGAAAAAGGAGCTCAACACGGAGTCTTGGGCGCTTGAATATTCATAGGTTAAGAAAAGCAGAACCAAAAAAAAAAAAACTCTGTCTAGCTCAGGGTTGAGGACTGCATTAGAATTATAAATCTGAGAGTCATCAATATAGAGATATTTGAGTCCATGGGAATGAATGAAGGTACTTTCAATTAGTTTAAGTTAGATACAGTAACACATAGCCCCCAGATCTCGGCAGCTCAAACCACAAAGGTTTATTTTCTGCTCCTGGTGCACAGGGAAGTCAGGGCTTGCTACATGCCATTCTCCTCCAGGCTGATGGAGCGCTGCCATCAGGAGGTCACCAGGCTTAGGGGCAGGAGGAAGAGAAGGACTGGAGAGGTAAGCACTGGCAATTAAATGCATCCACTTAAAATGACATCTGCCACTTATATTTCATTGGTCAAAGCAAGTTACAGAGCCACGTGTAGCTTTGGGGAGGCCAGGAGCTGCAATTCTTCTGAGAGCCCAGAAGCAGAAGAAAAGTGGATATTAGTGAACAGTTTTAATGCCAACCACAGTCTATCCTTCTGGTCACTGAATATTTGATTCAGTCTTTTTGCTACACAAATATCAAAGGTAGTGGGAGACATCCTAAAGTCTCATCAGCCTCAAAGTCACGGGCTTCTGCGTGATGCCCAGTGGTCTCTTTGAAAGATGCAGATATAGCTTCTTTGAGTCTGGAGACCCATGGGCTAAATAAAAGAACAAGTTAGCTGATACCACGCAACCATACAGTCACACCCACACAACAACATGCAGTAGTAGAACAGGAATGGAATAACTGGGAGACAGGCGACTGTCAATGGCCATAGAAACCCTGAAATTCCACTGGGCAGAGGCTGTGAGGTCCCATCACCCTTGGTCGTTCAGTTTCCCAGCAGGGCAGGGACTTCATCTCCTACTCTCCTGGCCTTAGCTCCTCTTTGGAGAATAGGGCACTAAAGAGACCATGGCATCCTTGCAAGCTCGCAGCTTTCTCAGCCTGCTTCCTACCTGTAGTCATGTGGGGGGCTCTGGGCTCATTTTGTGTCTGGAGCAGTCCCAGGTCTCTGCTACATGAGGCTCCCGATCCCTCTGCCCCGCAATCACTCACAGCCCAGAGGCTTGGAATCTGGTGGGTCCCTATCAGCTGCAGGTGCCAGTTGCCATCCACATTCCTCTTGGAGATTTCAGATAAGTGGCATTTCTTTGCTTTCGTGCCCCCCACCCCTGCCCCTCTCTTGACTTAATTGTAGCTGGCTTCAACAGGAGGACCTACCCTTAAGCTCTTTTCCCTAAAACATCGTGTCTAGTTTTTCCACTGTGTGTGAGTCAGCCTTCAAACAACCATAATCCAGGGAACATTCCTTCAGGTAAAGGCTGGATGGTCCTTTCACATTGGTTTCAGGACCCCAGCACTCCTGCCCTTGTATTCTGACTGTGAAAGATGCGATCTCAGGTGTGTGAGAGCAACTGCATGGCTCAGCTTCTATGTATGCCCCCATTCTGTGAGTAGCAGAAACAATCCCAGTTCCTTGAAGCCCCACTCCAGCTTCTATCACCCATTCCTATCTCCTTAGGATTGCATCAGAGGCATATTGTGTATGATAAATGTGGTATTTCAAATCATTGATGAAGCACAGATCATGTAACTGTGTAGTAACACTTGGTCATCCATGTGAAAGCAATTCACTAGGGAAACCCTTTACCATTTGCAAATGTTACTTCCAGATGCATTAAAGTGTGAACATTTAGGAGAAAAATAACCCCAAGAACTATTACAAGGAGATATCAGAGAATAGTATTTATTTTACGGGAAGAATTTTCTAAGCAAACCCAAAACCCCACAAGCCATAGAAGAGAAACAGCACAGATTTTATTTCATTAAATTTTCAACTTCTGTAGGGAAAATCGTTTTTGTAAATGAAAAGACAAGCCACCAATGATAATGTAATGCCCGTAATACACAGAGTGCCTCAGATCAATAAGAAAAATGAGCAAGTAAAATTAACCAGGAAATATATACATAGGCAGTTCACCAAAGAAGAAATATAAATAGCCAATAAACATGTGAAAAGTTAACCAGCTCCGTGAGTAATCAGAGGAGAGCCAATTAACAACAACAACAAAACTCTGAGGTACCACGTTTTACTTACTATGTTGGCAAACAAAATAAGAAAGATGTCCAGTCTTGGCGAGGGTGTGGGGAGACGGCACTCACCTGGCTAGTGACTGGTGATGCGTTACTTGGTATATGGTCCTTGAAGGACAATATGGCGGTCTCTGTCTAAATTTTGCAATTCCATTTTGACCCAGCAACTCCACTTGCAGGATTTTTTTTCTACAGCAACTTCTGCCTCTGCAGGCTGAGAGAGTCAGACAAGTGTCCCAATTTTACTTTTGTTTTGTAATAGGAAGACAAAGCCCATGAAACAAAAATGGTTAAAGGAATCACAGTACATGTACACAAGGGAAAGCAATGCAGCAAGTCGGGGGAAATGAACTAGCTCTCTCTGGTGACACAGAGAAATATCTATGGCATAGGAAAAACAAATCACCCAAGAACATATCATATGATCTTAATTATATCATTGAAAAAGTTGAGGGCTTGAGTGTCAAGGGAAAGTCCAGAAGGATGTATGACTTGCGTTTCTTTCTCTCGGCAAGGCTGGCCTCCGAGATGAAGTGGCCAAATTTCATGGGCAAACGGGGGGCGGAGGGGGGGGGTGGCGTGCGGTGCGGGGGGCAGTTGGGAGTGGTACATATACTTTCAGAAGGCGGCAGGGCAATTGTGCCCCATGTAGCACTGGCACCACAAGCAAGGGCAGATTGTGTGGTGAGGTGGGGCAGCACCTCCAGAGCTGCGCCATCAGCTGAGTAGTTGGCTGGCAGGCCTCCGGGCCTCCTCCAGCAGTTTCAATCCCTTGCCACGCAGCCATCCCGAGTTCTCAGGCTCTGCAGGAGCTCCCCTCCTTTCTGGCTGGGCTCCATGTCCTTGCATCCTTCGCCTCCTTGCCCTCCTGCATCCTATCTTCCACTCTCCTGACTTCTGCCCCATGGTCCTCATGGTGGAATCACTGTCCTAGCTAGTAGGAAGGACTGCTGGTCATCTTTGCAGCAACGCTGAGGCACTCCAGCCAGCAACATCTTCCCTGCTCTCTTCCCATCTACACTGCTGTCAGGGGGCTAAGAGGATTTGGGTCACAGCTGCCCAGGCAATCAGACAGGCCAGGGACTCAGAACTTTCCTTTTTGACAGCCAGTTGGAAATCCCATGGCCTCTGTGTGTATTGCTGTCTCTGGGATGTAATCTTATATTGTCTAGGCCTCTGTTTTGCCAACTGTAAGACCACGAAGTGGACAAGGACCACTGTGCTAGGGACCTTTCAACCCAAACATCCTGCAGCCCAGCCTGGCTCATTAGCAGTTCCTCCTGGGCCCTGGGTGGTGGCAACTCTGCTGGCTCTGGTCACTCCCTGGGCCGCAGTGGTCCTGCCTGCATTCCATCCCTCTTCAAACCAGCATCCCCAGACCTCTTTCTGTGATGAACCTCGTCTCCCTGACAGGGCCACCATTCCATGCAAACTGTCACTCCATGCCACGTGGCTGTGCATTGAAACTGGCAGTGCATTCAGGAGTGTGTTTGCAAACCTGCGATTTCCAGCCAGTGAGAGTGTTTGGAGTCGGTGGGCACCCATGTCTGTTCTGTGAGAAGCTGCCCATTTTCTGAGAGATCCATGAATATCTACCAAGAAGCCTTGTGTAATGGCCATAGAATATATACCTGTGTAGACCTGGACAGCTTGGTTTTCTCTAGATGGGCGCTGTGGCAGGCTTGGAAACTTCAGGGCCATTCCTGCGTGGCTGAGGTGAGGAGGGACTGACTGTGTCCATACCAATCAGAGCTCATCCTACACCCTCTCCCAGTCCCTGCCAGAGATTCCCTTGACCTCAGAGGGATCGGGGGCCCTTCACTCCCTATGGTATGTCATGGCTCAATAACCAGAACCTGCAAGGGCTGATGAGACTGTGCCACAGACTGTGTGCCACTGTGCCTTCATGGCACAGTCCTGGCAGATCCTCCCTTAGTCTAAGTTCACACAAGCAGACCCCGCCTCTTCTCCTTCAGTTATTTATCCATTCCCTCAGGCAGGCAGGCAGCAGAGTTTTATTGAGCACCGACTTCGAGCCAGATGCTGCACTGGGCATCGGGAATTCAGTAAAAAGATGCAGTCCCTGGCCTAGGAGCCTGGGTCCGATGCGGAGGCTGCTGTGCAGCGCATTTGCCTTCAGTCCCGTGACACAGCCAGGCTGTGAGGAGCAGGCATCCCTGGTCTTCTCTGTGGGATACACTTTCATGGTTTTTCAATGGTCTTCATTTATTTAAGGTAAAATTTTAATTTTATGGGCAGAAAAAGGAAACCAACTGTTGATCACGTTGATTTAGAAATGATTACATTGTTTTCTATTAGACAGAGTTCTTAATGTCTTTCTCAAAAGATGGAGGAGGAAATGAGTGATAGGGCTTTGTCTTTTTTACTTGATTTTCAACTCATTCTTTAAAAATGCTTGAAAAGGCTAACTGTGGCTGAAGACCACTGTAAGGGAGGAGAAAGCAAAACCTGCATTGACGAAGGAAAGGCAGCATCTCTGGCGGAAATTAATCACCTAAGCCACCTACTATGACTGCACAGGAGACAAGTGGTGGCCCAAAGGCTCTGTGTGTTTACAGTGTGGACATTTGAAGCAGCATCAGCATGGCCTTCACACAAACCTCATGATACTGTTCTAATGCCTTCTCCCCAGTTGTAAACCATCTGCTGCCTTGTACTGAAATATTGCACCCTGCTGACCTCAAAAGCAACAAGCATTCATGTACACACACACTGCGTATCCAGACATATAGATACATAGATGTGTGCATGCAGCATACACACTGATTACATAGAGGTACAGTCATATGTTGCTTGACCACAGGGATACAATCCGAGAAATACGTTTAGGTGATTTTGTCATTGTGTGAACATCGTAGAGTGTGCTTGTACAAACCTAGATGGCATAGCCTACTACATGCCTAGGCTATGTGGTATAGCCTGTTGCTCCCAAGCTACAAACCTGTACAGAATGTTGCTGTACTGAATACTACAGGCAACTATAACACAATGGTAAGTATGTGTGTTTCTAAACTTAGAAAAGGTATAGTAAAAATACAGCGTAAAAGATAAAAATGGTATACCTGTCTAGGGCACTTACCATGGATGGAGCTTGCAGGACTGGGAGCTGCTCTGGGTGAGTCAGTGAGTGAGCGGTGAATGTGAAGGCCAGGGTGGTGAATGTGAAGGCCAGGACATTACACTGCTGTAGACTTTAGAAACACTGTGCCCTTAGGCTGCACTAAATTTATTTTTAAAAATTAAGTTACTGTCCAGGTGCGGTGGCTCACGCCTGTAATCCCAGCATTTTGGGAGGCTGAGGCGGGCAGATCAGGAGGTCAGGAGATTGAGAGCATCCTGGCTAACACAGTGAAACCCCATCTCTACTAAAAATACAAAAAATTAGCCGGGCGAGGTGGCGGGCGCCTGTAGTCCCAGCTACTCGGGAGGCTGAGGCAGGAGAATGGTGTGAACCCCGGGGGGCAGAGCCTACAGTGAGCTGAGAGCGCGCCACCGCACTCCAGCCTGGGCGACAGCGAGACTCCGTCTCAAAAAAAAAAAAAAAAAATGAAGTTACTGTGCCATGATGTTATCAACAGCTATGATGTCACTAGGTCATGAGAATTTTTCATTATAATCTGATAGGACCACCATTGTATATGCAGACCATTGACTGGAACATCATGATCTATCTGCACATGACTGTAAATAACAACTATTGGATGTGGCACAGATGGAAGCTACATAAACACTCTATACAATATGGCCAATTCACCGGGCTCCCTGTTAGTCTTGTGAGCAATTTTAAACTCTTCCACGATTCTTTCTCTGCTTTGGAGTGTTTCAATTAATTCTCCATTATATTACAATTTACATTTTTATTAAGCCTTTACAGAGAGCAGCTGAATTTCTTAATTATTCTGTCAATAGAAATTATATTAGCGTTTAAGCTTAAAAGGGAAAAAATATAGTATATATGTGTCATATATATTGAAGCACCAGGAAACTTGAGGAAGGGGACATGGGCTATCCCCAGACGGGGAGGATGGTCGAGGCCTGAGGCTGGAGTGTGTATGGTCAGAGGGGTGAGGGGACACTTTCAGGGAGTAGCCAGAGGGAGTGTGCTGGTGGGGAGAAAGGGAGAGGAAGTAGTTTATATCAGAGAGGAACAGGGTATCACATCATTCAGAGCATTGTAAGATGTGGTAGGACTTGGCTTTTCTTCTGAGTAAGATGTGATGTCATTGGAGAGGCCTGGGCAGAGGGACTTAATCCAGTTCAGTTTAACAAGATCACCGTGGCTGGTGTTTGAAAACCAGAAGTCAGCCTGGCAGGGCAGGGACGCTGGCAAGGAGAGAGCTGCAGTATTGCAAGGGAGGAATGACGGTGCTTGAGGATAGTAGCAGAGGAACAGTGCCAAGAGGAGGGCTGTCTCTTCAAATTATATTTAGAACCCAACAGGACTTGCTGATCGGCCAGATGCAGGTGTCAAAAATGTTAAAGTTGACTCCTGCATCTTTGGTCTGAACAAATGGAAGCTTGAGGTTGCCCTGATCAGAGATGTGGAAGATTACAGGAGAGTTTGATTTGCAAGGAAATACCAGCCTCTCTGCAGCTGAGTTTTGGCATGTTTACTTTCAGATGTGCATTACATGTCCAAGTTCTTGAGAAAATAAGGGAGTATGTTGGAGCCAACAATGAAGGAGGGATTTCAAACATAATGCATGGGCGAGCAATGGTGGTGCACGCCTGTGATCCCAGCACTTTGGGAGACTGAAGATCGCTTGAGTGCAGGAGTTCAAGGCTGCAGTGAATTATGATTGCACTACCGCACTCCAGCCTGGGCAACAGAATAAGACTCTGTCTCTAAAATAAAAATAAAACATAATGCCAGAACTTTCATGAATGTGAACCAATAATGCATTTCTCAGTAATGTAAAACAATGGGAAAAAATGACCAAAGACATAGATCCCAACAACAAAGTGATGAGACTCTATCTAATAGAAGCCTGTAGAATAGCAGGTTATATAAAGTCAGAGGGTTTACACAGTTTTTTTTTTTTCCTAATCACTTATTCAGCATACATGTATTGAGTTCCTCATGTGGACCAGGGAGGTGCCTTAGAAGGATAATAAAGAAATGTGAATCACAAACCAACTGCTTATAAGCCTAAACAAACAAGCACAGTGCACAGTCCATGATAATAATGGAGTCATGTGGTAGCAGCAAGATTTGGGACGGGAACATGAGAAGTTGGGGAAAGCTTCTAAGGGGGCTGTTTAACAAGTGCTGGGAATTATCCAGCCAATAAGTGGGTGGTGCCATTAGAAGAGCTGCAGAGAAGCATGATGTGTTTGCAGAACTAGCACTTCAGGAAAAAACAAGTGGCCAAAGAGTGATGGGGCTTGTGTGATGAGCACTGGGACAATTTGAGCCTCAAACTACTAATTATAGTAACAGGTGATTATTTATTAAATAGGTGATGATTCTTAAGAAAAATGCATATGTTTGTATTAAAAGAAAGAAATGGATGAATAGAGAAATAAATGGGGGAGAAGGGAAAGTGCTTTCTTATAGTGGAGTGTCAGCTAATAAATGTAGGAGAAAGGAAGGAAATAGTCACCATTTGATGACCACCAAGTGCTAATTGTTGCAAACAGAAATTTCATTCCATGCTAAAACCAATGGTGGAGAAATTTAATGAGAAACAATATTTACAAAGAGTATATCTCTGCAAGATACAAACACAAAAATAGTAACTATTTAGGGGTGGGACCTGATGCACATCACCTTAGCCAAGAGGTCAACATAAGCATCATCAACATGGACCAAGTAGACATGATTTGTCCCTGAGGTGGTTCACAGGGGACAGAGCATCACTTCCACAGTGTTCCTGCCAGCAATACACAACAGAGTCTAATCATGAGGCCTCACAGGGCAGACCCAGACTGGGGACATTCTACCCTAAGTAGGGTATCAGGGTTGCAGAATGATAGACTGAACCCTGCCCAAGGATACCATCTCTCACCAGTTAGAATGGCAATCATTAAAAAGTCAGGAAACAACAGACGCTGGAGAGGATTTGGAGAAATAGGAACGCTTTTACACTGTTGGTGGGAATGTAAATTAGTTCAACCATTGTGGAAGACAGTGTGGCAATTCCTCAAGGATCTAGAACTAGAAATACCATTTGACCCAGCAATCCCATTACTGGGTATATACCCAAAGGTATATAAATCATTCTACTATAAAGACACATGCACATGTATGTTTATTGCAGCACTGTTCACAATAGCAAAGACTTGGGACCAACCCAAATGCCTATCAGTGATAGATTGGATAAAGAAAATGTGGCACATATACACCATGGAATACTATGCAGCCATGAAAAAGGATGAGTTCATGTCCTTTGTAGGGACATGGATGAAGCTGGAAACCATCATTTTCAGCAAACTAACACAGGAACAGAAAACCAAATATCGCATGTTCTCACTCATAAGTGGGAGTTGAACAATGAGAACACATGGACGCAGGGAGGGGAACATCACACACTGGGGCCTGTTGGGAACTGGGGGGCGAGGGGAGGGATAACATTAGGAGAAATACCTAATGTAGGTGACGGGTTGATGAGTGCAGCAAACCACCATGGCACATGTATACCTGTGTAACAAACCTGCACCTTCTGCACATGTATCCCAGAACTTAGAGTATAATAAAAATTTTTTAAAAGAAAAAAAGTGATAGACTGAGAAACTGTTTCAGATTTTCAAAAACTAGATTAGAAACATGAAAACGAAATGCAATGTGGGATCCTGGACAGAAAACAACCATTTTGTTACAAAGGACATTGTTGGGACAATGGATGAAACCTGAATAGTATCTGTAGAACAGACTTGTATGTGGAGAGAATGATAAATGTAAAACTTTAACCTTTGAGGGGATCTAGTTGTGAGGTTATGTAGGAATTCTGTATACTATTTTTGCAAGTTTTCTATATATCTGAAATTATTTCAAAATAAAATTTTAAATAAAGTAGGCAGAGTTAAAGAAGGCCTTTTATGCCACATTATCGAGCAGGATGTGTGACGGCCCCACAGGCCACAGGCTTTGTGGCTCATCCCCACGGTGAAGGCCTCTGGGCAGCTTCAGCCAGGGACTTCCCCATGCAGCCTCCTCCCTTTGTCCATATGCACAGATTCTGCATAGTGTAGTCCAGGTACCTAGCCCTGGGAAGTCTTCATCTTTTGATAACTTTTAATCTGCAAAGTATCTCACTATAATTGATAGGCCAGGTTCCATGCAGCATTCCCCACTGTTGGATTCTCATCAGTTTGCCTCCAGCGTGCCTTTGAGATGCGGTAACAAAGGTATCAGAACATGTGTTGTCTCTCCCCACTGCACATTCTCACGGGAGCCATCGCTGGTCCATGTGTGCCCATGGTCTGAAGGCTCATGCTCCCCGCTGTCCTGTTGCTCTCTGTGGAGGCTGTGCCCACTCACACGTCATTTGCTCCTCCATCTTTGAATGCTAATGTATCTCAACAAGATGATCTCCTTTTAGAACACAGAGCAAAAGTGTTAATACAAATTCCATTATTGAAATAACATATGTAATAATATATAATATGTAATTAATCAGTATGTAATATATTAATCAATATTACATATAATACATAATATGTAGTATGTATTATATAATGTATATAAATATATAAAAATATATTTGTATATTTTATATATAATACATGTGTATTATGTTATATGTATTTTATATACTATTATATATAAAATATGTTTAAATAATATAATTGTAAATTATTTTATATATATAAAAAACACATATTTCTCATGCTATTATCTGTTTCTTTGGGTTTCTGCCAAAAAATCGTTTTTATATTTATATTATAAATTATAAACATTTTAATATGTATATATTCGTTTTTATAGTTTTTATAACTATCTAACTTCCTTACAAACCAGCATGAGCCACAGCTCTCTCTATTTGCGTCTCACTGCACCACTGCACTGTGGGCAGCACCCGTTCTTATTGTACCCTCAGAACAGTGTGCAGCCTAGCACCTGTAGGAAGGACTCGATAGAATTTTCTTGAATGGAAATAGCAGTGTACCCTTCAAGAAAGGGTCACTTTGGAGTTAGGAAAAGGATGAAATGCTCAGAGATAAAGCAGAGGAATGTGTTGAATGGCCAGTTGACTTTATAATTTTCATTTATTTCTTCAACTTGTTTTCACTGAGTGGCTGCAGCATCCCCTGAACTGTGTACTAAGGTCCCAAGGATAGAAAAGACAAAACAAGCAAGTTCCCAGAACTTAAATTCTCCAGGGAACAGAATGGCATATATGACTGGCTGGATGGATCAATGAATGGACAGATGATGTATGTAGTGTTATTACAGACAATGGTAGTGCTACAAAAGAAGTGATTGGTACTGCAGTGAAATAATGGGGAATGTAGTTCAGCAAGGAAGTCAGAGAAGGCTTCTTAGCAGTGGTGAAATTGAAGCAGACACTTGAACTAAAAGGAGGGGGAAGGGAAGCACTGTGGAAGCTCTTCCAGGTGAAGTCAGTGCCAGGGCACAGAGGCCAAGGAAGCAGCAGGCTGTGTGTGGGGCACACAGAAGGCTCAGCCTGCAGTGCTGGTTCTGGACAGCCAGGTGCCATCTGAAGCTGCAGAGGTGGAACAGCGAAGTGAGGCAGGACAGTTGAAGGCTTGGAAAGAAGTTTGGTCTCACTCCAGTGCAGTGGGAAGCTATTGTTGGGTTTCAAGCAAGGTAGGATGTGACATAATTTACATCTTTTGTTTTGTTTTGTTTTTTTGAGACAGAGTCTCACTGTTGCCCAGTCTGGAGTGCAGTGGTGCGCTCAGCTCACTTCAACCTCAGCCTCCCAGGTTCAAGCAATTCTCCTACCTCAGCACCCTAGGTAGCAGGACTACAGGTGCCCACCACCACACCCGGCTAATTTTTGTATTTTTAGTAGAGACGGGGTTTCACCATGTTGGCCAGCCTGGTCTGAAACTCCTGAACTCAGGTGATCCGCCTGCCTCGGCCTCCCAAAGTGCTGGGATTATAGGCGTGAGCCACCACGCCTGGCCAATTTACATCTTTTAAAGATTCTTGTGGCTGTGTTGAGAAGAAATTGGAGAAAGGGGCAGACTGTGGTTTGCTCATGTTAGTAAAAATACTTAAACTAAATGAACTGATCAATAGCACACCAGCAAATGTCCAGCTGAATGCCACTAATGCTGTTTTTCAAAAATGTGTGCTGACAGAAGTTGGAAAAGTCCTTCACAAGCTTATTTATTAGCTTTGCATAAGGGCTGTTTTATGGCCCGTAGATTTTTGCGGCTCATTGTTTTTATTGAAGAATAATGTACATACAGAAAAATGCACATCAAATGTACAACTTCATGAATTATAAAAAAATGTAAATATGCCTTTTTATTAAATAATCACTGCCCAGCTCAAAAACTAGAACATGAGATGCAGGCATCTGCCCCCTTGAGCCTTCTCCCTATTCTTTCTCCTTTATTCAGTCTTTCCATTCTCCTGACCTCTCACCTGCAGTTTTGCCTATTTTTAAACTCAGTGTGATGAATGGAATGAAATAATGTTTGCTGTGTGTACCACCAGTTCATTCATTCATACTACGCTATTCATGTACTATTTGTCCGTGTGTGAGTATACTGTAGTTTATCCATATATTCCAATTGTCCAGTGGATCCATTGGTTATCATTTGGGCTGCTTCTAGTTCTTAGTCCTATGGCGATATTTCCTGTATTTTTTGGTGCACAGGTGTACACATTTTGGTTGTGTAGGTACCGAGTGCTGAAAGTACTGGCTTACAGGGGTTGTGTAGGATGAGCTGTGGTAGATTCTGCCAAGCGGTTTTTCCAAGTTGCCTTACTAATTACACTCACACCAGCTCCGTGGGAGGGCCCTGGTTGCGTCACATCTTTGCCAACACTCGGTATTTTCAATTTTTGTAATTTTAGACATTCTGGTGGGTATCTAATTTTCATTTTAATTTAATTTCACTGATGACTAATAAGGTTGAGCAACTTTTCATTGATTTTTGGCCATTCAGATGTCATCTTGTGAAGTGTATGTACAAGTATATTTCCATTTTGCTATTGAATTGACTGTTTATTTCTTATTAACTTCTGAAGTGTTTATTCAGGGTACCAGTCCTTTACTGAGTCTATGGATTGCAATGATGTTTTCTCTCTGTGTAGGTTGCTTTTCACCTTCTCTAGGTTGTTTGCTAGTGCAGAGAAGTTCTTAATGTATCTACTTTATCTGTTAGGGTTTTTTGTTGTTGTCGTTATTGAGACAGAGTCTCTCCCTGTTGTCCTGGCTGGAGTGTAGTGGCACGATCTCAGCTCATTGCAACCTCTGCCTCCTGGGTTTAAGCGATTCTTCTGCCTCAGCCTCCCGAGTAGCTGGGACTACAGGCGCCCACCACCACACTCGGCTAATTTTTGTATTTTTAGATGAGACAAGGTTTCACCATGTTGCCCAAGCTTGTCTCAAACTCCCCACCTTAAGTGATCTGCTCGCCCCAGCCTCCCAAAGTGCTGGGATCACAGGTGTGAGCCACCGTGCCCAGCGTACTTTACCATTTCAATAGTAGTTTTGGCATCTTGTTTCAGAACTCTCTGCCCATCCCAAGTTCATGCAGATGCTCCTCCATGTTGCTTTCTAGAGGATTTATTGTTTTACCCTCTACATTCAGAAACGCCATCAACTTGGAGTTGATTTTCATGTATACTGTGAAGTAAGAAGACAGATTTTCTCATATGTCTTTCCCATGGACTCAGCACATTTACTGTGGACATAAATACTCTCTCAAATACTCCACAATGTCATTTTTGTCAAATATGACCTCTATAAAGCCACATGCAACGGAATGTCAGTATTGAAGTTTGACAGCAATATGGAAGTGTAACAGATGACACATCTAAAATGAGATGCCAGGCCAGAAGCCCCAGTTAGGAAGGAATGAGCTAGGATCATTTCCCTCATTTTTGAACACCTTGAACTGATCAAGAATATAAAGAAGGAATCAGATGTAGGGAGGAGAAAGGATTCTGTGAAGAGAAATTTTTGAAAAAGCTGTTAGAATGCCACTGTCAACTCAATGTCCTTCTGTTTCTGGGGCTTGGGGAAGGTGACCTACCCCTCACCTGGAGCCTTTAGGCTGAGGATCAAGAGAGTGTTGAAGATAAAGGTGCCAATGCTTGGATCTGGGCATCTCATGAGTGAGGAAAGGGACCAGGATGCATTCCTTACGGTTGTCAGAGTGCGTGAGGACCATTATGGCCCCCGGATGGGCCGTGCCTGTGGGAGCTGGCAGGGGTGGTGTTGGGCCCTGTCACTGGGGCAGCGTGGAAGGAGAGAGGGACCCGAGTAGCAAGAAGCTAGAGGAGGACTTCAGATGCCTAGTACGCTGACACTGCAGAAAGTGACTGTTAAGAGGAGGCGTGCAGCTGCCTGCGGTAGGAATGCTGCACGTGAGTGACCCCACCGTGGAAATCTCCAAAGAGGCTCCCAGGAGAGCAGCTGAGCCTCCTCCGGTGGCCGGACCCCAAGCCCGAGACAGGACATGAAGCAGTCCCTTCAGTCCAAAATGCTCCTTCCCCCACCTCCACACCACTACCCCAGAGCAGTTAGCAGAAGACAGATGCCAGGCACAGCACCTTCCCCAGGAAGGACCCTTTGGAATTCTCTCAACTAAATGCATTTTAAAGGGGCCAGAAAGAGATTTAAAACAATAAGTAAATAAGTTGCATTTTGATTACATCCCCAAAGTCCTGCTCTTTCAGTTTTCCTTTGAGCAGTTAACAACTGACCCTCTGCACCGCCCTAAGCAGAGGTAGCTGATCACTCAGGAGGGTCACTCTTGTGTGAGGGGAAGCCTCCCACTAGCCCAGAAGTGCTCTGGGCCATAATTGAGCTTTCATATTGCTGCACCATGTAGACGCTCAAGTGAGACAGAAACACAAAAACACAATAACTGCCATCTGCCAAGGAAGCAGGAAAAATCACCTTTCAGGCCATTGTCCTGGTAAGTGGCCATGGCCTTCCAGCCACTCAGCATTTATACACAGGGAAAGCCACTTTAAGTAATGCAGTTGATGTATCTTAATCTGAGATGACACAAACATCAAAGGCATTTCTTCTCCTTGATTTCCAATAATCTCAAATATGCATTCTTTTCATATGTTCTTTGAACCTCAGTATAAAACATGGAATCAACTCTCTAACTTAAAAGCAGTGCAGTTTTGCAAAGTATCTTGCTCTAAGAGATGTTAGGGAGGTGATGCCTTTGTCATTCCTGGTTTGTATTTTTCCATTTTCCAAAAACTCTGTAGGTATTACAGATATCATTGCATAATTTAGAATTTAATCCTCCTGGAGAGTCAGGTGTCTTCAAGGTGATTTATAGCAAGTGAAGCTTGCAGAATTCTGGAGAGTGGTGATATAAAGTAAGGTAAGGCAAGAGAGAGGGAGAAACAAAGGAAGGAAAACATGTTTTATGTGGGCTTCCAGTTATGGAAGTGTAAACTGCATCCTGGGAGACAGAACAGAACCGGGAAAAGAATATGACAAATACAGATTCATTGATCACCATGAGTGTGCCCTGATTTTGTAATAGAAATAAGGAATAAAAATGTTATCAGTCACAGCCTTTAAGTGATAGGATTCTAGATCATTGTTATTTTCATCTTTGTTTCTTATGTGTTTTCTGAACTTTCCCTAATAGACATCTGTCAGTTTTGTAACCAGAAAAACATACATATTAAATGAGCACAAAGGTGTTGAAGACTTCAACTCTATTTGCTATTCACCATAGAAAGGGTTTTGTTTTTTTTTTTCCTAGTCAGGCCACAATCAATTCAGCTGAATAAACATGAACCGAAATACACACCTGCACATGCTCCTCAGGTGAGTGTTCTGAAGGACAGGCACCCACCACTGGGCCACCGGGACTTGAATTTCACCCAGCCGCACGGCCATGGGAATACCTGGGAGGACAAGGTAGCTGGGCAATTAGAAAGAAAGACTCCCCTACCCCAAGTTTGTGGCCTGGGGGCCCCAGATGCTTGGCTATTGCAGGAGGTAAAGCTGTAGAAATTGACTGGGACTGCTTCTATGGACAGCAAAGGGAGAAACAGCAATACAATAATAGTGGATTTCAGTATTCCACTTTCAATAATGGATAGCTCTTCCAGACAGAAAATCAAAAAGGAAGCGTGGGTGTGAACAGCAGTGTAGGCCAAGTGGACCTAACAGACATTCACAGATCATTCCACCCGGCAGCAGAAGAACACACATTCTTCTTATTTCTTACTGCCCAGCTGTTGGCCTTGTCCTCCCAGGTCTCCCTCTGGTGCCCCCTGCCCTGAGGTCTTGCTGTCCTGCTCTGCACCTCTATGCAGGGCTGGAGGCCATTCTGGATGTCTGAGAACTTTTCTGGCAGGTATTCCCATGGCCGTGCGGCTGGGTGAAATTCATGTCCTGGTGGCCCAGTGGTGGGTGCCTGTCCTTCAGAACACTCACCCCAGGAGCACGTGCAGGTGTGCGTTTCAGTTCATGTTCATTCAACTGAATTGATTGCGGCCTGACTAGAAAAAGCCCTTTCTGTGATAAATAGCAAATGGAGTTGAAGGCTTCAGTGCCTTTGTGTTTGTTTAATATCTACGTTTTTCTGATTACAAAAAAGACAGATGTCTATTAGGGAAAGTGCAGAAAACACATAAGAAACAAAGACAAAAGTGACAATTAGGATCCTACCACTCATGGCTGTGACTGATAACATTTTTATTCCTTATTTCTATTACAAAATCAGTGCACACTCGTGGTGACCAGTGACTCTATTTGTCGTATTCTTTTCCCACTTCTGTTCTATCTCCCAGGATGCAGTTTATACTTCCATAACTTTTTCTGTACTTACACAAACATGACTATTTATAGGGTTTTATTTTGTTTTGTTTGTTTTGTCTTAACAAAAGGACTTAGACCATATATTCCTCTGCAACTTGTTTTCTTTAGTTAACAATAAACTATGGAAGCATTCCCAGATACACACACACTTGTGTGTGTGTATAATGTATGTGTGTGTATATATATATACACATATATTTGCATATACACACATACAAAAACATTTTTTAAGGCAGCTGCACAGTCCTCTTTCATGGGCAGCAGGCCTGCATATAGAACCACCACACACAGATATGCAAAGCAAATGGAGCTTTATTTTCCTCTAACTGATGTGTCCTCCTGTGCTCTGTGTTCTGTCTCTTCCCGCCCTCAGCCTTTCCATCAGTGTCATCCCATGCTCTGCGGCTGTAAATCCTCTTTGGTGAATGCCCGGTTCTTCAGGACCCCATCTCCTCCTGGTTCCCTGGCCACATCATCTGTTGTGCAAATGTAAAACTCTTGGGAGTGAGGGGGCACTTTAGTAAGGACACTGGAGCCACAAGTGTATCCGGGGATCTCATAGCTGTCCCTATGCAGGTTCCCAGGTGCCCCACGTGTGTGCAGGCTGGTGTCCAGAGAATGCTGCTGGGTTTGTCCACACCTGTGGTGCCCCGCTGGCACCTTTGTGGACGTCTGCATCTCATGGAGTTCCTGCCCTTTCCTGTGAGTGCTCATGCCCCTGGGTCCCTCAGCTCTCTGCTTCTGAGTCTGCCAGTCCTGCTTTTCCAGCCCTGAGTCTTGGGGATTCATCCTGTGGTCCTAGGCCATAGCATCCTTGCTCTAGCAGGCGTAGCTAGGAGGTCTGGCCTGTTCAGCCCTCTGCAGGAGCGCACACAGCTCTTCCTGGGCACGACCTGGGAGTGGCCTGTGCTCTCTCTCCCTCTCTGTCCTGCAGGTCTTTTGCATTACCTTGTATGCTGTGGCATTCTGCTCGGATTCTGTCTAGTCTCTTCCCACAATCCCAAAGAGGAGCAGAGTGTAATCTACTCCTCGACTGCTGTCACTTTCACATCTTCTCTGACATTCCCCTCCACTGGGGCCTTGGGCCCAGAAACAGCCCAGGCCACCTGTATCTCTCACTGCCTCCTTCCCCAGCTTCCTCCCCGTCAGAGTCCCTTGAAGTGGGGCTTTCCATTTCTTAGTCATCGAGTCTTGAAGTCCCCTTGTCCGTGACAGATAGTAAAATTCTCTGTCTGGGTCTCCCTCAAAAGACCCTTGAAATGCTAATGGAGCTATTGGAATTTAGAAAATTGGTTAATTGCTTCCTCTTCCTCCAATAAACCTGGATTTCTAGAGGATATTCTTGCTAAGGAGGTTAAGAAAAGTCAGCACTAAGGCTCAGGGCTGATCAGTGGCCTCTTTGATTCTGAATATAAATCAGTCTTAAAGAGGAGGGCTGCAAAGGAAACATGACTTAAGGAAGAAAGATATGACAGTGCGAAAGTGTATGCTCATTACAATATAGTGCGGCTGCGTCCAAATTCCTCCCGCCTCTCCCCTATGGATGGTGGTCACGCTTTTGCCATCCCAAATAATGCTGAGGAGGGGAAAGCCTCTTACACATGTCTTCTTCTTTATTAAAACTCTTAATTTCTGTGGAATAAAATCCTAACACTGTGATGCAAAGGGCATGTGCAATTTAACTTTTTAAATCTGCTGATTCATCTTTTTTCGATCCATGCTCTCACCATTAATGTATGAAGTGCTGTTTCCCCACATCTTTACCACCACCGGATGTTAGAAACTCTTTTTAAGTTTTACAGTCTCATTAGATTAAAAAGCAAAAGTGTCTTGTGTCATCTCACATTTGCTTGACTGCTTGTGCGGGGCAGGTGGTGTGTGCTTTCACAGGCTGTCAGCTGTCCCCAGCCTCTCTTTTACAGAAGTGGCTCCTGCCCATTGTCTCCTAAGGCTGTTCTCCCTTTTAATTCTCTATGGTGCAGGCTCTTTATATATTAGGAACTCTAACTTTTGGTCAGATGGGTTGGAAGTTTCTCCCAATCTCTTTTTTACTTTGTATATATTATATTTATGTTTTACCATAGGAATTCATACCAAAAGCAAGAAGTATGACAAGTATGACTTTTTATTAAAGGACTTAAAAATCTAGATAAATGAAAAATTATACTGTACTCCTGGATGGGGAAGCTGAATTTGAAGCCATCAGTTATTTTGAAATTAACATGTATTTGTAATGCAATTTTGGTCAGTACTCTAGGTTTTTGTTTTAACTGAGCCCAAGCTGTCCAGCAATGTCAGCAAGAAATTCTTCAAGAAGAATAGTAAGAGGGGTCTTGTGTCATCTATAAAGGTGTCACATAGCTACACTCATCAAAAAATATAGTATTGGTGCCAAAAATGAAAAAAATTAAAATCACTGAAAGAAGAGATTTTGCAAACAGATCAAAGTATAGATATATTTTAACTCACTTGGAAAAGATGGCATATTTAATAAGTATCTTGTTGTAATCAATGATGTTGGAAGGGAATAAAATTGGATGCCAACACTGAGGCACGCACATGAATAAATTCCAGATGGGTTTTGAACCTAAATGTAGAGCAAAAAAATCCAATTATGTAAATAGTAGGAAAAAGAGTAGAATGTGATCCATATAATCTCAATTGAGAGAGGTCTTCTTAAATAATGCAGGAAACCCAGAATGATAAAGAAATAGAGTGGCAGATATGGCTATATGAAAACAGTTTAGCATCTTTTCCTTTAGTCTTTTACATATGCAGTTTTACATTCTTGAGGTTTTTTAATATATATGGTTTTCTCTTGATTTTTTTCACTTCCTAAGTGTTTCCCCAAGAAATATAAAACTTCAAAAATGTAATTTCAGTATCTATGTTCCAGTTTATACATGTGCTGTCATTTAATTAGAACTTACCATTTTTAAACACAAGCCACAGTTCTTTGAAATTATATTTCAAAAGTAGAAAACACATTCCATAATATCTTGAATAGATCTGAATAGAATCTTGACATGCAAGACACATGGCATACCGTGGTAGCAACTCTCAGGATAAGACAAGTGTGCACTACATGGTAAACTAGACCTGGTGCTCATACATAGAATCCAAGGAGAAACAATGTTTAATAAGTTATTAGCATCATTTCATATAAATTGGGAAGAAAATTATTGGACCCTTTCCTCATCCCATGTATACGGACAAATAGAAGATAGAGGCAACAGAGATACCTCAGGGACCAGGCGCTGATTGCAGATGTGTGGCAGAAGTACTGTGTGAAATCCACGGCGCATCCAGGGGGCTTTTCTTTGATCACACCCTGAGAATTTTCATAAACTAAACACTGTTTGGGAGTTTTAAGAGGAGGAAAAGAACTTTGCTTCTGCAAATTATGGCAGTCATGTCAATGTTACCGAATATTCCGGGACAGATTTCCAGAAGAAAAGAGTGCATCTTGTGAACCGTCAGCTTGCAGTGGCCTTGGCTAGAAGTCAGCATAGGGTCTGACTTCATTTTCTTTCTGGGTAATGTTTTTGAGGGGGAACACCGGGGACATTATACATCTGAATTTTTGGAGTACGTTTGATTAAAGAGGTAGCATAGTGTAATTGTGAAAAAAAGTTTATTTGGAATTAGAAGAGTTGAGTTCAAATCTCTAAACCCTCACTTACCTGTTATTCTCTTTAGAGAAGTCACTTCACTTTCAAGACCAGATTTTCCATTTGTAAAATGAAAGTTTGGGATCTAAGTGACTTCAAAAGTCCCTTCAAGCTATAACACTCTGCTCTTGTAAATTCCTCATGACAGTCCTGTGGTAAAGATGGGAAAAGTGTAGCCTGAATGTCATTTTAATGAGATAGGAGTCACCATTGTCAATGACTATATACAGAGAACACATTTGTCTGTCAGTCCTTTAGTTAAGCCTAGAAAGGGGTCTCTGGCAGACTGCTGTGAGGCTGTGTCTTCCTTCCCATCTAGCCATTTTCTAAATGCTGTAGAATAAGGGTTAGCAAAGTTTTTCATGAAGGATCAACAGTAAATATTGCAAGTTTTGCAGGCTCTATGGTCTCTGTTTACAACCAGCCAACTCAGCCAATAGACATTACATAAATGAACAGTTGTGCTTGTGTTCCAGTAAAACTTAATTTATAAAAAACAGGCAGCTGATGGGCAGGCTGAGGTGCCCTGACACCTACTCTTGCACAGTGAGAACATTCGTGGCCCACAGATCAAATTGTCATTTATTTGGTTAAGTTTTATTCAGCACTAAGTCGTAGGGTTGCAAATATGCATGTGTCAGTTCTTGATCTCCAGGAACTTCCCAGTGAGGAGATAGCAGGTGAATGAGATGGGATGCTCCTTAAGATAGTGAGGTCCCTGGGGTGTGGATCCGGTCCTGTGAGTACGCAGAGCTGTGAGTGTATGATTCTGCCTGGAGGTTAGGCCGGGCAACTAGAGCCAAAAGGAGTCCAGATGGCTTGTCCTAGGCAGGAGTTGTGGTGCACTGAATCTAACAAGATGAAAGTCAGTACTGACGGAAATGGGACAGTGAGTATAGACTACAAGATAAAAGCAAAGAAGCAAATAAAAAACAGCTGTTCAAGTGGGAAGCAAAAGCTGTCACTTAACCAGCAACTTCATGTGAGTTTCTGCAGCTGCAGGAAACTAGAACAGGATAAATGGGTCCCAACTCATCAGGGCCTTGAGCTTCTCCATCCTGTGGGCCGATCGTGTCTGAAAGGTTGTCTTCATTTCTTGGCCAGTGCAAGGAAGGGCTAGAGGGAAGTAATTTCCTGACACTAGGCTGACTGTGATGGAAAAGGAAAGAGTAAGTACCGGGTATTCTGCTAATTCTCACATCAACCCTGTGAGCCAGGGATTACATTATATCCATTATAGAGCAGCACTTCTCAAATTTTGCTGTGTGTAAGCATCTCTGGCGATACAGTTGAAATGTGGGTTCTGGTTCAGTAGGTCTGAGTGGGGCCTGAGAACGTTAATTTCTGATGAGCACCAGCAGATGCCAACACAGCTGGGCAAAAGTACTGTATGAAATCCACGGCGTATCCAGGGGGGTTTTCTTTGATCACACCCTGAGAATTTTCATAAAATAAACACTGTTTAGGAGTTTTAAGAGGAAGAATAGAACTTTGCTTCTGCAAATTATGGCAGTCATGTCAATGTTACAGAATATTCCAGGACAGATCTCCAGAAGAGTGCATCTTGTGAACCGTCAGCTTGCAATGGCCTTGGCTAGAAGTCAGCATAGGGTCTGACTTCATTTTCTTTCTGGATAATGTTTTTGAGGGGGAACACTGGGGACATTATATGTCTGAATTTTCACCGTACCTTTAATTAAAGAGATATCTTTAATTAAAGTAGCTCTGTGAACAGCAAGGAAGTGGATGAGGAAACAGAAATTGGCAGAGTCCATGATTTGTCCAGATTAAACTGCTGTGAGTGACTGTAACAAAAATTCAGAACTTACGTAACTCAAATAGGTATATTTGAGAAATAGGTCGGCACAGGTCAAGATGTGAAAGCCCAATAAAGCTAGGCAGAGACTTGGTAAGATAAAAAAAAAAAAGTGCCTCAAAATGTTCAGTGACAGTAGTGCCCTGATACAGGCAGTACTTAAGGAAAAATCAGTATTTAAGGAAGAGCTGTAAAGGGTCTCCAGGAGTGGGCAAAGTATGTTTTTAATTAAACATTTTATTTTGAGATGATTGTATATTGATCTGCAGTTGTAAGAAATAATAGAGTTCCAGTGTCCCCTTTACCTGTTTTCTCCCAATGGTAGCATTGTGCAAAACTATGGTCCAATATCACAACCAGGACATTAATGTTGATGTAGTCAATATGTAGAACATTTCCATCCCACAAGGTTCCCCAGTGCTGCTCTTTATATCCACAGTCACTTACCCAACCTCATTCTTAACCTCTGGCAACCGTTAATCTGTCTCCATTTCTACAATTTTGTATTGTAATAATGTTATATCAATGGAATCATATAATATGTAATTTGGGGATTTTTTTTTACTTGGAATAATTCCCTGGATATTCATCCAAGTTGTTGTGGTTATCAAGAGTTCATTCCTTTTCCTTACTGAGTAGTATTTCATGGTATGGGCATTCCACAGTTTGTTTAGTCATTCACTCCTTGAGGGTTCTGGATCATTTCTGGTTCCAGGCTATTATGAAGAAAGCTGCTATGAACATCCTTATAAAGGTGTTTGGGTGAATGTTAAGACTCCATTTCTCTAGGATAAGTGCTCAGGAATCCAGTTGCTGGGTTGCATGGTAGTTTTATGTTTAGTTTTAGGAGAAACTGCTTTCCAGAGTGGCTGTGTCATTTTCGTTCCCACAAACAGCATGTGAGTGATCTGTTTCTCTGCGTCCTTGTCAACTATTGGTGTTGTCACTGTTTTTTATTTTTGCTGTTCTGATAGATGTGTAATGATAACTCATTGTGTTTTAATTTGCATTTCCTTGATGGCTAAGGTTGTTGAACATTTTTATGTGCTTATTTGTCATATATACCTTCTCTTCAGTGAAATGTCTCTTTGTGGTTTTTTTGCCAATTTTCTAATGGATTTAACTGTTGAGTTTTGAGAATTCTTTATATATTCTAGATAGTAGTCCTTTGTCAGATACATGGTTTGCAAATATTTTCTCCCAGTCAGTAGCTGGTCTTTTTACTCTCTTTCACAGAACAAAAAGTTCAAGTTTATCAATTTTTACTTTTATGGATCATGCTTTTGGTATGAAGTCTAGTAACGACTTCTTTCCTAACCCTAAATCCCTAAGATTTTCTCGTATGTTTATTTTCAAAAAGTTTTGTAGTCTTATATTTTACATTCAAGTTTGTGATCCATTTTAAGTTAATTTTTACTGTATACAAGGTATGAGACTTAGGTCAAGTCTCTTTCTTTCTTTCTTTCTTTTTTTCTTGTTTTTTGTGCCTATGCCTGTCCCTTGTTCCAGCACCATTTGTTGCCAAGACCATCTTTCCTCTGTCAAGTTGCTTTTTCACCTCTGTCAAAAATCAGTTCCGGGTTCTCTATTCTGTTCCTTCAATCTATATTTCTATTCCTTCACCAGTACTGCAGTCTTCATTACTGTAGTCATATGGTAAACCTTAAAATTGGCTAGATTGATTCTTCCCACTTTATCCTTCTTTTTCAAAATTATTTTAACTATTCTAATTCTTCTACCTCTCCATATAAATATTACAATAACTTTGTCCATATCTATTAAAAATCTTGCTGAATTTTGACAGGAATTGTCTGTCAATTTATACATCAATTTGGGGAGTATTGGCATCATTAGTGTATTGAGTTTTTCAATCTGTGGACACAGTATGTTTCTACATTTATTTAATTAGTAGATTTTTATATCTTTAATGTTTTATGGTGTTCAGCATACAAGTCCTATGCATATTTTGTTAGATTTATAACTATTTTTATTGAATGATTATAAATAGAATTACATTTTTAATGTTAGTGTCCACATGTTCATTGATATTACAGAGAGATACAACTGATTTTTATGTTGACCTTGTGTCATGTGACCTTGCCGTAGTCACTTCTTAGTTCTAAAAGTTTTCAGAGTCCTTGAGGTTTTCTGCATTAGACATCTTGTCATCTGCAAATAAGTTTTACTCCTTTTCTTCTAATATACATGCCATTCATTTCCTTCTCTTACCTGATTGCACTGGCAAGAATATCCAGCACTATGCTGAATAAGAGTGATGAGAGCAGACATCCTTGCTTGTTCCCAATCTTAGGGGAAAACCATTCTTTCACCATTAAATATGATGTTAGCTGTAGGTTTTTTGTGAATGCTCTTTGTTAAGTTGAAAGTATTCTATTCTTATTTCATGAAGGGGATGTTGAATTTTATGAATTTTTTTCCTTCATCAACTGATGTGATCATGTGATTTTTCTTTTTAGTCTGTTAATATGGTGGATTACATTGACTGATTTTTGAAGATCAAACCAGACTTACATTTCTGAAATGAACCCCACTTAATAATGGTATATAATTACTTTTCAATATTGATGAATCCCATCAGTAATATTTTGTTAAAGATTTTTGCATCTATATTCATGAGGGATATTGGTCTATAGTTTTATTTGTTTACATTGGGTTTGTCTGGTTTTGGTATGAGAGTAATTGTGGCTTCGTAGAAGTGTCGGAAAGTGTTTTCATTTCTTCTATTTTCTGGAAGAGACAGTAGAATAGGTGTTAATTCATATTTAAATGTTTGGTAGAATTCTCCAGTGAAACCATCTAGGCCTGGACATTTCTTTGGAGGAGGCTTTTAAATTCTGAATTTAATTTTCCATAGTTGTAGGACTATCCAAATGACCGGTTTCATATTAGATTAATTAAGGTAGTTTGGGCTTCTCAAGGAATTGGTCCATTTCATCTAAGTTGCTAAATTTATATATGTAGAATTGTTCATAATATTACCATATTATCCTTTTGATGCCTCCAGGGCCAATATTCCTTTTTCATTCCAGATATTGATCATTTGTGTCATCTTTTTAAACTTTTTATTTTAAATATATTTTTAAATTATAATAACTTTAAATAATAATTTTTTAAGTTAGGAAAAAATTGTAAAAAGTTTAGAGTTCCCATTTACCTTTCACCGAGTTTTTCCAAATGTTAACACTTTACGAAACCACAGTACTATTATCAAAACCAGAGAATTAACATTGACACAACCGTGTTAACTATTCTACCAACATCATTACAAAAATTTCACTACTTTTCTCACTAATGTCCTCTTTCTGTTCTAGAATCCAATCTAGGTCCTACCCTGCATTTGGTTATTATGTCTCATTAGTCGCTTTTAATCTGCGACAGTTCCTGAGTCTTTCCTTGTCATTACCCTTATACTTTTGAAGAGAACTGGTCAGTTATTTGGTAGAATGACCTTCCATTTGGGTTTGTCTAATATTTTCTCACAACTAGATCAAGGTGAGGCTGTGCACTACAGGGAAGGAGACGGCTGATGTGCTCTGCTTGTTTCTGTGCTGGTGCACATGCTATTGATATGTCTTATACTGGCATGTTGACCTTGGTCCCTTGACTAAGGTGCTATCTGTCAGGTTTCTCTAGTGCAAAGTTACCATTTTTCCATTTGTCATTAGTAAATATCTTGCAGGAGATACTTTGAGACTATGATGCAGGTATCTTTTTCTCATCACACCTTTGAGTTAGAAAGGTTTGGGGGCTCAGAGGAAAATCCTCAAGACATATTCTTACACCACTGAATGATATCAGGTGGCCTGTGATAGTGGCATCTATACAAGGGACAAGGAAAGCAGAAAAAGGCCATTCTCTATGAATATCATGATTTTATGATTGCCCGAATTGGGGAGAAGAGGTGAGGAGTGAGAGATACAGAGAAAGAGATAGAGGAAAAGAGAAAGACTGATTCACAGAGAAAGAGATCTGAAGTTCAGAACTCATTGAGATGGAGAGGGCGAAGTCAAGGGAGAATTCAATTTTTCAGTCTTGACTGACTTGAAGAACAGGTAAGTTTTGCAAGGAAGGCAGGTTTGGTTCTAAGAAATCTGAGGTACCTGTGAGACGTATAAGTGCACATCCCATCAGAGAGCAGGGCAAAGGGTGGAAAAGAGAACAAGACTAGAGAGGGCCACTTGGGAGTCACCCGAACACAGGTGTTATGAATATTTAGTGAGTATAAATCAGTTATCCAACAGAAAGAGCCAAGCCAAGCACAAAGTTGGGAGAATACCCATAGTTTGTTGGAAAAGGAATCAGTGAGACAAACTGAAGTCGTGGGGAGATGAAGGACGATGGTGCCATGTATAAGGAAGAGTTCACAGTGGCAGCATGACCACTGTGTTAACTAAGAGCTAGAAGGTCAGTGATTCCGTCATTAGCAGGGGGTGACTTCTGTGGCTGTGGTTTCAGTCAGGTGGTAGGGATGGAATCCAGATGTAGGCAGGGGATAGGAGAGTGCAGAGAACGCAGTAAGTGATGAAGAAAGAAGTGGACAGCAATTATTGTGAGCGGTTCAACGGGGAATTTTCTTTGTTAACAATGCAGAGGGAAACATAACTGTAACGTCACTTCCACTAACAGCGCAGTCAGACAGATTCGATTGCTAAAGAAGACTCACAGGGCCCAGAAGGACAGTGCTCACAAGTCTGTGGTTTATTGACAAGAAGGGATGTGATAGAGCAACAAGCATGAAGGCAAGGACCTGCCTTGCATCCAAAGGCTGCCTCACAGCAAGCAGTGTGGACACACTGAGGCCGATACGGGCTGCCTCCAATGGTCTTCCCTCTGCAGGCCTGAGCCAGATGTGTTTTCTCTCTCAGAACCACATACCCATGCAAGGAAGGAACACCTCAGATCCAAGCAGCCCAGTGGAGTCACAGTGGGGCTTTTTGCAGCCTTCTGGTCACATAAGCATATTATTGCTACATGAGCAGCTCTAACATCAGAGCCCCCTCCCCAAACACGTGCAAAACATCAGTCTCACAGTCATCCATAAACAATGAGGACAAACAGGCAGAACCTACCCTGAAACTCACCTCGGACCCAAGGGTAAAAACAACAGTATTGGCTGAGCGTGATGGCTCACGCCAGTAATCCCAGCACTTTGGGAGGCCGAGGCGGGCGGATCACGAGGTCAGGAGATTGAGACCATCCTGGCTAACACGGTGAAACCCCATCTCTACTAAAACTACAAAAAATTAGCCGGGCGTGGTGGCGGGCGCCTGTAGTCCCAGCTACTCGGGAGGCTGAGGCAGGAGAATGGCATGAACTCAGGAGGTGGAGCTTGCAGTGAGCTGAGATCGCACCACTGCACTCCAGCCTGGGTGGCAAAGCGAGACTCCATCTCAAAAAAAAAAAAAAAAGTATTAATCACTGCCTTTCATAGTTTGATGCAGAATGTCTCGTACTTCAGCAAAGCAGCTCAGGCCAATTTCAGACCTGCTGGAATTAACCCTCCTAGCACATCCCTCTACGAATGTTATCTCAGTAAGTCCTTATTACCATCCTGTTAAATAGGTGCCATTACTCTTATTTTTAAGAAGGGCAATGTGATGCTCAGAAAGAGTAAGTACACTGCCAAAGCAACACACCAGGAGAAGGGAGGCGGGAACTGATTCTGTGGGACAGGAGGGCAGATGCCTTCACAACAAGAGGCCCCCGGGTGTGTTTGAAACAAGTTGGGAGTAAAAAGGATTAGAGAGGAGGAGCTTGCAGGTATGAGAGCAGCAAAGGGATAACTGTGAAAGGCGGGTCTCCTGAGAAATGAGAACAAATGTGCTCCTGAGACTGCTTAAGAAGAAAGAGAGAAGATGAAGCTATTAGCAGAGGCTGGGGCCCAGGCCTCGGTAGCCTTTAGATGAGTGGTTCTCCACCCCAGAGGGCTGGTGCAAACACAGCTTGCTGGGCAGTGCCCCCACTTCCAACTCAGCAGGTCTAGGTGGAGCCTGGGAACTTGCATTTTTAACAAATCTCCAACAATGCTGATGTTGTGGGCCAGGGGCCTCACTTTGAGAACCACTGTTCAGGCTTGTCAGTGCCACATGGGTTGGGTCAACTGGAAGGAGAAGAGCTGGGGTGGAGGGATGACTCTCTGGGACCCCTCTTGCCGGTCTCTTTGCAGAAGTATCAACAGGTCATGATACCAGGGGAGGAACATAAATAAAAGGGACCAAGTTGGATAAATGCCAGGGTATTAGAGTAAAATGTGTTTCAGCTGCTTAGCTTTGATGTGAAAATTTGAACAAATAACCAGAGAATAAGGGACTGTTTCCATTCCTAGTTTGAAAAAAATTATATTTAATAAAAGATGGAATTGTCACTAGCATAATTTTAACGATTTTGAAATAGAAAATATCCTTGGAGGGGAGGGAAGGGTTAGGAAAGAATGTGTGTAGTTGGAGGAAGGAACAATGCTTGGCTGCTGTCCTGGTGGGAGTCAGTGAAGCTGCCTGATGAGCAGTAGCAGGACCATGGGCTCGATTATCAGGGAATGACTTTTTAGATGGCGGAGATGCCTCTGGGGCTTCAGGAGCTGTGGAGATAAGGTGACCAGTGTCTTCAAGCTGGGATAAAGCATTGTTCACATCTCAGCACATTTCGAGAAGTGGCACAATGCTAACACAGAGCATTGGCTTTGCTGTTCAGGTTGCAGGTGACTGGTTGTGTGACCCTGGGCAGGTTGTCTCACTCCTCTGGGCTCAGGACAGGTGGTCTTTAAGCAGGTGTGCATGCTAGCTAGCCCCTGCAGCGCGGGGTTGTTGTGAAAATGTAATGATAGAGAATATGGCGCATGCCTGGTACGAGGAGACACTCAGAAATGTCCTCTTCTGCTTCAAGGTCAGGTAGAAGAATCTTTTCAATTTCACCTCCTGAACCCCAAGTAGCTCTAAGTCTCATTCTTCTGAAACCCTTGTCTTCTGTGGCCCCTGAGCCTAAAACCACAGACGCTGGGTCTTTGTGGCCCCCTGGAGGCCAGGCTTCAGGAGGACCCTGGTCACAACCCGAATGGGATAGCAGCCTAGCAAGATTCAGCAGACAGCATGCGAGTAAACAGATTAACAGGGTGATTGCTAACGCCACAGAAAGTAATGTGGGTGAGTGAGTGAAAGCAAAGGTTGAGAAACATCATTCATAAAGGGCAGCCAAGGAGGGCCTTTCTAAGGAGGTAGCAGCATTAAACCTGAGGGTGAGGAGGGGCCGCCTGGGGAAGGAGGCAGGTAGAGGGGAGGAGTCCACTCGGGAAATCCCAGGTCACCTGGACATGTCACTGGGCCCTGGGATTGGTGTGCAGGTCAAATGCAATGTTGGTTGTGCTTAGGCAATTGAAAACAAGTAGAAGCTAAAAAAGGGATGATTTATCTTGGTTCTGAGAAGTTGGGTTAACAGTGAGGTCAGGAAGCAGAGGTGAGCAGCCAGCACCCTCTTTCTCTTGGGAAACTTGAACACATTTTAGAATTATAGTTCCCCCAGGGAAGAAGTTAGCAGAGGCCACCCCACACCCAGGACAGGTGACAGAGCAGCAGTCTCCTCTCCCTGACCTTGATGCCTGGGCACAAAGGCAGCTTTTGCTGAGCAACAAGATGCTTGGACTCCCCACTCCTCCTCTATTTTCCTCTCCTGGCTGCATTTGCCCTGAAAGGCTGCAGACACCTGGCCCCAGGCCCTCCAAGTGGGCACCCACCCCCATCTGGGTGACAGAGGCTGCTACTCATGGGAACTCCCCTAACTCCCTCTGAGTCCCTCTGAGTCATCTGGGTGGTGGACCAGCAGCCGTTGGGTCTGACCTCTCACCAGGACGCGTGCCTCTGAGCACTGGGACACAGGCCCTTTGAGGTCTCTCTGGAGCTGAAGGGCCGGCTCGCACACTGGGATGGAGTGGAATATGTGTGATATGTTGGTGAGGGATGCAGGCAGGTGTGGGAGGAAGTGGAGCAGGCACAGTCCATGGAGGACACGGGGCCCGGGTGCAGAGGCACACAGGCATCATCTAGATGGTGAGAAGGCGATGGGCCCAGATTCTGCCCTAGTGCAGGGAAGGCACCAAGATTTCAGATCAGAGGGAACTGCAGGAGAGCTGCAGAGACCCTCTCCCTTCAGCAGATTTAGGTGCTGCCTGTGACTTGCCAGACTGGCAGTCCCCAGCATGCTGCCAGCAGGCACGCTCAAAATGCGCTTCTGGCCTGAGCCCTTGCTGGCCTCAACACGCCAGCGGCTGCCCCTCTGTGGAGAGGAGTTCTCTGTAATGGTGCTGCAGGGACAGCCCATTCTGCCTGTCCACCCCCAGCCCCTTGTGCCCCCCTCAACCCTGTGCCCTGTCACTCACACCCGCAGCTACACCAAATCCTTCCCCAACCCCCTGCACAGGGGACTCCTTCGTGTGCAGGCCACCCACCCCCAACCCGTGTCTGCACTGGAGGTTCTCTGCGGAGAATTCTCCTCCGTGGGGCAGTAGAAGGACAGGCCTGTGTGTGCCTGAGCCCCTCTTCCTCAGGTGTGTGTGAGAGAATTTACCTGAGAGAAGTTAGCAATGCCTGCCTAGTGAAGGCCTGGCACAGAATAGGCCCTCAGCAAACACCAGAGACCTCTGCCCTCCTTACCCTTCTGGGAACTCTTATTTAGAGTTTAAGGCCCAAGCCAAGTATCTCCTTCTCTCTGAAGAGTTCCCTTTCCCCGGAGGCAGATGACAAGGCAAGCCGTGACTTCCCTTGGACGGGGGCTGCTCTGCATCTCAGGCGTTCACCAGGGAGCGGGCTGAGCTGCGGGTGTCGGTCTCCAGGTCTGTCTCCTGTTTCAGATTACAGGGCTCTTGACGGCAAAACCACTCAACTTTATTTCTGCCTCGTGGCCTACACCTCCTAGCATAGTAAGTGCTCATTAAAATGTTGCTGGTTTGTGCAGGATCTGGATTTTATGCAAATGAATAATAAACTAAAGTTTTGCTAGCTGACTACAGTGAAATATCAATCACTTCATGTCTGTTTGGATGACTGTTACCCACAAGAGAAGAGATACGTGTTGGTGAAAGTGTGGAGAAAAGAGAACACTAGTACAGTGTTGGTGGGTATGTAAATTAGTGCAGCCATTACGGAAAAAGTGTGGCAGTTCCTCAGTAAAATAAAACTAGAACTACCATGTAATCCAGCCATCCCACTGCTGGTATATAGTCAAAGGAAATGAAATCAGTACATCAAAGAGTTACCTGCACTCCTATGTTCACTGCAGCACTATCCACAATAGCCAAGACATGGAACCACCCTGTGCTCATCCAAAGATGAATGGATAAAGAAAATGTAAAACATGGCCGGGGCGGTGGCTCACGCCTGTAATCCCAGCACTTTGGGAGGCCGAGGTGGGCGGATCGCAAGGTCAGGGGATCGAGACCATCCTGGCTAACACGGTGAAACCCCGTCTCTACTAAAAATACAAAAAATTAGCCAGGCGTGGTGGTGGGTGCCTGTAGTCCCAGCTACTCAGGAGGCTGAGGCAGGAGAATGACGTGAACCCAGCAGGCGGAGCTTGCAGTGAGCCGAGATCGCGCCACTGCACTCCAACCTGGGCGACAGAGCAAGACTCTGTCTCAAAAAAAAAAAAGAAAATGTAAAACGTGGTATAAATACACAATGGATAATATTCAGTGATAAAAAGAATGAAATCCTGTCACGTACGGCAAGAATGAACCTGGAGGGCATCATGTTAAGTGAAATAAGCCAGGCACAGAAAGACAAATACTGCATGATCTCACTTATGTGTGGAATCCGAAAAAGGTGAACTCACGGAAGCAGAGAGCAGAATGGTGTTGGCCAGGTGCTGGGGGAGGTGGGGTGGGTTGAGATGTTGGTCAAAGGATACAAATTTCATTTAGGCAGGATAAATAAGTTCAAGGGATATATGGGGACTATTATAACATGGTAACTATTGTAACGATGTATCCTTAAAAATTCTTGAAACTTGCTGAGAGTAGATAATAATAAAGTAAACTGGTGTTACAAAAAGTTTTTTGGTTGAATGATGAGCAAAGGTTTCCCGGGGGAAGGGGGCTTGAGGGGATCTGGGCTTGTGAAGGGTGGAGGGGTGTTATGACAGGGAGAGGGAGAACTGAATGAAAGAAGACAGCAAAACCTAGGTAGGAGTGGGGGACAAGGAGAGCGGTAAGAGCCCAGGATCCAGGTAGCCTGAGGGAGGAGGCCCCCAGCCGAGGGATGCCAGAGAGCATGCCAGTGCCTATTGACCCTTCACACACCTGCGCTGCGTGGGCCCCCTCCACTGGCTCTGTGAGGGCAGTGTCCTGGCTTCTGAGCGCCACTCTGGGGTCACTAAGGTCACATGGCACCCTGCTGGGTAGCTGCTGCTCATTTTGTACCTGCTGTTTCCCAGCAGTCAGTCCTGGAAGCATCTCTGGTCCTGTAGTCCTGCCTTCATCTTGAGCCCTTCTCAGTGCCTTGTATTTTTACTTTACAATAGTGTCAGCTTAGAGCAGTGAATCCTTCGGGTCCCTGGAGCATCTTCAGAGGTCCCTTTTCATCTTCACCAGGACCTTTGGAACAGCCCAAGTCCCGTGGTGATGCAGGGACAAAGCAGCTGTGGTGGCTTTTTAGACCATAGGCAAGTAGGGGACATGACTAGTACTGATCCCAGACCTGGGGAAGCCCGGCTGATGGGTTTCCCGTGTGTGCTGGCCTTCAGTGACACCAAGGGGCTGGATGGAGAGGAGGATTCAGCTAGAACAGCCTCTTTGGGCTTTCACTTGCACCTTACAGACCTGGGTCTCTGCTCTCACCTGGAGCGCCCCAGACACGCGGTGTGTCCACAGCGTTAGCACACTCCCTGGGCCCGCTGTCAGCCCTGGGGGCTTTGAGAAGGGTGTGTCTGCCTGGCATCACCACATCCAATCCAGCCACATTCTGCATTTCAGAGCCAGAATACAGGTCTAAAATGCCTGTTTTGTTTTAGAAACTACTGTTCTCCCCAGGATTAAAATGTGCAGGAAGCATTCATCCCACCCTTAGTTTAGCTGATAGCCTTACCCCCCTCCCTTTTGTTTTGTTGTGGATCTGAACTTATTTTACCCAATGGCTATTTTCTTGCATTTCCCTCTAGAGGTATTGGCATTTCGAGAAGCACTTCAGCCTTCCAGATCTTTACATAATTCATTACGGACATATTTTGGACTTACAGTATCTTAGAGTACAAAAAAAAGAGACTCTCCTCTTTATTTCCAGAAGTTGTTACAGACTTCTCCTGAATTTAAATTTCCTGAAAATTTTTCCTGGACATGCTGTAAGTTTTTATTCCATTAGGGAACCATAAACAAAACCACTTACCAGCAGGCCTGAGGCAGAGATGAACACCTGGCCTGAGCATCTCTCCTGCACCTTCCTGAGAGACAGACCGAGTGATCACTGTGTGAATTAAAGCCCATTTCCTAGAAACTCACTCTTCTCTTGAAGCTTTTAGGAAGACTAAGAGATAAAGCCATCCACCAAGAGATAAAGCCAGGAAAAGTGTCTGTCCCAGTGCAAGTCTGTGAGGGTTGTTAGTGGTGGGGATGGGCATCCTTCATTCTTTCAGCCAGGGGACTGCACGTCCGTGGAGTGAACACCCCAGAGGTGGGCAGGGGACCAAGTCCAGCATGGGAGACAGGACCCCTGGGTCAAAGGCTGTTCTTAGGTAAGCTTCGTGACAAACATGGCATTTGAGCTGGGTCTTGAGTGGAGCCAGGAGAGAACAGGAATTTTGAAAATTCCTGAGGGAAAAAATGTGAACAAAGAAAGGGACCCAGGAAGTAGTTTATTGTTAACTATCATTTTCCTACTATGGTATCAAATACAAGAATGAATTTCTTCTATCCAACTGCATGTTGGTGCCCATTAGTCAACTTCTCTTCCTCCCCACTTCCCTTCCCAGCCCCTGGTAAACACTGTTCTACTCTCTACCTCTTTGAGACCCACTTTTTTTTGCTCCCACATTTGAGTAAGAACATGTGATATTTGTCTCTCTGTGCCTTGCTTATTTCACTTAACATGATGATATCCAGTTCCATCCATGATGCTGCAAATGACGGGATTCCATTATTTTTATGGTTGAGTAATATTCCGTTCTGTATATATTCCACACTTTCTTTATCCATTCATCCATTGATGGACACTTAGGTTGATTCCACGTTTCAGCTATTGCAGACAGTGCTACAATAAACATGGGAGTGCAGATATTTCTTCAATATACTGATTTCCTTTCCTTTTAATATATACTCAGCCGTGGGATTCCTGGATATGTGGTCCTTCTATTTTTAGTTTCTTGAGGAACCTCCATACTGTTTTCCATAATGATGGTACTAATTTACATTCCCTTTCTCCACATCCTTACCAGCATCTGTTATTTTTTGTCTTTTTTATAAAAGCCAATTCTAACTAGAGTGAGATGATATCTCATTGTGGTTTTAATTTGCATTTCCCTGGTGATTAGTGATATTGAGCATTTTTTCATTTGCCTGTTTTCTGTTTGTATGTCTTCTTTTGAGAAACATCTATTCAGGTCATTTGCTGATTTTCTAATCAGATTATTTGTTTTTTTGCTATTGAGTTGTTTGAGCTCCTTATATAATCTGGTTATTAATCCCTTGTCAGATGGAAGTTTGCAGATATTTTCCCCCTTTCTCTGGGTTGTCTCTTCACTTAGTTGTTTTGCTTCCTGTGCAGAAGCTTTTTAGCTTGATATAAACCCATTTTTCTATTGTTGCCTTTTTGAGATCTTATGCAAAAATCTTTGCCCAAACCAATGTCCTGAAGTGTTTCCCCAATGTTTTCTTCTGGTAGTTCCATAATTTTAGGTCTTATATTTAAGCCTTTAATCCATTTTAGAGTTGATTTCTGTATATGATGAGATGAGGGTCTAGTTTCATTCTTCTGCATATGGATATTTGGTTTTCTCAGCACCATTTATTAAAGAGACTGTGTTTTCCCTGGTGTGTGTTCTTGCCACCTTTGTTGAAACTGAGTTGGCTGTTAAGTGTGTGGATTTATTTGTGGGTTCTCTGTTCTGTTCCATTGGTTGATGTGTCTGTTTCTATGCCAGTACCATGCTCTTTTGGTTACTATAGATTGGTAGTATCATTTGAAAACACAACCATGATGCCTTTAGCTTTGTTCTTTTTGCTCAGGATCACTTCGGCTGTTCAAGGTCTTTTGTGGTTTCATATGAATTTCAGGCTTTTTTCTGTTTCTGTGAAGAATGTCATTGGTATTTTGATGGGAATTGCATTGAATCTGTAAATCACTTTGGTTAATATAGACATTTTAACAATATTAATTCTTCTAATCCATGAGCATGGGATATCTTTCCATTTTTTCAGGTTCTTCCTGTTGAGTTACAGGGGTTCTGTATATGTTATGGATATTAATCCCTTATCAGATATATGATTTGCAAATATTTTCTGTCATTCTGTTGGTTGCCTTTTCACTTTGTTGATAATGTCCTTTGGTACACAAAAGTTTTTAATTTTGATGAAGTCCGTTTTATCTATTTTTCCTTTTGTTGCCTGTTCTTTTGGTGGTGTCATACCCAAGAAATACTTGTCAAATCCAGTTTCATAAAGCTTTTCCTCTGTATTTTCCTGTATGAGTTTTATAGGTTTAGCTCTTACATTTAGGTCTTTGATCCATTTTTAGTTAATTTTTGCATACAATGTTAGGTAAGAGTCTAACTTCATTATTTTGCATGTGGATATGCGGTTTTCCCAGCACCATTTATTGGAAAGATTGTTCTTTCCACATGGAATGGTCTTGTGGAAAACCTTTGGCCATTTATGCGAGGCCATGTGTGGCACCCTTGTGGAAAACGATTTAACCATGTATTTGAGGATTTATTTCTGGTCTACCTTGTGTGGACTATAAATCTGTCTTTATGCCCACACCACATGCTTTGATTACCATAGATTCATAGTATGTTTTGAAATCAAGATGTGTGAGACTTCCAACTTTATTCTTCTTTTTCAAGATTGTCTTGGCTATTGATTCTGTTCTTTTGCATTAGAAGTCAGAAAATTTATTGCCTACAAAATCATTTTGAAAGTACTACTCAAGCCTTCTAGTAAAATTAAAAATTAATAAAGGACCAATGAGAGATATGCAAATTATTCGTGATCAGTTAGCAAACACCAAAACACAGTTGTGTTACAAGTAATAATATAGAACTGAAGCTTAAAGTAGTTGTTAAGAATTATGATTCCTAAGAAAGTAGAACACAAAAATCAAAAGCAATTTCAAATCAACATTTTAAATGATTTCAACAAAATATAGCAGGTATCAGAGGAAGAGATGGGAATTAGATTGAACTAGGGACCTTATCCTATGTGGAAATTAGAGGTTGTATATGTTATTTGACTGAGTAAAAATTAAATTTTATGTATAAGTTATTAGATAAAATAAATGGCCTCAAAAGGTAAAAATATACAGACATCTGCTGACCTAGGGGATGCCCAGTCGAGATGGGGTGTACCTGGTTCCACTGTGTGGAACATGAACAGCCCCCTCACTTTGAGGTTCCCTGCAGATCACACCCCCAGAACTTCTCTCCCAGAATCTCAGAAGTCAGAGTTCAGTGTTTGAGCCCCGCTGAGAAGCACAGTCCCCTCCCCTGGCACATCAGCTTCTAGGGGCTCTGAGCCCACCCTCACGTCTGTTAAGTCCACACGGATGAGACTTTTCCCATTGATCCTCATCTGTCTCCTGATGGGACATTCATTTGAAAATTAAAGGGTGGGATCGTGTGTTGGGAGTGGGATTCAGGGCTGTGGGATTCACCAGCCAATTTCAAATGCATGTTAAATATTTAAAATCATTTAAAAATTTGAAACATTAATATTTAATTTTTAAACTATAAAAAATTAATCCTAAAATTGAAATTGTTAATTCTCACTTCCCATGAAGTGTGAACATTCTCTTTTATTCTCACTGTCTTTTCCAGTGTTCTCAGGCGCTGTGGTCTCACCTTCCACTGGGGCAACAATGGGCCATTTCCAGCAGGGACGGCGCAGTGTTGGCCTGCATGCCTGACTGCCACACACCTCCAGAATCAGGTGTCTGAAAAGTAAGTCCTGTGTTCGTGGGGTCTTAGTGGCAGGCCAAAGGGGCAAGTGCAGTCACCGCCTCTGACAATAGAGCTGGTAGTGGTTCTGTGGACTCCCTGGAAATCAGATCTAAAGCCCAGATAAAGTGTAAGGTTCATTGAGAAAGAGTCATGAAATGTATTTCATACTGCATTAGAATTTGAGATTGGAATAATAGGCATTATTCTTTAAAAGGAAAAAAAAAACAACTGTAGTGATTGACAAGTGACTTGATTTATACCAGTGCAAAATTTGTCATCTGTTGCAACCATTATTGATTTTTTAAATATTATAAGCAAAAGAAAAATAGTGCCATTATCTTAACACACTAATTATTTTTACTTTTACTGTTTCCTGTTACTTCTTATCCAATAATACAATTTTAATCTGACTGAGAGCATAACCATTCTTTTGCTTTATGACTCTTGGAACAAAATTTTTATATACCTTCTTGCCTACTTTTTATTTTATAAGCTTTAATTCTACAGCAAACTTGAAGGAATAGAAAAGTGAACACCCGTAATTCTTCACCCAGATTTACCAATTGTTTATACACAAACAGACACACACAGGTGGTAAATATGTGTTTGTGTGTGTTTGATTCTTTTTGTCTGAATCATTTGAAAGTAAGTTGCTGACATCATGAGACACTCTGGCATCATCTCCTAAGTACACAGCTACCTTCTACAAAAGTATAGCACTATTACCACTGTGAAATATAATATCGATAAAGTGATATTATCCAAATATGTTGTCCCTACCCAGATACCCCTGATTGTCCCCCAAATATTCATCATAGCTGTTTTTCCCTGCCTAGTGTTCAATTAAGTATCACTCACTGAATTCAGTTATGCCTCTTTTTATCTGAACTAAAGGCCTGCTTTCGTTTTTCTCTTTCGTGATGTTGACGTCTTTGAAGAGTCTGAGCCACTTGTTTTATGGAGTGCTGCACAATCTGGACCTGTCTGATTATTTCCTCATACTTAGATTCAGATAGACATTTCCTCCATTTGTCTTTCCAGCACATCAGTGGGCACACCGTGGCTCATGGTGATAAGTTTGTTCACTGGGCTAAGGTCATTTCTACAAGAGTTCTCTTTATAAAGTTACTTTTTTTTTTTTTTTTGAGATGGAGTCTCGCTCTGTCGCCAGGCTGGAGTGCAGTGGCACGATCTCGGCTCACTGCAACCTCCACCTACCGGATTCAAGCAATTCTCCTGTCTCAGCCTCCCGAGTAGCTGGGACTACAGGCGCCCGTCACCACGCCCAGCTAATTTTTGTATTTTTAGTAGAGATGAGATTTCACCATGTTGGCTAGGATGGTCTCAATCTCTTGACCTCAGGTGATCCACCTGCCTTGACCTCTAAAAGTGCTGCGATTACAGGTGTGAGCCACCACGTCCAGCCTGTAAAGTCACTTTTTACATTCTTTGTCTTTTACTAGTAAGCAATGGGGCAAACTTTGAAGCCCTGTGAACATTCTCTTCCCTGGCTGATTTTCATCCAGTGATCTTAGCATCCCTTGATGGTTGTTATTATAATTTTTAACCCATTAGTTTATTGGGACCTCAGACTTTCTTTGTCACATAGTCCTTCATGTTTCACATTTTCTGTGGTTGTGGGGTCATCACACAAGGGAGCATATACTGAGGTGGTCAAGAGGAGGACTCTGAAGTTAGACCATTCAGATAGGCATCTAGGTATGCATCTTGTCTCTGTCATACAACAGCCAGGTGACTGCGAGCAAACATTTCTCCTCACAAACCTTCAGTGTCCTTATAATTACAATTAGGAGACTGGGAGTGACCATCGCAGGAGGCATATGGTAGAGGGTACAGCCTGTGGCTGGCCTTGCTAAGCAGTAGCTGTTAATTATTATCAGACACAAGACACATGGGCGAGAGCCACTGGATGCTGCTTTTATTCCTGAGATCTCTTATAAGACCTTTAGCAAAAATGCTAATAAATCTGAGTGACAGAGCAGAGGCCCCACGCTCTGTGTCCCTGCAGTTAAAAGGTTGCATAGGGAATGAAACCACTATGGCAGGAAGTATTCATCAGCGAACACTGTCCCGATGTGCACTCCCCCATCGGCTTCCTCCTCCTGCTCTCGGTCAGCCTTAACTGCCTCCCCTCGCTAGGCCTGAACCTCCCTAGTCTGTTGTCGGTTTGCCTTTCAGTCAGTAACCAATTGGGCTTTTATTTGAAGATTATGTGTGGTTTTTTTTTTTTCTATTTAAATCAAGTCCTTTTAGTTTTATTGGCATCCCATTGCCACAGAATGCATCTTCCTTGAGAATGTTTTGAAAATTTTACCAAGAAAACAGTTTGTGAAAATATAGGTTATTTTAGAAGCTACACACGAATATGAATTAGACTGAGTCTTCAAAAACATTGCTGTTGGAAAACATGTTAATATCTTAAAAATACTTCCTCTGAAAAGGTTACTTGCCTCATTTTCTTCCCCACAACTCTTAAAAGCAGATGAGAGCTGGTGCTCACAGAGAAGACCGCTCTGTGTCCTGCATCCAAATGACATGCTTTCTGTTGGCTTCTTGTCGGGCTGAGCTTGAAGGGATGGCCCTGTGGGGTTCCTCTGCTTTCTGGGGCAATATCAACCCAGCCAGCCTGGGGTTTGCCAGGACCGGAGGACTCTTCTGGTGGGCTCCAGCCCCAGGCTTCCCTGAAGCCTTTCCACATCTCCTTTTTCCTTCTTACCAGCTGTTTACATGCCAGGAATCCTTGCTTGTCTCCTCGTCCTCTGGATCTGCTCCTTGGAGATGGGACTGTGTCTTTTCTGCTTTCCCAGGAGCAAACCCAAAGGTTATGGGAGGAGTGAAGTGCAGGTGAAAGCAAACCTCTGGTTCTGCATCAACACCAAGGAAATCACTGAGTTTCACTTGAGTGTGTGGATGGAAATATCAGGGCTGCTTTTTTTCAGTTTCCCAAAGCACATCCTGCAGAATGTCTGTCCACTTGGAAACCTGAGCTCTCTAGTCTTGAGTGAGCTCCACGCTCATGGCCTGTGTGCTGGAGAACCAAATGGAGGTGGCTGGAAGCCAAGGCAAAGCCCCTGCAGAGAGGCCCACTCCCAGGAGGCTTGCAGGTGCTTGGCCACACTCAGGGGAAAAGGACCCCTCCTTCTCCACAGCCCTGGGCCAGGCCTCTCCCTCTTCCTGTTCCCTTCTGCATAGCAGCAGCCTGGCAGTATGTGTTCCCCAGTGTGGATTCAACAGCATCACCAGCCAGGAAACCCTCACACCCAGAACTTGGTTTTGGGTCTTACTCTTCAAAGCCCTGGTGCTGAGCCATGGAAAGAGACACAGTCCCCCGTGAGATGGCATAAGTATAAATTCACAAAAGGCTTGAAGACACACCCTCAGGGCAGTTCTTAAATCCCCTGGGGGCTTGCGATCCACACAGACATTGTGCCCCATAAGTGTGTGAAGGTGGGTCAGCCAGTCAAGAGAAGGCCAGGAACCCAGTGTCTATTCAGCACTTTGCTGAATTCCCTATGTCCATCTTGGTTCTGGTTTACTCCTAGAGCGTGCAAAAGCTCAATTCTCAGGCAAAGTCGTCTGTTGCCATGTTCCAAAGCTTTATTTAACTCATCAGTAAGGGAACCAGCAAAAAGACAAATGATCTGGCTCCACAAGCATTTGGTAACTGGGATCTTTTTTTGAGACGGAGTCTCGCTCTGTCGCCCAGGCTGGAGTGCAGTGGTGCGATCTTGGCTCACTGCAAGCTCCACCTCTCGGGTTCACACCATTTTCCTGCCTCAGCTTCCCGAGTAGCTGGGACTACAGGCGCCCGCCACCACGCCCGGCTAATTTTTTTGTTTTTTGTTTTTTTTTTTTCAGTAGAGACAGGGTTTCACCGTGTTAGCCAGGATAGTCTTGATCTCCTGACGTCATGATCCACCCGCCTTGGTCTCCCAAAGTGCTGGGATGACAGGCGTGAGCCACCGCACCCAGCCAGTAACTGGGATTTTTAAGGTCAGTTGGGAAACAAATGCGGAAATAAGATGCTAAGTTAAGGCAAACCTCTACAAAGCAATGAAAAAAATGCCAAATTTGGAGTTAACTTGTTTACTAGGCAGTAAAAGTCATAAGCTATCAATTCTGCAGGCTAATCTCACAGGGCTGTAAACCTCTTTATTTTAACCAATTGTGAATGATTAGATAAATATTTGTCACACTGCTCAAGAGCTTCAGAATGGGATCAATCAGACTTATTTGCATTCTAGCAGAATATCACAGATTCCAGAAATCATCATTTTTCCCTTTTTCAAGTTTGGAATCAACGTTTCCATAACAATCAGCTAAAATATGGTGATTGACAAGTTGTGAGTGATCACGTAGCACCGGGTGAAGGTGCTGCTTTTTGGCCTGCACAATGCACTTGAGCTCCGGTGTAGATACTGCAAGGCCATGTGTGGGAGGCAGCTTCTGACACAGCTCCCAACCATTCCTGCCTCCTGACATCGCATCTTTGTGTTGTCCCCTGCCCTTGGGTGTGGGCTGGACATGGTGACTTGCTGTTAATAAACAAAATACAGCAGAAGTGACAGATGTCACTTCCAAGACCAGGATACAAACACTGCGACTTCTGTCTTGCTCAGGCTCTCTCTGACTCTTCTCACATGGTTGCTCTGATGAAACAACTCTGATGTTGTGATCTCACCTATGGAAAGGCCCACGTGGCAAAGAACTGAGCTTCTTAGTTCAACAACCCTCAGAAACAATTCTGTGAATGATCACATGAGTAAGCTTGGAAGAGAATGCTTCCTCATTTGAGCCTTCAGACGAGACTGCAGCCTCAACTCACATTTTGGTTGCAGCCTTGTGAGAGACCCTGAGCTAAGGTGCACTCTGACTTCTGCCCCACAGAAATGGTGAGATTATGAATATGTGTTATTTTAAGTCCCTAAATCTGGGAGTTGTCGTTTCACAGCAATAGGTAACTGATGCAGCATCCATGAAATTTATAGTGTTGATTGTTCTTGGATATATGCTTCTCAGCAGAGCTGTGTTTCATCTTTGCCAGCTTCTCCCATCTCCTTTCTCCTGCTTCTCTACTCCCGCTTTCCTATTATTTATTAATCTTCCTTTCTTTATTCCCACTCCATTTGAGTTCCACTTCTCTGCAACTGTAATTGCATCCTTGGCCATTGATTAGGGAGGCTTAACTAGAGGCACCTTATTTGTGGAGACAATGTGCAAGTCAGAAAGATTCCCCATCCTTGGCCAGTAGCAAAATCGTTTTCTTTGTTGAAATCAATTGCTTCCAACTTACTGTGGCTACATCATCCAGGGCTGCAATGCTTCTTATTTGGTCTTGAGCCAATGCTTAGTGTTTGAATGAAATTGGCTTTACCATTCTTTCCTCAGGGGAGTGTGGACAAATAAATTTTCTGCTTAAGAATGCAGTTTCTTTCTGACTCAAACAGCTGATCCTATAAACTTGGACTTCATAGTCATCAGTTTCAATTCAGAACCAACCTTTTAAAAATTATATGTTATTTTGATATAAAAAGTACCAAAAGCAAATCTTCTGAAGGAATAGAACTCCAGACGGTTTTGTTAGGTTTCCAAGGTTATTAATCTAAGAATATGTTGCAAATAAATACATAAATAATGGCCACAATAATCATAATCATACCTATCTTTTTAATTTTTTTATTTCTGTGGGTGTATAGTAGATGTATATATTTATGAGGTACCTATCCTTTTTTTGGTACTTGCTATGTGCCAGGCACTATGCTATGTAATCACCACCACAACCATATTAAAATAGAAACTGCTATCCTCATTTCAAAACTGAGGCAGTGAGAACCAGGGACTACACATAAATTGTCCCCAGGAATTTTTGGAATACCTGCATGGATTTGTATTTATATAAGTGTTTCTAGTGACTAAAAATGAAAACCCAAGAAACTAAAGAAGAAAACAATTACTAGATTATTAGGTCATAAAGTTGACAGGGTATTATAGAAAGCTGGGTGGGTTCTTCAGAATCCACCTATCTCACTGTTATCTATTTTAAAAGTTCAGAGCCATACATGATGACAGATATTTATTTCCTTTATGTTTATTTTTTTATTTTGGAAAATTGTTTATTCTATTTGAAAAGATAGACACTAAAATAAAACACTGAATTTTACCAGTCGCTGACATGTGTAAGTAGTCCACTAATATGGGCCGATAAGAAAGCCCAAAAGCTGAAATTCTCCTGTATTTGTGAAATCTAAATTATTTTTTCTTAATGGAAAGAGCCACTGCCATTGACTATCTTGATTCCACTTACTCTAAGTGGTCTGGAAACTTCCAAGTATAAGCAACCAGCCCACTGGAATTTCTAACCAAATGTCCCTTAGACACCCTTCCCTGTGTCCCTTTTTAACACGCACAGTCACACACAGTTATGCGAATGTGCACATACATTCATACACACATGCGCATGCAAACATGCACATATATTCACACACACTCAACATAAACATGCACACAGAAGTCACAAATACACATACACACTATTAAACACATGCACACTCACATGGACATGCACACACACAGCACATGCATGCACATGCTCACACATGGACACCTAAACATACAGGCACACCTAGTCTATGATCCATTCAGAGTTAATTTTTATATATGGTGTAAGATGTAGATTGAGTTTACTTTACTGAAGTCCATTTGCTCCAGCATCATTTTTTGGAAAAGTCTATCTTTTCTCCATTGGATTGTCTTTGTGCCTTTGTCAAAAATCAGTTGTCTTTTGTTTTAGTAGTAAACGTGTCTATCCTTTACTATCCCAATACTATACTGTCTTGGCCACAGGAGGTTTATAATGCATCTTAAAATCAAGTGTGCGAGTCCTCTAACTTTTTTCTTTTTCAACGTTGTTTTGGCTAATCTAGTTTATCTTTCTATATAGATTTAGAATCAGCTTGTCTGTGCCTACAAAGAAACCTGCTGGAATGTTGACTGGGATTGCACTGAATTTATAGATCAGTGTGACTATACTTGACATCTTAACTGTGGTATATCTTACAATCCATAAAAACAATACATCTCTCTATTTAGGTCAATTTTGGTCTCTTTTGTCTGAATTTTGTGAATTCCTTAGTTAGAATTTTTGACTGTGTCCTGGCTCTGTTGTTCTCCAGGTCTACATGGACCCTGTTCCCTTTTTCTAGCTTTGCACCACTGTCCATACCTCTTCCCCAATTACATGGAGCTCAGCCCTCCACTTTGCAAAATCCCCAGTCCTCTGTGGTTTTCAGATGAGATGTCACTTCCTCAGAGCCTCTCTCACTCTCTCCTCCACTCCAGTCTAGCATGGGTGCCCTTCCCTTGTGCCTGACACCATCTTGTCTCTCATAGCTCTAAGCATCATATAACTGCCTCATTAATTTGCTTTTTAGGCCAGCAGCCCAAATACTCTTAGAAGGTAGAGACCCTGCCTAATTTTAGGTTGTATCCCTAGCACATAACACAGAGCAATGGCCCAGTTAATGGCAGCTGAGTGTAAGAATGGAGCAATGAAAGAGTGAAAGGAACTGAAAAGGGGGAAGTAAACTAGCCTTGAGTGAGGCTCTGCTCTGTGTCAAGCACCATGAAGGTAGGTCAACAGTGGTCAATAGAAATTAGACTGTCAGAGAGAAATTAGACAGTCATTATTAGACAGTGAAACACAGTCAGACAGAAAGGTATAGAGGGAGAAAGGAAAGGAGGGAGGGGGATATATAGACAGACATTCAGGCAGGTTTTGGATAATCAGATAAATACATTCATAGGCATACGGGTAGATATGCACACAAACAAGATAGATTGAAAGACATACAGACAAGGAAAAACATTGAGACTCCAGATGGACAGACAGAAAAACAGAGAGTTTCTAGCATAGAGAGACAGACAGGTGGTCATATAGACAGATATATAGCACAAAGACCTACAGACATACTGACAAATAGACACCCAGAAACATGCATAGGTGGGTGGCTGGGTGGGTGGGTGCATGGATGGATGGATGGATGGAGACAGGTAGAAATAGACAGGATGGCAGAAAGAAAGAAACATGGATAGTTAGACATCTACTTAGCAGACACATGACCAACAGAAGGGGAGACAGAAAATCAGGAAAGAGGAAGGCAGACAGACAATGAGAAAATTAATAAGAAAGATAGATACATACGGACAGGAAAAAATATATATCAAAAGATACATAGGTAGGTAGGTAGGTGGGTGGAACAAGAAAGGGAGAGATAGAATATAGATTGAAGATAGATGATAGGTGGACAGACAGGCAGGCAGACCGATACATATATTTTTATTTAGGTTTATTTAAACTTAACAAATTTCTAAGAAAGATATGGTATCTTCCGCATGTATTGATGGGGAAGTGGATTCACAGGGGTTTAGTGACTTCCTAAAGACCACACTTGAAGAGAATGGCAAAACCTCAACTCAAAACTAGCCCTGCCTTTCCCCGGGGTTTGTGCCAGCACAGCCTGCATGGATTCTCCAGCCCACATCACTTCAGCTGCTAAACAAAGTGCACCTTTCTACTCTTCTCTTGCTTGCATCTGCCTCCATCTGGAGCCCAGTCCCCTGTCATTTCTTGTATCTTATTTAATAGTTTCAGTAGGAAATGATGCTTGAAGTATGGTTTATTATGTGAGCAGGGGACAAAGAGTTTGGGAGGCCTTAAAGTAGAGATGAGTGTCCTGCTCCTTCCCTCCCGGGTCCTGAGCTCCTAAGAGCCCTCATGACCATAGCCAGTTTTCCTTCTGGACAGTTTTCTACCCATGAGACCTTTTTCCCGTTAGTATTGTTTAATCACGCTATAACACATTAATATCTTAGAGACACTTTCATGATGACACCTGTAATGTAGTCCAGGTACTGATATAATAGGCTTGATTCAGTCAATCTCCTATGGACAAACTTTTTTTACATTTCCAGCTATGCTGTAGGGAACATCCTTAGACATGCCTCTTTGTACACATAATTAGAGTGTTCTCTCAGGAAGATACTGAATGGCAGAATTGTACAGTTACAATTCTATATTAAAATGTGTATTCTATATTAAAAACAATTTTAGATACTAAAAAAATGCCCCCTGCTGACCTCACCACTAGCCCAATATTCTCCTACTAGCAATGTTAAAAACTACCAATTTCACTTCACCAGGACTTGATGTTTTCAGGCTTTTTTTCCCTTGCCAATTTGATGCATGAGGGCTTGGGTGAGGGTGGTTAGTGATTATCTTGTCGAATTTGTATTTTCATCATTATGACTAAGGTTGATTCTCTTTTCATTTGTCGACTAGTCATTTGAGTTTCCTGTAAATTACACAATCATATAATATGCCAATTTTTTAATTGGTCCTTTGAATACCAATGCCTTGTTTTTATGTTTTTTCCAGAACTTCTTATTCTGTTATGTAACTTTAAAATATCTATGATTTTTTTCTCATATAGAACTTTGTTTATTGTCTTTGGTTTTTGCTATTATCAGTTTTATCAACTTTATTTTGATGGTGTATTAGTCTGTTTTCACACTGCAATAAAGAGCTGCCCAAGATTGGGTAATTTATAAAGGAAAGAGGTTTAATTGGCTCACAGTTCAGCATGGCTGAGGAGTCCTCAGGAGACTTACAATCATGGCGGAACGTGAAGGGGAAGCAAGGCACATTTCTTTACAGGGCAGCAGGAAGGAGAAATGCAAGCAGTGGAAATGCCAGGCACTTAGAGAGCCATCATATCTCATGAGAACTCATTCACTATCATGAGAACTCACTCACTATCATGAGAACAGCATGGGAGAAACCACCCCCATGATCCAATGACCTCCACCTGGTCCCACCCTTGACACATGGGGATTACAATTCAAGATAAGATTTTGGGTGGGGACATAGCCAAACCATATAATTCCACATCTGGCCCCTTCCAAATCAAATCTCATGTTCTCACATTTCAAGACACAGTCATGCCTTTCCAACAGTCCCCCAAAGTCTTAACTTATTCCAGCATTAACCCAGAAGTCCAAGTCCAAAATTTCATCTGAGACAAGGCAAGTCCCTTATGCCTATGAACCTGTAAAGTCAAAAGCAAATTAGTTACTTCCTAGATACAATGGGGGTACAAGCATTGGGTGAATACAGCCATTCCAAATTGGAGAAATTAGCCAAAACAAAGGGGCTGCAGGCCCCATGCAAGTCCAAAATCCAGTAGGGCAATGTTAAACCTTAAAGTTCCAAAATGATCTCCTCTGACTCCATGTCTCACATCCAGGTCATGCTGATGGAACAGGTGAGCTCCTACAGCCTTGGGCAGCTCCATCCCTGTGGTATTGCAGGGTATAGACCCGCTCCTGGCTGCTTTCACAGGCTTGTGTTGAGTGTCTGCGACTTTTCTAGGTGCACAGTACAAGCTGTTGGTGGATCTACGATTCTGGGATCTGGAGAATAGTGGCTCTCTTCTCACAGCTCCACTAAGCAGTGCCTCAGTGGGGACTCTTGTGTGGGGGCTGTGACCCCACATTTCCCCTCTGCACTGCCCTAGCAGAGGTTCTTCATGAGGGCTTTGCCCCTGCAGCAAACTTTTGCCTGGACATCCAAGCATTTCCATAGATCCTCTGAAATCTAGGCAGAGGTTAACCTCAATTCTTGACTTCTGTGCAGCTGCAGGCCAACCACCACATGAAAGCTGCCAAGGCTTGGGGCTTGCACCCTCTGAAGCAACAACCTGAGCTGTACATTGGCCCGTTTTAGCCACAGCTGGGACACAGGGCACCAAGTCCTGAGACTGCACAAAGCAGCAAGGCCCTGGGCCCAACCCACAAAACCGTTTTTTTCCTCCTAGGCCTCCTGGCTTGTGATGGGAGGGGCTGCTGTGAAGACCTCTGACATGCCCTGGAGACATTTTCCCCATTATCTTGGTGATTAACATTTGGCTCCTCATTACTTATGTACATTTCTACAGCCAGCTTGAATTACTCCTCAAAAAATTGGTTTTTCTTTTCTATCGCATTGTCAGGCTGCAAATTTTCTGAACTTTTATGCTCTGCTTCCTTTTAAACATAAGTTCCAATTCCAAACCATATCTTTGTGAATGAATAAAACTAAATGCTTTTAAGAGCACCAAGTCATCTCTTAAACACTTTGCTGCTTAGAAATTTCTCCCACCAGATACCCTAAATCATCTCTCTCAAGTTCAGAGTTCCACAGATCCCTAGGGCAGGGGCAAAATGCCACCAGTCTCTTTGCTAAAGCATAAAAAGGGTCACCTTTGCTCCAGTTCCCAACAAGTTCCTCATCTCCATCTGAGACCACCTCAGCCTGGACTTGATTGTCCATCTCACTGTCAGCATTTTGATCAAAGCCACTCAGCAAGTCTAGGAAGTTCCAAAGTTTCCCACATCTTCCTGTCTTCTGAGCCCTCCAAACTGTTCCAACTTCTGCCTGTACCCAGTTCTAAAGTCACTTCCACATTCTTGGGTATCTTTATAGCAGCACCCCACTCTCTGTGATACCAATTTACTCTATTAGTCTGTTTTGATACTGCTATAAAGAACTGCCTGAGACTGGGTAATTTACAAAGGAAAGAGATTTAATTGACTCACAGTTCAGCATGGTTGGGGAGTCCTTAGGAAACTTACAATCATGGTGGAAGGTGAAGGGGAAGCAAGATACCTTCTTTACAGGACAGCGGGAAGGAGAAATACAAGCAGGGGAAATGCCAGGCACTTATAAAAACCATCAGATCTCATGAGAACTCACTCATTATCATGAGAACAGCATGGGGGAAACCACCCCCATGATCCAATTACCTCCACCTGATCCCACCCTTGACACATGGGGATTATGGGGATTACAATTCAGGATGACATTTTGGGTGGGGACACAGCCAAACCATATTGGATGGACCTTCACTTTTTAGCTCTTAAAAAGGCTTTATTTATTAGTTAGGGCTGGCTAAATGCTAAAATGAACATCCCCACAAATCTCAGCACTTTAACACAAGGCAGCTTTATTTCTTGCCATGTGCCAGCCTGATAGAGACCACACCATCATGTAGGGACCCACATTTCTCCCATCCAGCAGCTCTACTATCCCCTGGAGTCACTGACTCTCTGCTGAATCCTCTCTAATGAGCTGAGCTGGCAAATAAGAGATAAGGGAGAAGTGGGGATGCAGTGGGAGACTGGGGCCAGGCCTGGAAATGGCTCACGTTCCTTCCATGCCATATTCTATTTTCATGGAACTTAAGTCACGTGGCCACACCTTGCTTGGCCTTGGGAGGCCAAGAAATGTGACCTAGAAACACAAAGGCAAGGGCCATGGTCAACATCAGGCAGGGTCTCCAGCACACTTTATTACCGCAAGGTCATAAATGTATTCACCTATACTTTTCTCTGGCACACTTACAGTTTTACTTCTTGTCTATGTGTATTTAATTCCTGTGGAATTTGTTGGTCAGTGATATGATGTAGGGAATCTTGCTTTATTTTTTCCAATTAGGTTTCCAACTTATTTTATAAATTTTATAATGTGGTCCTTTTCCCACAGGTTTTTCAGAAATTTGGGATTCCCCACGTGTGTCATTCTGTCAGTTAGCGATGCTTTCAGCTTCGTTGGAGATGTTTAATTTCACAAGACAGAGTTGGGAGCCAGTGCACCATTGGGTTGACTGCTCAGTGATGTCATGGCAGCATCTTTCAGGTTCTCTTGACCCGTCCCTCATGGTCACAGGCCAGCACAGCTTCTCGTATCACATCACTTCAAGGTGGAAGGATTCTATGCATACCTCTTAGGAAAGCAAAACATTTGCCAAAAGTAGCCTAGCAGATTTCCTGTTGCATTTTGGCAGCTCATGGAGGAGAAAGAACTGGCCACATGGATACTTTTAGCTGCAGGAAAAACTGGTAAAGCAGAAGTCAGAATTGTCTTGATTCACTTAGCCCAATCATCAGCCCATGTATTAAGCCCGTGGATTTACTACATGGGGCTGAGCACATTGTAGCCATGAGCAAAAGCAAAGGTCTGTTGGCAATAAGGAAGGGGAATGGGTATTGGATGGGAAGTTAAGGGCATCTGCCATTATCATCTACCAAATTCTCTCTCTCTTCTCCCACTACCCTCACACATCTCTGCATTTTCTGTTCTCCTCCACAGGTCCATGTGTCTCTGTCTGTTCCTGTGTATCCATCACTTTAGTCACAATATCTTTATGTGTGAAGTGTGGGAGAACAAACATGCAACTTATTTTCTTCAAAATTGTCTTGGAATTACTGGCTTATTCTTCTAAGTTTTAGAAACTGTTTGTCAGCTTCCACAAAAAATTCTGTATTGATTGCATTCAATTTATTATACATATTAGAGAGGAACTGGCAACTTACCAATATAGTCTTCCCATCCATTTATTGAAGTTCTCTTTCTATACCTCATTAAAGATTTATTGTTTTCTGCAAAGGAAAAAAAATAAAGGTTTCCTTCTTTTTGTGTGTTTTTCCTAATTAACTTACAGGATATTTGGTGGGGGTTGGTTGGCTATTATGAAATAGATCTTTTTGTGTTGTTTTTAAAATTCTAACTTGGCTAATGTTGACATGTAGGAAAAGTGTTGATTTTTGGATGTTGATCTTGTTCCAGCCATTTAAAATGTTCTCATTTGTTACAATACTTAGTCATGAGTTTGTTCTAAACCTTGATGGAAATGCTTCTAAAGTTTTCATTATTAGGTCTGATAAGTCCTAAAAAATTAGAATCAATATCATTTAATAAGTAGAAAAAAAGGTTCCTTCTATTCCTGGTTTGTTTCAACGTGGTATAATGAATAACTGTGGGCTTTTTGGCATCTTTTAAGATGACCGTATGGTTTTTCTCCTCAAATTTGTTAAGATAGTGTATTGGCATGAGAATCATGTTTGGCTGTTAGTAACAGAGAGGAGACATTATGGCAGATTTAACAAGAGGAGAATTCACTTCTCTCACATGTACGAGAATGAGGCACTCCAGGGTTGGTAATGGCATCTCTAGAACCCCACAGACTCATCTCTTTCCACCCTAATAACCCCCACAACCAAGCACCCAAGATGGCTGCAGCAGCTCCAAGGCTCTAATTTGTCTCTTTATGTCTTTTTCTGTGTTATGGACTCATTTGCTAATCTTTAATTTTAAGTTGTACATCTATGTTTATAAATGGTATTTGCCTTGGGTTTTTTTTTTCTATTGCCTCTTTTCTAGTTCAGACCTCTAAGTCATTTTACCTTTGTCTATCAATTAGGAATACATTCAGCTACAAGTAACCAGACATTTGACTTAACTGGCTTGAAAAAATAGATACTTAGATGAGAAGTATAATAAGAAGTCCACGGGTGGACTGTCTACGGCTGGTGCAAGTGTTCCATGATACCATCGGAAATAGCTTCCTACTCCACCCAACTTTTCTTGGGTTTTGTCCTCTTGCATTATGTTTTGTACTCCCAGAATGGTGGGTGGACTTGCAGATGTTATTTCCTCACTCAAGGCAGAAAGAAGGGGAAAAAGGCATCATGAGAAAGGACTATTCCATTTAAGCCTGTCTCTTTCTATCAGGTAAGCAAGTGCTTTCCTCTAAACCCAACCAGTTGGAAACCCAACCATTTCCATCAGGTAGACTGGATCGTCGTCCAGCATGGCACATGCAGATTGGTGAATCACAAGTCAGGGAATAACGGGCTTTTACCAATTGCATTTCATCCCTGGGTGCTAGGAATTTTGTCTGTCTTTTCTGAAATCCAGGGTCTCAACTGCTCCCTGATAAACCAAGATTCAGTCTGCAGTAGGTGCAAGGGTATGCAGTGGACAACATCTAAGAAGCTGGGCTAGCACCTGCCCGTTGCCTTCTAGGCTCTGGATGCCAATTTTTTGTATCTTCATTTATTTTCCTAAAGCATGTCATTCCTGTCAGTTCTGTCTTCTGAAATTCTCATCAGCCTCCCACTGGCCTCATAACATAGGTAAGCTACTCACCCTGGCAGCCCCCAGGGCTGGCCCTCACCTTCATCCCCAGCCTCTTGGCCACCGGCTCTCCTGGACACACTGGGGTATCTGTGCCCGGCCAACACCCATGCTGCTCATCCAGCCCAGAATGCCCTCTTTGCACTTTTCCTTAATCCTCCTAAAAAATTTATCTTACCTTCAGCTGTCTTCATCTGCCAGGCACAGAGAACTGTTCCTTTCTTATATTCCAATGGGTTTACTTGTAAGCAGTATTAGAGTACTGATTCCAATCTAGGTGGAATTTTGGGTATTTTCATGTCTGCCCATCAGAATGGAGTATGAAGGTAGGTTTAGTGTTTTTAGTTTCCTTTTGTTCATTTATTCAGCATACTTATTATCCGGTATATTCCAGCTTGTGGTGATGTTAAGACAAATAAAACATGAACCCTGTCCTCCAGGGCAGCCTTCACAGAGAGAAGAAGGAGGCAAGTAGGTTGGGGTGACAGCTCAATGCGCAAAGTGTGCCCCAACACTTGTCACAATGACAATGGCAGGCCAGGAAAAGAGGCTGACCCATTAGGCTGTCTTTTCCTTGAAAATAAGGTGCCTTTACCCAGAAGAACTGATTTAATGATTGGAATCGATAGGAAAAGTAGCAACCTGATTTGTAAGGTTTTTGGATTTTTTTTAAACCCTTGTCAATGGCACATTGGTCTGATTCAGGCACATATTTTATGCCAGTGTAACAGCTAGATTTGTGAGCCTGAAGAATAAAAACATAAATCTTTCAAAGCAAAGCGGCCTTGCAAGCATTCCAATGCTGAGGGTTTAGAATTGTCAGTCAAGCTCTGCTGCGCATTTTCAGGGATGAGATAATCTCTGTGACATGGAGGTTCTCGTGTAAGGTGATCTTTTCAGGGTGTGGGCACATTACACTGTTGCAAGATTGTAGTTTTCTACAAGTCAGAACAAGTGTTACCATGTTTTGGGTCCTTACAAAGTTCACTTTCATGTTTAAGACTTTTCTTCAAAACTATTGATTATTATTCCTTGTGGATACTTTAGGAATTGTCTACAAACTAGTCCAAATTTAGAATGGTTGGACTTAGGATTTTCTAACTTTAGGATAGATTTCTTGGGAGGTTACCCCATCATAAGTCAAGGAGCTTCTGGACTTAACGATGGTTCGACTTATTTCAGCTTTAAGATGGATTTATTGGAATATTAAATTCATTTTCAACTTAATGTATTTTCAACTTAAGGTAAGTTTATTGGTGTATAACCCCATCATAAATTGAGCATCTGTAGTTTTTATGAACAGTCTGTAACCTTTTTGGGATCCTAAGCCCATGACTGTAATGACAGCTATACACTTGCTGTCATAGGAGGAACCCTGGAAGAATTCTATATGCCATTGATGAGTATATCATTTCAGTGCACACAGGAGAAGACTTCAGTAGGTCCTACACTTACTGCTATTCCCAAATATGTAAATTTTAAAAGAGACTTTTCTTCCATCTTTCCATACTGGGAGAAAACTATGGGAAGGTACAACTGAGTGAGTGTCAACTAAGGAAATGTTTTGCTTCCAATCATGCATCTATGCACATAATATATTTCAAAGGCACCAGATGTTTTGACCTGACACCTTTTGAAGACACCCCGTTCCATTGTAAAGGGATGGTATTGTGTGATGGAACAATGGTGACTTTTGGATCAAAGTGAGTCTATGTGGGAATCCTTACTCTGCCACTGGGCACTCTGGGCTTTAGTAAAGTGGAACTAAACCACTGTCCCTGTGGAATTGTTGCCTGTAGGAGAGTTAACTCACCCTTAAAGCAGTAAGCACGATCAATGTAATTGTGGGCACTCAGCAAGTAACATTTATTTTCCTTAGTGAGATAGATAGGGGATTTAGGCCCATGGGAAGAATCTTTTTAACTCCATTCAAATAAATTTGAAAACCAAGTTAAGATGGATAAATCTCTAGGAAAATATGACCTAACAAAATTAAACCATATAGAGATAGAAAGACTGGGCAGAGCAATTTCCACAGGAAAAAATTAGAGGAAGGTGTAAAAGAGCTCCCTGAAAAAGAAGGACCAGGAAGATTGATTTGTGGGTCAAATCTACCAACCTTCAGATATCGAATGGCCCTGGTGCTACTTAGGTTAATCCAGAGCATTGAAAATAAAGTGAAACTTTCAATTTTGTTTTATGTATATAATATTAACTATAAAGCCTGACAACGATTACACATAAAAGTAAAAACCATAGCTCAATCTAGTTTATTAATATTAATTTAAGAATTTTACAGAAAACCAAATGCCGCGTGTTCTTACTTAAAAGTGGGAGCTAAGCATTAAGTACACACGGACTCAAAGAAAGGAACAACAGACTCCGGGACCTACTTGAGGATGGAGGGTGGGAAGAGGATGAGGATAAAAATACTACCTAGCAGGTCCTATGCTTATTACCTGGGTGGCAAAATAATCTGTACACCAAACCCCCATGACATGCAGTTTACGTATATCACAAACCTGTGCATGTCCCCCGAGCCTAAAGTAAAAGTTAGAAAAAAATAAACAAGTATTATGGGAATCGTTTAAAAAAGAGTTTTAAATAAAAATTAGCAAAACCAAATCAAAAAGCACATAAAAAGAAACATCAATGAATGATTAAAGGAGATTTATTCCAGAAACATGAGTTAGGTTCAGTATTAGGAAGCACATTAATATAATTCATCATATTAGTAGATTTTATGAAAAAAATAGTATGAAAGTCAACATCTATCCATAATAAAACCACTCAGTAGAAGAGGTTCATGTATACCTTTTAAACGTGTGTGTCACTACCCAACTTCAAACTATACTACAAGGCTACAGAAACCAAAACAGCATGGTACTGCTACAAAAAACAGACACATAGACCAATGGAACAGAATAGAGATCTTGGAAATAAGACCACACATCTGCAACCATCTGATTTTTGACAAAAACAAGCAATGGGGAAAGGATTCCTTATTTAATAAATGGTGCTGGGAAAACTGGCTAGCCATATGCAGAAAATTGAAACTGGATCCCTTCCTTACACCTTATACAAAAATTAACTCAAGATGGATTAAAGATTTAAATGTAAAACCCAAAACTATAAAAACCCTAGAAGAAAATCTAGGCAATGCCATCTAGGACGTAGGCATGGGCAAAGATTTCATGGCAAAAACATCAAAAGCAATTGCAATAAAAGCAAAGATTGGGATCTAATTAAACTAAAGAGCTTCTGCACAGCAAAGGAAGCTGTTGTCAGGTGAACAGACAGCCTACAGAATGGGAGAAGATTTTTTTTTTTTTTGAGACGGAGTCTCGCTTTGTCCCCCAGGCTGGAGTGCAGTGGTGCAATCTCGGCTCACTGCAAGCTCCGCCTCCCGGGTTCATGCCATTCTCCTGTCTCAGCCTCCCAAGTAGCTGGGACTACAGGCGCCCGCCACCACGCCCGGCTAATTTTTTTTTTGTATTTTTAGTAGAGACGGGGTTTCACCTTGTTAGCCAGGATGGTCTTGATCTCCTGACCTCGTGATCCGCCCGCTTCGGCCTCCCAAAGTGCTGGGATTACAGGCGTGAGCCACCGCGCCCGGCCGGGAGAAGATTTTTATAATCTAGCCATCTGATAAAGGTCTAATATCCAGAATCTACAAGGAACAAATTTACAAGAAAGAAACAAACCCATTAAAAAGTGGGCAAAGGATATGAACAGACACTTCTCAAAAGAAGACATTTAGGTGGCTAACAAACATATGAAATAGAGCTCAACATCACTGGTCATTACAGAAATGCAAAGCAAAACTGCAATGAGATACCATCTCGTGCTAGTCAGAATGACAATTATTAAAAAGCCAAGAAGCAACAGATGCTGGTGACGCTGTGGAGAAATAAGAATGCATTTATACTGTTAGTGGGAATGTAAATTAGTTCAACCATTGTGGAAAACAGTGTGGCGATTCCTCAAAGACCTAGAACCAGAAATAACATTTGACCCGGCAATCCCATTACTATATATACCCAAAGGAATACAAATCATTCTGTTATAAAGATACATGCATGTGTGTGTTCATTTCAGCAGTATTCACAATAGCAAAGACATGGAATCAACCCAAATGCCCATCAGTGATAGACTGGATAAAGAAAATATGGGATCTTCATGGCTCTGACTCAGATGGACACAGCAGCATTCCGAGGCTTGCATCGTGAATTTTTAGCTCCAGATCGACTGCAAGAACAAACCAGCAGTCCTGAGAGGACCCACAGACCCTCTGAAGGAAGCAGACTGCTCCTGCAGGACCCAGGAAACACCTCAAATACTGTGAGTGCTCACCTGCGGAAGTGGAAAAGGGAGATCCTGCTCTCCCGAACACACACCCCCAATGGAGAAATTGAAGGTCTGTTTGCAGGAGAAGTTTCCGACCTTAACTGGAGCTGAGTCAGTTTAAAGAACTGAGTGAAATACAGGGGTAGAGGAAGCAGTGGGAAAGGCCCTGGGAGCTCCCTGGGTCCCCAAGCAGGCCATTCCTGCCTGGCACCACAGGGATCCTTTGGGAGGGAAGCCAGAGGAGGGGGGAAAAACACCACAGGGAGAAGGAAGTCTCCAGCTGAACTTTGTAACAATTTGAACTGGGTGAGAAGCCTCTTTGCCAGAACTCAGGGGAGGGTGCGAATCTGTCCTGCAGACTCTCCACAGGCGGGGGTAGAACCAAGCCCTTTTCTTTCTAGCTGGGAAGCAGGTAACCTGGGGCAAGTTCTCAGCTCTGCTCACCCACTGCCTGGAAACAGACTTGGGGCTGTTAGGGGAGGCACAGTGGGAGAAGACCGGCCCTTCGGACTGCATGGCAGCTGGGTGAGGCCTGCGACTGCCGGCTTTCCCTCACTTCCCTGACAGCCTGCATGACTCAGCAGAGGCAACCATAATCCTCGTAGGTACACAACTCCATTGACCTGGGAACCTCACCCCCATCCCCCACAGCAGCCTCAGCAAGACGCACCGAAGGACAGTCTGAACTACGACACCCAACCCTGCCCCCACCTGATGGGCCTTCCCTATCCACCCTGGTAGCTGAAGATAAATGGCATGTAATCTTGGGAGTTCTAGGGCCCCACCCACCACTGGTTCTTCTCCATGCTACCACAGCTGATGCTCCCTGGAAAGTGCCATCTCCTGGCAGGTGGCCAACCATCACAAAAATAGGATATTAAACCACCAAAGCTAAGAATCCTTGCAGAGTCCATTTGACCCCACCACCAGCTCCAGGAGAACAGGTGCTGGTGTCCACAGCTAAGACACCCATAGATGGTTTACATCACAGGGCTCTGTACAGACAATACCCAGTACCAGTCTGGAGCCAGGTAGACTTGCTGGGTGGCTAGACCCAGAAGAGAGACAGCAGTCGCTGCAGTTTGGCTGGCAGGAAGCCACAGTTATAGGAAAAGCAGGAGAGTACTGCTACAATGGAACACGCCATGAGACAAAAGAATCTGAACAACAGCCTGCAGCCCTAGACCTTCCCTCTGACAGAGCTTACCCAAATGAGAAGAAACCAGAAAACCAACCCTGCTAAGATGACCAAACAAGGCTCTTTAACACCCCCCAAAAAATCACACTAGTTCACCAGCAATGGATCCAAACCAAGAAGAAATCTCTGATTTACCTGAAAAATAATTCAGGAGGTTAGTTATTAAGCTAATCAGGGAGGCACCAGAGAAAGGCAAAGCCCAATGTGAGGAAATCCAAAAAACAATAAAAGAAGGGAAGGGAGAAATATTCAAGGAAATAGAGAGCTTAAAGAAAAAACTATCAAAACTTCAGGAAACACTGGACACACTTATAGAAATGCAAAATGCTTTGGAAAATCTCAGCAATAGAATTGAACAAGTATAAGAAAGAAATTCAGAGCTCGAAGACAAAGTCTTTGAATTAATCCAATCCAACAAAGACAAAGAAAAAATAATAAGAAAATATGAACAAAGCCTCCAAGAAGGCTGGGACTATGTTAAACAACCAAACCTAAGAATAATCAGTGTTCCTGAGGAATAAGAGATTTCTAAAAGCTTGGAAAAATATATTTGGGGGGAATAATGGAGGAAAACTTCCCTGGCCTTGCCAGAGACCTAGTCATTCAAATACAAGAAGCACAAAGAACACCTGGGAAATTCATCTCAAAAAGATCATCACTTAGGCACATTGTCATCAGATTATCTAAAGTTCAGATGAAGGAAAGAATCTTAAGAGCTGTGAGACAGAAGCACCAGGTAACCTATAAAGGAAAACCTGTCAGACTAACAGCAGATTTCTCAGCAGAAACCCTACAAGCTAGAAGGGATTGGGGCCCTATCTTCAGTATCCTCAAATGAAACCATTTTCAGCTAAGAATTTTGTATGCAGCAAAACTAAGCATCATATATGATAGAAAGATACAGCCTTTCAGAAAATACAGAGAGAATTGACCACTACCAAGCCACCACTAGAAGAACTGCTAAAAGGAGCTCTAAATCTTGAAACAAATCCTAGAAACATATCAAAACAAAACTTTGTAAAGCATAAATCACACGGGACCTATAAAACAAAAATACAAGTTAAAAAGCAAAAACAAAAAATGAAAAAACCAAGGTACACAGGCAACAAATAGCACAATGAATGCAATGGTACCTCACATCTCAATAATAACATTGAATGTAAATGGCCTAAATGCTCCACTTAAAATATACAGAACTGCAAAATAAATAAGAACTCACCAATGAACTATCTGCTGCCTTCAGGAGACTCACCTAACACATAAGGACTCACGTAAACTTAAAGTAAAGGGGTGGAAAAAGGCATTTCATGCAAATGGACACCAAAAGCAAGCAGCAGTAGCTATTCTTATATCAGGCAAAACAAACTTTAAAGCAACAGCAGTTAAAAGAGACACAGAAGGACCATTATATAATGGTAAAAGGCCTTGTCCAACAGGAAAACATCACAATCCTAAACATACGTGCACCTAACACTGGAGCTCCCAAGTTTATACAACAATTACTAATAGACCTAAGAAATGAGATAGACAGCAACACAATAATATGGGGGACTTCAGTACTCCACTGACAGCACTAGACAGGTCATCAAGATAGAAAGTCAAAGAAACAATGGATTTAAACTATACCTTGGAACAAATGGACTTAACAGATATGTACAGAACATTTCATCCGACAACCACGGAATGCACATTCTATTCAACAGCACATGGAAGTTTCTCCAAGGTAGACCATATGATAGGCCTCAAAATGAGCCTCAGTAAATATAAGAAAATTAAAGTATATCAAGCACTCTCTCAGACCACAGTGGAGGCAAACTGGAAATCAATTCCAAAAGGAACCTTCAAAACCATGCAAATACATGGGAATTAAATAACCTGTTCCTGAATGAGCATTGGGTCAAAAATGTAATCACGATGGAAATTTAAAAATTATTCAAACTCAACGACAATAATGACACAACCTATCAAACCTCTGGGATACAGCAAAGGGGATACTAGGAGGAAAGTTCATAGCCCTAAACACCTATCAAAAAGACTGAAAGGGCAGAAACTGACATTCTAAAGTCACACCTCAAGGAACTAGAGAAACAAGAACAAACCAAACCCAAACCCAGCAGAAGAAAGGAAATAACCAAGATCAGAGCAGAACTAAATGAAATTGAAACAAACAAAATACAAAAGATAAATGAAACAAAAGCTGATTTTTTGAAAAAATAAATAAAATTCAAGACCACTAGCAAGATTAACTAAGAAAAGAAGAGAGAAAATCTAAATAACCTCATTAAGAAACAAACGGGAGATATTACACCACAGAAATACAAAAGATGTGACACCACAGAAATACAAAGGATTATTCAAGGCTACTATGAACACCTTTACACACATAAACTAGAAAACCTAGAAGACATGGATAAATTCCTGGAAAAATACAATCCTCCTAGCTTAAATCAGGAAGAATTAGATACCCTGAACAGACCAATAACAAGCAGTGTGATTGAAATCTTAATTTAAAAATTACCAACAAAAGAAGTCCAGGACCAGATGGATTCACAGCAGAATTCGACGCTATTCCACAAGACAGAGAAAGAAGAAAGCCTCCCTAATTCATTCTATGAAGCTAGCCTCACCCTAATACCAAAACCAGGAAAGGACATAACCAAAAAAGAAAACTACAGACTGATATCCTTGCTGAACATAGATGCTAAAATCCTTAACAAAATACTGGCTAACAGAATCCAACAAAATATCAAAAAAAAAAATCCACCATGATCAAGTGGGTTTCATACGAGGGATGAAGGGATGATTTCACATACGCAAGTCAATAAACGCAATGTACCACACAAACAGAATTTGGAACAAAAATCACGTGATCGTCTCGATAGATGCAGAAAAAGCATTCAACAAAATCCAGCATCGCTTTATGATTAAAACTCTCAGCAAAATCGGCATACAAGGGACATACCTCAATGTAATAAAAGCCATCTGTGACAAACCCATAGCCAACATAATACTGAATGGGAAAAGTTGAAAGCTTCCCTCTGAGAACTGGAACAAGACAAGGATGCCCACTCTCACCACTCCTCTTCAACATAGTACTTGAAGTCCTAGCCAGAGCAATCAGACGAGAGAAATAAAGGGCATCCACATCAGTGAAGAGGCAGTCATACTATCACTGTTTGCTGATAATATGATTGTTTACCTTGAAAACCCTAAAGACTCCTCCAGAAAGCTCCTAGAACTGATGAAAGAATTCAGCAAAGTTTCTGGATACAAGATTAATGTACACAAATTGGTAGCTCTTCTATACACCAGGAGAGACCAAGCAGAGAATCAAATCAATAACTCAACCGTTTTTATAACAGCTGCAAAAATAAAATCAAATACTTAGGAATATACCTAACCAAGGAGATGAAAGACCTCTACAAGGAAAACTACAGAACACTGGTGAAAGAAATCATAGATGACACAAACAATTGGGAACACATCCCATGCTCATGGATGGGTAGAATCAATATTGAGAAAATGACCATACTGCCAAAAGCAATCTACAAATTCAGTGCAATCCCCATCAAAATACTGCCATCATTCTTCACAGAATTAGAAACAGCAATTCTAAAATTCGTATGGAACCAAAAAAAGAGCCTGCATAGCCAAAGTAAGACTAAGCAAAAAGAACAAATTTGGAGGCATCACACTACCTGCTTTCAAACTATACTATAAGGCCGTAGTCACCAAAACAGCGTGGTACTGGTATAAAAATAGGCACATAGAGCAATGGAAAACAATAGAGAACCCAGAAATACACCCAAATACTTACAGCCAACTGATCTTTGACAAAGCAAACAAAAACATAAAGTAGGGAAAGGATGCCCTTTTGAGCAAACGATGCTGGGATAATTGGCTGGCCACATGTAGGAGAATGGAACAGGATCCTCATCTCTCACTTTATACAAAAATCAACTCAAGAGGGATTAATGACTTATATCTAAGACCTGAAACTATAAAAGTTCTAGAAGATAACATTGGAAAACCCCTTGTAGACATTGGCTTAGTCAAGGATTTCACGAGCAAGAACCCAAAAGCAAATGCAATAAAAACAAAGATAAATAGCTGGGACTTAATTAAACTAAAGAGCTTTTGCATGGTAAAAGGAACAGCCAGCAGAGTAAACAGATACCCCACAGAGTGGGAGAAAATCTTCACAATCTATACATCTGACAAAGGACTAATATCCAGAATCTACCACAAACTCAAATCAGTAAGAAAAAAAAATCCCATCAAAAAGTGGGCTAAGGATATGAATAGACAGTTCTCAAAAGAAGATATACAAATGGCCAACAAACATGAAAAAATGCTCAAATCTCTAATGGTCAGGGAAATGGAAATCAAAACCACAATGTAATACCACCTTACTCCTGCAAGAATGGCCGTAATAAAAAAAAAAAATCAACAAACAGTAGATGTTGGCATGGATGTGGTGAACAGGGAATGTTCTGGTGGGAATGTAAACTAGTGCAGCCACTATGGAAAACAGTGTGGAGACTCCTTAAAGAACTAAAAGTAGAGCTACCATTTGATCCAGCAATCCCACTACTTGGTATCTACCCAGAGGAAAAGAAATCATTATACGAAGAAGATACTTGCACACGCATGTTTGTAGCAGCACAGTTCACAATTGCAAAATCATGGGACCAACCCAAATGCCATCAATCAATGAGTGGATAAAGAAACTATAGTATATTTATACAATGGAATACTAGTTGGCCATAAAAAGAAATGAATTAACATCATTTGCAGTGACCTGGATGAGACTGGAGACTATTATTCTAAGTGAAGTAACTCAGGAATGGAAAACCAAACATCGTATGTTCTCACTGATATGTGGGAGCTAAGCTATGAGGACGCAAAGGCATAAGAATGATACAATGGACTTTGGGGACTTGGGGGGAAGGATGGGAGGGGAGCAAAGGATAAAAGACTGCAAATAGGGTTCTGTGTGTACTGCTCAGGTGATGGGTGCACCAAAATCTCAAAAATCGCCACTGAAGAACTTACTCATGTAACCAAACACCACCTGTACCCCAATAACTTATGGAAAAATAAAAATTTTTTAAAGAAAATGTGGTACATATACATCATGGAATACTATGCAGCCATAAAAAGGAAACAGATCATGTCCTTTGCAGGGACATGGTTGGAACTGAAAGCCATTATCCTCAGCAAACTAACACAGGAACAGAAAACCAAACACCACATGTTCTCACTTATAAGTGAGAGCTGAACAATGAGAACACATGGACACAGGGAGGGGAACAACACACCCTGGGGCCTGTCGGGGGGTGGGGGGGATGGTGAGCATCAGGATAAATAATGCATGCAGGGCTTAATACCCAGGTGATGGGTTGATAGGTACAACAAACCACCATGGCACACGTTTACCTATGTAACAAACCTGCACATCCTGCACATGTATCCTGGAACTTTAAATTTTTAAAAACTTGTGTGTGTGTGTGTGTGTGTGTGTGTGTGTGTGTGTTTAGCCCAAGACCCCACACCCAGCATCTTTTTCAGTGTGGAAACACCAAAGTTATTTCCACTAAAGTTAGGAGCAAAGCAAAGATGCCCATAACATCTCATAGTATGTAATATTATATTGAATGCATTAATCAAGGAAATCGGACAGGATTTGGCAATAGAGGGATACTCCATCTCAAAAAAAAAAAGAGTTAACACAAACTATATTTGCATTTGATATGATTGTGTATCTGGAAAACTAAAAAAAACTGAAAATTTGCTATAAATTGTAAGAACTTAGTAAAATAGCAAGATATAAATTTAGCACACAGAAATCAATAGCTTTGATTTGAGCAGGATAAATTGAAAGAGTAACTGTGTAATATGCTATCATTCCTGATTTTATTAGGAACTAGGATTTGGTGTGGGAAGGAGGTTCATCTGTAAAAGAGATTAGGTTAAGTAAAAACTCCTAAGTCTTCAATTTGAATTGGAAATATTAGAATGAACTCAAAATTTGTTTTTAAAACAAACATATTTCTTAGCTGTCCAAGAAGTCCTGTAAACAATGACTAAACCACTAGTTATGGGTACACCAAGCATTCAGATTGTGGTCTTGAAAAACCATTCTCAATAAAAAAGACTCATAGTTCTTTGGAGAAATGTTGAATTCTAGATCCGGAACAGTAAATGTAGAAAAGGGACCTGAAACATTTTGTCACACAAGATATGTAGAAAAGACTCTATCAGCTACACTAGTGTCAAGGGAACTTGATTCAGGACTTAAGCATCAATAAAGACAACAACTGCTCTATATTGGATAGATTGAAATGCATAAAATATGTTTAAATCGACGAATGCAAAATATTTCAAAAAAAGAAGTAACAAATTGATCCCGTGGAAGGAAGCTAGTGAACCAACTTGTCCAAGTAAAATGATGAATTAAAAGGTCATAAATAAAGCATCTATCTTGCCTTTTCTATTAGGTGTCTACCACTGGGTGACCAAATAGTAGATTAGTAGAAATTTCCCTTTAAGAATTCCAGCTAATAAATAAAGAATGAATAAAAGAATTATGCTGCCAGTATACGCAACCCCTCTTGAATTGCTGGGTCTAGGCAATGATCATCAGTGGCTGCGACCATCACAGGCAGAGACAGATACTCAGTGCCAACTGATGGAAGAAGACAGCACCAAAGTGTGCCCCAAATTGAATCTGAATCTGATCGAGTCTTACATCCCAGTGCTGATTTACATGAAATAGAGAGGACAGAGGAGCATGTGACATGGCACCATAGGAGCAATCAGTAAAAGCCAGATGATAGAAAACTCTAGAGAAAAATATATATATAAGATTTTTCAACAAACAGAGGGAAAAAGACGGAGGCAAAATCTGTAGATTAAAAAAGACATATCAACCAATTACAATAAGAGATCTTACTTGAATTCTGATTCAAACAAACTGAAAAAGTAAATATGTGAACTTACAACATTTGATATCATTGGAAATTTGCACACTGGATATTGCACTGAAGAATTTTTGTTATTTTTAGGTGGGATTATGGTACTGTGGTTATGTTTTAAAGAGTCTTAGAGAGAGATGGAAGTAGTTGTGGATGAAATAATGTGTTATCTGGAATTTGCTTCAAAATTATGTGAGCAGGAGAAGGGTTGGAGATAGAGAAGAAGCATGGTTGGCTAAGAATTGATGATTGTCATGCCTGAGGCATGGGTACATTGGCTTTAATATCCTTTTCTGTCTACTTTTATACATATTTAAATTTTTATTAGAAAAATATTTTTAAAATATATACCATCAGGTAATTCTGTGTTCTCCTTGTTAGCCTAAAAATCTAAGCTCAAGAGTAGAGAGACTGGAATGTTGAGGTGCCATTTACAATTTCTAGTGCCCCACTTTCTCCTGTCAGTTAAACTACTGTTTAACTCGTATTAAGAACCATTGAAGAATTTGATATGTCATTGATGAGTATATCATTTCAATGCATGTAAGACAAAACCCCAGTAGATCCTACACTTACTGCTATTCCCAAAGTTATACATTTTAGGAGAGACTTTTCTTCCATCTTTCCATACTAGGAGAAAATTATGAAAAAGTATAATAAGTGAGTGTCAACTAAGGAATTGTTTTGCTTCCAATCATGCATCTATGCACGTATTTTATTTTAAAGGCACCAGATGCTCTGAGAGCTGGCACAAGGCCCAGTCATGGCCCCTGAACAGAAGGCATGTCTCCTTCCCATTGGGCCCATTGGGTGTCCAGCCCGCGGCACCTGCTGGACAAGTGAAATGGGCTCAAAGCCCACACATGTGCCTTCTCCGAGCCTCAGGTACAAGTGGTGTGTCCCAGCACTGCCCACTGTTGCTGCTGGAGCCTTCCTCAGTTCCTACAAGACAATGTGTTTGAGAATATCAGCTTCAACAAGGGGAAAACTAAAGAGTGAAATGATCCTGCAACAATGCGAAGAACTTCAATGTGCCCCACAGACATTCCTATAGCCACTTTTGATTTTCACACAGCCCTATCTGTCGCTGTCTGGCCAAACTTCTCTTCTTATTCCTCAGAAAGAAGCACCTTTCCTCTCCTCACCCAGGGCTTTTTACATTGAATTTCCTGGAGAACTTGCTTCATCACAGTCCAAATTACTCTTAGACTCATCTTTATCTCTAGCTGGTGTTGTGGAGGTTATGTAAGTAATATACGTGGCCAAGCTTTGGAAATGATAATGTGCTCTACGCATATGAATGTTTGGCAGAACCAACCTTCCCAGAACTCATGCCCCCGCACTGAAAGACACTGGGCTTTCTTAATTTTCATCTAAACCGTGAAGATGCTCTGGAAGATGTGTTTCCCTAATGTGGCATCCACAGAAGCCTTTCTGCCCTAGTGCACCACGCTTGCCCAAGGTCACAATGGCGTCTGGCAAGGGATGGGCCACACAGGCTCTTGGAATGTTGACATCTGAGTTGAGACATCCAATTCATTTCACCACGGGAGCCCAGGCATCTGATCTTCTTACCAGGGTGGGCTTCCTCGCCAGGCCGGACAAGATGAACGCATGCCTGACCTTTTTTCATATTTAACCATTCACCCCCTTAACAGGGATGTATAAATGTATGGGTAGTCAAGGGTGGATTCTCAATACCAGAACAGTACATTTGCCTATTGTTTTAATCTATGTCAATGGTAATAATAGTAATAGTGCATGTTCTTTCAGTGTCATCTCACTGTATCCTTACTGCAATTCTAAGAGGCAGGGTTGTTCTCACCCTCATTGCTCAGATGTGACAACCAAGGCTTCAAGAAATGAAGTAGCCTTTCCAGGGTTGCAGGGGCTTTGCACCCAGCCAGGCCATCAGCTCCCAAGCCTGTGCTCGACCCCAGATCTGTTCATCCACCCCTCTGTTCCCTTATCCCTGTGTTCAGTGTGCTGTATCATCAAACAGACCTGATGAGAGCGAGCTCCCACTCCCCACTCACTTGTGTGCCCCTTCCCGTGGCCCTCGCTGGCCCTCTCTGAGGTCAGGCTCTCTGGCTGTGATGGGTGTTCACTGGGCTGCCTCCCAACCACCTGCCTCCCAGGCAGCAGCTTTGAGCTCATGCCAGGGCCTGGCAGCCCTGCAGAGCCAGGGGCAAAGGAAAAATGGTCATGCCAACCTTGCCTTCATTTAAAAGGCTGACATTTTGTTCCTCAAAGATATTTTTGCGCTAATTTTTATTTTTGCAAATATAGCACTAAAATGTTGTTTATGTCGATTCCTGAGTGTTTTTGCACCCTCTTAGATTCTGCAGCAGTGGCAGGTGCCTCCTCGCCTCACCTTAGAGTTGGCCCTGCTGTGTGCCAGGCACTGTGAGCAGGAGGATAGAAAGGAGGATGAAGTGGATCCCAGCTCTCAGGCAGCTGGCCCTCTGTTAAGACAGATGTTAAAAGCATTCACTACCCTGTTTGCTGTCCTGAGAGTGAAGAGTAACCTCCAGGCACTCATTCACCCATAGTCTTCCTGTACCTGTCCCCAGGGATCAGACCACAAGCCTCTGCCATCATCTCCCAGTCTCATTCTCCATCTACCCGTTTTATTGCCTTCCAGTGTCCAGTTATAACATCTACAAATATAATGCAGCAGTGTTTTATTTGAGCTTCATTGAAACAGAAGTTTTAATTTTATTTTATTTATTTATTTATTTATTTATTTATTTATTTATTTATTTATTCATTCATTCATTCATTCATTCATTCATGCCCAGGCTGGAGTGCAATGGCGCGATCTCAGCTCACTGTAACCTCCACCTCTCAGGTTCAAGCAATTCTCCTGCCTCAGCCTCCCAAGTAGCTGGGATTACAGGTGCCTGCCACCACACCTGGCTTTTTTTTTTTTTTTTAATTAGTAGAGACGGGGTTTCACCATGTTGGCCAGGCTGCCCTTGAACTCCAGACCTCAGGTGATCTACGAGCCTCGGCCTCCCAAAGTGCTGGGATTACAGGTGTAAGCCACCGCACCTGGCCAAAACAGAAGTTAATGAAAAATGGATCCTGAGGTAGTTTGGTCTTTATCCTGCTACACCTCTGTCTTGCAATTTTACTCTCTCTGGTTGGACCACTTCCTCCACTAAGTGTCTTCCAAATCCAGCAGTTGGTCTCTGAGACCTGTATGTGTGTGTCTGTCCCTTTCTGCTTACTGGGGAGATCCTGGGAAGGCTCAGGGGGCTCATAGTTCCCACAGAGTCCCTGCAGTCATGGCCTGAACAGAGTAGCAGCTCCATGAAGGTTGCTTAAGTGATCAATGAACACTGCAACCTCGGATACGGGAAAGAAGACGGAATTGAAGGCAGGAGCCCCCACCAGTTTAACCCTCTGTGATTCCAAGCCAAGGCACTAGAGGTAGGCCCCTTATTCCTGCCTTCAGCAAGCTGGTGGAAGCAGTTTTCTTGCTCAGTGGAGACCTGGGAAGGCAAGGGTGGTCTCAGGGTCCCTGTTGAGAGTTCATTCATTGGCTCATAATTAATGTATATTGAGCATGTACTATGGGCCAGTACATTTTGTGCATGAGTTCCTTAAAATTTCATAATAACTGTGAGATACAATTATTATTATAATTGTATTGATGAGGAAACTGAGGCACAGAGAGGCGATATAACATGCCCAAGGTCACACAAAGTGGTGGAACCATTTTGGCCCCAGAGACTGATTCCAGGGCCAACGCTCTGTCCCCACACGGCACTGCCCCTCCTAAGGCAGTCACCATGCATTGATGGGACACATTACTCTCCCTGGGGTGGCTGATGAGACCTTCAGAGACATTCTGTCCAAGGGCTAGGATGCACTGAGGAGAACAGGAATGCAGGGCCAGGGCACGGCCACCCAGAGCCTCATGCTGTTCAAAGCGGCTGAGTGAGTGCTTTAGACCACACAAGGCAGGTTGAGAGGCACAGTGCATGCTTGGGAGGATGGCACGGAGCAGTGGGTGAGGATGGCCCAGGTAGCTGGGGTCAAATGTCCCCACCAGCCCAGTCCCTCCCATATCATCATGGGACATGAATGTGAGGGTGTGGTGATGGTGGCAGTGTGAGGTTTAAGAAATACATCTGGAAAGCTGGGTGTGGTGGCTCACGCCTGCAATCCCAGCACTCTGGGAGGCTGAGGTGAGCGGATCACAAGGTCAGGAGATCGAGACCATCCTAGCTAACATGGTGAAACCCTGTCTCTACTAAAAATACAAAAAAAAAATTAGCTGGGCATGGTGGTGGGCGCCTGTACTCCCAGCTACTCAGGAGGCTGAGGCAAGGAGGATGGCATGAACCCGGGAGGCGGAGCTTCCAGTGAGCCGAGATCGCGCCACTGCACTCCAGCCTGGGCGACAGAGCAAGACTCTGTCTCAAAAAAAAAAAGAAAAAGGAAAAGGAAAAAACAGCTCTGTGCTGTGCAAGTAATCCTCACTGAAATAGATGTGCTTGCTAAAACGAGGAAAGCTGAGACAGCCCCTGGCCAGGCCCGGGCATGGGAGTTGCTGGTCAGCTGGTAAGCGGGGACCTGTAGGGCCCAGGAAGACAGAGTACATGCCTCAGGCAATTGGCCAAGGCCAAGATCCAGCCTCCTGTGACAAAAAGCCAAGCCTTCGGCCTCAGTCTGAGAGTAAGGAGATCACATGCTCTTGTTCTCTGATCTGTCCCCCAGGTGGCAGTGACGAAAGAAGAGACTCTCCCGGCCGAGGCCCCAGTGCATGGAGAGAAGGAAGAAATCAATTTCCTAATTGGTACCATATACATCAGGTCAAATAATTTTCTTCTTTTCTGGCCGCATCAACTAAAAATTGTACCCAATAGGAGCTGTGTGCAAGACGGGGTGGTCACAGTGAATGTCTCTGAGGGTACAGACCTCCCTGCCTGAGACCCTCAGTCCTCAGGGTCTTGCACGTTAGGTGAGCTCATTTCCTGCATTCCTACAGAAAATCAGGAGGGCTCAGAGAGGTGAAGCCCATGTCACAGCTGGACAGGGGCAGGGCCAGGGTCAAATCAGGCTATGTGCCTGGCTCTAAAGCATGGGCCACTGACACAGGACCTACTCCACCAAGCAGCACCCATCCCAGTGGGTTACTGTGAAAGAAAGAACAGAGGACAGTCATCAATAGCATGGGATTCAAACTCACCCCACAATATGTAAAATTAATTACATACTTCCTAGCATAAAATTTTCCATTGCCTGTAATGGGGTCTGCAAGCTTTTTCCATAAAGTTCCAGGAAGTACATCTTTTCAATTTTGTGGACCTTAAGGGTCTCTGTTTTAACTACTCAACTCAGCCAGGTGCAAAAGCAGCCACAGACGCTATGCAAATGAGTGGGTATGGCTGTGTTCCCATAAAACTTCATTTACAAAAATGGGTGGCAGACCACATGTGGCCCATGGTCTATAACTTGCAGACCTCTTATCTACACAAACACAAGGATGCATTTGCACTCCACCGGCAAAGATTGAGCACCCACTGGGGCCCCAGCACCATTCACTAGTGTAAGTTACTCTCACTTGTAATGTCACAGTTGCTTTTCCCCAGCAGTCAGCTGCTACAGTCAGCCTGGGTCAAGCTGCTGTACATCCATTCTATTTCTCTGGCTGGGATCATGCTGCCTGGGAAATCTGACATTCTTAAGAATGTTGTTGGATTGATGGCAGCTCTTAGAGGGATGGTAGATAGTTCAGTAGCCATCTTCAGCAAGTGTGGTATTTCCGTCAACTGTGGATTAACCTTGGCTATTAGTCTTTCCTAATAGCCAAGTAAGGGGTGAGAGCTGAGGGGGTAGGATGGCACACTGATAAAGGCATAATTGGAATAGAGTGGGTAACATTCATCACATTGTGGAAGTATTACAAGTCTATACAATTCGGAAGAGGATTAGAAATCTAGCAACTCCAACTGAATTTTTCTAGGTATACTTAGGTGTTTGAAATTTTAAAATAGTCTTTTTTCCTCATCAGTTATTGGAATTAATAAAATGTAAGTTCAGGAGTGCTGGAGATAGTGATGACCCCTTGCCTTAGTCTATCTGGGCTGCTATGTCAAAATACAATAGCTTGGGAGGCTTATGAACAACAGAAATGTATTCCACACAGTACTAAAGGCTGGGAAGTCTAAGATCAGGGAACCAGCAGATTTGGTGTCTAGTAAGGGCCCATTTCCTGCTTCATAGATGGCACTGTCTTTCTCCATCACCTTGGAGATTAGATATCAACATATGAATTTTGGGAGGGAACACAAACATTTGGCTCATAATACCCCTTCTCTCACATGGCATGTACACAGGGATGAAATTTTAGTTAGCATTCTATAATATAATGTCTTGCATGAAGAATCAGGCAGTTGGACCAAACCAATTCTAAAAAATATGACAGCAGGTGGAAATGGCTCCACCCTCGAGGGTTCTCTCGCTCAGGTCTCTGCATGTAGTTGTCACTTGCAGCTCCATTTCCATCACGTGGTAAAATGCCCTTTCTCTTCTTTCCTGCAGATGGATGGTTTCTAGTGTGCTTCCAAACCCCACCTCGGCTGAGTGTTGGGCAGCACTTCTACATGATCCTATGACTCTTGATATGGACGCAGTCCTGTCAGACTTTGTTCGGTCCACGGGGGCAGAACCTGGTCTGGCCAGAGACCTGCTGGAAGGTAAGCCCACCTCCTTGTTCCCCACACCACCATTCTGGGCATAACCACCTTCCAAATAAGAAGATTTCCAATACCTGATGACAGTGGTACTTGAGCACTAAGTGGGCTTTGCTTTGTGTTACATCTTACCGATATTAAGTCAAAATTTTATCACTAATTATTATATTTAAGAAAATATGTTCAATGGAGCAGAAATTATAAAACATTCAAGAAAATACTTTTGTGGTAGGCCTTAGTTTCATATCTCTGTGTTAGCGGAGACGAAAATACTCTAGGCCAGGGTTTTTGGTGGAAAAAGCACCTACTATCCAGGAAAGCCACTGGGAGTAATTCACAAGCAAGAAGACAGCCTTCATCCTCCAGCTTTTCACGTAGATACCATTTGCTGCATGAGAAATTGCATCCTCCGTATGTATGATGTTTTCAGATATGTATTCAGCCATAACCATAGTGAACTAAAATGAAAGTGTAGTTTCTATGTCTCTAAAATGGATTTACCTTTCTTTTTTTTTTCTGATGGCGGCAGTGGTATGTAAAGGTGGGAGGGACCAGTTACAACTTCTCAGGACAGTCAGCTGTGTGAGAGGAGAGAACTTTGTAATGTTTACTCTTTACTTCAAATGTATAAACTGCAATTTGTGGAGTTAGTAAATACTTGGTCAAGAATTGTAAGTCACAATGATTCTTTAAGTCACTTAGGGAAAATAAGAATTATTGTACATTTGCAGAAGTGGAGAGAACTATTCAATCATATTGAAAATTAAGAACCACCTACTGGAGGATTATCAAAAAATGGCAATGGCAAAAGCATAGTTTTTAAATTTTCCCCAACCTATTAGAATTTCAAACCAACTCCAAGTTTAGAATAAAATATGCTGAGAGTTTTTGCAATCTATGGAAATCAAAATATGATTCTCCCTTCCTGCTATTTATATTATATAATGTCTCCCTGTCAGTTTCCATTATTTTCATTAAGTGGGCAGCAGAGTGGAGAAGCAGGCTTGGAATAAGGTCGGCAGTGAAATCCGAGTTTGAGTTCAGATTCAGCCACTTATCAACTATGAGATATAGGACAAATTATTTTACTTCCCTTACCCTGAGATTTCTTCTATGTTGAGCTTAACCCACCTTACAAGGTGACTGTGAATATTAGAAGTTGTGATATAAAATGTGTGGTAAAGAAGCAGCATGTAGCAGATGCTCAAAAAAGTATAGAAGACCATGCTTGTGGTGGCCATTATTGTAATTAGTACTAACATCAGTATTAATGTCTAGACAGCCTTATAGGAAGCAAGAGTTGTCATCTCTTTTCTTTATTTTTTTTACTTATATTTTTCACATTAAGATACAGAAAAATTGAGTTTTTTGTGTCTAGTTCTATGAACTTTAACACATGTATGGATTTGTGTTATTACTACCACATTCAGGACACAGAAGCACTTCATCCCCTCCAGATTCTCTGTCCTGATGTCTTTTATAATCAGACCCTCCCCTACCCCAACCACTGGCAGTCAGTGCTCTGTTTTCTATCACTAGTTTTGTCTCTTTGCAAGAATGTCAGATAAATGTCCTACAGAGCCTAATCTTCTGAAACTGGCTCCTTTTCATGCAGGGAGATCATTTTGAGACTCATCAAGTCATGTGTCAGTAGCCGGTTCCTTTTTGTTGCTGAGTAGTATTCCATTCTGCAGGTACTCCAGAATTTCTCCACTCATCTGTCCAGGGGCATTTCAGTTGTTTTCCATTTTTGGCAGTTACAACTAGAGCTTCTAGAAACATTTAAGAACAGGATTTTGTGAATATAGTTTTAATTTTTCTTTGTTTTTTCTTTTTTTTTTTTGGTGACACAGAGTCTCACTCTAGCCCAGGCTGGAGTGCAGTGGCGCTATCTCGGCTCATTGCAACCTCCGCCTCCTGGGTCCCAGTTCAAGCAATTTTCCTGCCTCAGCCTCCTGAGTAGCTGTGATTACAGCCGCGCATCACCATGCCCAGCTAATTTTTGTATTTTTAGTAGAGACGGGATTTCAACATATTGGCCAGGCTGGTCTTGAGCTCCTGACCTCGTGATCTGCCCGCCTCAGCCTCCCAAAGGGCTGGGATTATAGGTGTGAGCCACTGTGCCTGGCCTAGTTTTAATTTTTCTAGGCTAAATACATGTTAACCTTGTAAGAAACTGCCAACCTGTTTTCCAGAGTTCTGTACCACTTTGCATTCCTACCAGCAGTGCCTGAGAGCTCCAGCTGCCCCACATCCTTGTCAACACTTGGTATTTCTTCCTTTTTTGTTTTTTCATTTTAACCATTTGATAGCTGTGTGATGGTATTTCTTCATGGTTTTAATTTTCATTTTCCTAATAATTAATGACGTTGAAAATTTTCATGCTGTTTATTTTCCATCTTTTTATTCTCTTTCGTGAAATGTCTGTTCAGGCTTTTTGCCTATGTCTAAATTGAGTTGTTTGATTGAGTTTTAAGAGTTCTTTACATATTCTGAATATAAATCTTTTGTTCAGATTTGTGATTTGTGAATATCTTCTCCCAATCTGTGCTTGACTTTTCAGTCTCTTAACAGGGCCTTTTACAGGGCACAGTTTTAAATTCTGATGCGTTCCAACTGACTTTTTTCTGAGGATCATGCTTTGAGTGACATATCTGAGAAATTTTGCATAACTCCAGGTCATGAAGATTTTCTTGTAGTTGGTCTTTTAAAAGTTTTATACTTTCATGTTTTACATTTAGATCTATGATCCATTTGAGATGATTTTTGTATAATATGTGAGATTTAGGTCCAGATTCAGTTTTATGCATACGGATATCCAATTGTTTCAACATCATTTATAGAAAATATCCTCCTTCTTTCATTGAAATTGAATTGCCTTTGCAATTTGACGAAAAGCCAACTGAGGGTATTTGTAAGGAATATATTTCTGGACAGTGGTTCTGTTCCATTGATCATTATGTCTGTTCTTTTATCAACATTGTGCCATATTGATTTCTGTAGCTTTGTAATGAGTCTTAAAATCAGATAGTGTGATTTTTCTAAATTTATTCTTCTTTTTCAGGAGTGTTTCAGCTATTCTTTTTTTTTTTTTTTTTGCCTTTCTATGTGAACTTTAGGATCTGCTTACCTCTATCTACTCTAAACTGTTTTGCTGAGATTTTGTCTACAATTTTAGTAAATCTACAACTCAATCCTATGTTATGTCTTTCAGTCCATGAAGGAGTGCCATAATTTCCATTTGCTTGGGCCTCCATTAAGTTCTTTCGTCAACATTTTATGGTTTTTGGCATGTAGATCCTATACATGTTTTGTTCTATGTGTATTGGGGGGCGGGGTTGTAAACTATTGTACATGGTATTTTTTATTTCAGTTTCTACTTGTTCATTGGCAATATACAGAAATATAACTGATTTTTGTGTGTTGATCTTGCATCCTGCAATCTTGCTAAAGCTAAACTCAGTTTGTTCTAGGAGGGCTGTGTGTGTGTGTGTGTGTGTGTGTGTGTGTGTGTGTGTGTGTTCCTTGGGATTTTCTACATAGGTGATCATGTTATCTGTGAGTAAGGACAGTTTTATTTCTTCCTTTCCAGTCTCTAGGCCTTTCTGGTTTTCTTGTCTTATTTCACTGACGAAGACTATTCAAAAGGTTAAATAGTGGTGTTAAAAAAGAAGATCCTTGTGTTGTTCTTAATCTCTGAGAACAAGCAGTATTTCACCATTAAGTAGAATGTTGGCTATAGGTTTTAGTAGATGGTCTTTATCAGGTGAAGAAAATTTCTTTCTATTCCAAGTTTGCTGAGCGTTTTATAATAAATAGATACTGAATTTTTAAAATGAAGATCAAGTGGGTTTTTTGCTTTAAACTGTTGCTATACTAGATTAAACTGATTGCCTTCTAGTGGTAAACCAGACTTTCAGCTATTTCTTTCCATGTTTCTATGTTCTGCCCTTTTTTTCTTTCCTTCTGGGACTCAGATGATAGGAAGCTCGGCCCTTTTGTTATTACCTAAGGTCTCTATGGTTCTGTTCAAGGTTTTCAAGCTTTGTCTGTTATTCAGATTCAGTCATTTCTATTAATTTATTTATGAACTGACTGACTACTTCCTCCATCATCTTCATCCCAGTAGTGAGCCCAGCCAGTGTGTTTTCTATTTTTGTAGTTGATTTTTTTCATTTCTAATATTTCCACTTAGTTCTTCTTCATATCTTCCATTTCTTTGCAAAATTTTCTATATGTTTTAAGAGTACCCTCCTTTACTTGTACAATATTTTTAACAACTGCTTGAAAATCTTTGTCAAATAATTCCAGTATCTGTTTCATCTCAGAGTAGCTGTTGGCTTTTTGTATGCTGAGTATGGTTTCAGTATGCTGAATTGTATCCTAGACATTTTAAATACTATGTTTTGAGATTCTGGTTATTGTTAAAATCTTACAGTGAACATTATTAACTTTATTTTAGAAGATAATCACCCCAAATGGGTTCAGACCACAAATTCCAAGTTCCTGCAAGACTTGTGTGGATTGTGGTTGCTGTGAGTCTGTGAGATGTGGATCTGTCTGGCACAAGCGCCACCTAGTGGCCAGCCTGGGACTCTGGTGGTAATCTATCCCACATTTCAGCACTCAAAGTCTGTGTGGTCCGTGTAGGGTCGGATCCATACATGTAGAGCTCAAGGGTAAGCCCAAGAGTTCATGAGCAACTTTCAGGGGTTGCTCTCCCGAAGCCCTTCCTCATTGTAACCTGCCCAGTAGTGTCTGGGTCCCTGGGCTCTACCTTTTCAGCCCTCCAGCCAGCTTGGGTGGTTGAGGCTTGATTTACCCTACTCTCTGGTGCACTTGACTGAACCACGTCAGAGCTAAGCAGCGAGAAGCCAGAGAGAAAAAGCATGAAGGTTTCCCCACCCTCTGGGGACCTCAGACTCTCTGGTTGGAAAGGAAGTTTGCCTGGCCTGATGACTTTAATTATCTGCCATTTCTCACTAGGGCCACAAAATTTCTTGAGGTCTGGGGCACAGAGAAGAAAAAATTTTAGAAGAAAAAGAAAAAAAAAAAGGATAAATTAGAGATTTCCAGACTTTCTTAGAACGGTAGAGACCCCTTTCCTGCTTCTGTACCCGAGTTGGCTGGGCTTTTCCTGGAATTAGTGCCCACTCTGGGTTAGGAGCTGCATTGACTCCACACTGGGGAGACTGGAGGAAGGGAAGTGTCTCGCTCACCTCCAACTCTGTGGCACTTCCAACTGTGGTCTCCTTTCTGCATCAGCACCTCCAACTGTGATCCACCTTCCTGAGCCCGGTCGCTGCTGCCTGCACGCTGTCCAGGGGTCCCGGCTGCACCCAGTGGGACAGAGGGTGGCAGTGGTGAGTGCTCACTCACCTCACCCACTGCTGGGTCCTGCCTTTGGCTTTCACAGGTAAGAGGACTGTGGTTCCATTGTGTATGATGGATTATTTAAGGTGTCAAAGTTATTTGGGTGAAGATTTCTCTAAACCCAGTGTTTCAAAGAATGAAATATTTTTGTTGTAAGTCCTCAGAAAGATGTGTATTGGGAGGATGTCAGTAATGTAGGAATTTAGAGGGGAGATGTCTAAAGGGAAATAAATCCTCATGGTGGCAAAAGCTGAGCGGAAGGTACATGGTCCTCATTTGTAACTTCTTGTATTTTTATTTATTTCAAAAAAAAAGTTAAAAAAACACTGCAATGATGGGAATCACAGTACAGCAGAGGGAGGCCAATAAGAGAAAGGAGGAGCAGAGGCTGATCACAACCTTGGTAAACTGAGGCAAGTGAACACTGACCTGCCTCCAAACAGAAGAGGGTGGCCTTGCCTGTTCACCTGCTTCCTGTGTTACCAGATCAAAGTTGGGTCTGGCTCTCTGGCACAGCAAAGCCAAAAACTGGCGTCAAGACTGCAGTAAGAGAAAGTGAGACATTTATTTCAGGGCAGGAAGCCAGGAGAATTGGGCAGCTCATGTTTAAGCCCTGAATCCCCCAGTGCCATATAGGTAAGCGTTTTTACAGGCAGGAAGAGGCTGGGCGTGGTGGCTCATGCCTGTAATCCTAGCACTTTGGGAGGCCTAGGCTGGTGGATCACCTGAGGTCAGGAGTTCGAGACCAGCCTGGCTAACATGGTGAAACCCTGTCTCTCCTACAAATACAAAAATTAGCTGGGTGTGGTGGCATACACCTGTAATCCCAGCTACTCAGAAGGCTGAGGCAGGAGAATCGCTTAAACCCAGGAGGCGGAGGTTGTAGTGAGCTGAGATCGCACCATTACACTCCAGCCTGGAGACAGAGCGAGACTCCATCTTGAAAACATAATAATAATAAAATAAAGGCAGGGGGCAGAAGTTACAGGCAAAGATATAAATCAATACACGGAGGCTGTACATTGGTTTGACCTAAAAAGACAGGACATCTTGAACCAGATGTGGGGTGGAGGGCATAGGTCATAGGTAGATTTGAAGATTTTCTGATTTACAATGGGTTAAGGAGACGAAGCTTTGTCTGCAAATTTGTGATCAGGAGAAAAGAACGTTAGCTCTGGTCTCTGGGCATGACTTCCTCCAGGCCCCTCAGGAAGAAATTTAGAACAAAGAGTGGTGGTCCAAGCTCAGTCCTCAGTTTCCCCTGTCTGAGGTCTGCATGCCAGCAGATAGCACTTTTCATTTGTTGGTGTCCTGGTTTCTGGAAATCAGCTCAAGGACTTGTGTTAAAATGTTATCTTTAGTCTCTGTGGGAACTTTGATCTATTCTGTGACTTAAACTTCCCTGGCTATTGTTTTAAGTTATTCTTCCCTTCTTGCTTCAGTTGCTCATTTACTTCCCAGTGCTGGCTAGGTACCTGGAAATGCCTTTGAAGGAACTCAAGATTTCCTTTTATTTCCATGCTTGGGGGCAGGTGCCCGGCAGGCCCCTAAGAGGGGTCTCTGCTCCATCTCATCTTCATATCAGTCCCTTGCATGTCCCTGAAGTGGTTCTCCCAAACAAATTCAAGTCAGGTAACTCCATTTCCTCCAATTTTTCATACTCCGTCCCCATTACCTGCAAAATAAACTTCTCCACCTGGTACTCCAGCCCTTCAGCATCTAGTCCTATTCCGTCCCTCCCCTCATTACCTGAGGCATCTCTTCACCATCCCTTTCCCTGACTTGACACCCACCTCTGTGCTTCTGCCTCCGCCCATTGCTCCTGCTGCTCCTCCCCCTGCACACACTGCCTCCCTGTTGAAATTCAGCTCTCCCTCCACGATGGATCATGAACTCCCCGACAGCAAGGACCATACAAGGTTTTGTTCACTGTTTGCCCAACACCCAGCACGTATGAGTCCCTCAGTAGAGTGATCTATTAATAGCTGCTGAGGTGCAGTGATGAGCAGCCAGACAGAAATTGCCCACATGGAGACAGATGGAAATAAGTTATATAGTGTGTTAGCCATTAGTGCTGTGGAGATAACTAAGTCGGGGAGAAGGAAGCAGGTATGAGTGTGTACAGTTTTAAATTAGGGTTGTCAAGGAAGGCTTCACTTAAAAAAAATAGGATCTGAGCAAAGATTTGAGGAAGTGAGAAAGCAAGCCACGTGGATGTCTGGAGGAAGAAGTTTCTATGACGAGGTAAGGATTCACTGATAATTCCTTGCCCTCCTGTGGAACTTTGTGGACTTCTGCTGCAGCTTGTGTTTGGTTGTGCCTTATTTTATAATTCATCACATGCTTATCAAGCTGGATTTGCCCAGTCTTGAGCACATGCCACTGATTTAGCAGAATTCACGGCTCTGGCGTTTTCAAGTGTGTGCGATTAGAGGACTGCCATGGGCAAATCCCACACCCTTGAATGGGAACAAAAAGGTGGTCTAGGGACCATGAATCCTAAGCAGGAGTTAACACTCGACCACAAGGTGTGATGGCCCTTGGCCGGGGCTGGGACCATCAGTGGGTCTAGAAATACTGAAAGGAAACCGTTGGCTGCCCTTCCAAGTGTCCCGTTCCCACTAGAGAGAGCTCTGCCGTTAGACCAGACGTATTTGGGGAAAAAATGTCAAAAAAAATAAAAATAAACATCTCCAGATCAGAATTCTAAGATACTCCCTCTCGCCTGGCCTCATTCAGGAAGACACATTCTTCCTTTAGAGAGATGAGTGTATTTAAATACTCTTAAACAGACCCATTAAGACCATTTGCAGTGAGTTTCCTTGTGTCACGCTGATCAATTAAGTAGATCTTATTTCCTTCCTATTGGGGAAGCTTGTAACCCCCAGGTACCATCACTGGCCTATTTTGTTGGTTTTACTCAGAAGTCTGTGCCATTGTGGCTGCTTAAAATTAAACACTTTGGCCAGGCTTGGTGGCTCACGCCTGTAATCCCAGCACTTCGGGAGGCCAAGGCGGGCAGATCACGAGGTCAGGAGTTCGAGGCCAGCCTGACCAACATGGTGAAACCCTGTCTCTACTAAAAATACAAAAATTAGCCGGGTGTGGTGGTGTATACCTGTAATCCCAGCTACTCAAGAGGCTGAGGCAGGAGAATTGCTTGAACCCAGGAGGCAGAGGTTGCAGTGAGCCAAGATCACACCATTGTACTCCAGCCTGGGCAACAGAGTGAGACTCTGTCTCAAAAAAAAAAAACAAAAAAGAAAGAAAAAGAAAGAAGGAAAGAAAGGGAAAGGAAAGGAAGAGAGAGAGAGAAAGAGAGAAAGAAAGACACTTCCTCTCTGGAAAGCCAGCCGTATTCATCCCAGCGTCTTTCTTGGTGTCTGTGCATGGATAAAGCCTCCCCATTCCCCCGTGCCCCCCACCACTTTGTGTCCTTTCACTTTGCTTCACTTATGTGCCCACCACTCCAGGGCTCCCTGAGGTCCAGGAATTCCATGCCATTCCCTTTCACATGGCTGAGAGCCCCAGCCCTGTGGATGAGCTGTCCTGAGTGGGCACTCAGTAATGTGGGCGTAAGCTGAAGAGGGAAGGAGCAAAAAAACAACCAGAAGCCCTCAGATTCAGAGTCATGTCGTTAAACACTTTTTAAGATAAAAAATTGGCTGTGCGAACTGAAATCAATTTAAACTATTTTCTTTGATTAGGCAGGAAAGAGGAGGCTGCTGCATATTAAGAACTCCCACTTAAGCCAAACCTTCATGTTTCCAATCTCCAAGCAGGCGTTGAGGGCCTCTGGGCTGAGTGTGGGAGACCCAGGAAGAAAGAAGAGTAGGCCCTGCCTTCAAGGTCCTTCCTGCCTAAAGCAATCTATAGGCAGCTGTGTTCTAACAAAACTTTTATTTATAAAACAGGCAGCCAGCCAGCCTATGGGCAGTAGTTTGCCAACCTGTGCTGTAGATTAAAAAAGGCTTAAGAGATCTGTCAAACAGTGATAATGTATGCACATTATTTGAATACTGATTCCAACAAACTAAAAAAGAAAAATTATAAGACAATCTGGGAAATGTGAGCACTTAACATTTACTGGATATTTGATATTAAAGAATAACTACTTTTAGATATGATATTTTTATTATGATAGTGCTAAGAAAAATAAGATACATACTGACGTGGATGGATGAAGTAATATCATGCAGGGGTTTTCTGGGGACAGGCGAATGGGTGGGAGAGGAGATGAAACAATATTATCCATGAGTTGATTTTGATTAAACCTGGATAGTAGATGCAAACAGGTTTATTATAAGTGATGTACGAATGTTTCCATAATAAAAAGTTTTAAAACAGACAGCACCAGGAAACTTCCACTTCCAGCCAAGATGAAGTATCAGAATGTGGGTGTGCCCTCCTGCCTGAAAAAGAAAAAGACAAATATGATAAACAAGACACTGAACATTAGACAGTAAAGGACAGTAGTCCCCAAGAGATTGGAAACAAACAAGGTTAGTCCTGTAATTGCCCAGCTCACTGCCTTGAGAAAGTTTCTAATCCGTGGTACAGGGAGGGGGAACCCAGAGGAAGCTTGCCTGACTCCACAGTGGAAGGAGACAGAGCTTAGAGTCCCAGGAGTCCAGGAGGCTGGAGTCCACAGGTCAGAGCCTGAGAGCGGAGACAGCTACACAGAGAGAACTGCAGCGATTCACAGAGGGTTTGCCTCTGCCACTCAGCCAAGTGCCGATCAGTGCCTGTGTGTGAGGAAGCTGTGTGCAGCTGGGGAGAGAACCACCTGAGAGGATTAGAGGAAACAGTGCCTGGGGCTGATACAGAGCCATGGAAAGTGCCTGTGCTCACCAGCCAGGCTGGACAAGCACTGAATATAATACCTAGAAGGATCTTGCCTCAGTAATTGGGAATAATTAGCCCTGTAATGAAAACTTTTCTAGGGCTAGACACAGTAGCTCATACCTGTAATCCCAACACTTTGGGAGGCCAAGCCAGGAGGATCGCTTGAGGACAAGAGTTCAAGACCAGCCTGAACAACATAGCAAGACCTCTGTCTCTACAAAAATCTTCTAAAAATTAGCTGGGCATGGTGGCATATACCTGTGGTCCTG